>NC_000010.11:22510000-23135000 GCF_000001405.40 Homo sapiens
ATCAGCTTAAGGAGATTTTGGGCTGAGCCATTGGGGTTTTCTAAATATACAATCATGTCATCTGCAAACAGAGACAATTTGACTTCCTCTTTTCCTAACTGAATACCCTTTATTTCTTTCTCTCGTCTGACTGCCTTGGCCAGAACTTCCAATACTATGTTGAATAGGAGTGGTGAGAGAGGGTATCCTTGTCTTGTGCCAGTGTTCAAAGGGAATGCTTCCAGTTTTTGCCCATTTAGTATGATATTGGCTGTGGGTTTATCATAAATAGCTCTTATTATTTTGAGATATATTCCATTAATACCTAGTTTATTGAGAGCTTTTAGCATGAAGGGCTGTTGAATTTTGCCAAAGGCCTTTTCTGCATCTATTGAGATAATCATGTGGTTTTTGTCACTGGTTCAGTTTATGTGATGGATTATGCTTATTGATTTGCATATGTTGAACCAGCCTTGCATCCCAGGGATGAAGCTGACTTGATTATGGTGGAGAAGCTTTTTGATGTGCTGCTGGATTCGGTTTGCCAGTATTTTACTGAGGATTTTCACATCAATGTTCATCAGGGATGTTGGCCTAAAATTTTCTTTTTTTGTTGTGTCTCTGCCAGGTTTTGGAATCAGGATGATGCTGACCTCATAAAATGAGTTAGGGAGGATTCCCTCTTTTTCTGTTGTTTGGAATAGTTTCAGAAGGAATGGTACCAGCTCCTCTTTGTACCTCTGGCAGAATTCAGCTGTGAATCCATCTGGTCCTGGGCTTTTTTTTGTTGGCAGGCTATTAATTATTGCCTCAATTTCAGAGCCTGTTATTGGTGTATTCAGAGATTTGACTTCTTCCCGGTTTAGTTTTGGGAGGGTGTATGTGTCCAGGAATTTATCCATTTCTTCTAGATTTTCTAGTTTATTTGCATAGAGGTGTTTATAGTATTTTCTGATGGTAGTTTATATTTCTGTGGGATCGGTGGTGATATCCCCTTTATCATTTTTTATTGCATTGATTTGATTCTTCTCTCTTTTCTTTATTAGTCTTGCTAGCGGTCTATTTTGTTAATCTTTTCAAAAAATCAGCTCCTGGATTCATTGATTTTTTTGCAGGGATTTTTGTGTCTCTATCTGTTTCAGGTCTAATCTGATCTTAGTTATTTCTTGTCTTCTGCTAGCTTTTGAATTTGTTTGCTCTTGCTTCTCTAGTTCTTTTAGTCGTGATGTTAGGATGTCGATTTTAGCTCTTTCCTGCTTTCTTTTGTGGGCACTTAGTGCTATAAATTTCCTCTACACACTGATTGAAATGTGTCCCAGAGATTCTGGTATGTTGTGTCTTTGTTCTCATTGGTTTTATCTTTGTTTTATTTATTATTGTTTTTTTAATTATACTTTAAGTTCTACGGTACATGTGCACAATGTGCAGGTTTGTTACATATGTATACATGTGCCATGTCTCATTGGTCTTAAAGAACATCTTTATTTCTCCTTCATCTTGTTATTTACCCAGTAGTCATTCAGGAGCAGGTTGTTCAGTTTCCATGTAGCTGT
The DNA here is from genome assembly GCF_000001405.40 of Homo sapiens. Taxonomy (NCBI): domain Eukaryota; kingdom Metazoa; phylum Chordata; class Mammalia; order Primates; family Hominidae; genus Homo; species Homo sapiens. Next base: position 22,511,533 of record NC_000010.11, read on the forward strand.
GCGGTTTTGAGGGAGTTTCTTAATCCTGAGTTCTAATTTGATTGCACTGTGGTCTGAGAGACAGTTTGTTGTGATTTCTGTTCTTTTACATTTGCTGAGGAGTGTTTTACTTCCAATTATGTGGCCGATTTTAGAATAAGTGTGATGTGGTGCTGAGAAGAATGTATATTCTGTTGATTTGGGGTGGAGAGTTCTGTAGATGTCTATTAGGTCTGCTTGGTCCAGAGCTGAGTTCAAGTCCTAGATATATTTGGTAATTTTCTGTCTCACTGATCTGTCTAATGCTGACATTGGGGTGTTAAAGTCTTCCACTATTATTGTGTGGGAGTCTAAGTCTCTTTGTAGGTCTCTAAGAACTTGCTTTATGAACCTGGGTGCTCCTGTATTGGGTGCATATATATTTAGGATAGTTAGCTCTTCTTGTTCCATTGATCCCTTTACCATTTTGTAATGCCCTTCTTTGTCTCTTTTGATCTTTGTTGGTTTAAAGTCCGTTTTATCAGAGACTAGGATTGCAACCCCTGCTTTTTTTTGTTTTCCATTTGCTTGGTAGATCTTCCTCCATCCCTTTATTTTCAGCCTATGTGTGTCTTTGCACATGAGATCGTTCTCCTGAATACAGCACACTGATGGGTCTAGACTCTTTATCCAATTTGCCAGTCTGTGTCTTTTAATTGGGGTATTTAGCCCATTTACGTTTAAGATTAATATTGTTATGTGTGAATTTGATCCTGTCATTATGATGTTAGCTGGTTATTTTGCCCGTTAGTTGATGCAGTTTCTTTATAGTGCTGATGGTCTTTACACTTTGGCATGTTTTTGCAGTGGCTTGTCCCAGTCGTTCCTTTCCATGTTTAGTGCTTCTTTCAGGAGCTCTTGTAAAGCAGGCCTGGTTGGTGATAAAATCTCTCAGCGTTTGCTTGTCTGTAAAGGAATTTATTTCTCCTTCACCTATGAAGCTTAGTTTGGCTGGATATGAAATTCTGGGTTGAAAATTCTTTAAGAATGTTGAATATTGGCCCCCACTCTATTCTGGCTTGTAGGGTTTCTGCTGAGAGATCCACTGTTAGTCTGATGTGCTTTCCTTTGTGGGTAACCCGACCTTTCTCTCTGGCTGCCCTTAACATTTTTCCTTCATTTCAACCTTGGTGAATCTGATGATTATGTGTCTTGGGGTTGTTGTTCTCGAGGAATATCTTACTGGTGTTCTCTGTATTTCCTGAATTTGAATGTTGGCCTGCCTTGCTAGGTTGGGGGAGTTTTCCTGGATAATATCCTGAGGAGTGTTTTCCAACTTGGTTCCATTCTCCTGTCACTTTCAGGTACACCAATCAAATGTAGATTTGGTCTTTTCACATAGTCCCATACTTCTTGGAGACTTTGTTTGTTTCTTTTCACTCTTTTTTTCTCTAATCTTGTCTTCTTGCTTTATTTCATTAAGTTGATCTTCAGTCACTGATATCCTTTCTTCTGCTTGATTGATTTGGCTATTGAAGCTTGTGTATGCTTCACGAAGTTCTCATGGTGCATTTTTCAGCTCCACCGGGTCATTTATGTTCTTGTCTACACTGGTTATTCTAGTTAGCAATTCGTTTAACCTTTTTTCAAGGTTCTTAGCTTCCTTTCATTAGGTTAGAACATGCTCCTTTAGCTCGGAGGAGTTTGTTCTTACCCACTTCTGAAGCCTACTTCTGTCAATTCGTCAAACTCATTCTCTGTCCAGTTTTGTTCCCTTGCTGGTGAGGGATTGTGATCCTTTGGAGGAGAAGAGGCATTCTGGTTTTTGGAATTTTCAGCCTTTCTGCACTTGTTTCTCCCCATCTTTGTGGTTTTATCTACCTTTGGTCTTTGATGTTGGTTACCTACGGATGGGGTTTTGGTGTGGACATCCCTTTTGTTGATGCTATTCCTTTCTGTTTGTTAGTTTTCCTTCTAACAGTCAGGCACCTCAGCTGCAGGTCTGCTGGAGTTTGCTGGAGGTCCACTCCAGACTCAGGTTTGCCTGGGTATCACCAGTGGAGGCAGCAGAACAGCAAATATTGCTGCCTGATCCTTCCTCTGGAAGCTTCATCCCAGAGGGGCACCCGCCACATGCCAGCCACAGCTTTCCTGTATGGAGTGTCTGGCGGCCCCTACTGGGAGATGTCTCCCAGTCACGCTACATGGGGGTCAGGGACCCACTTGAGGAGGCAGTCTATCTGTTATCAGAGCTCGGACGCTGTGCTGGGAGAACCACTACTCTCTTCAGAGCTGTCAGGCAGGGATGTTTAAGTCTGCTGAAGCTGTGCCCACAGCTGCCCCTTTGCCCAGGTGCTCTGTCCCAGGGAGATGGGGGATTTATCTATAAGTCCCTAACTGGGACTGCTGCCTTTTGTTCAGAGATGTCCTGCCCACAGAGGTGGAATGTAGAGAGGCAGTCGGCCTTGCTGAACTGCGGTGGGCCCCGCCCAGTTCGAACTTCCCTGCAGCTTTGTTTACACTGTGAGCATAAAACCGCCTACTCAAGCCTCAGCAATGGTGGACGCCCCTCCCCCTGCCAAGCTCAATTGTCCTGGGTCGATCTCAGACTGCTGCGCTAGCAGCGAGAATTTCAAGCTAATGGATCTTAGCTTGCTGGGCTCCGTGGGCATGGGACCTGCTGAGCCAGGCACCGGAGGGAATCTCCTGGTCTGCCAGTTGTGAAGACCATGGGAAAAATGCAGTATCTGGGCAGGAGTGTACTGTTCTTCCCAGTACAGTCTCTCATGGCTTCCGTTTGCTAGGAAAGGGAAATCCCGTGACCCCTTGTGCTTCCCAGGTGAGGCGATGCCCTGTCCTGCTTTGGCTTGCCCTCCATGGGCTGTACCCACTGTCCAACCAGTCCCAATGAGATGAACCAGTTACCTCAGTTGGAAATGCAGAAATTGCCCATCTTCTGTGTCAATCTTGCTGGGAGCTGCAGACTGGAGCTGTTCCTGTTCAGACATCTTGCTGGAAATCCCCTTTTTTTTCAATTTTTAATTTTTTTTTATAGAGACAGGGTCTTGCTATGTTGCCCTGGCTGGTCTCAAACTCCTGGGCTCAAGCAATTCTCCCACCTTGGCCTCCCAAAGTGCTGAGATTACGTGCGTGAGCCACTGCGCCCAGCCTTCAAATTTACATGTCAGCCACAGGAAACCATGTGAAAGTGCTGTGCTTTCTCAAAACTCTCTGTCTACTGTTGTGACTTCCCAAAAAGTCCCTTCTTATGAGCCACTCCACACCCTTTTCTGGAATAGGATCCTTTAGATCTCAGGCAAAATAGCACCACTTCCTCTAGGCAGCTTTCTGTCTCCTCAAGAAATGGTGTAAATGCCTTGCCTAGATGCACCCATAGCACCTACACTTCCACCTGATAGCAGGAGATTTACAGAAAACAAAAAATAAGTATGCAAACCAACACACACGAAAAACATTACAGACCATGAGATGAATCTGAATGGAAATAAAGAGAGTATTATGATAAAGAATAATGAAACAACCTCCGTTTCACAGGATGTTCAGTATGAGAAGGAATGAGTGACATAAAGACTTCCAGGAAGGAGATTCCAATATCTGAGAACAGCAAAGAGAAACATCCTAGTTTGGAAAGAACTAGGTTTGTTTGAGAAATAGCAATAAATCAGGTATAGTTGGAGCACCGAGGGCACTGCTGGGTGATGGGGAGATAAAATCTAAAAAACAGGCAGGGACAAGATGATTTAAGCAAGGCCAGGCAAGTCATGTGGGGAGTGTGGATTTTATCCTAGTACTATGGGAAGCCATGGAAGGGTCTTTAAAGATGTGAGTGGCATGTTTGATTTACCTTGTCGGAAGAGCAGAATATACCTTTAAGCAAGAGGACACTCAGGGGGAGATGACAGTGGCCTGGGCCAGCCTGGTAGCAGTGGAAATAGAAGTTGATAGAATGAGATATTTCGAAAGACGAGCCAGCAGGACTTGATGGTAGATTCAATGTGGTAGTGAGGGAAAGAAATGGGTAACAAATGTTCCCAGGTTTCTGCCTTGAGTAACTGAATGTACTTCCAGTTGCTTAAACAAGGTGGTGGGCACAGAGGGAAGTGATGGATTTGAGGGCTCTTTAGGAGGAGAATTAGGAGGGTGTGAGAATCTTGGACGTTGGGGAAGCATGATGTAATTGAGGTTGGAGAGGAATGGCTCCCAAGATTTTGATTTATATACCTAAATGAATGGGATAAAATAGGAAAAACTGGAGGAATCCAAGATTTGGGAGACATAATAGCATGAATTTAGCTTGGGATTGCAGAGTTTTGGGAATAAGAGCCTTTGAAACATCCAAGTGAAGAGGTTGAATAGCCAGTTGGCTGAAGATAGGGGCCTTTGAGGAGAGAGATGGGCAGGAGATCTACGAATAGGAGTTGATGCTTAGTTGAAAACTGGAGAGGAGTTCAAGGCTGCAATGAGTATGACAGCACCACTGTACTCAAGCCTGGGGGACAGAGTGAGACTTTGTCTCTTAAAAAAAAGAAAAAGAAAAAGAAAACCAAATATCAACAGAGCTCCTGGCTAGGTGCAGTGGCTCACACCTGTAATCCCAGCACTTTGGGAGGCTGAGGCAGGAAGATCACTTGAGCCCAGGAGTTCAAGACCAGCCTGGGAAACATAGCAAGACCTCATCTCCACAAATAATTAAAAAAATAGCCAGGCATTGTAGTGTATTCCTATAGTCCCAGCTACTCAGGAAACTGAGGAGTGAGGATAACTTGAGCCCAGGCAGTCAAGGCTCCAGTGAGCTATGATGATACAATGCCACCGCAGTCTAGCCTGGGTGACACAGAGAGACCGTGTCTCAACAAAACAAAACAAAACCAAAAACTCGGCCGGGCGTGGTGGCTCACGCCTGTAATCCCAGCATTTTGGGAGGCCAAGACGGGCGGATCACGAGGTCAGGAGATTGAGACCATGCTGGCTAACACGGTGAAACCCCGTCTGTACTAAAAATACAAAAAAATTAGCCGGGTATAGTGGCGGGCGCCTGTAGTCCCAGCTACTCAGGAGGCTGAGGCGGCAGAATGGCCTGAACCCGGGAGGCGGAGCTTGCAGTGAGCCGAGATCCCACCACTGCACTCCAGCCTGGGTGACTGAGCGAGACTCCGTCTCAAAAAAAAAAAAAAAAAAAAAAGCTCCTGCTGTCCATCCTCCACTGCAAGCCTGTGGGTATCGAAAGCAGGAGAGAGGAAACTTAAGAGACTCAAAAAAAAGAGTAGAGGGGTGCAGAGAACAGAAAAATGCCACCTCCAGAAAGAGAAAGTCCAATGCAAAATACTGAATCCAAGTCAAGGCTTACTAATTCATAGCACTGGCTAGAGGAAAGTGGCTTGAAAGTGTGCAGGAAGGAAATATTGCTTCTGGGGAAGTCTCAGCAATATAGTGTAGGGAAAGTACTTCTTAGAGATGTGGCAGTAAAGGGAAAAAAATATGAGGGGGAAATTAAGGATCCTGCAGAAAAAAATGACAATGCCTCTTTTCACTTAATATTCAAGGGAATATTAAACTCAGGAACACAATAAAACTGTAAAATCATATTAGAAACAAAGATTCAATTGCAAGGTGCCCAAGGAAGAATAAATTCAAATTAAATTTCAATAAAAGATATTAAAAACCAGGGAAAAACCCAAGAGACAGAAAATGAGGTAAAGAAAGATATCCCTCCCCCTGCCCCCCCGCCTCCTGGCATGTACCCATTAAAAAGACCAATCAGGCTGGGTGAGGTGGCTCATGCCTTCAATCCCAGCACTTTGGGAGTCTGAGGTGGGAAGATCCCTTGAGGCCAGGGGTTTGAGAACATTCTGGGCAACATAGCAAGACCCCATCTCTACAAAAAAACTTAAAAAAAAATTAACCAAGCGCAGTGGTGTATGTCTCTAGTCCTAACTACTTGTGAGGCTGAGGTGGGAGGATCCCTTCAGGAGTTTGAGGCTGCAGTGAGCTATGATGGGATCACTGCACTCCAGACAGGCTCAAAATAGAAAGGAGACGATAGAGAGAGAGGAGAGAAGAAAAGGAGAAGAGAAGAAAAGAAGGAAGAAAGGCCAATTTGTTCGTAATAGCATTATTTACAATAGCTAAAAATAGATGAATGTCTAAACAAAATGTGGTGTCTACATATAATGAAATATTATTCAGCCTTAAAAAGAAATGAAATTCTAACACATGCTGTAACATGGATGAAGCCTGTGAACATTATGTTAAGTGAAATCAGCCAGTCACAAAAAGACAAATACTGTGTGATCCCACTTATATGAAATACTTAAGAGTAGCTAATTTTGTAGAGACAGAAAATAAAATGGTGGTTGCCAGGTTCTGGGGGGAAGGGGAAAAATGGGAGTTGTTTAATGAGTACTGAGTTTCATGTTTGCAAGAAGAAAAGGGTTCTGGAGATTGGTTGTGCAACAGTGTGAATGTTTGTAACATGACTGAGCTGTATAATTAAAGAGGGTTGAGGTGGTAAATTTTCTGTTATGTGTATTTTACCACCAGAAAGAAAGGACCAACTGGGTGCCCTCAAAATTAACCTGGGATGGTCAACTTTGAGGATCCTTGTATAATTGTTATCTACAACTGTGTAGATAATGATTGTGTTATCTATAATTATGTAGATACAACTGTGTAACAAATTACCTCCAAATTTAGCAGCTTAAAATAGCAAACACCTGTCAACTCAATTTCTATGGGTCAGGAATCCAGGAGCATCTTAGCTAGGTGCCTCTGCCTAAAAGTCTCTTGTGAAGAAGCTGCAGCTAACTTACCAGTCACGGCTGTGGCCTCACTTGAAGGTTCAATTGAGGGAGGACTTTATATTGTTGCTTCAAAACTCCACTTGTTAATGTTATCAATTCCTTGTCTAGTAGGCTTCAATGTGTGTTAGCTCATAGCATAACAAATGGATATCATCAAAGTGTTCAAGCAAGAGAGCAAGCGAGGGTGAAGACTGTGGAAGCCAGAGTGTTTTCGTAACCTAATCTTGGAAGTGACATCTCATTTTTGTCATATTCTATTTTTTTAGAAGTGAGTCACTGCTCCAGCCCACACTTGAGGAAAGGTAATTAAACAAAGGCATGAATATCAGGAGGATGGGCTCACTGGAGCCTGCATACTAGACCTAATAACATGATTAGACTTTAAAGATAAAGAAGAAATCTTCAGGGCCTGCAAGCAAAAAGACAAGATGATTTTTAATGGTAACAGTGGAATAGCATTCTCAAGAAACTTAAGGAAAGAAAATATAAACTAGAAAAATCATTCAGCCAGGCATCCTTCAAGTATCAAGGCTATAGAAAAACAGTTCTGAATGTGCGAGAACTTGGGTAATACAGGAGACAGGTGCTCTTCCTAAGAAACCTAGTAAAGTGGTGGTCCTCAAACTGGCCTGATGCCTATTTATCTAAATAAAATTTTACTGGCACATAGCCACACCAATTCATTGATGTAATGTCTACGTCTGTTTTTGCACTACAGTAGCAGAACTGAGTAATTTCAAAAGATTTCCGCAAAGCCTAAAATATTTACTATCAGTTCAGCTGTTGAAAAAGTTTGCCCACCCCTGTACTAGTGGATGAGCTGCATCCAAATAAAAGATGATCAAGAAAACTTTGGCAAAAGGACTTATGGTGAGCATTCCCTGTATTTAATTGTAGTGCCAAAGCTAAAATAAGGATGGGATTATGGATATAAAAATCCATACTTGTTAATGAAATCAGTTCCTTGTTTAGTAGGCTTATTTTGATGTTCTGGAAAAGTAGAATAAGACCCAATGGGAAGAGGAGGGAGACAGAGGAGAAAGTAGCATATGATTATAGATTGCTATAGACATAATGGATGTCAAAGAATACCTATTAGAAGATAGTAACAGACTAAGTGATAAAAAGAGAGAATTAGGACATTACAAAAATACTGACATTAAGGTAACCAAAAGAATAAAAATGCAAACCTTCCTAAATACTCCAAGAAAATGTAGGCAAAGAGAACACATCTAATATAGAAAGAAACACAATAAATATAACACATCACACATAGAAAGTGTAACAAAGCATATAGGAGAATTAAGACCACACTTATCAGGCACAAAAATAAATGAATGGGCTTAATTTGTCTATTCAAGTGTGCATACAAAGTAAAACACAACTCTATGGTGTATAGAAGAGACTCATCTAAGATGTAGTTATTCAAAAATCAGAAAATAAAGGTGGAAGATTTACCAGGCAAAGGGAAAAAATAAGAAAGAAGATTGAGATTCTGATAGCGGATAAAGTAGAATTTCAAGTGAAAAAGCATTACATGAGACAAAGGAATTTTATAACACTAAAAGTCACATTTCAAGATGGTGATGTAGCAATTATGAATATGTATGCAACAAATCACACACCAATTACCTATATAAAACAAACTACAGGAGATTAAGGAGAAATAGAAACAACAAGAGAACAAGAAACCATTCTCAGTACAAAATAGATCCTGTTGGGACAGTTCAGATGGGCAAAATTAAGTAAAGATACAAAAGATCTACAGCATAATGCATAAGATACATCTTTTGTGTATGTATTAAACATCACTCTGTGGTGATAGAGAATATACCTTCTTTTTAAAGTACTCATGAACATTCCTGAAAAGTGCTCATATGTGAGGACACAAAGAGAATATTGATAAGTTCCAAAAAGTTAAAATATTACTCATTTTCTAAAGACAACACAGTAAAGCTAGATATTAAAAACCAAAAAGGCACTTCTACCTGGAAATTTAAAATTAAAAAAAAAACCCCTCCTATTCGACAGCTCTTGGGTTAAAAGGGAAATGCAGGCATATCTCATTTGTTTGTGCTTCACTTGATTGAGCTTCGCAGATATTGCATTTTTTACAAATTGAAAGTTTGTGTAAGCCTGAGTTGAGCAAGTCTATCAGCACCATTTTCCCAATAGCATGTGCTTACCTCATGTCTCTGTGTCATATTTTGGGAATTCTTGCAATATTTCAAACTTTTAAATTATTAATAGATTTGTTATGGTGATCTGTGATCAGTGATCTTTGATATTACTATTGTAATTGTTTGGGGGCATCACAAACTGTCCCCATGTAAAATGGCAAACTTAATAAACTGTTGTGTATGTTCTAACTGTTCCAACTAGCCATCCCTCCCTTCCTCCCTCCCTCTCTCTCTCATGCATCCATGTGTTCTCATTGTTCAACTCCCACTTATGAGTGAGAACATGCAGTGTTTGGTTTTCTGTTCCTGTGTTACTTTGCTGAAAATGATGGCTTCCAGCTTCATCCATGTCCCTGCAAAGGACATGAACTCATTCTTTTTTATGGCTGCATAGTATTCCATAATGTATATAAGACACATTTTCTCTAGTCTATCATTGATGGGCATTTGGGTTGGTTCCAATTCTTTGCTATTGTAAATAGTGCTGCAATAAACATACATGTGCATGTGTCTTTACAATAGAATAATTTATAAGCCTTTGGGTATATACCCAGTAATGGGATTGCTGGGTCAAACGGTATTTCTGGTTCTAGATCCTTGAGGAATCACCACACTGTCTTCCACAATGGTTGAACTAATTTACACTCCGACCAACAGTGTAAAAGCTTTTCTATTTCCCCATAGCCTCACCAGTGTCTATTGTTTCCTGACTTTTTAATAATCACCGTTTTGACTGGCGTGAGATGGTATCTCATTGTGGTTTTTATTTGCATTTCTCTAATGACCAGTGATGATGAGATTTTTTTTCATATGTTTGTTGGCCACGTAAATATCTTCTTTTGAGAAGTATCTGTCCATATCCTTTGTCCACTTTTTGATGGAGTTGTTTTTTTCTTGTAAATTTGTTTAAGTTCCTTGTAGATTCTGGATATTAGACCTTTGTCAGATGGGTAAGTTGTATAAATTTTCTCCCATTCTGTAGGTTGCCTGTTAACTCTGATGATAGTTTATTTTGCTGTGCAGAAACTCTTTAGTTTAATTAGATGCCATTTGTCAATTTTGCCTTTTGTTGCAATTGCTTTGGGTGCTTTAGTCATGAAGTCTTTGCCCATGCCTGTGTCCTGAATGGTATTGCCTAGGTTTTCTTCTATGGTTTTTATGGTTTTGGGTTTTATATTTAAGTCTTTAGTCCATCTTGAGTTAATTTTCGTATAAGGTGTAAGGAAGGGTTCCAGTTTCAGTTTTCTGCACTATCTAGTTTTCCCAGCACCATTTATTAAATAGGGAATCCTTTCCCCATTGCTTGTTTTTGTCAGGTTTGTCGAAGATCAGATGGTTGTGTGGTGTTTTGGTACAGAGGATGTGTGGTGTTTTGGTACCAGTACCATCCTGTTTTGGTTACTGTAGCCTTGTGGAATAGTTTGAAGTCAGGTAGTGTGATGCCTCCAGCTTTGTTCTTTTTGCTTAGGATTGTCTTGGCTATATAGCTTCTTTTTGGTTCCCTATAAAGTTTAAAGTAGTTTTTTCTAATTAATTCTGAAAAGAAAGACAATGGTAGCTGGATGGAAATAGCATTGAATCTATAAATTACTTTTGGCAGAATGGCCATTTTCACGATATTGGGTCTTCCTATCCATGAGCATGGAATGTTTTTTCATTCGTTTGTGTCCTCTCTTATTTCCTTGAGCAGTGGTTTGTGGTTCTCCTTGAAGAGGTCCTTTGTATCCCTTGTAAGTTGTATTCCTAGGTATTTTATTCTCTTTGCAGCAATTGTGAATGGGAGTTCACTCATGATTTGGCTGTCTGTCTGTTATTGGTGTAGAGGAATGCTTGTGATTTTTGAACACTGATTTTGTATTCTGACATGTTGCTGAAGTTGCTTATCAGCTTAAGGAGTTCTGGGGCTGAGACGATGGGGTTTTCTAAATATACAATCACGTTGTCTGCAAATAGAGACAATTTGACTTCTTCTCTTCCTATCTGAATACCCTTTATTTCTTTCTCTTGCCTGATTGCCCTGGCCAGAACTTCCAATACTATGTAGAATAGGAGTGGTGAGAGAGAACATCCTTGTCTTGTGTCGGTTTTCAAAGGGAATGCTACCAGCTTTTGCCAATTCAGTATGGTATTGGCTATGAGTTCTTCATAAATAACAATTTATTATTTTGAAATATGTTCCATCAATACCTAGTTTATTGAGAGTTTTTAGCATGAAGGGATGTATAAGGGAAACAGAAAACAAACTGGACCCCTTCCTTACATGTTATAAATGCATGTTAAATTTTATTGGAGGCCTTTTCTGCATCTATTGAGATAATCATGTGGTTTTTGTCATTGGTTCTGTTTATGTGATGGATTGTGTTTATTGATTTGTGTATGTTGAACCAGCCTTGCATTCTGGGGATGAAGCTGACTTGATCATGGTAGATAAGGTGTTCGATGTGCTGCTGGATTCGGTTTGCCAGTATTTTATCGAGGATTTTTGCGTCGATGTTCATCAGGGATATTGGCCTGAAATTTTCTTTTTTTGTTGTGTCTCTGCCAGGTTTTGGAATCAGGATGATGCTGGACTCATAAAATGAGTTAGGGAGGAGTCCTTCTTTTTCTATTGTTTGGAATAGTTTCAGAAGGAATGGTACCACCTCCTCTTTGTACCCCTGGTGGAATTCGGCTGTGAATCCATCTGGTCCTGGGCTTTTTTTGGTTGGTAGGCTGTTAATTACTGCCTCAGTTTCAGAACCTGTTATTGGTCTATTCAGGGATTTGACTTCTTCCTGGTTTAGTCTTGGGAGGCTATATGTGTCCAGGAATTTATCTATTTCTTCTAGATTTTCTAGTTTATTTGCGTAGAGGTGTTTATAGTATTCCCTGAAGTTGGTTTGTATTTCTGTAGGATTGGTGTTGATATCCCCTTTATCACTTTCATTGTGTCTATTTCATTCTTCTCTCTCTTCTTCTTTATGAGTCTACCTAGTGGTCTATTTTGTTAATCTTTTCAAAAAACCAGCTCTGGGATTCATTGCTTTTTTTGAAGGGTTTTTTGTGTCTCTATCTCCTTCAGTTCTGATCTTACTTATTTCTTGTCTTCTGCTAGCTTTTGAATTTGTTTGCTCTTGCTTCTCTAGTTCTTTTAATTTTGATGTTAGGGTGTCAATTTTAGATCTTTCCAGCTTTCTGATGTGGGCATTTAGTGCTATAAATTTCCCTCTTAACACTGCTTTATCTGTGTTCCAGAGGTTCTGGTACATTGTCTCTTTGTTCTCATTGGTTTCAAAGAACTTCTTTATTTCTGCCTTAATTTCGTTATTTACCCAGTAGTCATTCAGGAGCAGGTTGTTCAATTTCCAGGTAGTTGTATGGTTTTGAGTGAGTTTCTTAATCCTGAGTTCTAATTTGGTTGCACTGTGGCCTGAGAGACAGTTTGTTATGATTTCTGTTCTTTTGCATTTGCAGAGGAGTGTTTTACTTCCAATTATGTGGTCGATTTTAGAATAAGTGCTATGTGGCTCTGAGAAGAATGTATATTCTGTTGATTTGTGGTGGAGAGTTCTGTAGATGTAGGTTAGGTCCACTTGGTCCAGAGCTGAGTTCAAGTCCTGAATATCCTTGTTAATTTTCTGTCTTGTTGATCTAATATTGACATTGGGGTGTAAATATCTCCCACTGTTATTGTGTGGGAGTCTAAGTCTCTTTGTAGGTCTCTATGAACTTGCTTTATGAATCTGGGTGCTCCTGTATTGGGTGCATATATATTTATGATAGTTAGCTTTTGTTGCATTGATCCCTTTACTATTATGTAATGCCTTTCTTTGTCTTTTTTGATCTTTGTTGGTTTATTTTATAAGAAATAAGGATTGCAATCCCTGTTTTGTTGTGTTTTGTTTTGTTTTTCTTTCCATTTGCTTGGTAAATATTCCTCCATCCCTTTATTTTGAGCCTATGTGTATGTTTGCATGTGAGATGGGTCTCCTGAATACAGCACACTGATGGGTCTTGACTCTTTATTCAATTTGCCAGTCTGTGTCTTTTAATTGGGGCATTTAGCTCATTTACATTTAAAGTTAATATTGTTATGTTTGAATTTGATCCTGTCATCATGATGCTAGCTGGTTTTTTGTACATTAGTTGATGCAGTTTCTTCATAGCTTGGATGGTCTTTACAATTTGGCATGTTTTTGCAGTTGCTGGTACTGGTTTTTCCTTTCCATACCCAGTGCTTCCTTCAGGAGCTCTTGTAAGGCAGGCATGGTGGTGACAAAATCCCTCAGCATTTGCTTATCTTGTCTGGAAAGGATTTTATTTTTCCTTTGCTTATGAAGCTCAGTTTGGCTGGATATGAAATTCTGGGTTGAAAATTCTTTTCTTTAAGAATGTTGAATATTGGCCCCCACCCTCTTCTGGCTTGCCAGCTTTCTGCAGAGAGATCTGCTGTTAGTGTGATGGGCTTCCCTTTGTAGGTAACCCGAACTTTCTGGCTGCCCTTAACATTTATCCTTTGTTTCAACCTTGGAAAATCTGATAAACATGTGTCTTGGGCTTGCTTTTCTCTGTGATTATCTTAGTGGTGTTCTCTGTATTTCCTGAATTTGAATGTTGGCCTGTCTTGCTATGTTGGGGAAGTTCTCCTGGGTAATATCCTCAAATTTGTTTTCCAACTTGGTTCCATTCTCCCCATCACTTTGTGATACACCAGTCAATTGTAGGTTTGGTCTTTTCACATAGTCCCATATTTCTTGGAGGCTTTGTTCATTCCTTTTCAATCTTTTTTCTCTAATCTTGTCTTCATGCCTTATTTCAGTAAATTGATCTTCAATCTCCAATATATTTTCTTCCACTTTATTCGGCTATTGATACTTGTGTATGCTTCATGAAGTTCTCGTGCTGTGTTTTTCAGCTCCATCAGGTCATTTGTGTTCTTCTCTAAACTGATTATTCTAGTTAGCAGTTCCAGTAACCTTTTATCAAGGTTCTTAGCTTCTTTGCATTAGGTTAGAACATGTTCCTTTAGCTCAGAGGAGTTTGTTATTACTCACTTTTTGAAGCCTACTTCTGTCAGTTTATCAACCTCATTCTCTGTCCAGATTTGTGCCCTTACTGGAGAGGAGTTGTGATCATTTGGAGGAGAAGAGGCATTCTTGTTTTTGGAATTTTCAGCATTTATGTGCTCATTTTTCCTCACCTTCGTGGATTTATCTACCTTTGATCTTTGAGGCTGATCACCTTTGGATGGGGTTTTTGTGTGGCTCTTTTGTTGATGTTGTTGCTTTCTGTTAGTGTTTCTTCTAAAAGTCAGGCCCCTCTTCTGCAAGTTGCTGCATTTTGCTGGAGGTTCACTCCAGACCCTCTTCACCTGGGTATAACCACTGGAGGCTGCAGAACAGCAAAGGTCACTGCCTGCTCCTTCCTCTGGAAGCTTAGTCCCAGAGGGGCACCAGCCTGATGCCAGCCAGAGCTCTCCTGTGTGAGGTATCTGTCAACCCCTTTTTGGAGGTCTCTCCTAGTCAGCAGGCATAGGGGTCAGGGACCCACTTGAGGAGGCAGTCTGTCCGTTAGCCGAACTCGAGTACTGTGCTGGGAGACCTGCTCTCTTCAGAGCCAGCAGGCAGGAACTTGTAAGACTGCTGATGCTGGGCTCACAGCTACCCCTTCCCTCATGCTCTGTCCCAGGGAGATGGGAGTTTCATCTGTAAGCCCCTGACTGGGGCTGCTGCCTTTCTTTCAGAGACATGCAAACTAGAAAAAACATACTAACTAGATAGTCCAGCAGCTAATTTAATCAAGGACATATGATGGAAGCAGAGCCAGAGAAAGATGCTATATTGCTGGCTTTGAAGATAAGGATGAAACCAAATATCCAAACCATGCAGACAATCTGTACCTGGAAAAGGCAAGAGAACAAATTCTCCACCAGGGCTTCCAGAAAGGATGCAGCCCTTCTCTAGGGTATGTTCCCAGGACTAAAATTCCCAAGTCATATGGTAACCTATATTTAACCATTCAAGGAACTCCCAGACTGTTTTCCAAAGTAGCTGTGCCATTTTACACACTTACAGGCAGTATATGAAGGTTCTAATTCTTCCACATCTTCACCAACACTTGCTTTTTCGTTATACTTATCCAAGCCATAGCCTCTGCCTATGTTTTCTTCTGAATTTTAGTTTTAGTTTTTTCATTTAAGTCTTTGAAGCACTATGAATTAATTTTTCATGTATGATGTGAGGTAGGGGTCCTATTTCATTCTTTTGCACGTGGATACGTAGTTGTCCTAGCATCATTTGTGGAAAAGACTATTCTTTCACCTACTGAATTGTCTTGGCACCCTCATGAAAAATCAATTGACCGTAAATGTAAGGGTTCATTTCTGAAATCTGTATTATATTTCTTTGATCTATATGTATATCTGTCCACACTTTTGATTGCTGTATTTCTGTAACTGTGAAATCTAAAAGTGTGCATCCTTCAACTTTGTACTTTTCAAGATTGTTTTGGCTATTCTGGGTCCCTTGCATTTCCATACAATTTTAGGATAAGTTTGTCAATTTCTGCAAAGCAGCCTGCAGGGATTTAGATAGAAACTGGATTAAATCTGGAGTATTGCTATCTTAATGACGTTATGCTTTCCATAAATATAGGATATCTTTCAACTTATTAGGTCTTCTTTAATTTCTTTTAATGATGTTTTATTGTTTTCAGTCTACAAGTTTTACACTTTTGGGCTAAGTTTATTTTCAGATTTAAAAACTTTATCCATGTTATTATAAATACAATTGTCTTCAATTTTCAGATTGTTCATTGCTAGCATAGAAATAAAATTGCTTTTTGTTTATTGATCTTGTACCCTGCAATCTTACTGAACTTGTTAGCCCTATTAGTTTCTTCTGGTGGATTCCTTAAGATTTTTTATATGTAAGATCATGTCATCTGCAACTAGAAAAAGTCTTACTTTCTCTACAGAAAAGGGTACTCATCAAGAACTTGACCATGCTGGCACTCAGTCTCAGACTTCTAGTCTCCAGAAATGTGAGAAATAAATGTTGTTTAAGCCACCAGTCTATGGTAATTTATTATAGCAGTCCAAACTAATTAAGACAAATGCTGAGTAGAGGTGGCAAGAGTGGTTATCCTTGTCTTGTTCCTGATCTCAGGAGGAAAATATTCAGTCTTTCAGGATTAAGTGCAATGCTGGCTGTGAGTTTTTCATAGATGTCCATGGAGGTTAAGGGAGTTGCCCTTTATTCGTAATTTGTTGAATATTTTATGAAAGGATTTTGTCCGGTGCTTTTCCTGCATCTATTAAGATCATCAGGCTGTTTATGAATAAAGGCTTTGAGATTTTTTAGTTTTCAATATAGTTACTTAGAGTTGAAAAAATTTTCCTCTAAGCATGATTTTGGCTGCATCTGAGAAGTTTTGGCATGTGTGTTTTTGTTTTCATTCACTTCAAAGTATCTTAGAATTTCCCTTGTGATTTCTTCTTTAACCCACTGGGTTTTCAGGAAATGTTATTTAATTTCTACATATTTCTATCTGTAAATTTCTTAAAATTCCCTCGGCCATTATTTCTTCACATATTTCTTCTATTCCTTTCTCTCTCCCCTCTTCCTCTGGAACTCTCATTATTTATACAGTGGCATGTTTGATATCCCATCAGTCTCTAAGGCTGCTCATTTTCCTTCATTTTTTTCTTTTTTTCCTAGACTGGATAATCTCAATGGACCTTTAAGTTTGCTTGCTTTCTTCTGCCAGTTCATATTTGCTGTTGTACCCTTGTAGTAATTTTTTTTTGCTCTAATTATTATGCTTTTCACCTCCTGAATTTCTATGGATTCTTTTGAATAATTTTAATTTATGTATTGAAATTCTCCATTTCTTAAGATATAATTTTCCTACTTTCATTTAACTCTTTTTTTTTTTTGAGATGGAGTCTCACTCTATTGCCCAGGCTGGTATACAGTGGCACGGTCTCTGCTCACTGCAACCCCCATCTCCCGGGTTAAAGCGATTCTCCTCCCTGAGCCTCTCTACTTGCTGAGAATACGGGCACCCGCCACCATGCCCAGCTATTTTTTTTTTTTAACTTTTAGTAGAGACAAGGTTTCACCACGTTGGCCTTGAACTCCTGACCTCAAGTGATCTGCCTGCCTCGGCCTCCCAAAGTACAGGGATTACAGGCGTGAGCCACAGTGTCTGGCCCCTTTAACTCTTTAGGCATAGTTTCCTAGTTCTTTGAATATATTTATAATGGCTGATTTAAAGTTATTATTTAACAAGTCCAAAATCTAGGCTTTCTTAAGGACACTTTCTACGAATTGTCCTTAATACAAGAGCACATCTTCGCCCTTCATCCTTAATGGGAATGATGACAAAAGCTATTTTCCATTGCCCATCAGTGTTGGTGTTGAGTACTTAAAAAATGTGCTGGAACTTTTCAGAGGGCACTAGAGACAGGATGGTGGCAGCAGCAGTAGCATTTAAGCCTCCTGAGGAAGAGCTTAGAGGCCTTTACTCCATCCTTCCAGAGGTGCTTCTTCCCTTGTTATCAGAAAAAGTCTGGAACATCTGAGAGGCTGTTTTAGTCAAAACTCCACCAGAAAAACACAACCAGTAGGTGAACTTGTTTTATGAATTTGGTTCTCTTGTATTGGGTGCATATATATTTAGGATAGTTGGTTTTGTTGCATTGATCCCTTTACCATTACGTAATGTCCTTCTTTGTCTTGTTTGATCTTTGTTGGTTTAAAGTCTGTTTTATAAGTAACAAGGATTGCCAGTCTCTTTTACAAGAGACTAGGATTGCAATTCCTGCTTTTTTTTTTTTTTTTTGCTTTCCGTTTGCTTGGTAAATATTCCTCCATCCCTTTATTTTGAGCCTATGTGCATCTTTGCACATGAGATGGGTCTCCTGAATATAGCACACCAATGGGTCTTGACTCTTTATCCAATTTGCTCCTTTAGCTCAGAGGAGTTTATTACTCACCTTCGGAAGCTTACTTCTGTCAATTCGTCAATCTCATTCTCCATCCAGTTTTGTGCCCTTGCTGGAGAAGAGTTATGATCATTTGGAGGAGAGGAGGCATTCTGGTTTTTGGAATTTTCAGCATTTATGTGCTGGTTTTTCCTCACCTTCGTGGATTTATCTACCTTTGATCTTTGAGGCTGATGACCCTTGGATGGGATTTTTGTGTGTGGGCCTTTTGTTTATGTTGTTGCTTTCTGTTAGTGTTTCTTCTAAAAGTCAGGCCCCTCTTCTGCAAGTTGCTGCATTTTGCTGGCGGTCTACTCCAGACCCTCTTCACCTGGGTATCTCCAGTGGTGGCTACAGAACAGCCAAGATAGCTGCCTGCTCCTTCCTCTGGAGGCTTAGTCCCAGAGGGGCACCGGCCTGATGCCAGCCGGAGCTCTCCTGTATGAGGTGTCTGTTGACCCCTGTTGGGAGGTCTTTCCCAGTCAGCAGGCATAGGGGTCAGGGACCCACTTGAGGAGGCAGTCTGTCCATTAGCCGAACTTGAGGGCTGTGCTGGGAGATCTGCTGTTCTCTTCAGAGCCAGCAGGCAGGAATGTTTAGGTCTGCTGAAGCTGTGCCCATAGCTGCCCCTTCCCTCAGGTGTTCTGTCCCAGGGAGATGGGAGTTTCATCTGTAAGCCCCTGACTGGGGCTGCTGCCTTTCTTTCAGAGATGCCCTGCCCAGTGAGGAGGAATCTAGAGAGGCAGTCTGGCCATAGCTGCTTTGCCGTGCTGTGGTGAATTCTGCCCAGTCCAAACTTCCCTGCTTCCTTAGCGCTGTCAGGGGAAAACTGCCTACTCAAGCCTCAGTAATGTTGGACACCCCTCCCTGCACCAAGCTCGATCATTCCAGGCTGACTTCAGACTGCTGTGCTGGCAATGAGAATTTTAAGCCAGTGATTCTTAGCTTGCTGGGCTCCCTGGGAGTGGGAGCAGCTGAGTGAGACCACTTGGCTCCCTGTCTTCAGCCCCCTTTCCAGGGCAATGAACGGTTCTGTCTCACAGGGGTTCCAAGTGCCACTGGGGTACGAAAAAAAACCTCCTGCAGCTAGCTTGGTGTCTGCCCAAAGAGCCGCCCGGTTTTGTGCTTGCAGCTCAGGGCCCTGTTGGTGTAGGCACGTGAAGGAACCTCCTGATCTGCAGATTGCAAAAACTGTGGGAAAAGCTTAGTATGCAGGCTGGGTAGCACAGTCATGGCTTTTTTTGGCTGGAGGAGGGAGGTCCTCCAGCTCCTTGCACTTCCTGGGTGAGGCGATGCCCCACCCGGCTTCTGTTTGCCCTCCGTGGGCTGCACCCATTGCCTAACCAGTCGCAGTGAGATGAACTGGGTACCTCAGTTGGAAATGCAGAAATCACTGCCTTCTACATTGGTCTTGCTGGGAGCTGCAGGCCAGAGCTGTTCCTATTTGGCCATCTTGCCAGATCCCACCAAGTTTTTAATATTCAATTTTGTTGGCACATCTTGAAATGTTTCTCAAACTTTGTTTTATATCACAGCTGAGGAAAAACGTGAAGCAACTGTAGCTGAAGCCCACGGCTTTGCAGAAATTAGACTGTAATACTAAAACGAGGCTGTTTCAGGCATCAGTAATCCTTTGCTGTAAAGGGCTGGATGGTACATGTTTTGTGGACCATGATGTCTGCCACTGTGGCTTGAAAGCAGCCATAGAAAACATTAAATCAATAGGTGTGGCTATGCTTCAATAAAACTTTATTTACAATAAAAATCATTTTCTGGGTTGGATTTGGCCCTAAGGCTGTAATTTTCTAACTCCTGCTCTAATCAATGAGAAGTTAACTTGTTCATATATTAGGAGAGAGTACAGAAAAAAGGGGGAGAAAGAGGGGGAGGGAGATGGAGATGGACGGGGGATGTAGCAAGATTCCTTATCTACAAAAAAAATTTAAAAACTTAGCTGGGCATGGTGGCATGCTCCTGTAGTCCTAGCTACTCCAAAGGCTGAGGAAGGAGGATCACTTGAGCCCAGGAGTTCAAGGATGCAGTGACCTATGTTCAGGCTACTGCACTCCAGCCTGGGCGACAGAGCAAATGCCCATCTCAAAAAAAAAAAAAAAAAAAAAAAAAAGAAACAAAACAAAAAAAAAAACCCCTTAGTCATCATTGGGAGTGCTTCACTACTTAAGACAGTGGTTTCTAAATCTGGCCATTCAGAAGCACCCAGGAAATCTATTCATGACAGATTTTCAAGTTCCATGTCCACAGTGCCATTAAGTAGGTCTACGAATATTTTTATATTCCCCAGTGAGACTCCTTGATTTAAAAAAATCAAGAGACAGTTAAAAACCCACAAAACTGTTGGACTCAGGGAAAGAATTAGGAAAATGGGATAATACAGATTAATTCTCATTAGGGAAATGGTGAGGTTCCAGGTCCATAGCGCATGCATTCAAATTCCACTCTTAGAAGTTGGGGCAGAGAGCTGAGTTCTAAGCTTAGCTTTGCCACTGACCACTGTCTGACCTTGAAGAAGTCACTTAGCTTCTCTGGGCCAAGGTCTTCTCATCTGTAACATCTCTTCCAGCAACAAGTTCTATAAAACATTCTATAAAAACAAAGATCTATCACAGTAGATTCTGGAGAATTCTAATCTTTTGTCCCCTCTCTTATGAAATTAAACAGAGTGTTTACAGAGTGTTTGAGAGACAATCACAGATTGGGGCATTTAATTGCTCTTTGGCAGGATTTTCACAGAACTCCAAAAGCAGAACTAGGACAAACTTCTGAAGGGCACTCAGTTAAGAAAAAGAGGTACTTTACTCCTCAGGAGTTTCTTTTATGAAATAATTTTCCTTTTCTTTTTTTTTCTTTTTGAGACAGAGTCTTGCTCTGTTTCCCAGGCTGGAGTAGAATGGCACAATCTCGGCTCACTGCAACCTCCGTCTCCGGGGTTCAAGCTATTCTCCTGCCTCAGCCTCCCCAGTAGCTGGGATTACAGGTACCTGCCACCGTGCCCAGCTAATTTTTGTATTTTTTAGTAGAGACAGGGTTTTGCCATGTTGGCCAGGCTGGTCTCAAACTCCTGACCTCAGGTGATCCACCCGCCTTGGCCTCCCAAAGTGCTGGGATTATAGGCATGAGCCACCAAGCCCGGCCTATGAAATAATTTTCAATGACCACTCTAGGTTAAATTAGCAACTGTAATTTTCCCGGGTCACTTCATTGGTCTTCTGGGCTACTTTACTATGACTGCCCCTTCAATTTGCCAACTGTTTATAAAGATACCAGCTCAGAATAATGAAAATATGGAGTGAAGGCAGGCTGGCCAGAGGCTCCATGAGGCGATGCAGGTGACTCTACGGGAGAGGAATTCACTATCTATTTAATTATTATTATTTTTTTAAAAGACAAGTTCGCCCAGGCTGGAGTACAGTGGTGTGATTATAGCTCACTGCAGCCTCAAACTCCTAGGCTCAATTAGATCCTCCTGCCTCAGCGTCCTGAGTAGCTGGGACTACAGGTATGCACCATCACATTCAGCTAATTTTTTAAAATTTTAATTGTTATTTTTTTTTAGCAACAGGATCTCTCTAGGTTGCCCAGGCTGGTCTCAAACTCCTGGCCTCAAGTGATCCCCCTGCAGGTATGAGCCAGTGTGCCCAGCCTAGCATAGGAATTCAAAAGACATGGCAGAGTTTCTGCCCTTTAGGAAGAATGACTTCTATGTTTTTAATATAGCAATCTATATTAATTTTTATGCTTTTAATATATCTATATTATAGGAAGGAATGGGGGCCAGTTATTTTCAGAGCTCGAAGAAAGATGCACGTGTACAACAGTCACTCCAATCACTGATTTTGTGCTATTTAAAAATTCCAAGAAAGGTTGTGTGCAGCGGTCCTGAGTCTTTGTTCAGCCTCTCGGCCTGTGTACATTTGCACACTATATACATCACCATTTCACAACATATAGTTTGTAATCTCTTGCACTTAACTCTTAACCACTGTTTTTAAAAGTGTTGTGCTCAGGATTAATGCTTCATACCAACTTTTGCCCTTCCATGAATTAGAAATAACCTTCTGGAACTATTGTGGATTCTAATCCAGGAACTTAACCAAAATGAAGGGAAAATGAATGTCCACATTCAAACAGTCCACAAAGAACATTGAATTAAAGCTCCCTGCTGACCACAGTCAATTCTACAATAATGCAACATGTATGTTCCTAGAAATCACTGCTTTAGGCAAAGCTGCACAATGGAAATCACAGAACTTCTGGGAAAAATGAAACTAGGGCCACAACATCCCAAAATGTAATGAGTCACACACTGAAAAGAAAAAGAAATCTAATAAAAACAGTAGCACAATTATAAAAACGCTAACTGGTTAGGAAATATTCAAAATATAAAAACAGGGCAAGTTACCTTGAAAAAGATGTAAGGCACGCCTGTGGTTGTGGGCATCAGAAGGATGGCAGCTCTTGGGTTATTGTAAAGAGGAGAAAGGTGATCTGATGTCAGGTGGAAACGTGTAACTCCAGATATGAACGAGTGTAACAAATCACATGCACTGAAGTGAGGTGCTGGAGATGTTTGAAGTGTCGGTGTGTTGTGTTTCCCTATGCAGCTCAGTTGAGTGCAGTTCTCTGCATTCACCTAATGTTCCTTGCAGACCAAACGGCACACAAGCAATGTGACAAGTGCATTATGCTCAAATTATTCTCTAATATGGTGGTCCCCAATCTTTTTGGTGCCAGGGGCTGGTTTTGTGGAAGACAGTTTTTCCACGGACTGGCAGGGGGCTGAGGAGATGGTTTTAGGAAGAAACTGTTCCACCTCAGATCATCAGACATTAGTTAGATTCACATAAAGAGTGCTCAACCTAGATTCCTCCCATGTGCAGTTCACAATAGGGTTCGCGCTCCTATGAGAATCTAATGCTGCTGCTGATCTGAAAGAGGCGGGGCATAGGCGGTAATGCTGGCCAGCTGCTCACCTCCTGCTGTGCAGCCAGGTTCCTAACAGGCCATGGACTAGTACCGGTCCGTGGCCCGGGGTTTGGGGACCCCTGCTATAATACATCAGTTGCATTAGAAGAAAAATGAGTTATCAGAGCAAGTGCTATAGACAAGCTGTCTGTGTTAACCTGGCACCAAGTGGAATGCCGTTAAGTCTGCTATCCATCAATGGTATCCCAAGGAAGTTTCAAAAAATGGTGATACACATAGAATTAAGGTGTATCAAAGCTAAAAACAAAACATATGACTTTATAGGATGTTCATGGAAGAGATTCTTTTCCTCTACTTGTTCATCTTGCGGCAAAGTCAATTGTGTTGTGGAAGTTTGTTATTACTGATAAAATAATTCCCAAACTGAAGGCAAGGCTCTAGAAACTAAAAAGATTCAATTCCACTTTCATTTCTTCAAGGATTAGCTAAAGACACTGTCAGGACCGAGTATTTAAAATGTGTTTGGAACAGAGACACACAATTGGGACAGAGGAAAAAAGGATTCATCTTGTGAGTCATCAAAAGTGCTTTATTTGTAAAGCCCGGCTCATGACTGGAGTGTATTGTTAGCACTAGGAGATAACAGGGCAAACGTCCTCACTCTGTCCAAATGGTTTATCAACAGAAATAAATGACAGACTGTTTGTTATAGACAAAAATAAAAGCATTCTGTAAACTTCTAAAAGCATACACAGATTGGCCCCCAAGGAAACAGTTACTCAAATAATGTATGTGTACCTTATCTTTACTTCAGGGTCTCATGGTTGTGGTCTTGGGTCAAACCACAGTAGAACTTCACAACACAAAAACTGATCTGATGCCAGAATTAATGGTGCAGGGAAAAACCAAATCATAGTATGGATTACTTTAAATACATAAAAGATGAATCTGTACACTACGTGACAGTGGTGTTAACACTGGCTGCTGAGGATACCAAATCTACATAAAATGAGTGGACAGTATACGGAGGGCACGACTGCTGGCTTCCAAAGACTCTGTGAACTAGATCCACATACACGGGGCACAGCTGCAATCTGGACAGCCCTGAAGTAAAGTTCCTGGAAAAGGCAGTACGGCAGGGAGATCTGTTGAGTTGCAAGTAATAATTAAAGGGTCGATTTTTGTTTGTTTGTTTTCTTTTCTGAAACTGCCCACAAAAATCATATCATGTTTTAAACAAGGAGTTTCAAAGGCATGGCTTTAGCGCAGCATGTAAGTGGATAACCTACTCTAAGCAAGACTAATATTTAAGCTCAATGCCTTTTGGAAAATGCAGGAGAGTTGGTAGATACATGATCTAGGTTGGAAATTTATAACTTGATTAAAAACAATCAGCACAGTTTAGGGCAATGAACTTTCATAAACCAGACTGGGGCGAAATCTCTTTTTAAAAAAATCAATCATTAGGTTGATAAATGTACATTTGGAGGAAAAAAAAATCCTTTTCCTTTTATTGTGAAAGACTGTCTACCATGTACTTTGACTAAAACACTCACGTAAAAACATGGCTGCAGGATACGTCTCAAAATATGACAAACGTTATTTCACCTATACTGTGACTTTACATGTAAACTTCAAAAATCACATGCTGTACATCAAATTTTTAGATTCAAAAGATATCCCTGTTTTCCTAATAATGTAAACAGTAAAACTGAGGGTTTCAGTTAAAGGGATAATTCGTAACAAAATCCCATTGTTGAAACAATGGTCAAACATAAACATCTTATAATTCAGATCTGCATTTGGTAACAGGAGAATTGAGAGTTTTGATGCTTTGCTGGTTTTCCCACAGTGGGAGATGTAGATACCATTGCCCCAAACTATGCACTTTTCAGGTAAGCTTTACTTTTATTTTGTAGCATTAATTCCTATATTGCAACGTAAGGGTGAACAATGAAGGCTCCAGGCAAGAAAAGAGAAGTAAGCAGTTTTCCTGGACATATTGGCCGAGGTGAAAAATGTATAGAGAATCACTGGGGCATCAGCTGCTTGTTGCGGGAGGGGTGGGGGCTCTGGACACCAGGGGGTCCTGACAAGGCTGGGGCCAGAACCCTGAACCAGTACACACGGAGACGCCAGCATTCTTCCGTCCAGTGCTGGGGGCTCAGGTTATCAGTGTTAGGGAGAGTGTCTGCGTGCGGGGTAGAAATGGAACATTCGCTGTAGGTTTTTTCCTTGGAATCATCATCATTATTATAATAATCATCATTATTATCTTCATTATTCTGAATACTGTCTCACATCTTTCAACTCCAAAAAAAAAAAAAAAAAAAAAAAACTGATCCACAGTTTGTTGTGTGATGCCAACACGGTGCCTGACATCATGCACTTCCTTCTCCCCTCCCCCACACGTGTGTTCATTCACTCACTCACTCACTCACTCATTCATTCGGCCATAGCTGGAATCAAAGGGTCTTTGTTGGGACACATACTGACCGAAGTGGATCTGTTTTAATTAATTTATGACTTTTAAAATGCACACGCGCGCACACACTCACCCCCCCCCAACACACACACACACACATATACACAAAGTCAGAAATAGCTAGAACGATGCTGGGAAAATCAGGTAGCTGTAAAGCGAGTAGCCCCCAAATCAGTCATCTTGGCCTGAAGATGTAAACAAGGAGGTTTGCTTCCTGCAAGATGAGTACTTCACTGAGTTTGGTTTTCATTTTTCCTACACCGAAGCCACCTCTGTCCATCCAATGTTCATGTCTGTCCGAGGCTGCGCAGGAGGTTACGTCAAGATGTGGCCAATAAAGTCCAAAAAGCGCTTTGAATACTGTTCTGGGTTCACGGTGGAGATCTCCGCGCCAGCCTGGGCAGTTTTTAAAAAAGGAAATATTGACATAGTGTTTATGATTTCCCCAAATTATTACTCAATATCTACAGCTATTTCCAATGGCAACTGAATATACAGCAAGCAATTTTCAAATCCATGCAGTCTCTGCTCTGAAAAACATCACTCAAAATATCTTGGCGCTCATGGTTGAATAAGCAAGGTTCTTACAAATCTGTGTCTGCAAATGAGACAAAGGGCGACAGGAGCACCAGATGCTACCACACACACCGGGGCTGTTGCAACTCACAAAAAAATCAAACAGGCCACGTTTGGGATGTTACTATCAAAGAGTGGAATTGTTCAGAAGTCACGGAAACAATACTTATGTTATACTTTTCAAGAAGGCAGACTGGAGCCACCTTGAGAATGACATCAACATTTGGCGAAAGGGAAACCTTAATGACGATGACTTAAAACCGCATGATTTCTTCAGGACCCCTTCGTTTCTGGACAGAGGCCCCCAGCTCAGTGCTCAAACATGAGGGGCAACAGCAGCAGCCACAGGTTCTGGGACAGCTGCCCCCAGCCCATTCCCTGCACCGTAACCAGGTGAGGCACAACACTGCTGGCTCCATCTTGCCCACGGGGGAAGGAGCTGACTTCCCTCTGCAGCAGCACACAGGGGTGCCACTGTTCCCCTTTCTGAGCCCTGCAGAGAGCAAGCAAGCCTGGCCCCCTGCAGAAGCACGGTGAGGGATTTTTCCATGATGAGATGCAGGGTGCAGGCCAGCACACTCAAGGGAGTCACTCACTGGCCAGTTTCCTGAGCTGCAAAGGGCAAGCACGGAGTTTTGCTAAGTGAGCATGTGCTGTTTTTAGACACCCATGTTCACCGGGGAACTTGTAATATTTCCAGGCCTCGGCTGCATGGAGGAGCCCAGGCTTGAATGCAGAGAGAATGGTCCCCCACAGCAGCTTAACACAGCGTTCCTTTGCTGACAGTAATGTTTTCTTCTTGCAAACTACCTGTGATTTTATGCCGTGTGGCACACTATGGAGGCGAACTTGTGGCTTATGGGGAGATGAACATGGAGCCATATTGGCTAGGATAGGAGAGATGAACATGGAGCCATATTGGCTAGGATACACTCCAATTTCACAGGATGTATAATATGGGAACAGACATTTACAAAGCATTTGTCCAGACAACTCTTGTATCTCTGGCAAAACCCCATCAGCAAGGCAGTAGGATTTCTGTATGAGGTGAAAAAACAGGAGCTCCAAAAGTGTCCCCTTGAGGTCATACAAGTGGGAAGGGTCAAACGAGGATTCCTCGCCAGTTCTCTCTTTGCCACACTCCATGGTTTTCAACCAGAGGTGAGCATCAGAATGACCATGGAGTCTTCTGAAGACCCCTCCCTCACCCTCCTGAACTGGCCTCAGAAATGACGGAATGGGGGTGGTGCACCTGGTGCGGATGTTTGTTTAAAAAGAGTACTCAAAAATTTCTGTTGGGGGGAAGCCACCAGGCACACTTGCTTACTGACGTGCTCGGGGGCGGTGAGGTCCCAGTCTGTGCTCTGCACACAGCAGGAATACCATAGCTATCGACAATGTGACTGAAATATTTCTTTGGCAAATAGAATACTGTGTTTGTTAGGCTGATTTCTATTTTAAAATAGAAAAGAAGAGGTTTCAAGTGAGTTTTTGGTTCTGGTGAATCTTCATTAGTTCTACACAGTCTGTGGGAAGCACCTCTTCTTCCAGGGCCAACAAACCAGGGAATACATTCATCTGTGTGGGGTGGGCTCTATGGCTTTCAGGACCTCTGCAAAACAAAGATGGCACCCTGCAATACAAGCCTGAAACTTGGCGAGCTGTAAAGTTCAGCCAGGCAGGAGGTGTTTGCAGGCAGGGCAAGGGGATGAGCATGAACACAGAGCCAGGAGGGGGCTGGGTCCGGGGGAGGAATCTCATCTCTGCCACTTGCTACTATGAGGCCCTGGCAAGTTACTCCTGAAGCTATTTTCCTCAGTTTCTCCAACTGACAAAAGCAGGTACACTACTATCTCTTTCATAGGCTTCTCATGGGGGATAAAATAGCTTAACATATGGCTAGAGCAGTGAAAACTCCCATCAAGCAACATTAACGGTGAGTAATATTATGCAACTTTGATTTTGCACTCAAGAGATTTCTGTAGTAGAAAAAATACAACTCACTGTGAGAAAAGAAATATTAATCCTGTATACTTGGGAAGTGTCTTAAGCAGACAATCATGCTTCAGTTTTGAATATTTCATATTAGAACACTTCATTATCTTCTTTTGCACTTTTATCTCTGGAACATTTTTCAAACAAAAAAGAATTTGTGTAACATCCTAGTGATGCGCATGCCTGTTAGTGTCCGCCATGTGTAAAAAGAAGAGATGTTCATGTTTAAGTGACTTCGCTGGAAGCCACAGGGAGCTGTGGTAAGAGCAGCAGTGAGCAGTAAGCGTTTGTGGGTTCTGTATCTTACGCTCAGAACATGACTTGCCCCCAGGGAACAAGCGTCACTAAAGGGCTTTGAATGGCTCAGTAGAAAGCAGCTCAGTGGCAGAAAGGAGTGATCCCTGAGTTACAGGTCACACAGAGGAGCCAGGAGAGAGAGAGAGAGAGAGAGAGAGGGAGAGAGAGAGAGAGAGAGGGAGAGAAAGAGAGAAGGAAACAAAATGGAGATACTCACGCCATGTTTAACAGTTTTTGCAGCATGGGCAGCTTTCTTTTTTGCATCATAATGAGTAAGGATGTCAATAATTGCCATGAAGTACACCTCCTTCCTAGGCGAGTCTGCAGAGACAGGAGAGCAATGACTGTGGGACATGTGACAACACCAGTGCCAGCATTGCTGCTGAGGGAGGGAGGGAGGGAGAAGTGAGCCTGGAGGGAGGGGATTCAATGGAACGCGGATGGAAGGAGTCCAGAGACAAACTCTACACCACCCCTGCGGATCCTGACTAAACACACAGCTTGCCTCTCTGACCCAGTCCCCCTGCAATTTAAAAAGAAACAACCCTAACAACTAAAAACATCATCACACCAGGGTATCAACAGTGGAGATCCAACGGTGGAACGGAGTCTTTTTTTTTTTTTAATTTGCATTTTCTTTAATAATTGTGTATTGCTTTGGTGTGAAGAAATATGCTATTTAAAAATACCCTATAAAACAGAACTAATTATGTACACTAATCCTTTACATCAAATGGTAGAACTGTTCATAATTCTCACTGGATACAGTATCAGAACTGGATAAAGGCATACATCCACTCCAATGTCTATTTTCTTTTTTTGAGACAGAGTTTTGTTCTTGTTGCCCAGGCTGGAGTGCAATGGTGCGATCTTGGCTCACAGCAACCTCCACCTCCCGAGTTCAAGTGACTCCTGCCTCAGCCTGCCGAGTAGCCGGGATTACAGGCATGCATCACTATGCCCAGCTAATTTCATATTTTTAGTAGAGATGGGGTTTCTCCATGTAGGTCAGGCTGGTCTCAAACTCATGACCTCAGGTGATCTGCCTGCCGCGGCCTCCCAAAGTGCTGGGATTACAGGCATGAACCACTGCGCCCGGCCCGTGTCTGTTTTCTATCCATTTCCAAAAATATGAACAGTAAGAAAAGTACATTTGACTATCTAATTTTCTGTGTTGAAGAAAACATTTTGGTGAGCAAAACAGAACAAAACAGAACTCAGATCCTCAGCTGATATGCCATTTGAGATTAAAAAACAACTGATGAGCCACAGTTTTTATTATTCAAAAACCAAGAAGCTGTTTTTATCCTATCACAAAAATATTTTGGTATTGTCACGGATAAGTTGCTAAGGTAGGATGTAATATTCAAATAACTGGTGCACCCAATCACCTGGATACGGTGGATTAAGATTTATCTGACTCTAGGGAAGAGGGCCATAGGCCCTTCCATGGGGGAGGACAGCAGAGCCAGACTCAGCAGCAAATCAGATTCCCACCCCACCCACAGGGCCCATCTTCACACACCCTTCACACCCCTGAGAGGGAGAGGGCTGTTGGTAATGACAAGAGGACAAGCTAAGGGTCACAGAGGATCACATGCATGTGCCTAGCTTAGACTCATGATGCTTTTGACTTAGATAAAAAAGATAACTAGGCAAAAACGTATTAATATTTTAAAGCATTTCTGATGTTATTTGTGAACATGTATGTGTGCATATGTACATGCATGTTGTGTTGTGTGTGCACGTACGTTGTATGCCAGTGTGTATGTGCATATGTACAGGTGTGTTGTACATGTATAGTATAGTTCGTGGTTTTGCTGTATTCCCTCAACATCACAGAATTCAAAGGTCCGATCGCCTTATGTTTCAGCACTGAGATCACGGTTAGCTTTAACATACTCTTGTCCCCAAATCCATTTCTTTGGAGTTTGGAGGATGAGTGCTGCCGGGCAGCACCCTCATAACTGGGGTAGTGCTTACTGGTAGATAACAAGGCCAAAGTCAAACCACTTCACATGCAAAAAGGGTCCACAGTAATCAAACTTACTTTCATGGCACTTAATTCCATAGACGTCGATGTTCGGATCGAACTCCCCGGGAGCCAGGGGTGGTGAGCTGTTCAGTGTATTCCCGGGGCTATCTGGGGGGGTTCCCACCGGGTGGGTGCCATCGCTCTCGCCCTCCTCCTCCCCATCGTTCTCCTCACACTCCACTTCCTCCTGTTCGGCTCTCTCCACATCATGAATTCCCACCAGCAGACTGTAGTCCATGAGCTTCAGCTGGGCCAGAAACTGGGGACAGAGGCAACAGGGTGAGTCAGCCACACCTTAAACATAAAAGCCAACATTTAAAGGAGACAAGCTCGGGTGACACCCAGAGGGAAGGCTGTGGGGTGGGGCAGCAGAGGCGCCGGGTGCCTCCTTCACGATGCTCTTACACTCCTGGGCTGTTTCTCTATCTAAAATGTAGCCTCACACTTCAGGCTGGCTCAGAGCTCAGGCTGTTTACCCTGGAATGCCACACTGGATGCGGAGAGGTGTGTATCTATCACAGGGTGGCTGGATTTCACCAGATAGCAAGGAGCATGACCAGTAAGAGATGCGGAGAGAGACTGGGAGAGAGAGCAAGTTCCTCCCAATGATTAAGACTGGCTAATGGGGAAACCCAGGCATCTCCCAAGTAGCTTCCAGCGGAGTCTCTGGTGGTAGTTCAGGAAAGCACCCTGGAATTCAGCATGCTCTGTGGAGGCGATTGTTACGCTGTTGTAAATAAGTAAAAGTAAAGGCACTGTGTCCACATCTGGTGAGTAATGCAGTCCTGTCCAGGTCAACAAGGTGCTTTCCACGTGTGCTTTCCACGAAGCACCACACATCCAGGATTCCTGTCCTCCCTCTCCTCCTCCAGCCGTGGCTAGAACATAATGTGGGGGCAAGACCCAGCTCTGTGTGTTTGGCTACTCCTGTCTGCCCAGTTCTTTGACTTTTCAGATCACGATTTCTCTTTGTTTCCCTTTTCTTATTTGAGACCTTCAGCACAACGTTCCAATGTTGCCATAAGATGTGGATGGTTGTGCTGAGTGCAAACAGTGGCAGCCCATCTGCGGGCTGGACCCAACTGGCTCCCTGACCCCGTGGCTGGCTGGCTCTGCACAGGATCCTGTTCCACTCCGACCTTGGGCTCAGGGTCCAGGAAGGTTCACGGTCCTGGCTCTGGAAGGACTCAGTGCCACCTCGCTGGGGAATGCAGAGTGGCTGAGCAGCCTCTGGGCTATGCTGATAGAATTTAGGAAGCAGATGTCCTCATGCAAAGGGCAAACAGATAAAATCACAGGTCTTGAAGTTCTGGCTAAAAATGAAATCAATTTGCTAAGCCCCGCAGAGTCATTTCTCCTCAGCCTGCTGGGAAGGAGTTCTGTCTCGAAACTGAATGAGAAGCCCCGATTCCTTACAGACGAGGAGAGGACCCCTGGGCACAGGGCTATCCCACTCTCCAGCTGGTTCCTGGTGCCTGCAATTCTCCATCAGCCAGCACCCCGCTCAGCCCAGCAAACTGGCCAGAGCTCCCACTTCGCTGCCTTCCCAACAGGAATCCCCCAGGGCCAGCTATATCTTCCCCAATTGTTTTGAGCTCAAAAAAGAGAAATCACACAAATCTTACACTCAAATATTTAAGCAAAGTGGGAGAAACCTGTTTGTTTAAAAATAGAGGCAAACCCCTCGTGGAAACAGCATGGGGCTCCTGCGTTCAGCTTTCTGGGTCCCAGAGAAGAGGGGAAGCCACTGCTCATCCCCCCTGGTCTTTCCCCAAACTCCCCCATTACAGTAAACATGAGAACTGACTTTCCACTTGCACCTCTCTCTGCCAGATTCCTTTCCAGCAGTCAGAGACTGCGCATCCTCCCCTAGAATCTCGGCAGCTGCCAGGCTGTGAGGTGCACCTGGCCGAGATCACCTGGCTGGGATCATGTTTGTGGGGGCGGCTGCGGGGAGAAATCTACAGTGGTGGAAGGCTCACTTGAGTCCTCCACCCGCACGGTGAAGCCAGCCAGGGAGCTGGGTCTCGGGTACCAGCTCCGCTATACATGGGCCTGTGGATGTGGAAGAGAACTGGGCACTCCGGGGTATAGGGACAGGTGACAAGATCCAAGGCAGGGGGCAGGCTCTCCGTGTGAGACAGCAGCCAGGCTCAGCAGCTGGACGAGAGTGCAAGGATTCAGATCCAAGGAGGGGTGAATTCAGGGCCTGTTCTGAGCCTGTACTCTCTGCTCTCTATCAGCTACCTCTGGAGGCTGCCTTAAAGCAGCTTTCCCCTCTCCTTTTCTTCGCAACCCTAGGAGGAAGGTAACGAGTTAAAATCAGCTGGCATCGGAGGCCCTCCACACATGACTCTGCGCTGTGGGTCTCCGGAGGGTTAGGTGGCCAGCAGCAGCACACATGGCACTGCTGTGATCATGGAACCTGCTTTCCCGTCAGAATGACCTGTGGGCCTGGGGTTTCAGAAGCCTATTTGAAAAATACTGCATTGTAAGTACCCAGTTGTCTTCTCCAATGCTTGAGGGGTATGGTGGGGGTGGGGGTGCTTATGGTGGGCCCACTTCTCCCTGCCCTGTTGTTCCAAGGCCTCTGGGCTGCTGGAGGACTGGGTCAGGGTCTCCTTGGCCACCTCTGCTGCCCCTCCCAAGCCTAGCACGGTGCCTGGCTCTGCTCCCTAGATCTACGGCTTCCCTGGCCTCTCTCTCTACACCTGGAAGCCTCTCTGGAGCCAGGCCAGGCCCTGCTCGGCTTGAGAGGTGACAGGGAAAAGGCCCCCCTTCTGCCCACACCTGCTCCCTCTGGGTGCTTGGAAGGTCCCTGTGAAGTGGTAAAGGCTGAGTGGTGCCTCAACCACCCCTCCAGTCCTCTGCAAAGGGCAGAAGTTTTCAAAATGTGAACCTGATCCCATCCTGTTCTGCTTAACACATTTCCATAGTGCCGCGTTTCTCACAGGGCACAAACAAAACTCACATGGCCCAGGAGGCCTGGAGAGCTTGGCCCCATCCACTTCTGGGGCCCACTTGAGCTCTGCTCTGCCCACTTCCTGGGCTTCTCTGGGGGCAGGTACTTCCTCCTGTGCCTTCAGGTCTCAGCTGCGGGGCACTGCACAGGGCAGCACAGCCCCAGAGTCTGGGTGTTTAGGGCACCGCACACTCCTCCCCAGTGACACGGGGCCTCGCTGCACATTCATTTTGTTGGAGTATTTGAGCGACTTCTCTCTTTCCCAAGCAAGGCAGCCCCAAACGGGGCTCTAAGGTTTTGGCTTTCACTGCATTCCCGAATCCCGGCAGGCAGAGGGCTCGGGAAAGTATTCGGCACTTGTTGGACAAGTGAATGGGATGCTTGTTACTTCTTCCCTATCCGTCCCAACTCTCCCTAATTCTCCCCAACCTGCTTCCAGCAGGAAGTAACTACCAAAGCCAAATACAAACAACAAAGCAACAACAGAAAACTTTTGTCTGAGACTGCATGAGGCAACAGCTCTGCAAAGGAAGCGCAAGGTGACCATTTAAGACGATTACCTTAACAGGAAGGTCTACTGGTTGACCTTCAAGTATGTTTTAGTTACAGAAGTCAGGGCTGTCTGTGATTAACTTGCCAAAGGGCAGAGAGGGAAGGGGACAACTGGGACTGGCCAGCCGCACTCACCAGGGTGAGCCTCCAGGGCCCAGCCTCCCCTGGCACCCCATCTGGGTTCCTCGCCACACCGGGCAGCCCAGAGTAATTTTCCTGGGCCTCAGGCCTGTGGTCAGACCGCTTACTGTCGTCTTCCAGTGAGGAAGAAATAAAGGTGCAGTCAACTCCTAGCACAACCCAAAAACCATCAGCATGATGCAAAATGCATCTCTAGGTAAGAAGCTGTTCTGAGGCACCCAAGAAGACTGAGAAAATTGCAGTCACAATGGGCATTGCACATGTTTTCTTTTTGTTTAAGAGATGGGATCTTGCTCTGTTGCCCAGGCTGGAGTACAGTGGTATGATCACAGATCACTGTAGCCTTGAACTCCTGGGCTCAAGCAATCCTCCTGCCTCACCCTCCCGAGGAGCTGGATTACAGAGGTGCACCACCATGCCCAGCTAATTATTTTTTATTTTGTGTGGAGACAGGATCTTGCTGTGTTGTCCAGGCTGGTCTCAAACACCTGGCCTCAAGTGATCCTCCTGCCTTGGCCTCCCAAACTGCTGGGATTATTATTCATGATTTCAAGTCTCTGAGACTGAGGTAGAAATGGGAAAAACCAAATATGGCACAGTGGTTAAAAGGACAGGTCATGCTGACCAGGGAGACCCATTCAAGAAACAAAGAGTCTGATTTGGTCTCACTCGCCAGTTCCATGCTTGACGAGTTCGCCTCCTGGATCTTCAGTCATTCTGACTTTAAAATTGGACAATGCCACTCACCTCACAGGGGTGTCGAAGAATTAAGATAATGAAACTGAGAGAAAAAATATGGTGCC
This sequence comes from Homo sapiens, assembly GCF_000001405.40. Taxonomy (NCBI): domain Eukaryota; kingdom Metazoa; phylum Chordata; class Mammalia; order Primates; family Hominidae; genus Homo; species Homo sapiens. The sequence goes on from NC_000010.11 coordinate 22,546,247, forward strand.
TCACACAAAATAATGGAAGCTGTTATTTGTAACTGGCAATGTTTTGATTATGGTAGAAGTCTTTTTTTAATATCAAGATTTCAATTTAAACAGGTTTCAGTTTGTAGACCGGGGGAAAAAGAACCATATGGAAAAGCCTGTTAATTCACGGGCTCTCATCTTCAAAACGTTAAATTTCTTTTTGAGACAGGGTCTGGCTCTGTCACCCAGGCTGGAGTGCAGTGGTGTGATCATGGCTCACTGAAGCCTCAAACTCTTGGACTCAAGGGATCCTCCTGCTTCAGCTTCCCTAGTAGCTAGGACCACAGGCATGCACCACCACGTTTGGCTAATTTTTAAAACTTTGTAGAGATGGGGTCTCACTATGTTGCCCAGGCTGTTCTCAAACTCCTGGGCTTAATCAATCCTCCTGCCTCAGCCTCCCAAAGTGCTGGGATTACAGGCATGAGCCACCACAACAGGCCTCAAACTTTACTTTAAATCTGTTCTGAGGTAGAGTGAATGAAGTGTGGCAATACATCTGAGATTTTTCGTGGGCTGGAAGCTCGCAGATGGAAAGAGAAGACAGAAAGGGGGCGTGGGCTTCACTGCGGGGTCTGCTTCCGGCTCACTGCAGGAAAACAGTATATATTTGTTCTTTAAGTTTTAAGAACATAAGATTTCAAAGTGTGAAGATTTTTCAGTCTTTATTTAGGTCCCCTGCTTTTCTTCCTTTCCAGCTTCTCAGAAACCACCTGCTGGACCTCACATCTGCCTCTTTTTCCCTCAGAATATCCCTTCTCATCTAATTCCTTACTAATTGAGTCCTTGCTGTGACAAATCTTTGAGCTACAATCTTCCTTGAGATCTTTACGAGTCTAAGACTATCCTTCACAATGGTTCTCAACTGATTTATTTAACTCTACTAACACACCGTGTTCTACCACATCACCATCTCCCAACATATCTGTGAAGTAGAATTAAAATGCCAGTCAGCCCTGTTTAACGGTTATATCTTACCACTTGTTAAAAATTATAATCCTCCTTCGAAGCAATTATCAGAAAACAAAGCCTCCACTGTGCTCTCACAGGTATTTTTAACTTGTGTTTATGTCAGAGTAGTTAAGGACTGTGCCCTCTGAGGGCCTGACGCCCCAGTCTGAATTTAGAAGCTTTGTGCCTTTGAGCAAATTACATAGGGTCTCTGGGCTCGGCTTCCCCATTCATCAAACTAGGGTAGGGGCAGGACCACTGTCAAGGGGCTGTTTTGAGAATGACAAGTGACACTGCATGGGAAGGACTTGGGCTCGATGTGCTCCATAAATGCTGCCACCCATCCCACTACTCCCACCGCCCTATCCCCTCTCACCCATCTCCATGGATGGGGGGCTATAAACCTCAGACAACTGAAATGCCCTGTGAGGGGGTACTCCTGGATGCCACAGAGGGAGAACAGTTTTGCATCATGTGAGTCAATGAGAGGAGAGACCAGGGTTGATTCTTCAGGGCCGTGATCAGAATTGACAAAACACAGGGCAGAAGGCAAAAGTGCCTGTCACTCCTCATACACCGATCTGTGTGTGTGTTTGTGTGCAGAAAAAGACTCACCTGTGTTACGTGCAAAGCTATGTGGATGAAAATACCCAGCATGGCATAGGAATAGAACAGGGCTGCTGTTACAGAAAAACAGCAACTAGAACCTCAGATGAAAATTAGTTTTCCTAAAATCTAGATTTCTTGAGCTGTAATACACTCAGATCTCCTACTCGAGGCATTAAGGAAAAACAGCAACAACAACAAAAAACTGCAATGAAACTCCAATGGGTCAGTCAGCTAAATTAGAAAGCATGGAACTGATGAAAACAGAAAACTCGATTAAATTCTAGCCTCATTATCAAGATCAGATGTCAAGCTACTTCACCATAATTACCTGCTTAAAAATTTAATGATGGTTCTGCATAAATTTCAAAACTAAAGACACTGTTATCAGCTATTGAGAATATTTTTAAATGAAAGGATGTTTTACACCCTGCCTCCATTTCAACGAAACAGCTAAGTGCTTGAGCCATGTATGGGATTAGACTATAGAGTCCTCTAATCAATGGTATTATTAGAGACAACAAAAGAGCTAAGAGGATCCTTCTGTAATTCAACTGTAAATTTGAACTGCTTGAATTACATTATTTCTGGAGTCTAAATATCATAGTGATATACTGCCAACAGAAAAAAACCATTTTTTTAATAGGTCACAGATAACCCTAAGGGCTACTTACCATAATTGCTAAAACCATATTCTTCTCAGTATCAAGGATTTGCTGATTAATCAATAAAAATCCAAGAGTATGTTTACTAAGGATACTTATCAGTTGGATCAAACAGATCCCAAAGCAAGGGGGAAATGCTTAACTAATACATTTTATTAGTAACCACTCACAACTGAGGAAAACTAAACATTCCTTAATGAAAGACTGGAGGAAAATGTTAGAAGAGAAAAGCAAACACTTGTATCGTTTTGTTTGTTTGAAGTAGATGCTTACAGGCTAAGCACAGTGGCTCATGCCTGTAATCACAGCACTTTGGGAGGCTGAGGTGGGAGGATTGCTTGAGGCCAGGAGTTCAAGACCAGCCTGCGCAACAAAGCAAGACCCTAGTCTCTACAAAAAAAAAAAAATTCAAAAATTAGCCAGGCACCGTGGTGCATGCCTGTAGTCCCAGCTACTATGGAGGCTGAGGCGGGAGGACTGCCTGAGCTGGGAGTTCAAGGCTGCAGTGAGCTATGCTCATGCCACCCCACTCTAGCCAACACAGCAAGACTGTCTCTAAAAACAATGGCAACAAGAAAGTAGATACTTACACCCTTCACAAATAACCAATATATAGGTTCTAATCCAAGTATGTATACTATAAATAATCCAAGTATGTATACTATAAAGGTAAAATAATGTAAAAAATTTTATTAAACTAATTTATGATCTAAAAATATTAACTACTAATAACTTGGTCAGTGTGAGTTTCTTGTAATAAAAAGAACTGTTAGAAGATTAAAAATAAATTATACTGCTTCCGCCTTCATGGGAAATACAAATGTATGACACTCATTCTGTGGCTTTCGTCATTTTCTTTTTCTTTTTTTTTTTTTGGTTTAATGACATAAAAAGACAATCTTCCCACAAAGCCTCTCTCTAAGTAGCAGATCCGTACTGGTGTGCCATGAAGTGTACACAAATGAATGAAAGCAACAGCTAAGAAAAGCTGAGTTTAGTAGCTGCCTAAATTCTAATTCCCACTGCATTGTTTTGTAACTCAACGAAGTCCAAGAAAATAACCTTTTTTTGGCCGGGCTTGGTGGCTGACGCCTGTAATCCCAGCACTTTGGGAGGCAGAGGCGGGTGGATCACGAGGTCAGGAGATCAAGATCATCCTGGCTAACACGGTGAAACCCCGTCTCTAATAAAAATACAAAAAATTAGCCAGGCGTGGTGGCGGGTGCCTGTAGTCCCAGCTACTCAGGAGGCTGAGGCGGGAGAATGGCGTGAACCTGGGAGGCAGAGCTTGCAGTGAGCCGAGATCGCGCCACTGCACTCCAGCCTAGAAGACAGTGAGAATCCATCTCAAAAAAAAAAAAAAAAAAAAAAAAAAAAAAAAAAAAGAAAGGAAAGAAAATAACCTTTTTTTCCTTTTTTCCTGGATTTATAAAAGACTTAAATAATGAGCAAATCCAATGGAAAAGCTGCAATGCCTTTATCATAAACTAAATGACAGGAAAAGGTACATTTTAAATGTTTAGAACAGTGTTTAAAAGCAAAACTCCATCATTATGGACGAAAGCCCCTTGGACACTGTTCTATGTCTCTCCACTGTCCCCTATGACCTAGTATCCCAAGCTGCCCCTGTGCTAGTCCCACAATGTGTAAGGGGGCCTCACTGGGCCTCATGACATGGTTTGTGGTGACTGGTGGAGATAGGAAAGCATTAAGTGACCCAGGCTATGTTAACCAGCACTGACTTGTGCTTTAGAGGGAAAAGTGCCAAGACTGTAATAGTGACTGAATATTTGTTTTTGAGATGCTCTGCTGGTTGACACAGAGTCCAGTACTCCCCTGGCCCCTCCCAAACTGGCTGGTGTGGGCAGGTCAGTCTTCATGGGCCATCCCAATACAGAATACAGGGGCCTGGGACCGGGGATTCCCAGCGGATGACAGCAGGTGCTTTCTTGTGTTTGGTGCCTAAATGAGAGGGCTGCTAAACTGGCATGCGTTTGCTTTAAACCAGATCATGTAACATGAGACACCTTCATGTCTGACTTCCCTAAGGTAGAGTATGCAGGTTTTTGCCTTGATTGAAGATTTAAATAGATGGTTTAAAAAGCTCCTAAAACCCAACAGGGCTGATATTTATACAATGAGTCTGGCCTCTCCACTGACTGTTCTTACCTCAACATCCTTTTTTAGTTTTTCCAGGAAGACCTTCTTGTTGTTGTCATCAATATAAATCTTTTGGCCCTCATTAATGAAATCATTATCTTTCAGAGTTGGCAGTTCTTTGGCCTAAAACAAATGAGAAAAACAATGACAAAGGCGCTTGAAGAAAACCTAAAAAAACCACATACACCTTCCAACCCTGGACACTGAAGTTTGCCCCTTTCACCGCCCCCACCCCGTTCACCACCACAGGGGTCTTACCCAAACAATAAAATAGGAGAAGGCTTGAATACCACCGGGGGGCGCCAGTGAGCCCCAATCTCTGGAAGCATTCGCAAGAGCAGTGGGGTGGGGGTCAGACAGACTCCATATCATAAGGCTTTTTGTAACACATTTCATGTTTTTCAGAGGAATGAACCTGACTGCTTTCTTAGACTCACTTTCTTACAAGAAGTCTTCTAAGTATAAAATTTGTATTCTTGGAATACTTTCCCAGGAACCCTCAATTTTCTTACAACCCAACTCCATCCCTCCTCCCACTTTTGGGGAGCCGTTGCTGGGCTCACATTGCAAATAACATGTTATCTTGTCTCAGAACAGCTCTATCCATAATCATATCTACTTTCTGCACCAGGGAGACATGCAGCACGAGGTTAGCCATCTGCCCTTCCAAGCCTTCCTGTTCACCACTCCAAGAAGGAAATTCTCTTCTCATTTGGACAATATCAAAGAAAAAGGGTCTTCTCTTAACATAAACGTATTAAGATCAGAGTTCTACCTTTTACAAATGAACGAGAGGGTGAGCTAATAAGTAAACTGCACTTATGGCAACCAACACAAAGCAATGAGCAACTATCAAAACATGGATCATGAGCAGAAAACACTGTAGCTTGTATTGCAGCAAACAGGATAATATAGGCATATAGTTTTAAAACAGTGTGGATTATTCTATTTAACTTTGTGCAACCTGCATTCAGTACGAGCTCAAAATAATCTCCCACCCCTTTCGGCTAACCATAGCTTGTTTATTTCAGCAGAAAGAAATCCAATGTCATGCACTGCCTTTGCCTGTATGTTGATGAACCTGGAATGGTCCTCTTTTCTGTAGGTGTGAACCAAATGTAAACAAAATAATCCAAGGAAACAAGCTGCTGTCCTTCCTGGCTCCGGCACTGTTCCTCCTCCCTCCTTATTCAGAGCAATGAAAGAACACTCCCTGGGTCCATCGCCTGCATCTTTCACATGCTCGAACTGTTCACTTCCCCTCCTATTTATAAAGTATAGACATGCATGTAAACAGTCACATCTATTTACAGCAACACATATGTACATAAATTATGCATTTCTAAATTAGTCGCTTTGGCTACTAACTTTGAGAAAATTTAAACAGTTTTGCAACTTTGAATTAGATATAACCACAATCTTTATAAGCCAAACAGAATTAATCCTTACAAAGCAGGTACAGCAAGGCCCAGAAATGTCAAGATTCAATTCAATCAGCAGTTACTGAGTGAGTCAAGTAGAGAGATGCAAATATGAATAGGTCACAATTTCTGCTGTAAAGGAGTTTGTAATCTCGTACGGGAGAATGATATGAAAGCACGTAGGTAGAAAATAAAGCAGGATGGGATGTGTATGTAAGATGTAAAGATAAATACTAAGATTCTAGGAAAGACTGATCTAATTCCAAACACTTTTATGCTGAGTTATTGAGTCTTTAAGAAATGAGAATGCAACGCCATTCTTCACAAAATGTCAGGATGCGCCTGCTAGACTTACCCCCTAAATCTGTCATTAATAATTTTAAAATAATGCAATACGTGCACCCCCCATTCCCACAAACCTTGAAATGTGAAGACAGCACAATATTAAAATGTTTGAGTTCATCACACTAGATTATAAGGTTTCTCTCCTATTAGAACTGTAAACATAATGAAGTTTCACCAAGAATGAAATGCAAGGTTCTGAAGTTTAACAAAACTCAGAGGGCAGTGAGAACATAAGCACTGCCCAAAACAGAAAATTGGAAGCACGTTAGAAAAAAGGGTTGAAGCCAGACCTACACACAAAAACAGGAGAGATGGAGAAGGATCGTAATTTTCCCAGCAGACACCTTGGGCATTTCTGTGTCATTATGTGTTGGCGATGGGAGGCGTGTGGGTGGGGGTGTTAAGGATATCTGCCTCAATTCCACAACCCATTTTATAAGTGTAAGAAAAGAAGGGTAGAGGGTGTTTTTTTCTGGTTTTGTATAAATGTGAGAAACCTGAAGGCAGAGATGACAGACCCCCGACAAGGCAGTAAATTACATGCTGGATGTGTGTTTGTAACACAAGTCACATTAATGAAGATGAATGCCACTTCAGGTTCACCCCAGCAGAATTACCTCATGTGACAGGGAAAGTATAATCCTACCTCATAAAACTCTGGACACCATGTACTCTATGACTAAGCTGACTTGTGAATTTCACAGGCACTAGGGTCGTATTTAGATTGGATCAAGCTCAAAAAAGGGCACCCAGATTGGCTAAAAGACTTAAGGGCTTACTGAAAGGATCAAGAGGCGAAGGCGGATCCTGGCAGGGCAGCTGCCAGCATGGAATCTAACACTGGCCTACAGATATCAACCTCCCAAATGCTTGCTGCAAGACAGAGTGCTCAGGGGCACGAAGGTTTTGGGGTCATGAATCCTGAGGTTGCAATCCTGGTTCCACCCCTTGCTTGCCAGGGACCAGGGGCCAGGTTCCTGGACCTCTCCAGCCTGTTTCCATAGATGCAGAAAGGGGAAAACACGCAGCAGCCTTAGGTAACCTGCTTAGCACTTTGTGTGCGTCATTTTATTCACATCTATCATCTATCTTCAGTCTTTGCAACAACCTTAACTATTATTCACGTTTTACATTCAAGGAAACTGAGATCATGCAATTTAACTAAGGTCTCAGAGTTTGGTGAGTGATGAGCTGAGATGGGAACCTTAATCATTCTGCTAAGGTAGAGTTGTGCTGGGAACTCAATCAGAAACCATGTGACAGATTCAAATAGTGGTGCTTATAATCCCCATCACCACCCCCATCGTCATCATCATCACTGTGAGCATTTAATAAAGCGCACAGACTTGAAATGGGTATTACAGGTTGAAAAACTTTTTTTTTTTTTTTTTTTTTTTTACAAAAACTTAACTGTTCTTTTTAAATTAAGAACAAGATAGGCTGGGCGTGGCGGCTCACACCTGCAATCTCAGCACTTTGGGACTCTGAGACAGGAGGTTCACTGGAGCCCAGAAGTTCGAGACCAGTCTGGCTAACATAGTGAGACTCCATCTCTACAAAAAAGTAATAAAACATATGAGATAACCGTGGTGGTGTGTGCCTCTCATCCCAGCTATTTGGGAGGCTGAGGTAGGAGGATCGCTTGAGCCCGGGAGGTCAAAGTTGCAGAGAGCCATGATCGCGCCACTGCACTCCAGCCTGGGTGACATAGTAAGACCCTACCTCAAAAACAAAAAGAAAAAAACGAGATGACAAAGGTTAAGTCACCTGACAATGATTCACTCTCAAGAAAATCTTACTACTTAGCTTTTTAAAAGAAATTTCAATATATCTCTCTGATAATGAGCAGTGCTTATATTAGAAACATCTTTTTTTTAAATGTGGAAAACTATACTATGATTTAATGAACTTAATAAACTCTTGGTGTAAAACTGCCTACAAAGATGACGTCTGCAGAGCAGCAGAAAATTAACTGTGGGCAGCGACAGCTTAATGTAGCAACAGATTCTACACTTTGCTTTTAAACACTGGATTATTTGCGCTTAGAGTTTTCCAAGCTTGTAGTCACTGGGTCTGGTTCTTTAATGAGTGTCTTTGATATCTTTTCTAGTTCAGTGCAGAAACAGCCAGAGGGTGGAAGAAACCCCCAGGGCTAACTAAAGACAGCTCAGAAATGCTTCTCAGCTGTGGACTCTCCGAGGCCGGCTTCCAGCCAGCGGTCAGCAACCTTTCTGAAGTGGCGGCGGGCCGAGTCTTTATTTGCGCTGAATTCAGCTCTGGCCAGTTTTGTGCAGATCAGAGCCTCTAAGTAAGGCGGGACGATTGCTGTACGACCCTCTGTACTTGCTGGGAGGGGACGAGGGTATGGGAGGGAACTGCTCTTCCCCACCCCGTCCTCCTCTGTGCGTCTAGTCCTGAGCTGGGATTCCTGCCCGGGTCGGGGGCCCCAGAGCTGCTCCAAGGCCCTGGCCAGCTGAGGCCCCGTGAGTAAATACAGCCCAACGCAGAGCCAGGCTAGCACAGGCAGGGCTGTTTTCTCTCTTGCATGAGGTAATCTGCTGCGGTGGGTTGGATTCCAAGTGGCATTCATCTCCGCTAATGTGACGTGTAAATGCACAAACACAGCCACAGGCATCAGCAGAGGGACGCCGTTCCCCCCGCAGCCTGGCTGTCCTGCTTCCCGTTCGGATAAAATGAGCCCTTCACTGTCATACGGAGTGATGCCCGACCCCAGGTCGACTAGGCATGGCTCAGCTTTCCACGTAGGAGACAAACTGAAGCCCATGGTTATGTGAACACACTAGATCCAGGCTGCCTGGGTTGTAGCTCCGCAACTCCAATTATTAGCTATGTGACTCTGGCAAGTTAAGTTACCTCTCTGTGACTTGGTTTCCCATCTTTAAAGGGGGATTTGCAAACATAGGGTTGTGAGGGTTGCATGAGTTCACACATGTAAAAAGGCCTAAAATGGTGCCTGCCACACAGTGTGTTATATACAAACGTCGTTATATGCTAATCATGTTCTCAAGTATGGCTTATGGATCTAGGAAAAGCGCATCGCTGATCAATCCAGAGCAAGATTTTTCTTTTAAAAAATATACTGACATATTTAACATTTTAACACTAGCTGTGATGTTCTGGGCCAGTTGCTTAGTCTGCCCAAACCTCAGTTTCCTTACTTATATAATGGGTAATTAATAATACTGTACCTATGTAATAGGGTTAGTGTGTAAATCAAATGACACAAAGCACATAGTGCCTGGCAATAGTAACTTGCTATGTCTATTTCTTCTAAAATAGGGTCTTTAAACTTAGGATACCTTCTAGTTGATACCTGGATAATTAAAAAAAAAAAACAATTTATGATGTCGGTAATCTAAACCTGGGGGTCCAATCTTTTAGCTTCCCTGGGCCACACTGGAAGAAGAATTGTCTTGGGCCACACATAGAATCAGTGAACACTAATGAGAGCTGATGAGCTTAAAAAAAAAAAAAAAATCACAAGAAAATCTCATCATGTTTTAAGAAAGTTTACGGATTTGTACTGGGCCACATTCAAAGCCGTCCTGGGCCCCATGCAGCCCGTGAGCGACAAGCTTTATTTAAACGATGTTTAAAATTTCCTTTGTTTTTAGGTTTTATCTGCTAGTTACAAACATGTCACATGAATTCTCTACATACTGTCTTCAAATTTGGAAGACACTTTTGTCACTGCACACTGCACACAAACCTACCATACATGAGGGCAAAGTTAGTATTTCATTTCACTACACAGGACCCACGGGGAACACAGAGGGCACATGAGACAGGATGCATCGAAGGTGACATGGCCCGAGGCGCCAACCTCCCTGTCGTGGCGGCTCTAGTTCCCTACACTGCTTTGCAAACCTCAATTGTGAATGCTACCAGCTAGAAAAACCTCTGTGATCACCTGCAAAAGCTATTCCTAGTAGGAAACCTCACTGAAAAGACCTTTTGTTTAAACTGAAACCCAAATGAGAGTAAAATGTCCCTATCTTATCATAAAAATTGGACTGGTTAAATTCCTGAAGTAATAAAGAATTTGAAATTTATGATCTTTATTCAATATATGGAATAAAATGTAATGATTTTACGTATCTGGCCAAAGACAGAAATTTGCTGACTTCTGTCTTACCTTAATTTTCCATGGGTTAGTTTTTTCTCAGCACATTATAATAGTGGATAATTTAGTGAATGCTGTTTTGCTGACCTAAAGCAAAAATCCACAGAAGCTGAAATCTTAGTAGCCAGAAAATATAACCAAAATACTAGGGAATGGTGAACTCACTCCTAGGGAGCAGTGAACCCACTGGGAACATTTAACTTGCTATGAGTTGTAAAAAGAAAATTTATTATAAACATTTGTGTATATATAATACATTTATTATAGACATTTCTCCCTCATTTTGCAAAGTTTTTGGCTTTTAAAGCACAGCATCACAGGCCTCAGCAAGTCTACTGTAAGTCAACAGTAAGAAACACACTGTGTGACAATACAGGTCATGGTCAAAAATAGTTTGTGTGTCATTAAGACACAACATGAATGTGCGAAGTGAGATGCACACTCAGCTGAGTCAGAGCCTGAAGATAACCAACACACGCGTAAGGCTTTCAGTGTATAAAAGCCTCTCAACGGAATTACTTACGCCCTAGGGTTCAATACAAGGTATCAATGATCTCTAAGGACAGATTTGGCCAGGGGGTTGGGATTAAAAAAGGGAAAACGTATCAGGACAGTTACAAAGTTCAGAGCCCTCATTTTTAGAATTTCTAAACACATGCCGCCTTTTAGCAGAGACCTGTGGTATAAAAATTACAGAATTCTATGAGAGCAAAGGAGATGCAGCACTGTTTGCTTCCCAGAACTGATAAAAAGGAGCTAAAAAGCAACACCTAAAAAATTCCTGCTTAATATTATTTAGTACTTTTATGCTTAAAAATTCCAAATGACTAAGAACTTTTGCAGAATCTCTAAAACCAAAACCAAAACAATGTGTTTACCAAAAGAGTTAAATGCTTTGTTTGTTTGAAGTGGGAATTAACTCACGTGTATGTGTACATATGTGCTTATTTCATGAGGTTCTGTAATTTGATGCATAACTGCTGTCATTCATATGGAGTTGAGCAATATTGGATATTCTAAGGTTTAGTAAAGCCAGAAGTTATATGAACATTTTATTTTAGTGAGATTTTAAAAAACTATCTTTCAGATGACACAAAATTTTTAAAAATCACAAATTTCAAACTATAGTTTGAAACATTAAACAGAATTCAAACTAAAATATCATTGGATTTTTAATGATCATTCTAAACTTTAATTATACAACAAGAGCCAACAGTATGGGTAAATGGCCATTAATAACTGGAAATAGAAAATACATGAACCTAAAATGCACAGAGCCAAAATCTTTATAATATAGAGCCAAGTTTTTATTTTAGTCTGGATGGAAACTTTACTGGGAAGAAGAAATGCACCCAGTCACACTTGAGTGTCTAATGCAAACAGGATTTTGGCACTAGGTTTTAATGCAAAGGATAATACATATCATAGTACTCTGTGATTAAAGGACTTGTATTTCGGAATGAATTTTTTGTTTGATATGCTCATTTGGCAACCTATTTATTATTTTTTAAGTCTAATTGTAAGCCTCAATGTCAAAGACTGCTGCCGGGTGTCCTTTTGATACGCTGTCACTGTGACACTCAGAGCTGAATGCTCCACATAAAAAATACGTAGTAATTATTGTTTTATGTTAGAACTGCTTGTGTTCCTGATTTACTTGTAATTCCAAGCTCACCCAAATGAAAATAAACTTGCAAAAAAGAATAAAACCCCTTTTGCCGTGCTTGCAAAAATCTTCATAAAAATCAGCATCTATGGAACTGAAAACATAATTCACAAGTATTTCTATAAGGGAAGGAATTTTAGGTAATCCTTATGTTGGAGCTAGGATAAAAATAATTTGATGGAGTAACATATTTGGTATCAATTCTGGGGTAATAAGAGATGCTGGAGATTTATAATAAAATCAGTTCTGCTTCTTGGAACATCTAAGCCACAAATTTGATACATCAAAAGGCAAATTAGTGGATACGGATAAAGTTCATACAGAAGTAGCAAAGAAAAAGGGTGGTTTTGCACAAATAGTACATATGCCAACCTCCTTTAACTACATAAGCAGAATGTCTATACAAGTTCATGGTTTGAGAAATGATCTAAGAGGTCATTAATAACTTCTAATTTTCACAGTGAAAACAGTGAGAATGTGCACATCTGTGACTAGCATCCAGATGTGAACATCTTATAATTTTTATTTTGAATCTGTTTATGTATGAATGTGGAAAGAGAATATACCTCAACATACTTGTGAAACAGTGCTGTAAGTAAGCCGCGCAAAACTGGAGAAGCGTTAAGTTATAACTGTTAGGGCTGGCAAGACCTAGCTGTTGGCAATTTTCCCTCAAGCTAATACGTAAAAAGTAAAATTTATTCCTTTTTTAATACTGTCATATTTTATGACAACTCTATGTGGTAATGTCAAAGGTGACGGTTTGGTCTTCCTCCACAAACTGGGATATGACAGCTGAACTGCATACAAGACCTACAAAATAGGACCTACGGGATGGCTTCGTTCCAGTCGTAACAGAAGATTCTGGTGCGCAGATATCTATGGTGATAATCTAAGAAATGTCAAAGGCTGAACACTCAAGGAGTTTGCTAACTCCTCTAGATCTCTGGTTTAATACTACCATGTTAAAGATCATTATTTAATTAAGAATTACACATCTGTAGCAGCTTGGTTTAAATTCAGACCACATACTGAATTTTGGAAGTCTTCTCTCCACCCCAACTTTTTCTAGAACCAACTACGAGTTGTTAGCGTGAAAACATTCCCATACCTAACAGCAGTGCTCCACGTGTGCTTGGGATACTCTGAGTTGATTTCATTCCAGTGAGATAAAAATTAATCTGAGGCAAATGAGAGCTGATGAAGCACCATAAGCCATAAGTCATAAAGCCTTGAGGATTTTAATGCTGTCATCTGAGTGAAAATCTGGAAAGTGCTCACAAGAGTCACTGCATGTGATCCTCTCTTTTTGTCACGTGCCATGCTTACCAGTTACGAGATATTCTAAATGAAGCTTTAAAACTTCATTTCCAGAATACCCCTCATGGTTTATGGGGTTCTTATCTATATTTGCTGAACAGAACATTTTTTTCCCCATCAATCATAGCAATCACCTTAATCTATATCTGGAATAGAGAAGATTTTAGTGATGGTCAGGCCAGGACTTCTCCAAGTGGGGCCGACTGCTGAACCACATCTCTGGAGGAAGGTCCAGGAAAGCTTCATTTGAAACAAGAGATTCTCACCAACACTACAGCATGAGGAGCAATGACGCAAGCAAATCCTTTAATTTTACAAACGAGGACAAAGTCAGATGACCTATACTCAAACCCCATTAATGCAGCCCTGTGCCCCCAGGGCTGGGACTCAGATCCCCTAACCCTCTGTTTGGAGTCCTTCACCCAAATCTCCCTTTTATAAAATGTCTCTGGTCCAGAAGGTAGATGTTACTGGTGCCACCTTTAAGGTCTGAGAAAGAAGCCCTGCTTCTGCCCTAGTGGGAAACTTTCCCCTGCACTTTGGGTAGTAGGATTGGTGTCCCTAACTAACACTGGCTGGCAAAGGGAAATGATTCCCTTCTATCTCGGAAGAAAAGGAATTTTACAGAAGGCGGTTAAAGCATTAGCTGAATTGAGGGCCTAAAAAGCTTGACAACCCCCCTTTAACCGATGATCCGCCCACAGTGGAAAAAGAGGCACTTCTTAGCTGAGCGGCAAATAAAGATTTCCAGAAGGATACGCTGCTGTGCTTTTGTGTCACGTTTGGGGAGCCCGCCGCCCTGGCCACCTCACTTCAATGGCAGCCCAGATGACCAGATAGGGGTAGTAATTAATTATAATTTGTTACAATTTAAAGACCACAAAAGAAATGCTGAAAACTGGTTTCGAAAAGCATTTTTAGACGTAAGGGTATTAATGATTAATCCTCTCGAACCCTCAGTTGGTAATAGGTAAAACGTCGGAGACGGTGACAGTCACTTAATTGCTGGTGCAATTCACAGTGCCTGAGAATCGACAAGGCGGCTTTTTGTAGCCCATTATCAAAGTGTCAACAATGATTATTGCCAATACAGTTACACAAATGCCAATTGCAGGGCAGCTGTTTTCTTTCAAATGGGTTTCAGGAAGAAGGCTGTATGTTAAAAGGGATCTTCTTATTGTGACCCTATGGCTCCATTACACATACTTTACTTTACCTAATAAAATCAGACATGAGTTTTGAGAAGAACTGTGCAGGATGATGAACAAAATGCATATTTGTGTAAATCCCCAGGACTCTCTCTCTCAAGAACATGGGCTTTTTAAAGAGTCAGGTCAAATCCCCCAGAAATCAAGTGAGTCCAGTTATGTTTTCTTTTACTTCCCCAGGTCCCCTGCTGAGTCGCTCGCTAGCAGGCAGCATGCTAAGACTGTCATTTGTAAAAAGCAGCCCGCTCAGCTATAATTACTAATTTGATGTCACACTGGAATTGCAGCGCAGCTGTGAAAAGATCGACCACCAGGGAGGTTCACATTTCTCTGTCTCATTTAGAGGAGGCGAAACTGCTGGAGCCATGAATGGGAGATGCCCTTCCATTAAAAAGGAAAGAATTAAAGAATAAAACAAGTCATAGCAGCTGTCAGAATTTGACAATGGTTATTTTTTTTTAAAGCACTGTTCTGCTCTTAAAAAAAACCTCAAGACATCTGTACATGCATGTTCTGAGACTTGTTGCCATGAAAGTGATTCCATTGTTAGAATATAACTTATTTCCTTCAGTTCCATCTTCATGATTATGCTAATGCAAATCACACTAATTACATGTCAAGCTACAATCTAAGAAATGGGACTTGTCTGCACCTATAACGCTAAATATTTGAAATGACAGTTTCAAACTTGTCATCAACAAGTTAAAAGTATGGAAAACTAGAAGTTATAATGACTCATATGAAAGAAAACCTGGGAAGAATAAGAATTGAGATTACTAATTAAACTATGTCACCAGAGATTCTCTACGCAGTTTTTTTTTTTTTTTTTTTTTTTTTTCTGAGACAGGGTCTTGTTCTGTCACTGAGGCTGGAATGCAGTGGTGTGATCACGGCTCACTGCAGCATCGACATCCTGAGTTCAAGCAATCCTCCCATGTAGCTGGGGCCACAAGTGTGCACCACCATGCCCAGCTAATTTTTTGAATTGTTTGTAGAGTTGGGGGTCTCGCTATGTTTCCCAGGGTGGTCTTGAACTCCCGAGCTCAGGCTATCCTGTAGCCTCAGCCTCCCTAAAGTGCTGGGATTACAGGCGTGAGCCACCATGCCCAGCCCTCTAGAAAGATTGTTCTTTGTACCATAACGATCATTTGGAAAGGAATATAGTTATATATAATAGCAATGAATATAATATTCTTGCAAATCATTTCATTTATAAAAGGCTAAAATGTAGTAAGTGTTTTTAGCCTTCCCCAAATATTTCAAACCAGAGGTACCAGTAGATTGTTTTGATAGCATTTAGTAGACTGTTTTGATAGCATTTTCCCCCCCGATGTCTGATCATAAAAAGGAGTATTTATGATTTGTGAACACAATGAATGGTAGGCTTTTTGGAAGAGTCAAAAATCCTAACTGATCATGGAAAGAAAACCCAAAGGATGGCAGAAAAGGGAAAGCAAAGACTTTTTTTAAAAGTTAAAAAAACAAACAAACAATGTTTTTAAGAGTTCGGCTTGGCCGGGCGCGGTGGCTAATGCCTGTAATCCCAGCACTTTGGGAGGCCGAGGCGGGTGGATCACGAGGTCAGGGGATCGAGACCATCCTGGCTAACACGGTGAAACTCCGTCTCTACTAAAAATACAAAAAAATTAGCCAAGCGTAGTGACAGGCGCTTGTAGTCCCAGCTACTAGGGAGGCTGAGGCAGGAGAATGGCATGAACCCAGGAGGCGGAGCTTGCAGTGAGCTGAGATTGCACCACTGCACTCCAGCCTGGGTGACAGAGCGAGACTCCGTCTCGAAAAAAAACAAAACAGTTTGGCTCTATTAATACATTTCATTTCATCTATTACAGTTTAACAAACGTTTCTAGAGTCTACAAAACACTGCTGTATCAGAGAGAGAAGGCATGGCATGATCTCTACCGAGCCGTGAATGACGACTTTCCCCTGGGTTCGTTCTAGACGTGCTTCTCTTCTCGACACGCTCCTCCTGGGTGACCTCACCCACTTCCCTGTCTCTGCTGACCGTCCTTCCAGGGAGGATTCCCAAGCCCTTTGTTTTCAGCTAAGACACCCTGTGCACCCTCTCATGCCTATTGGATATCTCTGTTCTGACGCCACCCTGACATTTCAAATGCCTCCTCTCTCTCTAGTCTGGGTGATGTATCCCCAGGGAAATCGCTGGGGACGTGGTCGGTGACGGTGGGTGGGAGCCAGATTGCAGCAGGTGATGAAGTGAGGAGGAGAAAAGGAAATGGTGGATGTTTCTTTGGCCATTTGCCCTTTTACTGTGCATGAATGAAGGTACATTTTGATCTCTACCCTACTGTCAAGGCAGGCACACTCTCCATCATTTACCAATTTCTATGACTTTGACATTCCACATCTTCAAGCTATTTCCTTTTCCCCTTCCCAAGTGAGCATTTTTAATATAGAAGGGTGGGTGGGGTAGCTTTATGCAGCCTCTGTCTTCTGGAATAAGAGTTATTAGAAACCTCAACCACAAAAAGAAGGCTAGGGCACTGAATTCTTCCTCAGGGCAACTGTGCAGACAATTCTAATGTTTGCACAGTGTAAGACACGTGATAAAGACTGCATTAAACGTAAAAGTTTTACAAATATGTACATCTGAAAGTATGAGCGAAAATGCTCAAGCTCTTCAAATAGAGGAAATACAAATTGTTTTGCTAACATAGTATGGAAACAAATAATTTATTTCACTACTTTAGAAAAAAAATCAAGTTTTAGAATCAACTGTTTCAGCACCATATTTAACTCTGAAACAATGTTTTTGTCAATGTAGTTAACTTTTTCCTCATTTTCACAATGGGATTAACATGACTTTTTGATAATATGCCCTTAAAGGAAAGGAGAGACATGAACTCACAAACATTTACAAGGCAGTGTGGCATAGTGGTTAGAAATGTGCGCTCTGGGGCTGCTGATCCCAGGCTCAAACCCTGGCGCTGTCACTTCCTAACTGTAGGACCCTGGATGAAGTTACTAAACCTGTCAGTTAAGCAACTTCATCCACTCAAAGTAAGTAACGACAGCACCAATCTCATCTGGTGACTGTTAAGGATTACATGACATAATTCATGTACAATTTAAAACGGTCTGGCATATAGTTTGTACTCAACCAGTGCCAGTTGTGACTTCCTCTAAGCCTACCCCCTAGGGAGATGTTTGAAGGAATGATGGCTACGTGTTCATATTAGATACAGGATAAAAGCATCCTAGCAGAGTCCTAGAAAGATGAGTTCTCGGTCAAACAAATTCTATTATTCTCTTTTCATAGGAAGCTATACCAATAAAGGGACTAAACACTTTTTGGTGAGGAGGGCAGTGAACTGTGGTTCATGCCCTGGGTTTCTGGAAAGTGTGTTAAGTCCTATAGGTGCAACAGCGGAACGGAAGATAGGTAAGTGAATGTCCTGCTTTGCAGGAACCGTTACAGATACAGGAAGTCAAATACGTGTGGCTTTCCTCTCTGTGTGCCCTTGTTTTATGATTTAGGCCTCAGCAGCAACCACGCCATTAGCTGTAACTGTCCTTGTTGGCAGTGTTTACTGTCAGAGCAGGACCAAGCACTTGTTGACTGAACCTGAAGAAATCAAAATGAATGAAGGAAAAAAATCCTGCTAGTGGTAGTCCCAAGGAACTTTGGAAGAAAGTAAAAACAGACCCACCAACATGGGGCATCATGTGACTCAGGGGCTGGCCTGTCGTACGATGCTGAAGAGCATGTGTGACTCTGTACACACCCTGGCATTTCCTCTGAGGAGAAAATCTCAACAAAATTTAGCCTCTGAGCTTCTCATGGGCTAAAACTGAAATACCTGCTGAGTCTTCAGTACCTGGAAGAAACATTCACTCATGGCAGCATGGAAGTCGACAGTCACTGTTTCTGCCTCTTCTGGCCAAAGCCAGTGCCTTAGAGGGGGTTTAGGCGAAGGTTGAATTCTCAAAATGTACATTCACTGATGTACAGTAAAAGGGCAAATGGCCAAAGAAGCCTCCACCATTTTCTTCTCTCCTCCTTACCTGCTGCAATCTGGCTTTGGTCCCCACTCGCCCTCACCGACCAGGTCCCCAGCGATTTCCCTGTGGATATGTCCCTGGACAACTCTCCATTCTTACCCTACCTGGCCTCACGAAAGCATCTGACGCTGGGAAGTTCATTTCCTCTGGTTCATGGAAAATTACTAGAGTGAAAGTTTCATGAGGATGGGGACTGTATCAGCCTAGTTCCACGAAGCAGTTCTTACAATGCTTGGCAGAGTGTGTACTCATCACAGACAATCAATATCTGAGTGAGTGACCCAGTGTCTCCTGGCTCCTGTAAAAGGTGATGTTCTGCTGGGCTTGTTCTAGACATGCTTCTCTTCTCCACACACTCCTCCTGGGGGACCTCACCCACTTTCCTGTCTCTGCCAACCATCCTTTCAGGGAGGATTCCCACACTCTTTTTTCAGCTGAGAGCCACTGTGCAGCCTCTCATGCCTACTGGATATCTCTGTTCTGACGCCGCACTGACTGTTGGGGGAAGTCAGGGACCCCAAACGGAGGGACCGGCTAAAGCCATGACAGAAGAACGTGGATTGTGAAGATTTTATGGACATTTATTAGTTCCCTAAATTAATACTTTTGTAATTTCTTATGCCTGTCTTTACTGCAATCTCTCAACATAAATTGTAAAGATTTCATGGACACTTATCACTTCCCCAATCAATACCCTTGTGCTTTCCTATGCCTGTCTTTACTTTAATCTCTTAATCCTGTCAGCTGAGGAAGATGTATGTTGCCTCAGGACCATGGGATAATTGCGTTAACTGCACAAATTGTACAGCATGTGTGTTTGAACAAATACGAAATCTGGGCACCCTGAAAAAAGAACAGGATAACAGCAATTGTTCAGGGAATAAGAGAGATAACCTTAAACTCTGACCACCAGTGAGCCGGGCGGAACAGAGCCATATTTCTCTTCTTTCAAAAGCAAATGGGAGAAATATCGCTGAATTCTTTTTCTCAGCATGGAACATCCCTGAGAAAGAGAATACGCGCCTGGAGATACAGGCTTATAAACAGCCCCCCCAGGTGTGCCTGTCTCTTATGGTCGAAACTGCGGAGATGAAATAGACTTCAGTCTCCCATAGCGCTCCCAGGCTTATTAGGAAGAGGAAATTCCCACCTAATAAATTTTGGTCAGACCGGTTGATCTCAAAACCCTGTCTCCTGATAAGATGTTATCAATGACAGTGGTGCCCGAAACTTCATTAGCAATTTTAATTTCGCCTCAGTCCTGTGGTCTCGACCTGCCTCCACTTGCCTTGTGATATTCTATTAACCAGTTAAGTACTTGATGTCTGTTACTCACACCTATTCACACACTCCCTCCCCTTTTGAAAATCCCTAATAAAAACTTGCTGTTTTTTGTGGCTTGTGGGGCCATCACAGATCCTACCAACGTGTGATGTCTCCCCTGGACGCCCAGCTTTAAAATTTCTCTCTTTTGTACTCTGTCCCTTTATTTCTCAAGCCGGCTGATGCTTAGGAAAAACAGAAAAGAACCTATGTGAATATCGGGGCAGGTTCCCCGATAACTGACATTTCAAACTCCTCCTCCTGCTCTTGTTTGCTATTTCAGGGAGTGGAATGAACACCTACCTACCCAACTGCCTAAACCAGAAACTTGGGGGTCATCCTTAACCCCCTTCCCTCTACGCACACTCCCTGGCACCTCTGGCACTCAATCCCTCAGTTCTGTAGATTTGTCTTCCCAAATCTCTCTGTAATTCATCCACTTCTACCACATCCCAGCTCCGGCCAGCATCTTCTCCGGGCTACTTCATCAGCCTCTCTGACAGGACTGGCTTCCTTCCCTCTGTGGCTTCCTCTCTCCCTGCAGCAAATGCACCAAATACTCCCCACTCTGACTCTCATGCCCTTGCACCTGCCGCTCTTCCTCTGACTAACTCCTATTGATCCTTCAGGTTTCTGGACATCACCTCCTCCAGGAAGCCCTTCCTTGACCCTGCCCAGCCTGAGCCAGGCGCCCTTGCTATGTGCTCTAGAGCTCCCTGAGTGTCCTGTCCAAGTGTTCACCCCATGATAACATAATTTTCTATTTGAGGTCTGCATCCCCTGCTAGATCTTTCTGTGTGTCTTGTTATTTTAGCCCCTGAAGCTAGGATAGTAGCCACAAAAATATTCACAAACACCTCTGAATGAACAAACAAAAGTAGATTTGCAAATCTATAAAATTCAACTCAAAACTGCTATCAGTCTAAAAGAACAACTTTCAAACAACAATTTTGAGCTCTGTTTTCAAATGGAATAGTTAAGAAAAAGGCACTTCCCAAGGTGACAAGAAGGCATAACTAAGAGTATAGATGTACCCTTTATATAAGCATGTGTTGACTTGAGTTAGTTTAGGTTTACATCCAGGAAGCTACTTCCTAAATTCCTATTCAAACCAATCCTTCAAGTTGACTCTCTCTATAATCTTGCACAGTAAACTAAATGTGGCTCAAATACTACCTAAGGTCCAATAAGCCAGGAAAAGAGAAAAAGAGATGCAGTCTTCTTATCCTTAATTTCTTAGGCAAAAAATACTTGTATCATGTCTTAATAGTTGGAAAGGAGTTTGAGGCTCATCCAAGCCAACATACTACAGGTGAGAAAGCAGACTCAGCGATGCAAAGAAATGTATTCAGGGTCACATTCGGTTTGATATCGGTGAAGCAGTGTTAGGTCCTGGTTCCCTGACCCGCAGGAACGCACTCTCAGCTGTCAGTGCCATTTTCGATTATAGGTTTACTGCACAGGTGGCTGTGTTTTTCAAGAGCAAGTTGCATGTGGAATGTTCCTTCCAACCATGCTTGCAACAAATAACTGTTTCACTATTCAACAATTTGATGAAGAGAAATGAAGTAGAACTCTCATCGGGTCAATACAGTGTTTCTCGCTGGTGGCAGCAGAATGGGGAACAGGAAGAACCACAATAGCAGGGGTGGGAGACTAGAAATAAAGAGTAAAGGTGATTGGGAGTATGTGATCATGCCCCCAGGACATGGGGAGACATACAGCAAGGTACTTACCTTTTCTTTGTCACTAGCTTCTCTAGCCACTGTAGAGCCCTGAAACACAAGGCAATAATAAAAACATGCGCATGGGAGGCATTGGGTTTCACACGCAGAAAATATGAAAATGGCTCCAGGCGGAGCAGAGAGCCAGCTCAGCACCCACTCTGCTTCGCAGCCCATGCGGAATGGGCTTCTCATCCCTCCCTGACCATGGCTCTCTGTCCGGCCTGTGTCCCCTCTCTGCAGGTATTCCTGGCCACTGGCCGCTTCTCTAGCCCTGACTCTGTCTTGCTCACCTGTGTTTCTGTGGTTCTTGTCCACCTGCTGGAAGTTAGAAAACCTGACCATCACTTACTTGAGCAGTAACTTACTCAACACTGGATCAGCCCCACACTTTACTCCTTGTATCAACTGCCAGAAATAGTCAGTCCTGTTATCTTAAAGAGTCCCACTAGCTGGCTGCAGTGGGACCACAGGAGCGTTAAGTGCCTCTTTCCCCACATTACGTCCTTCTGTGGGCACATCCTCACCTGCTGACTTTTTTCTGCAATGCTCATTGTTTTCTCCCGTCTTAAGAGTTACTGATGAACACTCTTTCCTTGCTTGCTATACATCAGTCCCCCACAGCCACTCTCTGACCCCATTTACTTTGGAGATTCCTTCAAAGACACACAGTTATTTGTACCTCTTTTGTGCCAGGCCCTATGCTGAGTGCAGAGGTACAAAGTGGAGGAAAACATGGCCCTTGATCTCAGCAGTTTGTGCTCTTACTGCAGTGGTGTTCAAAACTCTGCCTTAGAGCTCTGGGTTGTCTAGCATGACCTGAGTCTACCTCGGAGGCCGACGGGGAGGCTTTAGGGGTAGAGTCCAAGCAGAGAAACTTCCCGTGGCTTGTGGAAGATTTTAATTCAAAAGAAAAGCTGGGAAACAAATGGTCTGGTGAATTCCTAAGTATGGATGACAATCACGGTGTCTCATACACAGCAGATGTCCTGTGTTTACTGCATAAATGGCTGGAGAAGAATCACAGGCCAATTTCCTGGGCTCCCTTCCCCTCCTGCACTGGACACCCCTAACTATCGTGAGGTCAGCCAAGCCACTTGCTTCTTTACCACCTGATGAAAAGACATCTATTGCCCTGGGTTACTTGAGTTAGCCATTCATTAAATGAACTTACAGTTGGCTTGGGAAAAGTGAAAGTGGCTTTTAGATTGGCCATCTGCAAAGAAATCAAAATTTTTGATTACTGGCTTTCATCGAGCAGCTCAGGCATTGACTAGGATTGAGCTTCCTGCAATTCACAGATGCGGAAACTTGAACGGAAGAGACTCCTCACATTGGGGAAGGGAGCCAAGACCAGGCTGGGGGGGTCTCCCCAGGGCCGATCTTCCATCCCCCTGGTGCTCAGTGCCCCCAGGACTGGAAGATCCGAGGGACGCTGCTGCTGGCCCAGGGAAAATGTTCAATGTTTCTCAGGGCGATTCAGAGCAGCCCAAAGCTGACCCATCAGATGGAGACAGATAATGTGAACCATTCATGAAGGCAAACCTGAGAACCCATTCTACGACCACAGTCCGAGCCCCTCTGCACAGCCATGCCCAGCAACTGTTACTTGCCATGGTCTACTTTCCTTCCTTTAGGGATTCCTGAATATGGACCAGAAGTACCTTCCTTTACACACTGATTTTTCACAACGAATGTTCCCAAATACTTTTTAAAAATGGGACATTTGTAATACTTGAGCACTGCCTATGATGCTGGGAACAGGAAGAAACTATTCTACTTTGAATTCTTAACCAAGTTCTTGGGGTGTGTGTGTCTGTGTGTGTGTGTGTCTGTCTGTGTCTGTGTGTGTGTTTCCTCTCCTACAATATAATCCACCCTGCTTCTGATTCTCAGGGAAGCTTCATCTGTATGCAAATGCTGATCATTAGCTTGGGAACAACAAAACACAAAACTCATCCAAGTTTAAATTAATTCACAATAAAAAATTATTAAAAAAAATAGAAAAGGAAGGCCAAGAGTTTAAGCCATGAAACAATGCCAGATGTACAGGTTCCATCACAACTGAGAGCACTGGCAAGAACAGAGTTTATCTATGCCACAAGCCAGAAAGGGAGATGAAACTGTGAAAAAAGCAAGGCAAATTAAAACTAGAATATCCAATCTCTAAGTATAATTTACTCCAAGATATGTTTACCAGATGCCTACTTGTCCGAGGCGCTATCTTAGGCATTGCAGGGGGATTAAAAAAAAAAAAGTTAAGTAGAAGAACATACTTGCCCTTGAGGCACTTACACATCAGGAGAATGAATGAGGCAACCAAGATTCATTAACTCCCATATGCCATGCCTCACGCTGGACACAATACATATGTATCTTATTTAATTCTCAAAACATCCCTGCAAATGTAGGTAAAATTATCCCTATTTTAACAGATGAAGAGACGGAGGGTCATAGAGGTTCAGCAACTTACACAAGGTTAACAAGTCATAAAAGAACAACATGTGACTTTAGAGGTCACTCTGGCTTTCTTCCCTGGGGAAGTCAGACAGAGTCCTGTGTGCTCTGAGCAGTACCGCCAAGGCTTCACGAAAAGAGCTGGTGCTGGCAAGGGCCCTGGAGGATGGCTGGGATTTCCCCAGGGGCAATTCCAGGGGCACAAAATGGCTTGCTTGGGCGAAGACTTTAAGACAGGACAGGACAAGGGTGTATTTGGGAAGTGGATCCAGTGTGTGGGGACTTCAGAGGTTAGGAGACAAGCCCAGACCATTTCCTTCACTTAGACTAGCATTTCTCTAAGCATGGTTCAGAACCCTGGGGTCCCAAGACCAAAACTATACAAAGCCAAAACTATTTTTATAATAATACTGAGAAATTATTTGCCTTTTTCAGCGTCTTGATATTTGTATAAATAATGCAAAAACAATGGTGGGAAGAACTGCTAGCAGTTTAGCATAAGTCAAACAGTGGCAACAGTGGGTATTAGTAGTGTTTGTGATTTAAAAAAAAAAAACAATGAAAAAAACCAGCACCATCTAAGAAACCCAGCGTCATTTCAGAAACCTCTGAAGCCACACATCCTGGTTTTTGTGACTTGTGAGCTGTGTACGAGTTGCTGAACTTCTGGCTAAGATGGTGTGTCATACAAGTAGGCATCTAGTAAACACATGAAAGCATAACATTAAATGTATCAAATCTAGACCCAGGAGTACACGTCTTTTCAATATTCTGTGCAGGAAATATACATAAAGCACTTCTGTTTATAAAGAAGGAATGATTTCTTAAGAACTGTTTTCGTGACGGTTTGAGTTATGAGTTGAACTGGCCATCTTTTTCATGAAACAACACTTTTACTTGAAAGAACAACTGACAGTCTATGTTTATTTAGATCTGGGCATGTGACTGATGTTTGCTACAAAATGAATGAAGCTGCTAGGCTCCCCTGTATGCTGGGGTGCTTGCTACATGTGGTCATTTCACAGAAAACAACTGACAGGGCTTGTGGCCAGTGATAAAATTTGAGATTCCAAGTAAAAAACTGATTTTTAAAAAACTTATATCCACCATCCTGGGCCTGACCGCTTCCCAATATGTAAAAGACTTTTCTGATGACATTGGTGGTAACACTGTTATGACTTTTTGATACTGTATAATGAAATGTGTCAATATTTGGAAGAGTCAAATAACTCAGTGAACCAATGTGTTCCAAATGGCAAGTGCATGCCTTGGCAAAATCACACATTCAAACAATGCATGCAAACCAATCAATGGATTTCGATGAAGAGTACAAAAAGTTCATTGATATGATTTCAGATTTCATAATGTAACTAAGCTTTGAGAAATTACCTCTTGTCAAGCTTTGGTGTAGTATCAAAGAAGAATATCTACAATTATCCAAAAAAGTTGTTAAAACATGCTTTAACAACTTTCCAAACTTCATTATTGTGTGAGTTCAGATTTTCTTCACATACTTCAGCGGCATAACACCACACAGACTGACAGCGGAATCAGACAGGACATTCCAACTATCTCACATTAAGTCAAGACATTACGGAGATTTGCAAAAATGTAAAACAATGCTACTTGTCTCATTCATGTTTTTGCTTTTGGAAAATAGTTATTTTTCATAAAAATGTTAACATGTAATGTTTTTCTCATTTTTAAAGAAACTACATATTCTAATATTTCTTATATTAATTTTTAATACTGTAAATATCCACAGACACAACTCACATCTGCAAAAGCTTTCGAGTGTCCTCTTGTAAGAGCGTGAAAGCGTTGAGACCAAAAAACTTGAGAACCAAATGTCAGAGACCAGAGTTTGGCAAACTTTTCTGCAAACAGTCAGTGGGTAAACGTTTTAGGCTTTGTGGTCCCAAATGGTCTCTGCGGTAACTACCAAACTCTGCCATTACAGTGCAAAAGCAGTAACAGACAATACAGAAACAAGGGGCATCGTGGTATTCCAATAAAAATGTATTTATAAAATTGGCCCAGCCAGCCGCGGTGGTTCATGCCTATAATCCCAGCACTTTGGAAGGCCAAGGTGGGTGGATTGCTTGAGCTCAGGAGTTCAAGATCAGCCTGGGCAACATGGTGAAATCCTGTCTCCACCAAAAAATACAAAAAATTAGCTGAGCATGGTGGTGCGTGCCTGTGGTCCCAGCTACGTGGGAGGACTGCTTGAGCCAGTGGGGCAGAGGTTGCCATGAGCCAAGATTGAGCCACTGCGCTCCAGACTGAGCAACAGAGGAAGACTCTTTCTCAAAAAAAAAAGAAAAGAAAAGAAAAAAAAGTCCCTCAAGTAGGATTTGGAATTCAGGAAAGTCATAGTTTTCCAACCCCTAACTTGAACATTCTCCCCTGAATTGGTGATACCAGAAGCCAGATTATGTCACTCCACTCTCAGAATTTCCAGGGGCCCCCCTTTATCTCCAAGCCTTTGAAATGGTCTCTGTACTTACAGTTCCCTCTGCCAGCAATATTCTTCCTCAGCTCATTTCCTCATCTCCTTCAAGTCTGCTCCAATGTCATCTTTCTCAGGGGAACCTTCCCTGACAGGACTATTTAAAACCCTCCCCCTCTTTAATTCTGTCTATAGCACTTACCACTTCTGGGTATGCTCTATGACTAACTTATCACTTTTACTTACTGCCTGTCTTTACCCACCAGAATGTCAGCTCCCCGAGTGCAGGTTTGGTTTGTTCATCCCATCACTTCCAGCATCTAGAACAGTGCCTGGTATGCAGTTGGCTGAATATTTAAGTAGATGTGATATCTCTAACATGTGCCAGTGTTTTTTGGTGAGGCCAGCAAGCACTTATTGCCTCACAGGAAGGAATACACTGCTACTTGTCTGGTAGCTTTAAGTGCTGAGCGGCTCCTAAGCATTTCTGATGATCAATGACAACATTTACAATGTAGAAGAGTAAGCTTGAGTTACTTTACAAAAATTCATAAAATCAGTCTCACCTTTAAGTCGTATTTCCTATACACAGACAAACGGTGGCTGAATACATTTCTTGTAACTATCACATATATTTCAACTCCATCAACATTAAGCCGGTACATGCCCAAGAACTGGGGAAGAAGGGTGATCCCATGACATTCCACTATGTACTGCATAGGAGAGAAAGAAAAAGGAAAAAAACATCCAATCAAAAGATTGCTTCCTTAGATGTAAAATACATACGCCTATGGTGTTCATACAAAGTGAAAACCTCCAGCCATTAGGGTCTTATTTACAGAAAATGACCACATTTGTACTGCTTACCAATCACATCTGTGTTCACCATCTCTACACAGAAAAGAAAATTCAATTTTATCTCCAAACAGATTTTTTTCCAACATTCCAAATGGAATTTGTATGGTCAAACCTTGGATATGATCGTGTAAGGCAAGAGGACATGTGACTATCTTTCTCAAATTCCTTTTAAGGGATATTACACTCCACCTAGCGCCTCTGTCTTCTACCCCCAAAGCCCTGACTACAAGGCTGAGGCAGAGCAACCTGGCTGCTAAAATAGCTTCTCTAACAGTGTTGAAGTCGAGATGAAAGAGGAAATTGTGGGGAGCCCAGTGTTAGAAGCTGGGAGGGCAGAGCTAAGCTTCTCAAGAGAGCAGGGGAGAAGGGGGCAACCCCTGTGACCATAGCACCCTCGCTCCTGCTCTGCCGGCAGATGGGGACTGCCTTGTCCCTGCTGGTTTCCACCAAGTTAACTGGACAAGCCCAGGGTTGACACCATTTCCGAGGAGAGTTGCAAAAAAAACACAACACGACCTTGGCTGTTTTTCATGACCAAACTCCAGAGGGCCACAAGATGGAGCCACTTCTCCCTGAGAGCAGATTTTCATAAAACGGGTCCCTCTGCACTTCCCAAAGGAAGCTTAGGTTTTCCTTCCTTTAAAATCATGGGGAAGTAATATTTCAAAAAAGCTCTATGTCCACTGACACGTGTGCAATCTCCAGGATAATAAACAGCATAAATGGTGAGATTCCATTACTGTAAACACCATACATGTTGGGCATATTCAGAGATGCTAATGATGCAATTGGAGGGAATTCTGATCCTTTTCTACTATACTGCTTGAATTTTTCATTTTCTGTTTTTTTTTTTTTTTACAATGAGCATTTTATAAAAAATACAAAAGTAATTAAAATGTCCTTTCAAACTTCTTAGTTGTAAATACTGTTAATAATCAATTCTGATAATATTTAACCACCTTAAGAATGAAAAAGTCTTTGGTTTTGATCATTAAAGATAAACAGCATTGGTACTTGATTCTGATTTTTGCCATCTAGAGTTTTGGCAAGTTTTAAAGATGCCTCTTCCCTTTCTTTTTTCTTATTGACAATAACTGAGCTATAAATTTTAATCTCATGTAATTCCTGAGTAGAGTTTCACCTTGTTATTTGAAATTAGATGAGTGAAACATTTTCTATTTCCTTTCAAAATATAATAAATTGAGTTTTGCTAATGCAAAACAGGCAGTAAATAGCCACTGGGTGAAAAGAAAATTTCTCACATCTGATCTAGAGAAATGAAAAGGGGTTCTTGGCCTCTGTAGAAAGGTGGTTGGATGGGCCTTCAAACATGGAGACTGAGGAAGTCTAGTCTCCACGTGCAGTAGAGAGAACGTAGGTTTGCGAGCCAGAAAGGTGTGTGTGTGTGTCCTGGCGCCTCCATTTACGAGCTGTGAGATCTTGGGCAAGTTACCAAATCACTCCACAGTTTAGCTTCATTTTCCAGAAAAAGAGCCTAATTCCTACCTTGAAGGTTGTTTTGAGGGTTACAGGTAAGAGTATGTCAAAATACTTCACACGGTGCTGTGTACTATACTATACTGAAGATGATAATGATTATTTTCATTCAAAACTCTGTTAAGAAATTTTAATGTTACACCTGTTTTGTGCTCCCAACTGACATACAGACATGTACTGAGTGGGGTCTGCTCCGAGGCAGTTATTTTTGAGGCCCACAAGACACAGTCCCTGCCCCAGGGGACACACCGATTTTGGTTTTGCTGCTCAACCCCTCACTGAGCTCCCATCACGAACTACCTTTACAGAATCCCGCCATTCCTCTCTGATTCAAGTTGCTGTGCAGAGCCACAGAAAGCTATGTCTCACAGCGACAAAGAACCATTATTCATGCTACAAATATGGTCAAGAAATCTTTTGAATATTATACAGCAAATCATTGACTAGTTGTCCCCCCTTAGGAAAAAACACCCATACAGATTACATTCTATACCTCCCCTACCTTAAACATTAGCTAAATTATTACACTGAAAAGAGACAGATCAAATCTGTCTACTTTGCCAGGCGCGGTGGCTCACGCCTGTAATCCCAGCACTTTTGGAGGCCAAGGCAGGTGGATCACGAGGTCAGGAGTCCAAGATCAGCCTGGCCAAGATGGTGATACCCCATCTCTACTAAAAATACAACAATTAGCTGGGTGTGGTGGTGCACACCCGTAATCCCAGCTACTCGGGAGGCTGAGGCAGAAGAACTACTTGAACCCAGGAGGCGGAGGTTTCAGTGAGCCGAGATCGTGCCACTGTACTCCAGCCTAGGTGACAGAGCAAGACGCCATCTCAAAAAAAAAACAAAAAAGAAAAAAAAAGTCTGTCTACTTTATCAGCAAGTCTACACACAGTTGTTCTCAAACGTATGGCTCACTTATGGGGCTCCTTGATGAATACCTAAAACTCCTGAGGATATAAACATGTACAAACCCACAAGTCATACCAAAGTTTATCTATTAGATTCGAGTACTGCCAAGCTGCAGGTGATATCAAAGGTTTAGAAAGCATTAATGGGTTAAAATTTTGCAGTAGAGAAAATTATACCTATTAACTGAATTTCTGGGGGGAAGCACTGGGAAAAGGGCACACTGCTGCATTTCAGTGGAGGAACATTTAACTGGGTCTGTGAATGCCTGGGCTAGGAACCTCTGTTCTCTAGCACGATGCGCTGTTGTAGGCAGATGTTGACACAAAGAGACCTGAATGAGAATCCTGGTGGATTCTCCCAGTTGACCCAGAGAATGCTGAGCACAAACTCGTAACACCAGCGGGTGTTAACTCCAAGGATTCCTACACACACCAGCTGCTGGAGGTCAGCCCTGAACCAGGGAGACTGTAGATTTACAGCTACAGCTTTAGCCGGGGTCTCACGAGCCTCAGCCACCTTACACAGCTAAGAGCCCTCCCGGTCCAGCTCCGTGTTCATTACCTGTGTGACCTTGGGACAGTTATTCAACCTCTTGGTCTGCATTTGGAAACTGGGAGGTAATAATAGTACTTAACGATTAAATGAGTTAGTTATAAAGTTTTTAGAACAAAGCCTGGTGCATAAAAAGTAGTATGGAAGTGTTATCTATCTTTTGAACCTTTTCCATTTTTATTAAACCTCAAAACCCCCTCATCACTCTCAATATTCATTCATAGAGGCTGAGAATACGGTGGCTCACACCTGTAATCCCAGCACCCTGGGAGGCCAAGGTGGGCGGATAGCTTGAGATCAGGAGTTTGAGACCAGCCTGGCCAACAGCGAAACCTCGTCTCTGCTAAAAATACAAAAATTAGCCAGATGTGGTGGTGCATGCCTGTAGTCCCAGCTACTCAGGAGGCTGGGTGAGGCAGGAGAATCGTTTGAATTTGGGAGGCGGAGGCTGCAGTGAGCCGAGATTGCGCCACTGCACTCTAGCCTGGGTGACAGAGCAAACTCCTGTCTCAAAAAAAAAAAAAAAAAAAAAAGTATTCATAGATTCACTTAAAAAATACGTATTGAGCATCCATCATATGCCTGGTACCATGAGCGGTGCTGACTTTGCATCAGGGAGCAGAGACACCTGGTTCTTGTCCGTGTGCAAGTTATCCTACTTCAGGTGGAAAAGGGTGCCATGGGAGGGGAATGGCTTGACTTCCGGTAGCCCCATCTCCCAGTGATACAGTTTGAATATTTGTCCCCTCTAAACCTCATGTTGCAATGTGATCCCCAATGTTGGAGGTGGTGCTCGGTGGGAGGTGACTGGGTCATGGGGGTGGGTCCCTCATAAATGGCTTGGTGCCATAGGGAGAACTGCTTATGGAAAAGAGCCTTCCCCTCTCCTTCCTTGCCTCTCGCCAAGCCATGCCAGCTCCCTACTGCCTTCCAACATGAGTAGAAGCTTCCTGAGGGTCTCACCAGCGACAGATGCTGACACCATGCTTCTTGTACAGTCTGCAGAATTGCAAGCCAAATAAACCTCTTTTCCTTATGAATCACCCAGCCTCAGGTATTCCTCACAGCAACACAAATAGGCAAAGACACTCAGTGCTTGCACGGTGGATCCCCTTCTGAGAGTGGTCTCTCCAGTCACACTGCGACGCATCTTGTCGGGTTCTTGAGCATCCTCCCTCTCAGTCCAGGATCCTCAACCTCTCTCCCTCCACTAGCAGCTTCTCAACAGTGCTTAAATGTGCTGAAGTTTCTCTCATTAAAGCAACAAAAACAAAACACAAAACGCCCTCTCAATTGCAGAGATGCACGGTCTGGCACCGCCTGGATCCTGGCTTGAACGTACACTTTGAGGGCAACTGGGGACACCTGATTATGCCACTCACTAGATATTTGGTGATAGGAAGGAATTTATTGGCAATTTTCTTAACCTGAGAAGTCCTTATGTTTCAGAGAAGCATATCAAAGTATTTACAGAGGAAATGTGTCTGTGATTTACTTTTGAAACATTTCTGCAAAAATAAAATGATGCAAATGTGGTAAAATGTTAATAATTGTTCAATCTAAGTGATGGGTATATGCTACCAATTTTCTGTCTGCTTGAACATTTTTACAATAAAAAGTAAAAAGAAACACAAACCCTTCTTTGACTCCATGTCTTTCTCCATCTCTGGTCTCTCTCCTGACTGGCTTCTTGGCAGAGCTGTCTACGCTTATTTTCTGTTGCTCTGTAACCCCCCATCCATTCTGCAGCTCATCCTGCTCTGGATTTTACTTTCCTTTCCCTTCAGAGCAACTGTTCCCCCTGAGATCTCAATGACCTTTGAGTGGTTAAATTTGACAGATGCTTCTCCGCCTTTCTCTCTCCTGAACCCCATGAGCAAACAGCGCTCTTGTCTGGGGCTTCCTCCCTCCCTTGGCTTCTGAGACGCTGTGTTCTCCTGGCAGTCCTCCTACTCCGTCCCATCTTTCCTGCTCTTTGGCCAATGCTTCCTCCTCTACATGCCCATTGTCAGGGCCCTGACCTAGATGTCCTCTCATCTTCTCTTCTTCACTGTGTACAGGCTACCTGATCCACACCGTTTGTTTACATTTCTATCTGCGTCTCGATAACCCCCAAACTTATGATTCTCAGTCCACAACCCTTTCTTTTGAGTTGCACATCCACATAGGATTCATCTAGTGTAATACAGCTTCCTGCCAAATGTAAGCTCCACGAAGGTGGCAAGCACTACCCTTAGCAGGACCTCATGTGTAAAAACCATTTCATATACAACTGTTGAATAAATGAATCCAGCAAATAATTAAAAAAACCCAAGATGTTTCCTACAGATGCCTACTCTCTCCGCTCTCTTTATAATTAACACCATGACCCTTACCTCCAGGTGTTACAAATATGAAAATTCTAGATTTTGAAAGCAGAAAAAAAACCTGTCATTTATGATGAAAGGGAAGCCCCAGATTTTTCTCACGATGGCCACGACAAATGAAGAACTTTACACAATAAGTAGGAAAAAAGGCATATGTCGGGCATGAAAGGAGGAAAAGAGGGTACCACAAAATAACGGTTTAAGGATGTTAATCTTAAAAAAAAAACAAGGCAGTCACATGGTTAACTTGGGGGAGAATTCGGAAATGGTCACAGTTTATCTGTTCTGGGACTATTACCGCACGTGTAAACTGTACCACGCAATGTATCCTCATTCTCCAGCATCACGGGAGAAACAGAACTTTGAGGAAAGGGGTGGAGCAGAATCGTAACCCTAGTGATATCAATCTGTCACTGAATAAGAGTAAAGAATCACATCCGATGATTTATACAGAATTCACACTTAAAATTCTCTCAACTTCCCAAAGTTTGTATGCACTGATAAAGCTGATAAATGGTGTTCTCCACAGAGTCACGTGCACAACAATTAGAGGACGTCTGCCTCCTTCCCCTCCAGCTCCTCCCTATCCTCACCCTTGGAGGGGAGGGGATCTTTGGGCATAACACTGCTTAGACATGATGCTCCCATACCAACCACAGAGGAACTTGCTGCCTTTAAGATGCTCCATTCTGGCCGGGCATGGTGGCTCACGCATGTAATCCCAGCACTTTGGGAGGCAGGGGAGGGTGGATTACTTGAAGTCAGGAGGAGATTGAGACCGGCCTGGCCAACATAGTGAAACCCCGCCTCTACTAAACATATAAAAATCAGACGGGCATGGTGGCAGGTGCCTGTAGTCCCAGCTACTCGGGAGGCTGAGGCAGGAGAATCGCCTGAACCCAGGAGGTAGAGGCTGCAGTGAGCCGAGAGTGTGCCACTGCACTCCAGCCTAGGTGATAGAACGAGACTTCGTCTGAGAAGAAAAAAAAGAAAAAAGAAAAAAGAAAAAAAAAGACAACCCATTCTGATGAATGTGGAGATAAGGGAAACAAGACCTGCTCATGACTCAAGCAGGGCCAAGATGCAGCCAAGGCCCCGAGGTGAGGGGTGGAGAGGGCAAAGGCAGGAAGGCGTGAGGGAGGGAGACTTCCAGGAGCACCTGATATGTGCCCCAAATGCTCTCAGAGACACGGGTTGTATCTTTAATGCATGACGGGGACTCCCAATTTCAAGGACTCTCCATAATTAATAATGCTGCAGTGTCTCTGTATTTATAAAGTGAGATTAGTGTAAACGTAAAACACCAAAAAAAATATTTCTATCTTATGTTGCTTCTAGGATCACAACTGTGAGCACATTTTTCTTCAAAACTTAAATATCATAGACAAATTAACAAAATAACTTGTAAGCGAATGCTTCAAAAACAGCAAGAAGAGGCTGGGCATAGTGGCTCATGCCTGCAGTCCCGGTAATTCGGGAGGCCAAGGCGGGCGGATTACTTGAGCCCAGGAGTTTGAGATCAACCTGGCCAACATGGCGAAACTCCATCTCAACAAAAAGAAAATAAAAGAAAGACAGTGAGAAGAAGAGCATGTACTGGGGGTACCACAATGCCATGCTTTTAACAACCTATTATTTGACCCGGTCATTCTCTTCTTTGTAAGAGTTTAAAGCATCCTATCTATTACCCTTTTGTAAAACACTGTTGGCTCAACCACAAGACAATCTGAGGAACCTTTGCCTCCTCTCTTCCACATGTTTAACTTCCAGATTACAAGAATGCCAAAGTTACAATGCAGTCCCTTGGGGCCACTGTTTAGGAAAGGTGCATTTCTTTCACTTTCAACCACGGTCTACAAGATGTGGCTACAAGGCAATCCTTCCCCACTGGCAAAAGGACGTCATCAACACAGTTGTCCCTTTCTGCGATGGTAATGTCTCGCTTTACAGACTCGACAGGTGCAGTGCTCTAATGCGGCCCGGGAGGCTCCTTTGTAGAATGGATGAGTCTGCCAACTCCTGTCTGCAGACACTTTGAAGTCCCAAGGCAGATGAGGCTGCAAATGGACCAAACACTGAACAATGCTGGCCGTCCCGTGTGTGGCTCAGAAATTAAGAGCACACACCAGATAAGTGGGCTTATTCTCCTGTGAGAGCACAGGCAGCATGAACACAATACCGAAGAGTGTTCCTTTCAGCGGCTCCTTGAGTAGGGCTTTTCTTTCCCCTGAGGCATTCCTCCTGGTGGCACAATGCTCACCTGTCATTTCCACCTGTCTGACTCTGCAGGTCACCTGTATCTAAGCCCTCCGCTCACATCAAACAGCAGCTCTGCCTGGCACCTGGAGCGGAGGCTTGACATTGAGCTTCCATCTGAATAGGTGCTGAAAATCTACTCTCAAACTTCATAAAAGTGAACCTGATTATCACCAATTCTTCTTATACTTGCTATATGTAGCTAAGTCAATCACACTTATTCTTTGGGGTCAGCTTTCCTATTCTCAGTGTTAAATTCACTGCATTGCATTTTAAAATGTTATTTTTGCCCAGTTACTTGGGAGGCTGAGGCAGGAGGGTTGCTTTAGCCCAGGAGTTTGAGATCAGCCAGGGCAACACAGGGAGATCCTATCTCTAAAAAAAAAAAAAAAAAAAAAAAAAAAATTAAAATATTCCTTTTATTAAGTACCGTTCACTTCTGCACTGTCATAGCTGGGCACCTCTTGCTCTTGTCACTTCCCTTCATTACTTACCACATAATAGCTTCCGTTAATTCTAAGAGTGCTGTCAGAAACTTTCCTATTTTTGCTGGCTTTTTACATTTTTCTCATCTGTAACATGCATTTCCAACACTAACAGTTTTCACTTTTTTCTGTCTTTTTTTAAAAAACAATCTGCTTACAGCTGGGCATGGTGGCTCATGCCTGTAATCCCAGCACTGGGAGGTTGAGGCAGGAGGATCGCTTGAGTCCAGGAGTTTGAGACCAGCCTAGGCAACATGAGAAGACCCCATCTCTACAAAAAAAAATAAAAGAAATGAGCCAGGTGTGGTGGCGCATGCCTGTATTCCCAGCTACTTGGGAGGCTGAGGCAGTAGGATCACTTGAGGCTGCAGTGAGCTGTGTTTGCGCCACTGTACTCCAGCCTGGGTTACAGACCAAGACCCTGTCTCAAAAAAGAAAAAAAAAAAAGTCTACTTATAAATGATGTCGTCAACAAAGGTAAAGTTTCTCCCTTCCTAATTCTCCCTCAGAACTTTTTCCTGTACTACTGTGGGCTTGTTAGAAATGTAATGCAATGATAAATTAGAGTCATGGAATTAGGCTTTCAAAAACATAAAACGTAACAGCCACCAGACCTAGGTTTCCTTTGCCCTTAGGCACTCACCGAGAATAATAAGGGTTATGAAGCCCTGATTTGTTGCTATTCTCATGGAGAATGAAATGCCATTAAGAGATTCACAGCTGACTGAAGGTTGAAGCAGAAAGGGTTCTAAGTGATGTACTGCAATAGATAAATATTTATATCTCCGCACGATAGTGTGAACCTGGGCTCCGGCTTTCAGGAATTGCTGTTATTATCATGTTTCACTCATTTTTTAAAAAAGCTTGAAGTGACAATTTAATATAGCATCAAATTAGTACTTCAATGTAAAGTCTTGTTTCATTTAATGTTTTTGAAAGGTTAAATTATCTGTAATCCTTACTGTGCCATGGGCTATGTTTAGAGATTATTCCTACAATATACTTCACATGAAAGAAAAGGAAAGGGAAAGGAAGGGAAGGAAAAGGAAGGGAAAGGAAGGGAAGAAAGAAGCCTGAAATTATGGATTGCTCTGGTGTACAATGACCAAATAAATAAATAAATGATACAACTTCCTTTGAGTGGATGTCTTGGTATGTTTGGGGATAATGATCTGTAAATGTCAGTTAATATAATTTGATTTCAAATCGTCTTGAAGTAAAAAAAAAAAAAAAAAAAAAGTAAGGATGACTACATTTAAGCAAATATAACAAATATAACAAAACAAATGAAACTTTACTGCTTTTCTTAATTAAGCTTGATAAAATTCAAGCTTAAAAGGAACAAGCATTCTTCTGTAGTGTTTACACAAATTCTTATTACTGAGATATGCAGAAATGCCTAAGTACATACACGGATGTGCCTCATTCAATTTGTGACACACCATAGTAAGGACTCATAAACAACATCATCATTAAAAATGAAGTAACTTTGTAAAAAATACAATAAAGTGCTTTATCATATGTACAGATGCCACTTGTTACAAAAAGCACAGAATGGCTGCTCCACGTATGACCGCTGGCAGGGAGCTTTGACAAGCCCAAGGCCTCCTGGAAAGCCCCATCCCAGATAGAAAGCTTAGCTGGTATAAAGGCAGGAAGGTTCCAGAATGGCCCCTGTACCCCACACACAATGGGGAGCTGGGGCCTGAGTAGCCTATGCCTGGGGCTGGGGGGGAGCTGATCATTTGGGCAGGTGCACCGGAGAGCAGGTGTGCCCAGGGAGCATGTGAGGAGCTGGGATCCAAGCCAAGGTGTTGGAGGTGCTAGACAGAGCCTGTCAGGAGCACAGGGGTACACGGACACTGAGGACATTAGCATGGTGGGGGAGTGGGCCCAGGGGCTCCCACTCCTAGCAAAACCCTTGAAGGGTGCTGACAGGGTCCAGGGCTGGGAATCCCCACCCTCCTCTTTTGCAGAAACAAAACTCTCAGAAAAAGAGCTTCCGTAAATTAGGGTCAGAGGCCTTCCCAAACATTGCAGAGGTGAAGATGAAGCTAAGAGTTCAGTAAGACTCTCAGACACTAAGGAAAGCAAGTGTAGCCACAGAGATGGGACGCCCAGATTCCCTCCAGGGAAGGTCATGCTGCCCAGCTGAGCGTGTACGGTCTGCAGAAGGCCTGCAGGGGCAGCTCCTTCTAGGTCTGCCTTCCGAGGGCAGCCTGTCATTTTGGCCCAACATAGGAGCCTCTAGGGGCATGTTCCATAGTGCCCCGCCAGGTTAGCTGAGGCTTGACTGGGCCAGCATGGCAGTCTGACTTCTCCCTCTGCCCAATCTCACTTCTTTCCTCTTCCCTACATAAGCTTTGATCCTGATCAACATCTTGACCCCAAACTGTGTCATCATCTGGTTGGGCAAGTCACTGTGTGTGAGAGTTGGCAGACCATGACAACAAATTCAGGCCCCCAGGAATTACAGAGGTGGGAACTCTCAGGAGTAAGTTTTGAATAGTTACGTACAAAACGTGTAAAGAAACAAAGGATGCAATTTCAGAGATGAGCATAAATCAAGAAACTATCAGGAATGAACGGTCAGATTTTGAAAAATCTTCTGGAAAACTTCTAGAATAAAAAAGATAATTGTTGAAATTAAAAAAAAAAAAGATTAGAACAGTTGAAGAGACACTTAGGACTGGATGATATATTTTGAAGAATTCACCCAGAATTGGGCAGAGATGTTTGGAGATGGAAAATGGAAAAGAAAAGTTAAAGATGGGGAAGCCAGGATGAGCACGTTAAAGATGTACTTGCTGGAGAAACAGAAGGGGAGAGGTGAGGCTGAAAGAGAAAAGGACTGCGGAACTTCCAGACCCTGGAGAAGAAGTACTGCAGGAAAAGCTTGCTGGGGAGTGTGCCGGGCAGCTCCCCATGAAACTAGGAGGAAATGGCTGAGGACATTGGGAACAGAGGGCTACAAATGACGCCATCGGCAAGCTTCGGGGCACTCATTGGGCCACAGGAACTCCCA
The DNA here is from genome assembly GCF_000001405.40 of Homo sapiens. Classification (NCBI taxonomy): domain Eukaryota; kingdom Metazoa; phylum Chordata; class Mammalia; order Primates; family Hominidae; genus Homo; species Homo sapiens. The sequence continues at coordinate 22,584,699 of NC_000010.11, forward strand.
AGATGACAAATACCTTCCCCTGTTTCTAAGAGAGAAGCAAGACGTGTCCGCAGTTTACAATGGCAGCAGAGGGTCTACTGGGAGCTTGTGTTTAGTCTCATAATCTGATACTTACACAGGACTGAGAATATCCAAGTACTTTCCAAATTTTAATTGATCACTCCTCCGGAAAAATGAACAAAAGGGCCCAAGAGCAGATTCAGAACTGAGTGCTCAGAATGTTCTGTTGTTCCAGAACACAGGAGCTGCCCTGTCACTCACCGGGGGCACATGAGCATCACCTGGGGGCCTGGTAGAAAGGCGGCCTCCACAGACTCCCCGACAGCCCCTCCAGACCCAGCCAGTCAGAGCCCTGATGAAAGTCTAAGAAGCACTGACACAATGTGGAACCTTTTCTCTTTTGGTGCTATAACCCTCTCCACTCTTTTTTGTATTTAGCTTTTATGGTCCCTATTTTCTCAGTTTTGCTCTACCGAAGTCTCATCCTTTGAATAGTAACACCAACGTCCCTAACCTTCGGGAAAGGATAAGCAGATGTACTATGAGGAGATTTCAAAGAAGTCACATGTTTGCCCTAAAATCCTTGAAATTTGAGGTGCTGATTAGCTTATTTAACAGGGAGTTCAGATTTTGGGGCAAAACTTCTGGATTCAACTAAAGATATTAATTGTTTCCCTAAATAAAAGGATAAGAAAGGAATTTAAGTCGTTTTTTATCAATTTTACCCATTTATCGATTCAGTCACTTTGAAATAAGAAAGTAAATTAAAATGCTGCATTTCAAAAGCTATTAAAATACTCAATAATATTTTCATAAGGTATTTCTTGATCACCTATATTGCAGCTTCCCTCGGGTTACATTCTAAGTCCTATACAACTTCAGGGAAGTATGTTACCAACAGTGCCTCTCAATTTTTTTTTTTTTTTTTGAGACAGAATCTCACCCAGGCTGGAGTGCAGTGATGCCATCTTGGCTCCCTGCAACTTCTGCCTCCTGAGTTCAAGGGATTCTCATGCCTTAGCCTCCTGAGCAGCTGGGACTACAGGCATACACCCCCAGCTAATTTTTTGTAGTTTTAGTAGAGACCGGATTTCACTGTGTTGGCTAGGCTGGTCTTGAACTCCTGGCCTCAAGTGATCCGTCCACCTCGGCCTCCCAAAGCACTGGGGTTACAGGCATGAGCCACTGTGTCCAGTCAATACTTTTCAATTTTAATTCAAGTTGAAGCTACATGATACCAAAGCTCCCAATGAATTCACGTCAGTGCGGGGAAAAAAAAAATTCAGTCGATTTAAGATAAAAAGATATTCAAGTAGGCAAATAGGTTTTTTACCATTTTTTCCTTTTTGAATGTTCTAACATTGTTTAGTTAATCAACTGATAATCATCATTTATAGGATCCGAGTTTCTTACAGCCTAACAGAAATGTGAAAAGGATATTTATAGCGAAACATTATTTTCCCAACTACAAGAGAAAATCAAATGAAGTAAACAAAATTTATGAAAGTTTGCTGTGCTTAATATGAATTCTCCATTGGTCTGAGAGATGATGCTCTTCTTTCTTTGCACAGAGTGAAAGCTAGGGTAGAATTTGGGCAGGAAATAAAGAATAGAGCAAGATACTGGAACTTGGGGGAAAAATCTAACTCCTCACGGCTGAAGTCTTCGTAATTCTGCATCAGTGCCACAGTCTACCAGAAACCAGGCCCCCTAGTGGATTAAAAGAGTTAAGGACTGAATGCCACATGAGAATGATTTCAACACTGAGGTGTAGGAAATTAAATACAAGAACGATATTTAATTAAAAATCTTATTCAGTCACTCATTTAGCACTTCTTTTTCTTTTTTTCGAAACGGAGTCTCGTTCTGTTACCCAGGCTGGAGTGCAGTGGCACAACCTCGGCTCACTGCAACCTCCACCTCCTGGGTTCAAGCGATTCTCATGCCTCAGCCTCCCGAGTAGCTGGGACTACAGGCACGTGCCATCATGCCTGGCTAATTTTTGTATTTTTAGTAGAGATGAGGTTTCACCATGTTGGTCAGGCTGGTCTTGAACCCCTGACCTCAGGTGATCCACCCACCTCGGCCTCCCAAAGTGCTGGGATTACAGACGTGAGCCACTGCGCCTGGCCCATTTAGCACTTCTTATATACTAGACACTGCTCTGAGCATGTTATAATATGAATTCACCTAATTAGCACAACACCCAAATGAAGAGGGTACTATTATCCAAATATTATAGACCAAGAGGTGTCAAAAGTATAAGTAAATTGCCCAAGGTCATGCCATTGGCCAGGGGCATGGCTGGGACCAGAAGGTGGCTGGCTGGCTCCAAGTCCTTGCTCTTGAACCACCTGCCATCCCAGATTGCTGGGAAGGTCAGTGTGTCAGAAAATTAAACCTAGGAAGAATTTATTCAAATATTCAAATAACTAGCCATGTTCTACTTCTCCAGAGGCTGGCCTTGGGCAATTTTAACCCTCCAGAATATAATTCCAACTGTGGCTGCATTTCCTTAAAACAAAAAACAACAAAGGAAAAGAAAAAAAAAAGGGCTGTTGGGTAACCAAAGTTGTCAGAAAGTCCATGCAATTCACTCCACGGGAGAAACCCTCTATGAGAGCCTCTCATCAACTGATATGCACCTGAACGATCTGCATTACTTGTCTAGATTCGGAAGGTTCAGAAGCCCAGAGAGTTCCAAGGCAAAAGCAACAACAAGCAAGAAGAAACAGAAGAAATGATGATCACTACTGAAGCTAGAGAGAGAAAGTTTCTTAGATACAAACCCTAAAAGTACTCTAGGCCCACAGAAAGTAGGAATGAAGGCCTGACATATACCTCAAATACCTCTGAGCATCTCAAACCACAGGGATAGAAACACAAAGCTTGACAGGCCTCCCTGGGTTTACCAATGACAGGCCTGTGTCCGGTCACACAGAATCACATGAGGACATGCCAGGCTGAGCCCACCACCCAGTAATATTCATCAAAATCTCGTCTGGAAGTGGCATACAAGAAGAACAGCCTGAAGAACATTCAAACAGAAGCCAGAATGGGAGAGGGCTAGGCAGCCGGTGTGCATTATAGCCTTTCTCTGTAGAACAGCATTTACTAAATGTAAACTACACACTGGTGTGGCCTTTGCTAATTGCTGCGGGTGTGATGTTTGACTCGGCGGACTGCATCTTCCTTCATGAACACCTGCCAACCTGAGCAGGGTCCCAGACCTGCCCTCAGTGAGCCTAGCAGGGGTCACCCCGAATAGATCAGTATCAAATAAGCTGTGTGAATGTTGAGACCTTTTATGAGGTTTCTGTGGAATTCTCTGATCATGTAATTAACACTGTTACTCTTCACTGCTGCTGTATTTTTAAAAACCTCTTCTATGTGAGATTTTGCTGAGATGTATATGAGTGGCATGTCCACCTTTAATGGTCAACGTTTGTGTCACCTATACATTTCCTTGTTCTTAATTTGCTTTCGTTTAAATGTAATTTAAAAATGGACAAATTAGCAAAACGGTGCTGCAACTGTGGCTGTATTTATACATGGCCTATACTGATAATTAGCAGCCTATACGGACAATTTTTTTTTAAGTTCTCTAACATTCTTGTATGTTTCTCAGCTTGTGGCAAGGATGTTGTTTTATCAGGTCAGATGTCCCTGTGTCCGCTCTGTGGGGAACTCCTTAGAGTCAACCCTGTTGCATCTTAGTACCAAGACCACTTACATTTCTCCTTGGCAACAGACTCAAAGTATCAAGCATGCTGGTCATCTTGGCATGAATATCTACGCTCATTCCAGGCTCCATTTTGTGCCTTTATCTTTCTGCCTCTTCCTTTTCTTTTTTTCATTTATTCTAGCTTGTATTTCCAACTTCTTTGAAGGCCACCTTAAATCCTTTCTGGAATAAGGTCAAGAGTGAATACATGAATAAATGAATGAATGAATGAAATGCAGGTGCAGAAGCTGAGTTCAGAGATCATCCAAGAGGCAGTTCCTAACAGGTTAGGATCTATGTCTCCTGACTTCTACTTAGTGCCCTTTAAATAATTTATATTAATAATGTGATTCCCAATCATTAAGACCCTACAAATTATATTTAAAATATTCTGTTTATAAAAAGAAAAAGTATAGATGTTGGATAAAGGAGACTTTTCTGAATAAAGAACTCACCAATAAGATAACAATTTTGTAGCAGTGGAACAGAAGGAAGTCTTTATACTGTTAAAGCCCCTGGGAGGTGTCAATAGACTTATTTTGATCCCACACTTATTTTATGTAACACTGGGGATATGTCAAATCCCTATGTTAGGTTACAATAACTAACCCAGAGAAAACATTTCAAATCGTGATTTTTGTAAAGTCAAAGGATGCTAAACTCAAAGTTGTCATCAAGAAGTTGGTACTTCAATTCTGTGTCACATTTTATTAGCATGGTATCATGGCCATTTTTTAGAACAATATGCTCTCATCAGTCATGAGATATCACTTCGCTTTGAATGTTCTGAGACAACTGAAAGAAAGTATAAAGAGAATGCATAAGTATGATATCAATTTCCAGAGGGGAAAAAATGAAAAAGTAGACAGTTTAAAAGGTGAAGAGTTCAAAGCTGCAACCTGTAATTCAATTCATTCAGATAACAGAGCCTCATGTCTTCCCCCTCACAGGTAGCATCCTGGCACTTTAAAATTTCCTGTAGAATAAGAGGCAGTAGCATAAGCAGTGTAGAACAAATTTCAAAAGGAATAGATATTATAAAAGATTTATTAGATATTAAATGAATTTAGAGGCTAATGATTTTAGAAAACAAACTAGAGGCAGTACCAAGTTTCAAGAAACAGAATATAGCTCAAAGATTTTTATAGACTTCACTGCAAGCAAAATGCAATTGATCATATTTGCAAAGATTGGAAGAATAAGCAACTGCCAAGAAAGAATCCATGATATTAGAGCATCATGCATGAACATAAAGTAATGCTTTTAAAGGGATGTTTAAACAGACATCTAGGAGCTCACAAGTCCAGGCCAGTGCTGCCTTCGAAGCAGATACTTAGTAAGTGTGATTGTTTATACTCGAGAATCCTTTTATTAATATATTCAGGACCTGCGGCACTTTATTTTGAATACCCATTGTGACAGCCAATTTTTACCTTTGGGGGATTGGGAGCTATTTAAGTTAAAAACACCGTGTGACTCTGCTATGAATGGAAAGTTTGTGTCCCCCAAAATGCTTACGTTGAAACCCTAATCCCCAAGTGATGGTATTAGGAGGTGGGACCTTTGAGAGCTAATTAGGTCATGAGCTTAGAGCCCTCATTATGTGATCAGTGCCCTTATTAGAAGTGACAGAAGAGTGCTTTTGATCCTATCCCACCCACCATGACCCTGCCAACACACGTGAGGCTACAGTGAGAAGCTGGCTGTCTGCAAACCAGGAAGAACCTGACCATACTGGCACCTTGATCTCAGACTTCAACCTCTAGAACTGTAAGAAATAGATTTCTGTCATTTAAGCTACCCAGTCTACGGTTTTTTATGACAGCTCAAGCTGACTAAGGTCCTAAAAGCAACAATGTGTGTATGTGTTTTAAACACCAGTTGTGAAGATGATTCCTGGGATGTTGCAACAGCAGACATGTTCATACCATATGACTACAATTTCTCCAAGTGACTTAGTTGTTACGTTATTTTTATACCATGGATGTTATCTTGATAATAGCGATGCTATGGCCACCACCACACATTGAGTATCTAGTGTGTGACAGACACTGTGCTAAGCACTTGACATGCAATTTCCTATTTAATCTTTAGAATCCATATTAGGTGTTATTATTATCCCGACTGTATAAACAAAGAAACTGTGGCTTCAAAATCCAGGCAGGGTGTGGAGGCTCACACCTGTAACCTTAGCACTTTGGGAGGCCAAGATGGGAGAACTGCTTGAGCCCAAGAGTTCAAGACCAGCCTGGGCAACATAGCAAAACTCCACCTCTATAAAAACACAACTTAAAAAAATTGGCCAGGCATGGTGGTGCATACCTGTGGTCCCAGCTACTTGGGAGGCTGGGGTGGGAGGACTGCTTGAGCCCAGGAGGTTGAGCATGCAGTGAGCTGTGATCACGCCACTGCACTTCAACCTGGCAACAGAGCAAGACCCTGTCTCTAAAAAACAACCAAGACCAGAAGTCACATGCTTAGTAAGCGACCTGGCTGGGATTTGAGCCCAGGATTGTCCAACGCTGGACTTCATGCTCTTATACTCCATGGTGAAGGAGGCCTCTCACAGCGCGGGCTGGGCCTTGGGAACATGTGCTCTACCAGAGAAGCTTGTGCTGGAATTTACTCCAGGAGAGACAGATTGCTGCTCCCAAGGATGGTCTACTTTACCTCCAGTGATTACAATGGAATTATGCTCGGGGATGAAAAGGGGGCAAGAAGCAGACCAACACCCACCTTCTAAAATCAGAGAGCTTGCTCCGTAGCAGATTGTGAATGGCGTGGGCCCTGCTGGGGCCAGGACAGAAGAACCAGTGACAGCAAAATAGGATTCGGAGGTGTAAATAGATACATACTCAGAGGTCAACACCTAATCTCTGGCACAGGCAAAAACTTCTGCAAAGTTGCCAAATCTTAAGCTGAATGATTTTAAAATCAGAGTAGTGATAACTGAAACTATTACACAAGAGTATTTAGGTTAAAAGTGTTATACAAATAATGAATGACCTTTATAGCACAAGCATGCCTAAAGGTTAACTGCCAGGAATCTGGCCACTGTAATTTTAGAACACAGGGTTAGAGGAGATGTTTATGTGAAATGTGTTCTTCTTGTTCTCTAACTATATATTTAAATCTCTGGCCTTGGTGAGAAATCGCTACGCATGTTAATCTTCTTGGAGTTTCAAATAAAGATCAAGAAAAATTACCTGGTGGTATTTCTTCAGGATGTTGTGCATTTCGGCCACGTCTTCACTGGTAATAGTCTTGATGATGTATCTTTTGTCGTAGGAAGTGTGAAAACGAGCTCCACTGCGGGCCTGGGAGTCGTTGGGGAGGGGTGCGCTCCTGGTCAGGGAATTCTTCCCGGGTGGGGTAAGAGGGGAAGGAAGGCGGGGGAAGATAACTAGTTAAAGGTGTGGCTTTCCGATTCCCAGATAATTTGTCATCATTGCAAGTTTTCAAAAACATTTGTGTGTGGGATAAATTGATAAGTAGGATGACAACATTTTTACATGCATCATAACTCACATTGCAAGCCTTTCAGATGAAATGAAAACAGCTTGAATTGTACTATGATTCTAATATCTTTAAAGCAGGCTAATGTCTAGAATTATAATCAAAGTAACTTTAATCACTTAGTTCTTTTCAGAGTTGGACAAGCTCTCAAAGTTTTCTTCTGAATAAAATTAGGTTCCAGTCATAAAAGAAAATTTTACAGTCACTGAGCATTTCCTTATATGACAGGTATCGTGCCAAGCATTTTGCACAGATTATTTCCCCCAATTCTGATAACATTCCCATGCAATGGTTACGATTGCTATCATCACTATTTTACAGATGAGGAGATGGGAATAAGAGAGGCTTAGTATCTGGGCAAAGGGCATATAGCTAATAAGGGAAGAGCTAGAATTCTGACTCCAGTGTGGCTGGCTCAGAATCCAAACTCTCAACTAGTAAACTACTCAACTAGTAAAGTACTTAACTTGCAGACTATGCTACCTGTGTGCCCCAGGAGGAGGAGGCAGGAGCCTGGGAGAGTGTCTTCTAAAACAGCTCCTCCTTAGGCGATTTGAATTTGGTCCATCCTCCACTCCCTACCACCATTTTTGAGAACTACTGATCTCCTGGAGGGTGGACAAGGACGGGCTCTGAGTAGGGGCTCTGCTGACATCATTCACTCCAAGATCTGGTTCATGCTAGTGACACTGGCTAGGTAGGTCTACCCTTCTCCTCCCATGTGACTCTTCCGTTCAGATCTCCTCTTTCTTACATCCTCCAAGAAGCCTCCTCCTTGCCCCAACCTCTTGACAATGGCCGTCCAGCCATGGGGTCTAGCAAACCCCTGGCCCCCAGAAAGTCTCGTCTCCATCCTTGCCGACTGCTCCTGAGCAGTGACTTTCACTCCTTGCCTGGCCCTGCGGGATGGCCTGTGTGGGATTCAAAGGCAAACATGCTTTCTCTCTTTAACTTGCTCTCTGAAGTGGGCATTCAAAGGCCTCAGTGGCCAAATGCTGTCAAGTTAAGGGAACACAGATACCTTCAGAGGGGCAGGTGATAGATAGCTCTGCCCATGAATTTGCAAAAGAAAGAGTGCCTTTCTGTCTAGTATATTCCAGTCTCTTTATCCTTTCCTTCCTTTCTAGATGAAATCAACAGGACTGAACCACCTGAGGTAGAATCCATTGCAGCAGTGCAGGGGTTTACGCAGGCCCTACCTATGCCTGAAGAGAAAAGTGGCCCATGAGCAAATCTTCATCTTCCAGGATTCTCACCTCACCACCCTGGCACCCCCTGTGGTGGATCACACGTTCTGCAATAGCACACCTTGATCTGAAGGCAAGCAGGCGCACCTGCCAGATGCAGAGTCCAGGCCACCAAGTAACTGAATTTGCTTTCCTTAGCTTATTAGAAAACTTGAGAGAAGGAAAAAAAAAAATCTACATAATCCCCAATGACTTTAAATAGCAAGACTTGGCAGTGTTCAGTTATTCTTAAGACAACTAAAATTTATTAGATAGACTGAGAATGATAAAAATGACTTTCAGGATGAAAATGCCTACATTAACAAGAGTTTAATTCTTAATTACATTTTTCTTTCCTAAAACATGAACAAGATCTCCTTTATACTACTTCCCACTTAGAACAAAAAGGAAGAAAATCAAAGTGAATTTCCCCTTGTGGGGTTTTAAATGCTAGCCCCCAAAAAGCAATTATTGCTCTTTGTTAGTGGTCTTACTTTTTTCTTGCAATCACTAATTTGCAAAAGGGTATTTCTTTCAAATAAAACAAGAACTCTAGGAACTGTAAGATTGCAGATTATCTTTGGGCATAAAATCAAAGTGGGAACAATCAAGTTTATGAAAGCCAGGTGGAGCAGACCAAGTGGAACAGACCTTAAACTCTGTCAAACTGACAATACGTGTAAAACAACTTTTGGGGGATGGGGAATAGTAAAGGAGAACTGTATTCAGCACAGGATAGAATTCCAGCAGCCTCAGTTTCATAGATCGTTTTCTTATGCACATTAGATAGGACAGTATAACGTCCTCTCATGGGCCAATAGGGTGAATCAAAAGCTGCATAGTCAGTGCATCTCAAACTTAACAAGCAACTGAATCACCCAGGGATCATGTGAAAATGCAGATTCTGATCCAGCAGGTCAGGGGTGGGGCATTTTCAGAAGTAGATGCTGCTGCTGGAGTGGGTCTGCAGACCACACATGAGAACCAAGGTCTACAGAATGGTGTTTACCCTGTGTTTTACTGGCATGCAGCACGTAAAGTCTAGCGTATTAAGTACATTATAATTACAGACTTACCGGCACTCATGCCTTTCCCATTATATTCTCTACACCTCTAGTTCGATTAAAATGGGAAACTTTATAGTTCAGAATAATAATTCATGGCATTTACTTTACTAATTAAAGAAGGGTTTAATAATACTATGTACCAGTACCAGGACAATGTACAGGGTTTTTTATTTTTATTTTTTGAGACAGGTTCTCACTGTGTTGCCCAGGCTGGAGTACAGTGGTGCGATCTTGGCTCACTGCAGCCTTGATCTCCTGGACTCAAGTGATTCTCGTGCCTCTGCCTCCTGAGTAGCTGGGATTATAGGCATGTGCCACCATGCCCAGCTAATTTTTTTATTTTTAATAGAGACAGGGTTTTGCCATTCTGGCCAGGGTGATCTCGAACTCCTGGCCTCAAGTGATCTATCTGCCTGCCTTGGCCTCCCAAAGTGCTGGGATTACAGGCATGAGCCACCATGCCCAGCGCAACATATGGGTTTATAAAGGGCTGGAAACGTAAAAGCAAATAATGTAGGAACTCCTTAGCTCAGATACTACCTCTTCCCCAGTTTGTGCCTTTTCTTTCAATTTCAAAGGCATTACTATAATCATATATGCAGACACTGGATTAGGATATCAGCCATGTCTTCACCCTGGGATATAAAACCTTAAAAATTCGAATCTTGATTCTGTCTCAAATCACCATTTTAATAATCCACGTGAGTAGCCCCAACCCACACTATCTGAATATTTTTAAGGTTCATGAACATGAAATAACCAATGAAGTTAGGAACACTGTGTCAAAACATAGAATGTACCTTTCATATCACTATGAATATAAAAATACATAAATCAAGTGTATTAAAAGCCTTATCTGATAAGGAGGAAATCAAAAGAGTTCATGCAATTCTATACAAAACACCTGATCCTTGGAATGATTCTAAGGCCTGGAAAAATCCAACTCATTATTTCATATTTATTTTCACAATATTCCTGTGAGAGAGGAAAAGCTAGATCCATTTTTCCCACCTCAAGATAAAGAAACTAGTGTACAATGGAGCCAAGCAATGTGCCTAAGATTCCTGTCTAAAGCTTTCTATGAACTAACCAAAAAGGGCGATTTACAAAGATAAGACTAAACTTCTGTCATCATAATCATAGACTTTTTGTAGCCTTTAAAATAAAGTAAAATTGTTTATGTATTTTTATTATCATTTACTTTCTTGCCTTCTTCCAAGGCATGCAGCAGACATGTGTTTTTAAAGGCAGCACAGTGGCTCATGCCTGTAGTCTCAGCGCTTTGGGGGCTGAGGTGGGCGGATCACTTGAGGCCAGGAGTTCGAGACCAGCCTGGGCAACGTGGTGAAACCCGGTCTCCACTAAAAATACAAAAATCAGCCAGGTGTGGTGGTGCATGCCTGTAATTCCAGCTACTTGGGAGGCTGAGGCACGAGAATTGTTTGAACCTGGGAGGCAGAGATTGCAATGAGCCGAGATCACACCACCGCACTCCAACCTGAGCAGCACAGGGTAATGGTGAGGGCACTGGTCTGAGATCTAGAACATTCATCAGTTCTTGTAGATTGCATTTAGTCTCTTTGAGCCTTAGTTTCCGGGTCTATGAAGTGATGGAAAATAAGCTTGGGGAGAGAACAGGCTGAATTAGACCTCTACCTTGGATCTTTTATGACTCTAAAAATGGATTTACTCAGCCGGGCGCAGTGGGGCACGCCTGTAATCCCAGCACTTTGGGAGGCCAAGGCGGGCAGATCACCTGAGGCTGGGAGTTCGAGACTAGCCTGACCAACATGGAGAAGCCCCGTCTCTACTAAAAATACAAAATTATGCAGGCGTGGTGGGGCATGCCTGTAATCCCAGCTACTCGGGAGGCTGAGGCAGGAGAATCGCTTGAACCTGGGAGGCGGAGGCTGCAGTGAGCTGAGATTGTGCCATTGCACTCCAGCCTGGGCAACAAGAGCAAAACTCCGTCTCAAAAAAAAAAAAAAAAAAAAGGATTTACTCGAAGACTCGACTCGTTGCTCTAGGAAATGCTGTAAAGCATGGGCCTCGGAAGGTGACTCAGGACAACCGTCCCAAGAAACAGAGTCCGATCAGAAGACAGTACAACCATCATCTCAGCAGGGGCCTAATGATGGTTTAGGACACCTGGGCTGAGATGAAAGAGAACATGCAGTGAAAATAACACTTCACAGATTCCAGATGTATTCAGGACAACGTCAGCTAGAACGAGCACATGAGCTCAGGGAAGGAGGTCTTATATCTTCAACACAGTCACTGTGCTGCCTCAAAACAGTCTATCTACTGACACTGAATAAGAAACTCCTCAGTGTGCTTTGTTTTGTTGCAAAGGAAAAAGGAATCACAGCATGATGTTGGATGCTTGGACAAGTTGGGAGGCCCTTGATGGAAACAGAGCTTGGGAGTGACCTTCAGGTGCCCCCGAGGGGTCCCTCCATGTATAAATAAACCTCAAAGAGCATTAGAGTTGGAAGCAACCTTGGAGATGATTCCAAACCACTCAATATACAGATAAGAAAACAGACCCAGAGAGCAGAAATGACTTGCCCAACTCAGTTCTCCAACATCAGGTGGGCTGGTGTACATGGAGGGCCCTGCAGGGGCCCTGCCCAGAGCCTCCATCTCCCCCTGCCGTGCTGCTTCCCTGCCTGGGCTCCAGAGTATGGTGGGCATTATGAAGGGACAGTCATTTTTCTATAGTGACATACACCTTCTAATGCCAATTTAGAGTGTGAGCCAGCTGGCACAAAACCAAACCTGTCTTCAGGTTTTCGATTTTGCCAAGTAAAGTGTGTAGAAAATATCAGTAACAGCCACAGTGCTAATGCAGTCCGGAGTCTGTTATTTACACTTTTATTAACATGTGTACAAAGCTATCTGAACTCATTCTAGGACTGTTCATTACTTTACATTAACTGAGTAGGAAGAGTAGGAGCTGTCTTCTCTCCACGCAGGAGCTGAGACAGATGTGTTTGTGGAATAAGCCTTTGGGACAGGAAGACCGTGCTGCTGAGCCCTGGGCCCAGAGTCAGGCACTCACACAGCGTAACACAGGGCTGAAGGAGGACCAGCACTTAGCATTTCCTGTGAGTCCTGTTGACTGTGGTGACGATGTCAACCCTAAGAATTCTTCACATTTCTGACCATGTGGCACACTGCATCATGTCTATTTAAATTAGTTTATGTGGTCTGAGAATTGTCGGAGGTTCTTGTTTTCCTCCTGTCACTGGTTTCTGCCTTTAGAAGACTGTCCCATCCACTTTCTCTGCTTACAACTCCACAGATTTTCTTCACAAAGAATGCCAAAGTTGAAAGGAGCAATCTTTTATACTGGGAGTGCTGAATTCTGGGTTACTCTATATTCTATATGCACTCTCTATACTACTAAGCTGGGAGGATTAAAAAAAACGAGAAGGGAAAAAAAGAAATTAAGATGAAATTTGCAAGTTAAGACCAGCTCTGCATGGAAAAAAAAAAAGCCTAGCAGAAGACACCATTTAGAAAAATTCTTTCTCTTCTCAATCACCTAATTTAAAAGGGCAAATCTGAGATGAAGCTGATCCTACCTAAGGCCTTAAAAACACCCTTTAGAGGGCTGGTTTAGTCCTCTTCATCTCCAAAGTAAAATATTCACTTTCTGGAACACTTACCCTTATCTACCTGTCTGTCTTCAGGAGAAAGCAGCCAGATAAAATTACCCAGTGAAATCCACCCAGGCTTTGGAGAGATCTACTCTCATTAAAAATCAAATTCCTTGTCATGGACACACTTGGAGAGTTATATGGTCTGCAATAAAGTGACATTATTTAAATTCAAAATTGGGGGCTGGGCACAGTGGCTAATGCCTGTAATCCTAGCACTTTTGGAGGCTGAGGTGGGAAGATCACTTGAGGCCAGGAGTTTGGGACCAGCCTGGGCAGCATAGTAAGGCTCTGTGTCTACATAGCATTAAAAAATTAGCCGGATGTGGTGGTGCGTGCCTGTAGTTCTAGCTATAAGGAAGGCTGAGGTTGGAGGATCACTTGAGCTGAGGAGTTCGAGGCTGCAGCGAGCCATGATTGTACCACTGCACTCCAGCCTAGTTGACAGACAGAGACTCTGTTAAAAAATAAAAACAAACAGACAAAATTGGGGATTCTGCACCTATCAGTTCAAAAGTGACAGTAAGTTATTTCCTAAAGGCCTCAATAATAACTTACATGTTAAAAGGAGAATTTAAAATTTCACAAGGAAGTTTCAGATTGAAAATTCCCAGCCCACAAGGTCTTCCTTCTATTGCTGGCCCCTGCTCACTTCCCTGTGACCTCTCAAACCAGACATGGGCAAAGGACATAGATGACGACAAAACAGAATGGACCCAGGAAGCAGCCTCAGAGTGTCAGGGTGATCCATCTCAACAGCAATGGGCTGAAGTCAGGGCTTTGCGTCCTCCCTCCAACTCACCCTTCCCACCTCCCTTACTCTGTTATCTGATTATCTGCAAAGAAAGACAGCTGGACTTAATGGTCTCTAAGCTTCCTGCTCATTCTTCTAATTATTATTCTGCTGTCAGTTTGTAGAGACTTAGGGAATGGACGATGATTTACTATTAGTTTATGGGAAAAAAATCTAATAATCAACATGCACAAACTGCAAAAATACACTTTCTTCATTGGCTATTCCTTTTCTTCTTTCTATACATTTGATAGTTTCATATTATAAATTACGAAATTAGTTAAAGTCACCTGTTCTAAATAAAAATACTGATACCATAACCCATCCCAAAAAAACAACAACAGCCAAAATCAACTTTGGGAAAAACTGTCTCTTATCGAATAAATTAAACTAGTTTCAACCTTTTGGGAAAAAAACGTCTCTTACTGAATAAATTAAACGAGTTTCAAACTCCAAGCATTCTTCTTCCTTGAGATATGACTCACATATCATATGACTCACCTATTTAAAGTATACAACTCAACAGTTTTTAATGTTTTCACCAAATCATGCAACCATGACCACAATCATTTTTAGAGCATTTTCATGACTCCAAAAAGAAACCTGAACCTATCTGCAATCACTCCCATTCCTTCCCCTATCCCCCAGCCTAGAAAGGCCACTGATCTTTGTCTCTATATATCTGCCCATTCTGGACATTTCATATGGATGTAACCATACATTACACAGGTGTTTGTGACTGGCCCAAACATTGATCTTTCAAGTGCCCTAGCCTAGACACACTCATCCACCATGAGGCTGTCTCTGGATGAGTGAGGTGACCTGGCAAGTGCTCTCTACTCAGGCCAGCACCCATACACGATTGCAGTGGACACATCACAGCCAATAAATGTTGCTTCTAAGTTTGCTCCTAGCATAGGGAGCTAGAGAAAAACGAACAGTTGGACAAACATTCAAGTTCTAGGGCAAAGCTGTATGATGCAGGGCAGGTAAGAGTATGACAATTTAGTTCATTTTCGCCTATTTTGCAACGTGGTGAATAAATGTACTTTTCCCATAGCCAAATACCTTTCCTACCTTACACTATCCTAGCTCAAACCACAAAAGCTGTTTGAGGCTCTGGTGCTATCTCGGTCCTCTCAACAGCAAATAAAGGAAGGCAATGATAGATGAAGCTCCCTCTGTAATGCCTTTTTACATTTATAACTGGAAATTTATTGTCCTTTCCCTTAAGAAAAGGATTAACGATGCTGTCCTTTCCCCCTTCCTCTAAACGTCTGCGCTGAAGATGTTTATTTCCGCAGTCGGAGGTCCAGGATTAGTGGAGCCCCCAGAAGGGGGAAGGAAACATAAATGTCAATTTAATTAGCTCATTCTTACCGCCAATCTTTTCTCTCTCTCATAAAAGTGTCCTCATTTAGTAACAGTTACTTTTCCCTGCATTTTTTAAACAACCAAGCATTTTGCATATTTAATTCTCTTGAACTAATCACGTAAGTCTTGTATAATTTGTTTTTTTTTTCCATTTTGATGGTCGTTTGTATACATTCTGCTAAAAATCATGTATGAAAAGTTTTCATTTTTGGTTGAAAGAGGGGCCACTTAAACTTTGCCATGCTCAAATGTGTAAAGCCACCCTCGTATAAGGGAACATGCCAATACCGTGCAGAACTCACGTGACAGCCATCTCCTCACGGTGGCACAGTAATAGATTTAGAGACCTGACAGCTGGGGGGCCGGAGAGAGCACTGTGTCCCTCTCCTCATGTTATGGATGAGGAAACTGAGACCCACCAGGGGTGAGTGAGTATCTCATGGTCACAGCATCAGTCACTGAAGATCCAAGACTCAACCAGGCCTCCTAACTTCCCGGAAATATTCTTTTCCCCAACCCTGGCTACCTGTTTCATGGACTGGAAATCTGGAAACCAATCACTGCCCTGCTGACAGCTCAGGATTATGATTACATGCCTCGAATCACACGGCCCAGGAGACAGGAGCAACTTGTCTGGAGAAGGCTGCTTTCTGGGTCTGCAGTTGACATATCTGAGCGAGCACAGATGGTCCTCTGACCCCGCCAGAGAGTTGAAGACCAATGTGGAACTTGAACATCATCATCAAGGATTTATTAAATGCCCACTGTGTTCAAAGCCCTGTGTTAAGCTCTTGGGGAATTTCAAAGAAAATCTAAGCTGTGATCTCAAGTGAAGAATAGCTTTCATTATAGAGGGGAGCAAGACACAGTGCAATTTAACACTTATCAATAATGAAACAACTTATCAGAAAAAAAGAATATAAAAATGAAAGGCAATGACCAACAGAGAAAGCAACAGAGTTGCAGAAACTTCACAGAGTGCCATGAGATCATCTTCTAAATCTCAGCTGCTGTTTCACGATGATTAAAACACCAGGGACCCAGCCTGGGCAACAGAGCGAGACTGTCTCAAAAAAAAAAAAAAAAAAAAAAAAAAAAAAAAACAAACCAGGAACATGTCCCCAAGGCTCACGGTAAACACAGCGTTTAACCTGGAGAGAAGCACCCAGTAGCAAGGATGACTGGCTGTCAGCTCTCTGTCAAAAGCCACGAGGCAAAACCCAAAGCAGGTTTGAGGCGGGAAACACAGGCTAACAGGAAGCCTGGGGTCCCAGGTGGGGGCAGGTGGTGGTAGGAACAGTAATTTGCTCAGTTCATAAACAGGACTTGAAACAGTGCAAGAAATGCCTGCTGACCCTGATGGGCTGTGAGGGAGCTTCCCCCAGTCTATCAAGAGGCTGTCCAATCAGAGAGGGGCCTCCCTTGGGTCTCAGCCTCAGTGCGTCTCTGAGCAGGGTGGAGTTTCCTTCCAGGGCAGCTAACCTGTGAGGACAAATGGAGCAAACCCAACAGGCAACTACTAGTGATAAAGGAATGACAGTGCTTAGGCATTAGAGGAGCAAGCACAGGGGTGATGGTGTAGGTTGAGCATTAGAGTTGGACCAAGGAGGAGTCCCACAAGCACGACTGTGCCAATCCTCACCACAGCTGGACCTCTGCTCCAACCTCATTCAGAGTTGTGACCCAGAATGCCCAATGCAGGCCACAAGCCTCACCAGGTATCCTACCACTACGGTAAGTCAACAGGTCAAAAACTCAACTCCATCTTCCTTTCTATCCACCTGTAGCCCCAAACATCCCTCCCTCTGTGACCCGCATCCCTGCTCTCTTAGCTTTCAGGTCCCAGTGCCTCTGTGGCTCTTGTCCTTTGCCACTGGCCACTGAACCTGTGGGTTTACTTCTCTCAATGTCTTTTCAAGCTGCTCCGTGCTTTACATGGTGGGTGACGGAGGCTTGGCTCACTGGGATTTCATGGCCTCCTGATTTCCTTATCTCCCTTCTATGCATTCTATAAATTACAATGCAGTTATCTTTAGAAAATACAGACCTCGGGTGGGTGCAGTGGCTCACATCTGTAATCCCAGTACTTTGGGAGGCTAAGGTGGGTGGATCGCTTGAGCCCAGGAGTTCGAGACCAGCCTGGGCAACATGGCAAAACCCTGTGTCTTCAAAAATTACAAAACTTAGCTGGGCATAGTGGCACATACCTGTAGTCCCAGGTACTCAGGGGGCTGAAGTGGCAGGATCGATTGAGCCCAGGAGTTGGGAGGCTGCAGTGAGCCAAGATTGTGCCACTGTACTCCAGCCTGGGCAACAGAGTGAAACTCTGTCTATAAAAAAAAAAAAAGAAAAGAAAAGAAAAGAAAGAAAGAAAAAGAAAAAAGAAAAGAAAAGAAAATACAGATGTCATGACATTGCCATTCCCCTGAGCAAAACCCACAGGGCTGCTCGCTGGCAGCAGAATCGGCCCAGTGTCCCTGGTGTCTTTGTGTTTCTTGCTATTTTAACATCTTTATCTCCCACTATTCTGCCACCATCCAAATACCTTCACATTTCATGGGCTCTCCTGCCTTCCGCTTGGGCCCAGAGAGTTCACTTCTCTTCAAAGTCCCCATTAGCCCTCACTCTCTTTCACAAGTATTTCTTATTTACTTATTTATTTTTCATGTTTTTAGAGATGGTGTCTCACTGTGTTGCCCAGGCTGGTCTCGAACTCCTGGGCTCAAGAGATCCTCCTGCACTGGCCACCTGAGTAGCTGGGATTACAGGTGTGGCCACTGTCCTGACTGCAAATATTTCTTAAGTGCCTGCTGAGCCCAGCATTGTGCTCAACGGGTGACAGGCAGCCAGCAAACACAAACACTGCTCCTGCCCTCAGGCAGTTTAAAGTCAAAAGTGAGAAATCTACAAGTGAAAGTTTCAGAGGATAGACTTGATATTCTAGAGATAAAGGCAGAATTCCTGCTGCCCCACTTCAAGTTTAGTATACACTGAAGGTCTTAACACTTTAGAATTTTATTTCTAAACTTGAAATAAGAATATCAAAAGTTTAAAATGTTAGCTCTTAAAATTAATTATTTTAAAATTAGAATTCTCTGTTACAAACACAAAGAAGAAAGGGCATCAGATGTCAATAATGAGGGATTCTAATTCAGGAGTCACAGTAGGGGAAAAGCAAACCTGGTATTATCCTCCACAGTGAACAAGAGGCCTCACTTTCAAATGTGTGGTCTATTTAGGTTTAACAGCATCAGCTCCCTCCTGCATAACTTTTTGGTTTCTGGGAGGCAACCCTCTCTGGCAGCTACTAAATGTAACTGAAGCCTCCGTTTGACTTCCCAGGGCTGTTTAATGTTCTTCATGAAAATCTGCACCCCTCTTTCCAGTCTCTCTGGGTATAAACATAAGAGACGATCAAATGAGTATAAGAGACTGGAAAGAGGGGTGCAGATTTTCATGAAGAACATTACAAATCAAGATGCTGGGTTTCTGTAAATCTCGTTAGCATCTAATACAGAATCTGGTATGCAATAGTTTTTAAAGAAAGTGATGCTTCACCCTTTCTTCTCTCTGCATTCCCTAAAACGGCTAGCACAGAGCCTGACATGTGGTAGGTACAAACAAATACTTTGACTGGATAATTATGCATGAAATCCCAGACCTCAGGGTGATCAGGGCTTAAGGGGGCAGTGGTAATGGTAGACACAGGACTGCGGCTATAGTCACAGAACAGGCCTCCCAGGCAGCATTCATCCTGAAACACACCTTTAAAGTATGACGATGGATATCATGCTGGCCAAACAATGATCAGAACCTTGATGACACACTGATTCAACCCTGAGCATATTACAAACCTATCATGCAATTTAAAAATGCCCTAATGAATTGGAAAAAGTTCTGAATCTAGAAGCACTGGTTACACACATGCGCGAGCACACACGCGCGCACGCACACACACACACACACACACACACACAGAGGTTTACATATGTATGTTACATGGTACTGTGGTACTGTTATTAACAATGGATATTCTAGAATTGTTCTTTGAATTTGTCTTTAACAACAAGGAAAAGTCATTTTTAAAAGATATTCCAGAAATCAAAACCAGAGGAAAGATACAAATGTTTACTGAGAAAGCAGGAATGTTTTCATTTTTCATTTCATTATCCTTTTCATTTATCTTAAAAACTTTTTAAGAAGTTTAAATTCACCAGTAGGGGTCAACTGCATAGGTTACTACTTAACCATGCTCTGCTTTAATCAGAGTGGTCTCCACAGACCAATACCTACTTTTTTCAGGTGTAGCAAAAAGGTGGTCACACAAACAAGACAAGTCGGGACCATTTACCCACTTGGCTGAATGGAAAGGTCTGAATACGAGATAAACCAGACGATGGAGCCCCTAACCACCACATTGATTTAGAGCCGCTTGTCCAAAATGCAAGCAGTTTGGAAAAATAAACACAGCAGGCAATGCCTGTTCCCCTTCAGCTATCCAGTGTCCTCCAAAACACTATGAGAGCCTAGGTCACTGATCCTACTTTCCAAGTCAGTTGGGAAAGAGTATTCAAAAAGCAGCTCACATTGATAAGCTCAGAAAGAGAGTTGGTTTTTTTCCGATATACGCAGTCTTCAGCAGCCAGTACCCAGGAGTGACAGAGGCGGCCGGTGGGAGACTCTACTCAGCAAAGGCACATTGGCAAGCTCCAGGAGAGGAAAACAAGGTTGCTTTTAGTCATTTGGCGCCACATGTGCCAAATGATACCTGTTACTTGAACTGGGCATGAGGATTGAACTGTCTGGGCAGTAACAATGTGCCAGGCAGCTGAAGCCCCAGGTCCTGGCCCCTGCCCGCCTGCCGCCTGAATCCCTGCAGTATACAGGGGCCTGCGAGGTGACCCTGGAGCCAGAGCTGTCACAACGACCCTCCTTTCTTCCAAACCAAGTAGCCAAAAGACTGGGATACAGCCCCAGATTTACGATCCTGTTTTCAGCTGGAACTCAGGGTCCCTGACCCTACTGAAGAATTTTAAGAGGTACAGACACTGGGAAAGAAATATACGACTGAGGAGGGAAGAAGAGTATACCTCTGCAGTACTGAAGTGACTCTGAATACACACTTTTTCTTTCTTTTTTTTCTTTTTTTAATAGAAATACAGTTGCCAAAGAGAAAGCAGCAGGCAGAGCTAAGGAAAGGAGGAGTGTTCGAATGATTAATCACACTCACACCACTCTCCCCAACAGGGAGCTCTCATGTGAAGAGTTTAACGGACTTGCCAATTAGTTACTTGTGAATCATCCTCCACTTGCCTAATTTTCTTTCAAAGTTTGTACTCAGCAATTTGTACTGACTTCAATATCAACTTACGTAGTTTTCTTTGTAGGGCGAAAAAAAGGGAAGGAAAACCAGTTCATGTCTTTGCATTTCAGCAACTAAATTGGTCATTTGAGGAAATTTTAAAAACTACTTTTCTCTGCTGCAGTGCAGAACTCAGACCATAATGGGTTCATTTTGGATCTCATTTGACAGAATTGATTATGACAAGAAATAGAAAGACTTCATTTCAATAATGAATTGAGGAATCTAACAAGATAAGATAGATGCATGGGCCCTCAAAAGTCAGTTTCTGTGAAATGCCAGTGGAATTGTTTTATTAAAACAAAACCCAGCCAAACAAAAAAAGGACGTGGAGAGAAGGAGGAACACACTGGTGTTCAGCTTTTCTTAAGGCAGAGGAGATTTTCTTAAGACACTGAAGCTATCTGCTGTTAATTCCTTTAAAAAAAAAAAAAAAGCACCTAGTTCATTTTCAGGTGGCCTCTTTAAATTTAGTAATGGTTCTAAAGTGATACAGAATTATTAATTTTAACTTCAGAGAAATGCTTTTTACTATTCTAATAATTTTCTGTTAAAGTTAATTATTTTTACAGCAGTAAATTTCAAGTCCATAATTGTGATCTAAGTTCTCTCTTAAAAATTAAGCCCCAAGGCCAGGTGCACTGGCTCATGCTCTGGGAGGACGGCTTGAGGCCAGGAGTTTGAGACCAGCCTGGGTAACATAGTGAGACCCCAATCTCTACCAAAAAAAAAAAAAAAATTAGCTGGGCATGGTGGTGCACACCTGTAGTCCTAGCTACTCTGGACGCTGAGGTCGGAGGATCACTTGAGCCCAGCAGTTTGAGGCTGCAGTGAGCTATGATCACACCACTGTACTCCAGCCTGGGCAACAGAGCAAGACCTTGTATCAAGAAAAAAAAAGAAACGCCCTAACAGGAGTGTTGGCTCCCACGCAGTTTTAATAGCAGATGAGCAACCACATCCTTCCTGTCCCACTAGCCAGCCCTCAGCTCTTCTGTGTACACAGAGCCTCAGCTCAGGGTCTGGACCTCCATGTAAACCACAACCCCAGGCCATCATGAGACAATGTCACCGGCAGCCTGGTCAGCGCTGCTTTCTCCAAACATGGCAGCCTCTCTCATGCCTGAGTAAACATATGAAAAATTCCTGGAAATTTTTGGCAATGGTACAGAGAGGGCAGTGGGAGCACAGATCTTTAGGAAAGTGTGCTAACTATCTCAGTTTGCCTGAGGGACCCTATTCTTCAGAGGAAAATACAGGGTAAGCTGTATCAGTACTCAATCTGTAGTCACCCAGGGTGGCAATATGTCACTTAATGCAGGATAAATTCAGATCTTAAATTGAGGGCAGATTAGGACTAGATTTGAAGGGACTTAAGTCAGTATATGCTGAGCATCCTTTATTTGAAATGCCTGCAGCCAGTCGTATTTCAGATTTTTTCAGATTTCAGAATATTTGCAAAGATAATGAGATATCTTGGGGATGGGACCCAAGTCTAAACACGAAATTTATCTATTTCATATACACCTTATACACATAGCCTAAAGGTAATTTTATACAATATTTTAAATAATTGTGTACATGAAACAAAGGCTGTGTTGAGCACTTAACTGTGGAATTTTCCACTTGTGGCATCACGTTGATGATCAGAAAATATTCGATTTGGAAGCATTTTGGATTTCAGATTTTCTGATTGGGATACTCAACCTGTCCCTTGGATTTCCACTTTTAAAAAAAATCCTTAGCATTTACGAATCTGGCTCGCTATATGAAACTTGGGTAACCAATGTCAAATCCTTTCTCAGAAAAAAATGATCATGGCTCAACAGTTATTTAAAGAGTTAAAACAGATGTTTAAAAGTTAGAATGAAGGACCAGGCCAGTGTGGGGAGGAGAGCAGCAGTGCACATTTTTACGTGGTGGGAATCAAGATGAAGAGGAAGATGTACCACAGGACACGCCCAGGATGTTGGGTTCCTGGTGCTGACCACAGTGCTATGGTCACTCCACAGTCCAGCACTGCAGTGCACAAAGGGTGCCCTTTGACAAAAATGCTGCAGCAAGAGTCTGACCAACTTGAAAAGCAGCAAATCAGCAAGATAAAGATTCCTGAGAGTCCTAAGTAGCCTCTACGAAGATACAAAACATGCACACTCACACAGGCTACTGACATGTCTGACAGCAGAAATTAACAGGCAGCTCTGCTAGCCTGTTAATTTCCACCTGGAAATGAGAGTATTATATAAAACCCTCACATGCTCAGTCTCCTTCCAAAGAAAAGTAATATATTTTCCTACTGACTTTTATACCGGTATCATATGTATAGAGGTCCCCAATCAAGAGAACACTTTACTTCAGCATGAACATTAAAAACTTCTTACACAAAATGAAAATTACTATTATATAATACTTTTATTGACAAAAATACAGATCCCAATTGACACAGCAAAAGTCATGGCAAAACCCATTTCCTACTGGAAGCAAATGTTACAAACGCAACTCACCTGGAAATCTTGATCATCAATTCCAAACCTCTCCCGCAGGTTACGGAAGACCATCGGGCAGTATTCCTTAAACTTGAAATGGCTCGGCATGTTTTCTCTGAAACAGTCACAGCGTGGAATAAAGCTCAGAGAGAGTCAATCAGACTTGCATCTGCCACCACTGAGTTCCACAGGTAGCCAAAGAAGGGTTCAGAGTTCACTGCCTACCAAAAGCACAGGTGTGCTTCCTAGAACCAGGTACAACCCGCAGAAAGATCCAGGAGACACAGGGGGCCAGACGGATGTCTGTCTGTCTCCTTTGTCACAGGCACGCTTGGACTATGTGACCTCTTTAAATCCTGGCCACACACTGCAGCCATTCCTCAAAGAACAAGAGGTGGGGAAGGAACGGGCCAGGCAGGGGGAGCAGTGAGGGAAAAGCACAATGGCGGGAGAGTGAGTTAGGAAGAGGCAGCGGAGCAAGGTTCCCTCTCAGCTACTGCTGAGGAAAGGAGGGCCACTCCCTCACCCCCCTAAAAGGCCTGTTTTATATAAATGCCACATTCTAAATTTGCTTAGAGGAAATTCCCTGAAAGTCAGCTTCTAAACACTGTTATGAGAAAAATTAACATCAGCTTCACATAAGGACAATGGCCCCCTGAAGAAATTTCATAATTGGCCTGGCATGGTGGCTTACACCACTCATTTGTAATCCCAGCACTTTGGGAGACTGAGGTGGGAGGATTTCTTGAGGCCAGGAGTTTGAGGCCAGCCTGGGGAACATAGTGAGACCCCTGTCTTTACAAAAAGTTTTTTAAAAAATCAGCTGGGCATGGTAACCTGCACCCGTAGTCCCAGCTATTCAGAAGGCTCAGGAAGGGGGATTGCTTGACCCCAGGAATTTGAGACTGCAGTGAGATATAATTTCACCACTGCACACCAGCCTGAGCAACAGAGCAAGATCCTGTCTCAAAAAAAAATTTCATAATGATCCTCACATGGGAGTGATTTGAGGTTCACCCTAATCATTCAGAATTGTTTCCCTCTTTGTGTTCCCACACAACCAGATAAATTAAATTATACATATGCACACACCCCTCCCTTATCATACTTTGCACACTGAACTATAGCAGTTTGTATATGTGTCAGTTTTTGTACTCTGAGCCCCTTGAGGGCAGGGCCGTGTCTTCTATATCATTGCATCTCTAGCTCTCAATGGACCACCTAACATATAATAGGTGCTTCATAATGACGTCTAAAACAACATTCAAATGAAGGAGGAATGTTATCAATGCCCAACATGGCATCTAATTGTGCCTTATGAAAATGTACCTTGGGTCTTTATTGTTCTAAGATGGAGTCATTGCTGTTCATAAATCATCATTTTCAAAGTTCTGTGTACAAGAGCAGAGGTTCATAACTGCTCAAAAATCCAAGCAATTTACAGCTTCAAAAATTTGAATTATAATGAGAATATCACTTTCAACGTATAAGATATTCATAGAGAACAATATGCCATATGGCAAAGGATATTATCCCAGAGAGCCTGCTGTTGCTTCTCTAAAAATGACAGATGGTTATGTTTATCACAGGATTAACTTCATCAGCAAAACTTTACTCCCACCCATTGACAAATTATGTGATTACAAAAATTCACAAAACTTGTACTCCTAGCAGCCACGCTAGTCTTATGAAAGGTCATACTTGTACTTACTTGTTAAAAAGGTGATTGTCCACCTTTATTTTTGAATAGGCTTTGAAGTCATCTGGCATCAACATAACAGGGATTTGAACATGGCTCAGTTCATTGATCTGGAAAAATATAAAATAAATAGCATGGGTTATTACTATCCAGGTGAGGAGGACTTGACTTGAATGTGTACCTTGGGAAAAAAAACATGGTGGACACAGGAACTTCTCTTCCCACCCACCAACCCACCCTCCTTCCCTCTGCCATCATAATCTCTCTTCCTGCCTTCCTCATTCCCACTTCTTATGTCTGTCTGATGCTGGGTCCATGGTGGCCACCGGACGGCAGTGGTGAGGGAGAGTCAATCCTCATGCCACCTGTCCCTGCTTCTTGCCCATCCACTCTCCCTACCTTCCCTCCACAACCTCATCCCACAGACCCTTTGGTCACATGTCCAGGACAACTTCCTTCTGTAAAGAAAATGTTATCTGAGAAAGAAAGCTTTTAAATTTTTCACGTAAATATTTGTTGGATTAATGGACGTGATTTATATATTGAACTCATCTGTGTGCTCTTTACTTCCCTTACAGGAACTAAGTTTAAAAATAAAGATTGGGGTGGGGCATGAATTTACCAAAAGAAGAACCTCCATTCAGGGAAGGAAGAAGACACGTGGTCCCAGGACTACAAGAGAAGGAGGTGGGTTGGACATGAGTCAAGAACAAAAGCAAAGATGTGTTTCCAAAGGACAAAGGGTAAGATCAAGTTCCAGTGAATGAAAGGGACAGCTTTGGACACAATTTTGAAAAACCTGAACTTTCTCTTCGTTAACTATTTTTGCATGTTGACTTTCCTTGTTGCTAGCAATAAAAACCATGTCAAAGATTTATGCTTCCAGTAGGATAGAAGGCAGGTACGCTGAAGGATTCTCAGTTACAAAAACAAAACAAGCAAACAACAAAAGAATGAGCTGCTTGATAGAGCTATTTGTTTTTTTTAATCACATTGCTGGGTTCACAGACAGTAGAGGCAATCTCCAAGACACCTTTCTTCCCCCAAAGTGAGTTTAATCCACAGGGAGTGTGGGGACCATTAAGCAAGCCTGAAAGGAGGGACTCCGAGGACAAATGCCAGTTTCAACACTTACTTGGGCCAAACGAAAGCTGGGAGCTCAACAAAGGCTTCAACGTTAACCTGAGATCCTTGAAGGAAGCCTTTGAAAGTGGCCCCAACACCTGGTGGAAGTAAATGTAAATGATCTCCGGAGGAGAGCAACCCCTGCCAGGCCTCCAGGCTTCCCACAGATGAAGATCAATCAAACATGAGCTCACAGAGACAGCAACGACTAATTAATATTTTCAAGACTTTAGTTACTAAGATGATCAGATATAGAATTTTTTAAGCTGTGAGAAATTATACAGAAATAGAAGATGAACAAAAGATGATTATATTTGAAAAAATAATGATTCAGAATTTTCCACAATTAATGCACGTTATAAATCTGTAGATACAGTTGGGCACAGCAGCTCATATATGTAATCCCAGCAATTTGGGAGGCTGAGGCAGGAGGACTGCTTGAGCCCAGGACTTTGAGACCAGCCTAGGCAACAGAATTCGTCTCTAACAAATAAAAAAATAACAAAAGTTAGCTGGGCGTGGTGGTGTGCACCTGTAGTCCCAGCTACTTAGGAGGCTGATGAAGGAAGATCACTTGTATCCAGGATTTCAAGGCTGCAGTGAGCTGTGATTGTACCACTGCACTCCAGCCTGGGTGACAGAGTGGATCCATGTCTGTTAAACAAAAAACAAACAACAACAACAAAAAAAAAACAAAAAAAAGCAGAATACTCAAAGCAATATATAAGTAAGAATACTCAAAGCATACCTAGATACGCTGTAGTTAAACTAAAGAAGGCCAAATGCAAAGAGAAGAAAGGAATGGTGGCCAGAGAGAAAAGGCAAACACAACAGAGGAATGATAGTGACAGCTGACAGCTAGCTTCTCAAACCCACTGAACAAAAACAGGAATCTAACGTCATATAGCTTCTCCAGTTCACTTTACTCAAGCATCTTATGATACTAAGTCATTCCCAGAGTATATCTATGAAAAATTAAAGTTTATGTATCCTTATGCTATCAGTGGAATATCAAAGTTTGAAAAATAACAGAAAAAGAAAATCATAATGGAAATCCAAGTCTTGTGATAATAAACACAATGCGAATGAAGCTGGATGCCAACTCAATCAGCACTTCGATATCTTGTGGAACAAGAGAAAGCGAAACCCAACGTGGAGGTGGGATCAGACACTGATTATTTAAATGCGCGTGATGTGTTCAGCAGATCCTCCAAAGCTTTGATGCCTCCTCAGGCTGCTTAAATCAGTATCACTTAAGAGAGTCTTCTCAGACAGGAAACAGGAAACCAGAAACTTTCTGCATCCTTTTGCTTTATGGTACCTGCTCTGGAACATGTTTTGTGGAGAAAATATGAAAACTTCAGCCAACATGGAATGAGTAAACTGAGAATTTTCCTTATTGATTTTCCTTCCCCACCCATCCTCGCGTCAGCACAACCTTTAAGAGTCCACTCTGTGCTGGGCACAGCTCGGACACCAGTCTTTGTCCTCTTGGGGCTTATGGTCCAGAGGGGCAGACACATTAACTGAAGAACTGCCCCAAGTGTTGAACTCTAACAATGACAGAGTCAGGAGGGAGAAGCACAATGGGCTACGAGCAAGTATGGAAAAGGCCCAGGCCAGATGGGGGAGGCATGTGAGGCTTCCCTGGGCAGCAATGGCTCGTGGAGAAAGGAGAGGGCAGGTGGACAGGGCTTCCAGGAAGAAGGCGAGTCCTAGAGAGGAGGGGACACTGTTAATGGGAAAACAGTGCAGAAATAGACAAGGTGCGTGGCATGAAAGGGATGAACAACAGGCCCAGGAGCACCGGGAAGCGGCTGCTGTAGAATTGCACCAGACAGAGGAGAGCAGCTCAGCAGAGGGCGGAGGCGGCAGCAGAAACGAAAGAAGCAGAGAGACTCCGGCATGCTGAAGTGCTGAAATCTATGGGGCTTGATGATGACAGACTAGAAATGTAGGGAAAGATGGAGGGAATGCTGCATGCATGCGGGGGAAGCTGGTGGGTCCAACGACTGGCACAATGCATCTTAAGAGAAGAGTTCAGTTTTGAGCTTGTTAAACTTCATGCGCTCTTGGGACATCTAAGTGTCAATGTCAGGTAGGCCGTGGACAGGTGGGTCTGAAGTTCCCAGGGGCAGCAGGGGCAAGAGATAAAAATGTGTGTATCTGTGCATCAGACATTAGCTCCCCAGAGGAGTGGATGAGGTAACCTGGAGAGGGGCCGGTGTGATGGGGAGGAAGGCGGAGAAGCAGTCTTCAAGAACGGGAATGTTTCCAAGCCTGGAGAAGAGGATGAGAAAGGGGAAAACTGCCATCGAGGCAGGAAGTGAAAAAGCACAGGGCCACCCAATGGGAGTGAAGGGAAAAGGGGGTTCAAACATGCTATGGGATGATCATGATGCTTTTGAGAAGGCAGGGACTGGGAAATGTCAGCCAGATTGAACGGCACAGGAGGTCCTTGGCAACCTTGGCAGAGTTGTTTCGGTGGAGTGTAGCAATGGAACCCAGACTAAGTTGAGTTAAGGAAATGCTGGCACTGCACAGGGCTGATTTCTAAGGAGCCTGGCAGGGAAGGACAGGAGCGAGATGAAGAGGGATGAGGGACAGAGGGAGGACCTGACAGAGAAGGGACATTCCGTAGCACTTCTCGAGAAAGTGGGAGGGGATGGGATTCAGGCATGCAGGAAGGAGAGGCTCTGAGGAGGGAAGCGACTTTCCTGTTCACAGGAGGGAAAAGAGATAGGTGTCATGGGGAGGGAGCAGAACTGATGGAGGGAAGATGGGGCTCCCGACCACTGGCTCCTATTTTCTCTGGGGATTAGGGCCATGGCCACCTGCTAAGAGTGAGAAGCAGGCTGAGGACTTCAAAGGTTAAAGAGAACACAGAGAGCTTAAAAAGGGGACTGCAGAATGTGGATGGACAAGTTTAAATAGAGACAGGAGGCTGGGCTTCCGGGCAGAGCTGAGCGTCATCCACAGTTTGTGATGGTTCACGTACAGGAACCAAGTGAACTTGTGGATGACATTCCTCATTCTGGCAGAGCTCAACCCCAGGGTGCAGGTGCAGAGACAGGATGACAGGCGTTCTTCAGGATGGAGGGTGTTTGCTGGCTGAGTGTGACATAAAGGGGAAAGGAGTTCCAGGACCATCACTTGGAAATGGAAAGTCAGTACAAAACAAGATCCCTGACTGTAAGGAGTTTTCCACTGTAGTCGATGGTGCAAGACCTTCACATGTAGTAAAATACCAAGCAGCACAGAAGAAATGCTGAAGCCAGACAACAAGTGCCACAGAAGCACAGAGCAGGAGCCCGTGGTCACGGGTGTGGGTGACGGGCTTCTTGGAAGGAGTGCAGCCCTACATGGCCCTTGAGGGACGGAGAGTTCTGACTACTGTGTCATTTAAATGTCAGGGAAACACAAACTTTTAGCTATTCCCCATCTTCCAAAACCAGACTACCCCAAGAGGTAGAGAATGTTTGGTCCTCTTTATCTAAGAAGACAAGAAATGAGACAAGAAGAAAAATCAAATGGTTTACATGGAATCATAAGATGCTGAAATTAAAAGAGAATTTCGGAGATCATATAGTCTAACCTCTCATTTTGCAGATTGTAATATGTCCTGGTACAGCAGTATCTATACCTTCATAATTGAGTAGTGCGGCAGGATACTGAGTTAGATCTGACAGCTACTTTATGGCTACTTTATCTTTCTTCCAGGTGGCCTTTCATTCTTTACATTTGCATCACATTGCTTTTGGCTTTATTTCCCCTCCGGATTCCCCCCAGAAAACTTCTTCGTCAGGTGGTAGCTAGATTTAATGACTTGTAAACAAACACTTCACAAAACAGAGGATCTACTACTTAAAAGAGAAGCTTTTAATTAGTAAACTATTTTTTCAATAGTGTACCCATGAGCCTCTATATTATTTTTTCTACAACACATTTTATTGTGTTGTATATGAGGCTTAGCGATCATTCGTCAGTTTTACTGAAATGGATTACTTGCAGAGCTGCTTAATAACTGAAAAGACATTTAACTTCCTGAAAAACTCTCTCCTTTAGCCTGTTACTTTGCTCTTACCCAAACTAAAATATATTGCTTGTCTCTAGTTCAAATTTTGGTGCAAATGCAGGTAATGGCAATGAGCTCCCAGATTGAAGAAGGCTGAGTTAATCCTATTTGTTAACTTCAATATTTTATATAGCGCTCTGGGCTGTGAACTTTCAGATTTCAAAATAAAGATTCTTGGGTTTCAAAGTCTCCAGTTTTAGAAAACTTTAAATTATTAGTTTGGCATCCTACCTAGACCAACCATTCTATATGATCTACCCTAAAATTGATAACTAACAGTGGTTTATCATCATTATTTTACACTTATTATCAGGATTTTTTTTTTAAAAGATAGGGTTGCTCAGGCTGGAGTGCAGGGGCATGATCATGGCCAACTGCAGTCTTGAACTCCCAGGCTCAAGCAGTCCTCCTGCCTCAGTCTTCTGAGAGCTGGGACTACAGGCGCACACCACCATGCATGGCTAATTTTAAAAATTTTTTTGTGGTGACAAGGTCTTGCTATGTTGCCTGGGCTCAACAGATCCTCTTGCCTCAGCCTCTCAAAGTGTTGGAATCACAGGCATGAACCATCCCACCTGTCCTTTCATCAGTATTTTTTATACAAAGAATTGACACTTTTCTAAGATACTTATATTGGGAACACGCACACATATAGTTCTATCTATATGTTACATAATGTTCATAAAGGAAACAGAAAGATTTGTGTTAACCATTACTGTTTTGAAGGAAAGAATCATACACCCTTTATAGGAATAAGCATATATTGTGAAATCCAAACAGTTTTTAATTCATGAAGATGAAAGTGGTTTTTGAGTTTATTAAAATTTTCTTAGGTTAGCTGAACAAAGTGAAAGCACCAGTTATACTATCACATACAGGCCACCTTTAAGGTTCCTTCAGGTTGCAAATATTCAATAAAATTCTCACAGCAAAAGAGCAATATCACTTTACACTTAATGGTTGTCAAATACTTAATGGTTGTCAATCCCCTTTGGCAAACACAGTATAGTTCTCTCTGTACTGCTGGTCACACTCACAGGCCTGTAAAACAAGTGTATTAGAAATTCCCCGCCCCACACAGAGTGGCTGGAGCCTGGGGCCCCAGGGCATCCTGGGAGCGACTTCTTGTTCCTGTTTATGCCGGACTTCTTGTTCCTGTTTATGCCGTGCCAGTCACCCCCAAATTGCAGGTGTGGGTCTGCACTGCCTTGCTGCCCGGCCATTGGGCATCAAAGCTGCCCATGCTGGGGCTCCAAAGATGACATAAAATAAAGCAGCTTTGTTGTCTGCATCAATAGAAACAGGGTCAAACGGGGCGGAGAGGGCTAGTGCAGAGCGCCAAAATGTCCCTGATTATGGTATGACTCAAGAGTGGGGGCAGGGGAGAGAGCAGAGGGGGAGCTGACATGTGGCAGGGAGAGGGAGGAAGCCGGGGAGAGCTCCTCAGGCTTGGCTCAGCTTTACCCTAACTCACTGCCACACTTGGCACTAACCTTACGGCTCATGCTAGGTGCACATGTGCCAAGACCCACGTGAGGCACTCCACACACAGTATCTTATCTGATCTTTACAACCCAAGGGGGTAGAGGTGCTATTATCATGCCCATTACACAGATAAGGAAATTGAGGCTTAGTGAGATTAGAAAAGGCCCAAGCTATTAAACAGTAGAGCTGTACCTGGAACTCAGTCCAATCTTAAATCTTCTGCCAACATAACTCACATGAGTTACCTGGAATATAAAATTCAGGGAGCTGGACTGGCTGAGCCCAAGATACTTTCAAATTCCTAACAGCCAGTGAGATAAGATTCCTAGCAACTTCATAAGATATCTGCCTGAAATTTAAGTCTTCATTGTGTTCAAAAAAACTTCTAAAAGATTCCTTATTTAAAAAAAAAAAGTAATTAAGTACATGTTTAGGGCAGATGATAAAATACACACTTAACTGAATATGTACCATGGGCTACTACAATTACACCAGCTGTGGTATAATAGCACAATGTAAATCTGGAAAGAACTGTGTGACTGAAAAGTTGTCATCTAACATTTCTTGTCATTTTAAAAAAGGGAAAATAAATACTCCTCAAAGCTCCATTAAATCTTAATGAATCATACACAATATCCTTGAAGGATGTAAAATCTACTTCTAAGCCAATTATTTATTAAAGCCAATTGTCTCAGTTTCCTTCATGAAAAATATAATTAACACAAAACACAGTAACATTTATGTGGGCCTTTCCTTTTAAATTACTATATAGCCCAACTCAGAAAAGGTACCTTGATTCCTCTCCTGAGCAAGGCATTGACATTTACATCACATGCAAGTTCCCTCCAACACTGCAAAACACACAGGTTTGTTTTTTCGTGTGAGACTGGCTGACTGCAATGAGTATCACTCCTGCAGATGTAAGACTAAATTCACACTGGCAGGAAAAGAGAGGTTGCAATTAAGCTGCAAAAATGGGAATACTAAATAGCTACTGGACAAGGAATAAATAAGTGAGACCCAGCTGGTAACGGTTCTGAAATTACGGCATACAGGGGTGTCCCCACAAAGCCATCTCACAGTGTGACATTTAAAAAATAAACCTCACTAATTTATATCATTTTTAAGTCAAGCAAAGAATATGCTCATAAATCCTGAGAGGCATTATTAATGGCACTTAATTAATTCAGATATATTCACCCTAAACACTATGTTCTCAGACTAATACATAATTAGTAATTGGTTTTCATTCAGCCAAGAATATGCAAAAAGTACCAAAAAAGCCTCTCACATGTAGAGGAGACACTGAGATACTTAATCTGATTATAATGAAGACAATTCCCTACAAATTATGACATATTGAGATGAAACAGGAAGCACCCCTTGTGTGGAGCCCCTGTTGGGTATAAAGGCTGGCGGAAGTGGCAGGGGGCCTGGAGGGGGAGCTATTTCATGGCAGCATGAGCATGGGGGAAGACAGGAGATGTCGAGAGTGGGTTGGGAATTATCTTGAAAGGCCCGTGCATCCCTCCTCAAAAATCTCAAGACACAGATTGAAAAAGGGCTCACTTTATCTCCCAAGATACATTTCTACTACTTAAATATGAGGGCCTATTTTAAAACATAATTCAATAACAAAAATAACCAGAGCGAGCTAAGCACAAAGGGTTCAAGATCAATGAGGGCCCAACAGGAAGAAGTGTAACGCATAACTTGATATGATGACTATTCTAGATACTACTGTAATTAATTTCATAGGGAAATCAAACAATAAATATGTCATACCAGATTCCCTAGACTCTGCAAGTTTTGCAATTGCTTCTGGCTTCTACAAATGGATGCTCGCTAGGTTCACGACCTAAAATGTGATATGAGTTCAACATTACAGATAAAAATCTCTCCTCTCTTTCCCCACATCCCTTCCTATCAGTATCTTAAAATAGATACTTTCCACTTACTGGACTCATCCTAAGAAAACAAAATTCCTTTGTGACTCTGTGGCTGATAAAGCACACAAGGATTCCTTCCACCAAACAAATGACTTTGAACAATTTCTGCCCTGAGGTTCATTCGCTTTAAGAAGTGAATGAACAGAGAACTAAAATTAGGACTATTAAGAGATAAGAGTTGAGGGTATCCAGAGCTATTGAAGTGACTCACAGCTGGAAGTTCTGACTTGTTTTGTCCCTGTCCCGCAAACAGAAGGGCCCTGCAGTTGTGATCAGAACTTTCACTTGTTCTCCACAAAGGTTTAAAAAATGACCTCAGGTGCATTGCTAAGAAAATATTTTCCATAATGTCACCTAAAAAAGGCCATCACATTGCACAATCCCCTCCACACCATGCTCTTCTCTCTCCAGAGCTATCTGCACACAATTTATTTCTGGAGAGGTGCAGAGGGCTTGGCTGGGAGCTGAGAAGCAGAGACAATACAGCTTCCAGGGTTAGAATCATGTGCAGGAACACAGTAGTAGGCTGCCTGGCTGACACAGAATTACCCACATTAGGTGCAATACCTACGACCTCTCCTTCAGAATACTTGAAAGTTGTGTCCAATTTGTTTGTAAAATGGGGAAACTACGACTATTTATACACCAAAGTTCATATTTTTGATGTGTATTGGTAGCAACCAGAACATACTTAGAACAAAGACCATCATAAAGGCATAATTTTTTCTTACTTTTTTCTACTAAGTGTCTTATTGGGAGAATGAGGGATTACCTAAACATTTTTAATCTGATTTTCACTATCTGATATTCATGTGTAATTGTTAATTTTGTACTGGGGGAAAAAATCACCAACTTGAGCACCAGCTCTCATTTGGAAATAATTTTTATAATATTACAATGAATATAGGTTGAAACAATTAAGAACTTTAAAAAAAAAAATGAAGTTCTAATATGATTCAGGCATGTAGCCCACACTTGGAATGCTGTGGCTCTCATTACAACCTACCCTGCAAACCAAATAGCAATTTGAAAGTTCTGAGGTTTCAGAGGGACAGGCAGGGCAAATTAGAATCAGTTACAGAGGCAGGAAAAAACGGGCAGCTGAAAATGTCTGGGAAATGTACTTTTATTTGTCTTGAGGCAAGAGGTCAATTTTCTACAGCTGCTTCATCAATATTCATTTTCTTTTTCTTTTTTCTTTTTTTTTTTTTTTGAGACAAAGCCTCGCTCTGTTGCCCAGGCTGGAGTGCAATGGCATGATCTTAGTTCACTGTAACCACCGCCTCCTGGGTTCAAGCAATTCTCCTGTCTCAGCCTCCCGAGTAGCTGGGACTACAGGTGGGCGCCACCACGTGTGGCTAGTTTTTGTATTTTTAGTAGAGATGGGGTTTCACCATGTTAGCCAGGCTGGTCTCGAACTCCTGACCTCAGGTGATCCACCCGCGTTGGCCTCCCAAAGTGCTGGGATTACAGGCATGAGCCAACACGCCCAGCTAATATTCATTTTCTAAGACCATTTCTCAAAAGTTGATGTCTATCTGCAGATAAGACAAAAATCAAAGATCCAAGTATATTTTAATTAACATTTTCTTCTGAAATCTGAGCTACCTTCCAATATCTAGAAAAGAAATGCTTTTTTTGACAAGCCAAATAAAGTTATTCTGATATCAAAGGTGAGTAGGAATGAGAATAAAAGCACAAAGGTCATCCTTTCCAGGGTCCACAAACTCAAAAGCCTAAATTAATTCACTTCAGCAGATTTTTCAATTAAACAAGAATCATTAAGTCAATCTTTTGATTAATGGCTACTTGACTAAAATTAAAATGTCATCAGAAATATTTAAACTTTTGCTTAGAATCTTACTTTAATTTATAACATAGACACAAACTCTCCCATCTGTCAACTTGGTATCTGCAAGCTCAATCAGACTCTTACGGACATCCTTGCCGGCTGGCCCACTGTCAACTTCATACAAAAGAATGTAGTCATGTTAAAATTCTACCTCCCATGAACCACAGAATCTGACATAAAACTACTGAATTCAGGCCAAAAATTTATAATCTGGTACAGAGGTAATACTGGCTTTTTTAAAAATTCAAACAAAGACATTGCCAATGAAAACAAGAGCTTACAACGTGGTCCATTCAAAAGGGCCCCAGGCTCAGGGAGTCAGGAGACCTATGACTGAGCCCTGGTCAGCCACGTCACCACCCTCTGGCCTTGAGCAAAGTGCCCCAGCACTCTTGATCTCGCTTTATACTTTAAAAAACGAGTCTGAGAAGAGATCACAGTGATGTGTGCTTTGGCCCAGATAGTGATTTAGAAAATGCTTGAATTAATCACCAATCTTTTCAGACTTGAGAACATTTACATACAAATTTGGATTTCTGGCTTCTTTTAAAAATGGGAAGACCTGGCACCGGGCCCGGCATCACTCATCTGGTGCTGAGTAGCTGTGGGGATACACCCTCCAGCTGGGCACAGTTCCTGCCACTCCCTGGAGTCTCCTGCCTGGATGACTTGGCCCATTCCAGGGCTTTAGCCACCACAGGGCTCTGGTGCCTGCACTTGGGAGACATTCCCACAAATTCAAATGAATCACAAAACAACTTTCCAGAGATCCACTTAATTCCTGGAAGACACACATAACCTCTTTAAGTGTTTCATTTATGTGGATGTGGCAGTGCAGGGACAAAGATTGGAAGAAAAGCCACAGCTCCAATATTCTAATCAAAGGCATTGCAAGTTCCTGGTCTT
This sequence comes from Homo sapiens, assembly GCF_000001405.40. Classification (NCBI taxonomy): domain Eukaryota; kingdom Metazoa; phylum Chordata; class Mammalia; order Primates; family Hominidae; genus Homo; species Homo sapiens. Next base: position 22,621,000 of record NC_000010.11, read on the forward strand.
CTTTTGAAACTGACACAGGGGACAGGGAAGAGATGCTAAATGAAGCTAATATGCCTGCAGTTGCCTGTAACCATGTCTTCAGCCACGTAAAGTTAAGCATCACCATTGATGCACAGAAAAGACGGGATAAGACAGATAAGAGCCACGTGCAGATGACATCATTTGAATCTCTGGACCTGGGGGATCTTGAGGCCAGCCTAATCCAACATCCTTTCCAGAGACAGAAACCAATCAATCCCCTAAGCTAGAGGAAGGTAAATTTCTGCCACTTGCAATTGAAGACACTCAAATACTTAATGGATGTCAAATAAGAACTTCACTCATCCAAATGGCATGACCACTAGCAATCACACAGCACTCTAAGAAACTGATCTTGAAAACTTCAAATAAACATTTTACTTTTTAGTCAGATATTTAATATGCTAAAATAATTTAATACTTCCCTGGTATCTTTCTTTCCATTCATCCTGGGATAAGGATGTTCTAAAACTAGAGTTCCCCAAGTAAGCTGTGAAGGCAAAGCTTCCAGAAGGTGCTAGATGATACCAAGCTGGCCAGAAGCCCTAAATCTCATACCTAAATCTGGCTAGCCATGGAGAAGATGGGGAGGAGTTTGGTATGTAATACAGGTGTCCCTGGGTACCCCAGATAACCACATCTACTGAAAAAGTAAGCAGTGAGTGACAGCTGTGCATTCAGAAAATCAATCACTGAAACACATCATTAATAAAACCTGTAAGACAATGGAGAAGGGGATGGCATGTACAGTTCAGCATTTTGAACTGAGATGTGTTCAGCAGACTTCACAGTTGGGACCTTCGTTAAGATTCCAGAAGGAAGCAATGAAATCCTAATTCTGTTACACCAGAACTTTTGTTTTTCTTTCCATGACCACAACAGAGGGGCCGCCTGCTTTCCTGCCCAGCATCCATCCTGAAAGAACAATGAGAGGAAGGGTACCATGCTGCCATTTACACTGCTTTCCCGGATTCCCATTTTAAGAGATGACCTGACCATGCATTTTTATCTCTTTTCCTTCCAGAAGCTCTGCTAAGATGACAGTAAAGGAAGTTAGAGATTGGGGGAAAATCAAAAACACCACCACCAAACATGACAAGAACATTGGAGAGCAGACAATAGAAAACGAGAAATGTCAAAGAATTTTTTAAAGACAGAAAAGTAGTAGAGGATTGTTAGCAGACAGAAGAGGAGACAAAGCTGCTACCTCTGTGCCGGTGGCCACTCAATGCCATGTGCTCCCAGATGCTGAGGGGCTCCACAGCTGGGGTTCAGGTGGCAGAAAGACGGTGCGCTGCCTGTTGCTGTCCATGCCATCCCATCGCATGAGAGGCACAGGACTGATTCCTCAGAAACCCCAGCCCAAGAAGCTTCGGGCACGGGAAGACCCAGCTCACACAGGGCTGGGCTGGGCGTCACGGAGCACGGGAGGAGCCAGTTACCATCTGTGCTCTGAGGCCTGGGCCCTCTGCCGCTGTCCCCTGCTCTGCTGCAATCGCACCTTTGGCCTGGGTCACTCCCCGAGGGGACACTGGAGGATTCCCATTCTGGCGGAAAGGCCCTAGAAATATTAATAATTCCGCCAGTGGGCGGCAGCACAAAGGCTGGCCTCTTCCCCACTGTCAGTGGACGGGCACCGCCACTCCACATACCCGGGACAAGTCGTCTGTCTTCCAGCACCTCGTTCTAAAACCTGACTGGAGAGCAACAAACCACCGGACATGGGAGGAAAGCCTTTAGCATGAAGGAGACTATAACAAATCTATAATTTTTTTCTCAATGCTATTTAACATCATGCAATACTAAATCGCCAAATTTAGTACTTCACAAAGTACTAAAAATAACTGAGTCACAGTAAGGTGAATGCTATTATTTTACCAAAAAAAGTATGCATTATTTCAAAAAAAAGAAGGATGAGGGGAGAAAAGAGATGGTGTGAGAGAGCCAGCATCATCTGCCTTGGCAGAAACTCAAAAGAAAATGCCTAACATGACAAATTCATAAATAATGGCACAAGCATATTACCTAGCAAACACCGGGGCAAATAATTATGTATAGCTGTGTAAACCAACATGGAACATTCTCTAAGAAATAGTGCAGAGTGAGAAAAGCGAGATAGAGATGCGTTTAATGTGCTACCATTGACTTTTTTTTTAAAAAAAAAGGTTACACATTCATGTGTTTGTCTATGAAACTCACTGAGAAAGCACAAAAAAAGCACAAAGATCAAGTTTAGGTGTCTGGGGTCGGGGGTGAAGCTCACCTGTAATGGTGAGCTTCCGTACTGTTTAAATTCTTGATCACTTGTTATTTTCATAGTAATGATGGAGAGAAAAACCAAAGTGCTCACGAAGGAAGCGTCTAACTCAGGGGCAGACCGCAGCTCTAAGGCAAGGGTCGCAAGGGTCTTCCACAAGGGCGGTGTGCTCCTCGGGGAGAAGACAGCAGAGCTTCTCTATGTACATTATACTAAAAGGCTGCCTTTACACAGCTTGTCTGACGAATGCCCTCCTCAGTCCAATGTGAGCGTCATGAGCTGTATATTGGAAGGGAGGTACCCCCAGGAACAGTAGGAGCTTAGAGGTTGGCGGTTGGCAGGGGACGTCCGTGCACTGCTCAGGTCCAGTGCATTGCAACCAATTGTAGGTTACATGTGCCCAGTTAAGTGGATTTGCAGATCATACCATCTGGCTTTAACTAAGCTAAAGCAACGCTCACAAAACAGGTAAGTGCTTAAGAGGATGCCTGAAAAACAACCACATGGGCTGAAGCTAATGTTAAACACACAGGACCAATCAACAAGAAGCCACGTGGCAGGCCTAAGACTGAGCCCTGAGCTCCCAGGGTTCTCGCTATCAGTCACATGATGAGGTCAAAGCACTGATGATTTCATCAGATATGAAAAGAATAGTTCACAACAATTAAAATGACTGGGAAGACTTTATTTAAAATGTGGGCTTCCATTCATTTTTGTTCATGATAAAGCTTCCCTAAGTGTACACTGTGCCTAGAGATACCAGCTAATGATACTCCAGAGCTATCAAAATGCGCAAGTCATTTAAAATCTAAGCACTCAGGACCTGAAGACAAACAACTCTAGTTTTCTTCACTATGTTTAACATTGGGCAGTACTACACTACAAATTCAGTACTTCACAAAATTTTATTAATTTAATGATTAACATGTAGAAGCTTCTTTCTGGGTTCCTCTGCTAGGAAAAGACTAAAAACCACATATTACTGGAGAAGCACTTGCTATTTCTACCAAGGCAAAAATGGCTTAAAGCATGTAAAAACCAATATGGCATCAAATTTGAATGAATTCCTTTGTCAGCAAATACTGCGGGCAGAGGCATAGAAACACCAGTCAATATTTGAAGACTCAAGGATTAGAATAAATTACACAGCCTATGAAGTTTGCTTTAGAATTGCATCAAAGTAAAGATGATTCTAACATTTCTCTGCTTCGGGTATTTGCTAACTTATTTCCTGTATTCAAAGAACTACTGTGTATGGTTGAGAGGGAAGAAGAATGCAAGCACTTTAAAAAAAAGTTGTGGAATTTAGGAGATGAGTCATGCACTTTTCCCTTATAAAACATGTGTTCCAAATTCATGGACCTTTGCAGGGGTCAGAGGTGCTTCTCAGTAGTATGTTACCTAGCAGGGGGAAAAAAAAATCAGCACACTTTACGCTTCCTTTCAAAGTAAAGGTGAGACTCAACATTGAGTAAGAAATTAACTGCTTTTCAAGAGAAACCAAAGCTTTGAAAGAGTATTATACAAACAGATGTTTGAAAATATTTCCACTGTTTTGTTATCTTTTTGCCAAAAACAATGAAACTGTGTCACCTATGAAAACTTTTATATCAGCACACTTAGTAACTTGGAAATAGAATATTCTAGTGTATTAGAAATCTTGCCAGAGAGTTTCAAACCCATTTGTTAATGGTTTTTGAATCTATTTGTTAAAAGTTTAAAAACACAATAAACTTCCAATAAGTTTCAGAATAAAATTTTATCATCTGAAAGTCAACTAAAAACCTTTGTATAACTGGCGAGATGTGTTGAGAAAAGGAGCATAATAATTTCGTATGATTTAGTAAAAATGGCCAGTGATACAGTTCTTCCACTTGTATTTACAAATCTTTGTGGGGTGTATTTTTCAGCAATGAAAGCCATTAAAACTGACAATCAAAATATGCTAAACTTAAGAGCTAGGCTTTTAAAAAATCACTATTAAAACAACATTTTCAGAAAATTCAAAAATTAGTTTTACTGCTTTCATGAAAAAATCTCTAACGGAGAGCAAAAGATTTTCTGTAGTGTTAAAATTACTGAAAATACTTAATCTTACCTTTTTCAGTCTTAAATATGCATTAAAATGTATAGAACATTAATACTTCTATATGACTATAATGTATACATCACAATACATGTTATTCGTATGCCCTGATTTCACATAAACACAGCTATGTGATCCAAAAAAATCTGGAGTCTATTGTTCTAAGGGAGATGTTTTCAAAATACACCTATCTTTATGCATCTATTACCCCAGGGATGAGGAAACAGGATATTTGGCGGTGGGCTTTGGAGTTAAAAAAACAAAACAGTCCCCAGGTATTTGTGATACGATCCTCTCCTCTTCTACATGCTCCTGGCATTTAGTTGGCAGTGCTGAGAAAGAAAGTGATCCTCTTATACTCAGGCTGGCCAGAGGCAGGAGGCAGGGCCACGACAACAGCATTCACGCTTAGCCACAGCAATATCATGTTTTAAACACTGTCAAAAACCTTTCACATAGACGTGGTTTTCGCAACACTGAAATAAGATTATTCTCACTGAACAGAAGAGAAATAAAGTTAAATAACTCAGGAGGGAGGGGAAATGGCCTTTCTTATCTCTTGGGTCACAAGAAGAAAAGGTAGATTCAGACTTCTGATAAAGGCCTGTGCTTACACCAATGTCACCTACACAATGGACTCCAGAGTCCTTTCTAGCTGGACTCTGGAGTCTTGAAGTGAGTGCCACATGGACAGAGATGACATTATAGCCATCCTGCGTGGTCCCGCTGAGTCTTTCCCATGGCCTGGTGGGAGGCTGCATTCCAGGAGCCTGCAAAAACTATGCAAGTTCGGAATATAAATCAGATGACTGCATGGGGTACTCAGCATTTTGATATCTAAATCCCAATCTTCTATATTAATTTCTCCTACCCAAATTTCTAAAATATATTCTGCTTAAAAAAAAAGAGTAACTTGCTTTTGAGCTCAGAGCTTTTCTCATATACTGAATTAATCATGTTTTCCTGGTGAGTTATGTTCTTTAGCCTAAGAGACTATTTCTAAAAATGCATGTTGTTAAAAGAATAAAAGCCAAGAGACAACTCAAGTTTTGTCTAAAGAAATAATTGTTTAGCAAGTAATATTTCAAAGCTATTGTATTCAGAACACGAGGATATTGTTTATAAGACATACCACACTACATTTCTTACATAATTTTCTTTTGTGCCTGAAAATGTTTCTGAAAATTGAGGAGAATAAGGATGAGCTACCCAGTACAGTAAGTTGTTACAAAGATTTTTCACTTTAGGTTTTAGCACACCTATATTCCATCATCACACTGAAGTGCAGAAAATCACTTCCCGGTATAGATACAAATTTACTTCATATTTTAATGTAAAGTATAGGGGTGTGGTTTATAAAACAACCATAAGCTCAATTTCTTTTTCATAGCTGAAAACAGGATATTTTCATCTATATTTAGACGCATGTATACTCACAAAAAAATACTTTAGCTTTACAAATAACAAAAATAACAAGTACTTTCTTTTAGCCTAGTAAAAAACAACTGTCACAGTTTCATGACTCATTTTCAAAAATATGTCATGCCAATTAATATATATCTCCTACCCACAAATATTCCTATTCACAAACTGTCAAGAGAACAAAACTGCTACTAGTTGTTTTCATTACTTTAGGAAAAAGGGCATTTGCCATCACATGAGTTTTGCATAAATAATTCTCTCTTCTCCCCATCTCCTCCCACGCATTCTATGTATTCTATCAACTATAAAAAAAAGATGAGCAAAATAAACCAGAGAATTAGACGTCAGAGAATCCTAATTCCTAATTAGATCAATTAACATTAATTTCTCATTCTCCATATGCTATGAACATGAATCAAGCATGCAATCTACCCAGATTTAATCCAGGCAGTTCTCACTACATTTTAAACCTGGAAACCTCTAAAAATTCTTCTGAATCATTTGAGGCTAACAGTTTTCATCAAGATAAAATGCAGACTGTGAGTATTTAACTCTCACAGTCTCTCCCACCAAACCACCCAGCATCACACACATATTCCTAGGAACAGCATAGATTGCCCTAAGTGATCTCTCAAAGGTTATTAGGTGAATAATACAGATCTTAAATAGCGTATTAGTTTCTTTAATATTTTCTCACAAATATCTCTTTTACATAAACTCTAATACATTGCCTTTCCCTGCTCATCAAGAATGTGAAAGAAATACTGAAAATAGACCTGCATTTGTTTAACCAAAAGCTAATATGTAATAAAAAAAAAAAAAAAAAAAAAAAAAAAAAAAAAAAAAAAAGATAAGGAAAGCCACTGGCTGTGGCTTTGTACAAACCTGCTGGGATACATGACACATTGTGCTTTCATTGCTGCCACCTCACCATGCAAGGGCTTTGCCTGTGTGCAAGGTCTTTTACTGTCAAATTTAAGAATCCCCATGATATTCTTTATTTGAGGACTCTAGTAATTTCTTATGTAAAGACAGTCTAGGGAGAATGTAAGAATATAAGCATTAGCTGTCACAACAGGATAAAACACAATTTTTCCTAATGAGAGAAAAGTTGGCCTATGGTTGTCATTATTCCCTACAATATTACAGCTACCTTAAGGGTGGGGACTAGATCTATTCATTTTTGCACACTTGGTACATCCCAGGAACCAACTACAAGAAACAGTTGTTGACCAAATTTTAAACTCATTCCCTGGGTTATAAACTTTTAAAGTGATTTTACTATTATATCTAGCAAAGAAAAATCCTGATATTCATAATGATCTCTCAGAAACCCAAAAGCTACAATGCCAATGATTAAGTTTCTGTTTACCAAGTTACCAAAGTTTAGACTGATTAAACACAAGATGACTTACTAAAAGATTATTTTACTGGCATAAAATAAATTCAATAAAATATTCTCCACAGACTAATTCCACCAGCCAAGCAATTTTTGAAGAAGTTGTTTGTTTTTGTAAATGTGCACAGCATCTCAAACTTATAAATGTTCATATCCATTATTTAAGTCCTTTTTATAGTATGAATCTTGATCGTTAGAAAAAGTCTCAAAAATCACAGAAAAAATTGTACCCTAAATGCTTTAAATTGTTGCTGTATACTCAGGAAACAGTAACGTCAACGAAGAGTCAAACTCTGTAATGTGAAGAGGTTTATTGTGAGCCAAATATGAGTGACCAACGGCTCATGACAGAGCCTTCAGGAAATCTTAAGAACATGTGCCCAAGGAGGCTGGGGCAGAGCCTAGTTTCACACATTTTAGGGAGACATGAGATATCAGATACACGTAAGATTCACATTGGTTAGGACATCTTGAAGCAGGGGAAGGCAGGCCTTCCAGGTCATAGGTAGATTGAAAAATTTTCTGATTGGCAACTGGTTCAAAGAGTTATTCTATAGAAAGCAATGTCTGAGTTAGGATAAGGGGTTTTGGAAACCAAGGGTATATCATGCAGATGAAGCCTTCAGGTAGCAAGCTTCAGAAAGAACAGACTGTAAATGCTTCTTATCAGACTTAAGATCTGTGTTGAGGTTAATGCTGGTTGGCTTCTCCTGAATTCCAAAAGGGAAAATGGTAGAATGAGGCATGTCCAACCCCCTCTTCCATCATGGCCTGAACACGTTTTTCAGGTTAACTTTGGAACACCCTTGGCCTACAGGAGGGGTCCGTTCAGATGGTTTGGGGACCTCAGAATTTTGTTTTTGGTTTACATAACTCTCCTTGCTAAAAAAATCCAAAACAACAATTTTCTCTCTTATTTCCACATGATTTGTTGACAGCCCATCAAACAGAACAATTTACCAGAAACTTAATAATGCTTAAGGATTATTAAGCTTTAATATACAAACACTTTTAAATTCACTGCCTCTAAACATACACTATTGAAACCTTAAAAATGACAGGATGGCTATTAAAAGCATGCTTCATTTAATATTTTACTTTTATGTGGTTAAAGGTCCACCATACTTGCATTCTTTTCAAAAATGTGGAAGCCTAAAGCACTCACTAGACCTATGATTCTAAGACAACTGCAGTCATACCTCGAGTCATACTGCAATTGGCAGAGGATGCTAGAATGGAATGACAATTTTTATTTCGAGGAAAGCAATCTATGCTAACTATAAAATAAGTTGTCCTTTTAAAAGAAAACAAAGTTCTGTATTATAATTAAAAAAATCAAGAGTGACTTTAAAGTAATATATAAACAACACTGAAGATAAATTTAAAATACAAATAATGACATATACTAAAAGTAAAATTCCAGGTGGTTTACTATTTCCACTGAGGAGGTAGAGCTAACCCCATCAGAACTTTAGGAAATGTCATTTTCCTAACTTGTTGACTAAATTAGCTAAATCAGTTTCACTAGTTTTCTCTTACCCTTTTTAACACTCTAGAGGAAATATATTTCCTATTCCAACCAAAGACAACCCAGTCTTTGCTGTAGTTTTTGTTTTTATTAGCACATGTAGATACATGATACATGTGATAATAAAAGTGTTCAATTCTAAAGAAGGAGTGAGCAGGGGAGCCCTCCTTTCTATAAGATGTCTTCAAAACAGGATTAAGAAAAAAAGATATTTTACTTTCACTAGATGACAAAAGGAAGCGGTATTAGATGTTCTCCAAAAATGTCTTTGGTTGACTGGACTAGCTACAAGATGCTCTCTGTATTTCTCAAGAAGTTTCCATCTGACTCCAAAAGCACACCCAAGGCCAGGCGCAGTAGCTCATGCTTGTAATCCCAGCATGTTGGGAAGGCCAAGGAGGGAAGACGCTTAAGGTCAGGAGTTTTAACACCAGCCTGTGAAACACAGGGCGACTTCATGACTACAAAAAAAAAAAAAAAGCCAGGTATGGTGGCATGCACTTGTGGTCCCAGTTATTTGGAGGGCTGGGGTTTCATATCAAACAGCCTTTTTGTTTGATATGAAGCTGGTAATGATACAATGCCATTTCCTCCACCTAATTTCCATAATGATTTACACTGTCCCTGATGATCACCATAACAGTTTAATCATGTGGTTTATATTTTTTCCTCTAGCCCTATGTTTTAAAGATTGTTTCAAGTGCTCTGCTTTGTAGCTATTCAGAATATAAGTAGCTACTTAGATGTTAAAATACAGAATTACTAGATGACTGTTAAAAACATGACTAGATAGGAATCATCTTTCTTATACATGAAATGGGGATTTTTACAACGAAAACTGCTTTCCCTTGTAGATGTGAATCCACCAAGTCAGCAGGTTCTAGAACTGCTGTATTTATCTGCCTTACAGCAGTGACCCAACCGTTCTGTTTTTAGACATTAGCAAATATATGATTATCAGCAAAACTTCAGAATGAGCCACAAAGGGTAACAAACTCAAAAACTTGAGCAACAGCAGAATTCATATTCTGTTAAGTTTTGGTTTCAAAATCCCCAACAGTCCTCTAAAGCTGGGACAGGATATGCAAATTGCAGGGATGACTCACCATCTATCAATTACTACAACATACTTGGGTTCTGGGTCCTCTCACCTTCCATCATCATCCACCCAATTAAGCCAGCAGACTCAGGCAAGGTTTGACACATCAATTCTCTTATTCTTCTTACAAGACTAAATACTAATGGACAGGAACATGGCAACAGGGACAAGAGAGTAGGTAGGAACTAAAATGACAGCTTCTCGCGATCAGGAGCCAAGTCATGCACCCTGCCCAGAAAGCAGCACAACAGGCCACACACGGTATACTAACACACCACAGGATACGACGTTCAGTTTTACTTTGTATTGATGGTCAATACAGAGTTTCTTTGCTTTAGCAATAATCCCTCTTCCAAATATTTTTTAATAACCTTTTTGTAAATAGTGATAATAACAGACTGTAACTGTCATGGGCTCAATGTTTTTGTCTCCCCCAAATTCCTACAATGCAACCCTAACCTCGAGTGTGACTTTGTTTGGAGATGGGGCCCTTAGGAGGTATTTAAGGCTAAATGAGTTCATCAGGGTGGGCCCTGATCTGATGGAATTAATGTCCTTTTAAGTACAGACACCAAAGAGCTCAATGCCCCCATCCCCAGCCCAGGCCCACCATGTGAGGACAGGGGCAGAAGGTGGTCATCTGCAGGCCAGAAAGAGACCCCTCACCAGAAACCGAACCCTGTCAGAACCCTGATCTTGAACTTTCCAGCTTCCAGAACTGGGAGATAATAAGTATCTGTTATTTAAGCCGTCCAACTGATGGCATTTTGGTGGTGGGTCTAAGCAGACTAATACAGTAGCCATAGAATAAGAATCTATGATTTCACGTTCTATGGAAGAAGAGGAAACTCTTCCTTACAGTACAATTTCAACTATGTAGAAGGAATAATGAAAATTAAAAAATCAGCAATTTGCAAATACCACAGTAATAACTGTTACACATTAAGAATCAGCAATAAATGTTCAATTTTTTTGAGCAAAAGTATGCTGAGAAACAGGATATTTACACAATCTCTAAGTATCTCCCACAACATACTTAAGAACAAAGGGAAACAACAGTGACTTAACAGTGGAGAGAGCTGACACTGACATCACCGTAACCAACTGACCAGAGTCAACAGCTTCAGTGATGAGATCAGTGGACATCACGCGCCTTCTGATACGTGCGCTGAGATGGACACAACACTAACGCTCTGGTATTCTCGTGAAAACTGCATAATGAATGTAATCATTAGGAAGCAAGCTCTCGGTGAGAGCCATTCTACAAAATAACCAGTCTTCATGAAAAGTGTAAAGGTCATGATAGACAAAGACAGGAAATAGTCCAGATTAAAGGAGACTAAGAGACATGACAACCAAATGCATCAGGTGATCCTGGACAAGAAAGAAAACAAAAGTGGAATGAGTGCGGAAATGTAAATAAGAGCTTTCTATTATTACGCAGTCATCTTGTATCAGTGTTAGTTTCCTCATATTCATAACTGTACTATTTGTTATATAAGATGTTAGCATCTGGGTGAAGGCCATATGGGAGTTCTTTGTATTATTTTTGCTACATTTTTATGTCTGAAATTGTTTCAAAATGAAAATAAAAACAAACATTAAAATGGTATTTTTAGTATAGTATGTACAACATTGTTTTTCTCCCTAATAATCTGCACCATCCTTACTAAAGTTGACAAGTTGGTGTTAGCTGGATTTGTCATTTTTATGCCACAAAATGCACCTTACATACAATTAATTGGAGTATTTCTCTCACACCCCACTGGGATAAGCAATGTCATCTGCTCTATTCCATGTGCAAGAAGCATGACCTCCGGTGTAGGCCACCAGGCACACTCATATCCCTGGCACCTAGCTCAGTGCCCCTTCATTGTTATTTTTTAATTTTACTCCATGACCTGCTGAACCAGCTAAGAATCTCTAGAGCTTATTTTGAAATAAAAATTATGGGGAAAAAAGGTAGGGGGAAATAGGACATAATATATTCTTGACTCTCTTACATTATCAAATTTGATGGATAATTTCCAATCAAAAGAAAAAAATATCTTACTTGTAGGAAGCGGTTGAGTTTCATATTTTGTTTTATATTCTTTGGTTTTCTATTTGTATGGCCCCTTTTCATCCTCAACATTCATCATTTCAAAAAATGGCCCATAACAATACATCACTAAGGCTAACTTTTATTTAAGGCTTAGTATACATCGGGTATCTGCTAACCACCCCAATAGCCTCCCATGTAACCACCTTAACCCTGTGAAATGGGCACAACTATTACACAGCCCCCCTCTTTACAGTAGGAAAGCAGAGGCTGAGTTAAGTGATGGCTCAAGGTCACAGAGACCTTTGCATGGCGCAGGGGATTCAGATCTGGGCAACACAGCTCCAGAACCTGGGCTCTTGGCCATGGCTCTCAACTGCCTCTTGTTTTATAAACACATAAATAAATGAAAGGGACATAATTTTTTAAAAGAAAAAGAAAAACCTGCTCAACTACTTAAAGTAGCCGGAGGGAAAGCTGCTTACGAGGTAGATGGGAGCTAGATTAAACAAACACACAGCCTTTCTGTAGAACACACTCACTTTCTGTAAGTCTATGCGATCCTCTGCTCTTTTTATTTTACCCACTTACCCACAGTAAAAATACCTTCATGGAAAAAAATCCCAACTTTGTCCCAGCTACCAGTAAGGAGAGGGAAAAAATATAATTATCTTCATCATTCAGGATAGGCTGGAACTTTGGGGTGCTCCTTGGAGCCAGGAGCAAAGGGTACAGGCAGGGGAGGGGACCTTGGGGCAAGAAACCCAGGTCAAAGGGATCCGAGACATGGCAGGCGCTGAGTCCTTCTCACCCGGACCGTCATTCCTTCTCGCCACACCCAGAGCTGTCTGCAATATGTTCCAAAAATGCTTCACACAACTGGTCACCAAGGAAACAATAAATGCTAAACACTCGCATGTAGTTTTGTTTTCTCGGATCTTTGCCCCAGTATGGAGGCAACTGGGCATAAGCAAGCGGGAGGCCAAGCAAGCGAATTCACAGGTAGAAAAGTGAGTGTCGGCTTCTCAAGGCATCTCAGATGCAGTGCTAGGAGCGTGGAGCTGCTGTGAGGAAAAACGGAGTCCACAACAGTGCCTGGCTCAGGCACTTCACTGTCATTGTCATCACTGTCCCCAGAGGGCTGCCCCAGAGTAGACGCTTAATAGATCTTTGCTGACTTTTATTGAAAACAAAATGTAGTTAAATCAAAATATGATTATGGGACTTAGAGTCACTATGAACATGAACTCAACATAGAACCTGCAGCTGATATTTCACAGAGCAGCTGAGAGGCAATGCCACCCTGAGCACCTGTGAAAACTGTGTCCACAAATCACAGAAGAGACCAAAGAGCCCAGCCAAAGAGGACGGGACAGAACAGAAGTGGCCTTGCCTGTTTCATTACTGCTGGCCAATCTAAAACTATCATGCATCACACCTTTTGCTATAGGAAACTGTAATGTCTTGCTCTGGTGTATCACCTTCCTTTCCTATGGTACTTCTTGTTTATTTTCAAGTTTGTTTCCTTTAGCGGTTACAGATTTGGGGGAACATTTAGACACTTGCTGACAAGGCTGTTCCAACAACTTTAGAACGCTGTATCCGTTTTGGCCGAGTTCTTTGCAGCAATATTATACCATATTCTGCATATGTTACTGTTAACCTGTTTGGCATTTACTCGCTTGTTTCTTATAATAGGATCTTTTATAAGTCCAAATTTAGAAAACCAATTAAGAGGTTATTATTCACATTAGAAATGGAGACTGCCTTAAAGAAGGATGCACTTATGTATTCCTGTCCAAGGTCCAATTCTTCTCTCTTTCTCTCTCTCCCTCTCCATAGCAGAGGTGTAAAGTGTTTTAGGAAGCATACATTTTTTTTAATCTATAGAGAAACCATTTAGGAGGGAGCATACACAACTATGACATAAAGCATAAATCATCTCTAATGTCACCAAATACTTACTGACCTTTACTAGGCTGTAAAATGTCTCCCCTGTCAAGTTTCATCTTAAGTAACCACTAACCTTAGTGGCTTGTGTCCCCAAAGAAAATTTCCAATTTCTATAAAACCTGGGTCTTAGGAGATAATGACTGCACTTTAACTGGGATTTCAAAGATGTAATCTACATCTTTTAGAGATCTATATAGTAACAGAAGACTACGATGGGGTGGAGAGAGTCATAGGTGAGCAACAGAAACAGTGAGGTGAGTATGAGAAGTGCAGCACATTTGGGGGAGGGAGGGAGGCAGAGGTGAAGCACGACAGATTTGGGGGGCAGTGACACTATTCTGTATCATACTATTAATATAATGGTGGGTATGTATCATTATACACTTGCCAAAACCCACAGAATGTACAACACAGAGAGAACCCTAATGTCAACTGTGAACTGTGGTTGACAATGAAATGTTATGGCAGGTTCATCGAATGTAACAACCGTCCTGCTCTGGTGCCAACTGGGATGTCAGTGGTGGGGAGGCTGAATGTGTGTGTCTGGAAGGGCTTTGTGGGAGCTCTCTGCACAGTTCTCTCAATTTGTTGTGAACCTAAAACTTCTGTAAAAAAATAATGTCCATTTTAAATAAAAAGAAAAGTTGCTAACAGCACAAAAGGCTGTGATAGTATTGAGAGGGAAGAGACTGTTACCCACTGAGTTTGTCTGAGGAGGAGGAAATGTTGGAGCCAGACCCTGAAGGAGGGAAAACACTTGGATTTGGATTCTTATTCAAGAGAGCATGTCATTACACCCAGAAAATGGCTGAAGAACTTAAAAGGCCCAAACTGATGGGGATCTTCAGTGCCAGGCCGAGTTCTGTGGGCAGCGAGGAAGCATGGAAAGTTATGAGCCGGGGGGTTCTATGACGAGGACCCTCTAAGGAGCTCAGTGTGTGGAATATAATTTGAAGCAAGGATGAGGACTGGAGGCCAGAATCACAATGCAGGACCAAGCAACAGGTGCTAGGAATGCTTAAGAGGTTTCACGCCCTTGAGAGTGGAAGAGTGGTGAAGCCATTACCAAAAACAGGAAACGCAGAAAGAGAAGTCGACTTAGGGTACGTAGAAGATGCATTATTTTGGTTTGTCCACAGATTATTCATGTGGAGATGTTTAACATGCAGCCACAAATGTGGTTCTGAGGCTGAAAACATTTAGAAGTAATCGGCAAAGAGATTTTATTTAAAGCTTTAGGAAAAGCGTAGCTATAGGAATTGATAACGCCACAAAGGGATTCAGAGAGAAAAAAATTGTGAAAATCTTCAGGAAGAGGACTCCACAATGGAGTCTTGAAAAGGAACTGGAGAAAGAACCAGAAGGAACAGGAAACGTTCTCTCCTGGCCATACTCAGGGAAGTACAGACACCCACCTCTGTCACCACAACTGATTTATTTTTCAAATTTATTTATTTTTAGTTTTTAAAGACAGGGTCTCATTCTGTCACCCAGGCTGGAGTGCAGTGGTATGACCACAGCTCACTGCCGCCTCAACGTCCCAGGCTCAAGGGATCCTCCCACCTCAGCCCCTTGAGTGGCTGGGACTACAGGTGTGTGCCACTACACCCAGCTAATTAAAACAAACAAACAAAAAACACTGTAGAGACAAGGTCTCACTATGTTCTCTAGGCTGGTCTTGAACTTCTGGCCTCAAGCGATTCTCCTGCCTCAGCCTCCCCAAAGTGGTAGGATTATAGGCATGAGCTGCCATACACAGTCAAAACTTATTATGCACTCACCTCATTCGCTGTAGGGGTGTAGATACTGTCAAGCAAAACTTTCTGAAAGTTTACAGCCTAGGACAGGGAATAGAGACATGTCCTTCAAGTCTGTAGTACAGACTTTCAAAATACAAGCCCAGCGTGTAAATATGTGGACGACTGCATATTAACGGTCCCCGATGAATCACACTCCTAGGTGTTCACATCCTTATGCAGCCCCTTCCCACAGTGACTCTGGTACTGGCCGCGAGGGTGGCTTTGGCCAGTGGGCAATCAGCAAACAAGACCATAAGCACAAGCCTGACAAGCACTGAGCCCTGGGTTTGTTCTTCTGGAAGGTGGTTACAACAGCCCCAGATCCAGTGATTCCCCAGGTGACTGCAGCCACGTGAGTGAGACCAGAAGAACTGCGCAGCAGAGCCCAGCCCAAATTGCAGAATCCCCAGCAAATAAACACTTGTTGTTTTAGGCCAATTATACATTAATAGCAATAAACAAGTACTACAGAGCATTTTAAAGATGGAGGCAATGTATGTCTATGTAGGGTAGCAAGGAAGAGCAAACGTCAAACAAGCTTTAGGTCTGGAATGGAAGTGTATATTTTAAAACCCACAGAAGAGTGAAAATGGCCCCATGATTTGACACCTAGGTTGGTCTCTCTGGAACTAAGCACCTTTGTCAGTATGGCTCTTTTCAAACCGTTATATCCTCATCTGTTGATCCCATCCATAACGATCTAAGATACAGATTCCATAGTTTAAGAGCTTAAAGGACCTAAAGATGACAAAAAGATTAATAAACTGAAGCCAAATAAGTGACTTATTACTAAAATAACACAAGAAATTACTTTTAGCATCAAGACCAGAAGCTAGACCTGCTACTGCTCAGCTGATGTGCCTTGGACTATGGAAACCTGCCCAAACATAACAACACATGCTGCATAACTTAGCCTATCCAGACTCTATTCATAGATTTGCCATCCTCAAGAAAGCCAGCATCTTGCATGCCCTAACACACATGGGTTATTTGTTCTTTTCTTCTTTGTGCAGTGAGGTTCAATGGCTGGATGGAATCATCCAGGTGGCAAACAGCACAAAGCAAGACAAGCAGTGTAAAGTGCACCGGCCAAAAGGCTGCAGCAACCATGCTGCCCAGACGAAACCACAACTCAGACACAAGCCACCAAAGCAAAGCAACTCGGCCACAAAGAGTGTAAAATCCCACAAAACGTGTTCATTCAACAGTCTTGATGCCCATCAAGCTGGACAATGTAAAAAGTACTTGTTTACTTAAAAGGATCTCAGCAAGTATACTCTAAAACAGATTTTTCAGAGTCACAGAATGATTCTGAATGGATAATCTGAAAATAAGTATGAAGACAGTTCTGTAATGGATGTATAAGTGAATACTATCTCTGGAAAATCTGCTCTTTGGAGATACTGAGTGCCGCAATTCGATCGGCTAATTCTGGCATCACCTTCCTCCTGAACAGTCCCCCAGGACCAAAGAACACAGTGGAATTTGCACTAATGATCCCCAATGGGGCTCCAGGAAGGCTGCATTTTGGATAATAACTTACATGTTGAAGCAGGTTTGATCATCCTGGTTGAGTGTACTTGCTAAGAATGAATGAATAAAATTTATAATGAAAATAAATATAGAAAGCATTGGGTTTTGATTAAAATACCCCATATAAAATTAAGTATATCATAGTAAATTAACTCCACTCTTCTCTGCCACACTCTCCCCTTTCTTTGAACAATCTCTTCTGTCTCCATATTAAGTTTCTATATGGATGGCCATATTCTTTGGTTAATCTGACCTCAATTTATAGCCTCTCTCAATAACTGTTCTCCTCTCCTCTTCCCAGAATTAGTCTTCCTGACTTAAATTATTATTTAAGTATGTCTTAAAGCATTCCTATTCAAACTAAATACGTAACCAAAAGGAAAGAGCAGGAAGAGTACAACAGAACTACTCATTTTTACTCTTTATTCTTTTTCCCTTTACTTTTTCTGGATCCCATCTAAGTAATTTTCAAAATAAGTATCTTAAACGGAAATTATTCTCCTAGTGAACAGGGATCAATTTTTGAAGGGGGAGGGAAAAAAACCCACTTTTCTATTGTTATTGTATGTTTGATGGAAAGAAATTCATTGACATATTTTTGGCTTTTGTTTTTAAGTATGTAGGACCTTGAAGTTCAGTGAAGGACAAAGTCCAAAAATCATGGTGCCTTAGAATATTTATTACAGTTCTTCTGTAAGATTAAAAGTATTATGCCCGTGTAAGAATCTTAGTAGTGATTCTTACTTGGTTAAAATCTTAATATTAGCACTTGTTAAAGTCTTCTTCAGACAGTGTTTTTGTTAGCACCACCCTGAGCATGTGGTTGGCTAACAGTGCCATGACAGCAAAATTGGAAGGTATATTCTCAAGGCCACCAGAAGCCCTAGCCCATACCTTCAACTAAATCAAATTAATTTGATTACACTGATAGAAAAACAATGACTCATGGTCAAGATGTGGTGGTTAGGAAATGGGACAGAAAGAATCCTCAGTAAAGAGCATCCACCAAATCAAAGACATCAGAAAAAAACATTTAAAGCACATCAATTAGCCAATAAAATCCAAGGAAGCCAAGAAGGAATACCGAAAGCCATTTAGGTAACTGTCAACCTTTACCATGCATGTTTATCATGCACGTAACAAAACCAAAAAGTGCTCAGAGAAACACCAGCTGAGCTTACCAGAAACACCCATTTACTTTATACTTGAGAAATCAAAAGAAGCTAAAAAAAAAAAAAAGAATTAACATTTTGATTAACTTAGAGACACAAAACAAATATAGTTCTCTAATTTCTCCATTTGAGAATTAGGATTAAGAGGTTTTTTTTTTTTAAGGTATGTATATGTCCAACTTTTCTTAGGTTCAAATTGACTTAAAAATGAGTGGGGAAAAAAGTGGGTAATATACTCAAGAATACAAATTGTCAAGAACATAGAGTGTGCACAATTCGCGGAATATCCTGAAATTTCTTTAAAATTAGAGTACATTTTTTTCACAATACAAAATGCCGCAAGCTTTCCTAACTAAAATCCCTATGTGAACTTATTTGCTATAGTGAATAAAAGTTGCCATAGCTTAAAACTGAATATCCTTTTACTGATCCCTTCCCTTCAAGAAGCATAAAAGGATTGTTATGAACACCATCAAAACTAAAAAGTTGTATTTCATTCACAAAAGCAGGTGTAATTAAAGTCACATAATGTCTTCAGCCACGTAAATTCACACTCCCTGCTCCAGAACACGAAGAACACGTGAAGGAAATTACTATGCTGAATTTCATCCAATTTCCAGCCAGATATCAATTTGCAAACTTAATTAAAACTGGCGGTTTACCAAGAAGAATCAAATATCAATCCAATAGATGCATGGATGTGTTGTCTTTTTTTTTTTTTTTTTTTTTTTTTTTTAAGGAAAAAGAAAAAGAAAAATCAAGACATCCCAAGCAAAGGATTAACAGTGCTTTGATTGGAATTGAAAGCTATGAGTTAAACAGGTGTTTTGAATGATCACTTTTATTAAAACACAATCCTCTACATGAAGCTCACTAGATTTTTGAAATTGTTAATTTTAGAATATTGAAAGAAAATGTTTGACTTAACAGGGACTCATAAATCATCAAAGAAGGATGACGGCTATTGCATCTGGGAAATTCACTCCTACAGTATTTCCCTTGGTAGCACAAGGTACTATTTTGGTACCAAAAGAAACCTTAGCAACAATCAGGTGCTCTTTCTGCACACAGAAGAGCACCTCCCAGTTGGGAGATTCATCCCACAGGAGCCTCAGCTTGTTTGTCAACACCAGGTCCTTTTAATGCATGTGAAGCATGAAGGGGTCTAAGGACAGCAGCTGTGGGGAAAACAGGCTGGCCAAGACCCACCGCCCCACAAAGGGCTCCGGGAGTGGATTATGCTGATGCTGTGTAGCAGGGTGGAGTGCCCAGTGACCCGTGCAGAGCCTAGGGGATTGCCTGTCCTCTGTGTGGAGTTCTGCTGAAAGAGACAATGATGGGCACATCCTAATATCCAGGCTTCTCACTGGATCCAATTTATTTACCTTCTCCTCCGCCTGGGAAAATGGAATCTAAACGGGGTGATTGACACTACGTTGCTTAAACATGGCTCAGTTTTGTATTCCCTAATGCAAAGTGGAAATAAAGTGCGGATGAAACAGAGAAGCAGTTGCAGTGAGATGAAAGGGAATGATGTTTAATATTCTACATAAACATAGAGCAAGGATGTGGAGCCCAATGAGACCTAGTGGGAAAATAACAGGCAAAAAAGTAATAAACAGTTCTAAGAACTGAGAGAAATATTTGGGAGAAATATAAAATTTTATTCATATTCCATTTTGAAAAAAAAATTTAATGCCTCCAATTACATTATCAAGCCTTATCAGCTCAACAAATGGTAATATATGCTTGTGTAGCAGCAGTATTTTTAAAATTTGTCATCTTAAACCTTGTTGTAGAGTCTATTATATCCTATGACATATGATGCTGCAGACAGAGCAGTTTTAGACTCGGAGGGTACTCTGGAGACCACCTAATCTAACCCCCTCATTTTATAAATGAAGAGACTGAGGCCAAGGTCATTCATGGAAAAGCTGGGTGAAACTCCAGGGACTTCCTAGCTTCTACCCACAGCCTGCAGAACAGGGTCCTGGCTTAACAAGGCCACTCTCTGCCACTACAGAGTCTGTCTCAGTAAATAGATCTACATTAACACGCTGACATTGACATAAGAGTGAATTTTTGTTCTGTTATATAGATTTCATGTTTACTTAACATATACCTGATCATTTTTTTTTCTTTTTCTTTTTTTAAAGATGGGGTCTTGCTCTGTCACCCAGGCTGGAGTGCAGTGGCACAATCATAGCTCACTGCAGCCTTGAACTCATGGGCTCAAGTGATCCTCCCACCTCAATGTCCCAAGTAGCTGGGACTACAGGTACGTGCAACCACACTCAGATAGGTTTTTTTTTAAAAAAAAAATTTTGTAGAGATGGGTTCTGAGATCAGCCCAGCTGGTCTCAAACTCCTGACCTCAAGTGATCCTCCCACCTCAGCCTCCCAAAGCACTATGACTATAGGCCATGAGCTGCCATGAGCCCCCCATGCCCGGCCTACCTTCTCTTTTGAATGCCCAGCTCACCACCCACATCTCACCCTTCCCTGAACCCCAGATCTACCTGGTTACCACAGGAGTGATGATTCTATATGTCTGTGACCCTATTCTCTGGCCATCACAGGGTTCTCTACTCTGCAGCCAGAATTGTTCAGGGCTGGCCAAGGCTGGCCCCAAGCCCAAGCAGACCAATGAGTTTTCTTTCCAGGATCTGACCTTCGGACTTTCACGCAGGACTCTTCCCATAATTTAATGATGAGATATAAAGAATGGACACAGTCACTGTTCACCAAAATTTGGCCTGGAGGAGGCAGAGATGCGGATGGAAGCAGAGGTGAGAAACAGAGAGGTCCTGGCGGCATTTGCATCCCTGGTTCCAGCTGCACTGTGGGCTCAGCCACATCCCTTGCTCCACATCCTAGCTCGGGCCTCCAGAATGCACCCTCGGATCCTGGAGACAAAGCTCTCTTTCTGCTTAGTCTGAATTGGGTTTCTGTCACTTACAACCTCAGTCCTATAGCACTTTCAAGTTTCATTGAATTTTGCTTTGAAGATACTTAGCACCTAGTGTGTGGTTTGAGGCAAACCAATTT
The DNA here is from genome assembly GCF_000001405.40 of Homo sapiens. Taxonomy (NCBI): domain Eukaryota; kingdom Metazoa; phylum Chordata; class Mammalia; order Primates; family Hominidae; genus Homo; species Homo sapiens. The sequence continues at coordinate 22,642,355 of NC_000010.11, forward strand.
ATTTTGGCAAATAAAATCATACCAACAAAGAATACTAGGATAGGCTGGAAAAATCAACCTTGTCACTCAGAATGTCACTAATAGGTATTCAATTTATTAAGATAAATAATTAAACATAACTTTACCACTTGCAACTTGAGAAATTTTAAATATATATTCTTAAATTAGGAGTATCTATAACAGTGTATTTATAAACAGATCATGTGTGTCTGTATGTATATTTATATGTGTATTTATAAACAGATCAGTGTGTGTGTCTCTATATACACACACACTGATCTGTTTATAAACAGATCTATAATAGAACAGTGTATTTATAGCACATCAAAACGATAGTTAGAACAGGTTTGCCTCTTATAGAGTTAAGACAATGACACATTCACATGAAAAGATCTAGGGCTTGGAAAAGACCAACAAAGTCTCTGTGGTCCAGGTAAGAGAAGGAAATTGGTCTTGTTCATTCTAACCTCCAACAATCTTCAGACCTTCCTAGATAGTAATTCATGTATTTTAGCTTCATTCCTGCCAAGAAGTTTTCTTTTGTCAATGTAAACATCTCTGATTACATCTTAAGTCTCTTTCCTCTAGTCTGTCTGCTGTGGAGATGAGGAGAAGCTCATCACGCTCCTGAATATGAGACCTGGGATTACCTGCCTATTTCATTAAGCAATTTTCAAAAGGCTCCAGCACCAAGGAGGAGGAGTGGAAACACCTAGTTCTCCCTGTGGGTGATGGACACCTCATCAGGATGGGGACAGACTGAGGACTTGGCTCCTGGAGCTCCAGTTTTCCCAACTCCAAGTCTCGGGCCCCTTCTTCCCACCCATCTCCTCATCCCTCTCTCACCAATTACTAACTCCCTTGTCTACAGTTTGCCAGACTACATCCTATGGGCAAATCTGGCCGCTGGCTGCTTTTGTCAATAACGTTTTATTGGAACAGAGCCAGGCCCATTGATTTGTGTTATCTATGGCTGTGTTCGTGCTATGATAGAAGTTTGAGTCACTGACAGAAACTGTATGGCCTAAATACAGTGCCTAAAATACTTACTGTCTTTTTGCAGAAAAAGTTTGCTCACCCTTAGATCTGTCTTAGGAAGGCAGATTAATCCCACCAGGCCTTCCATCCCTGTTTAATTCAGATGTTACAAGAATTCTAGCCACCAGCTCGCTCCATTCCCCTCCAAAGATTGCCTAACCTGACCCAGTTGACCTGAACCTTTGCCATCCCAGGCCCCCAAATCCCTCCATGGGGCTCTCCAAGAGTCATAATTTCTCATCAGCAAAAATTAACCTAACGCTGAACCTTTATCTTTTCATGCCAGCCAAATTCTGATTGTCCCCAAGGACCACACTTCCCTTGCAGCCCCCCTCAAGTATTTTTTTCTTCTGCGCAGGAACCACAGAACCAGAAGATGGGGTAGGTGCCTTGTGCTCCTCCTGACCAATCCCACACCCCCATTCCCTCCTCCTCCCTGAAGCGGTCATCCCCTCTGAAGCACCTACCATCACATTACACCACGCCTCTGCCTCTTGGAAGGCTCCTGGCCACTTCCCCTTCCCTTGGAGGGTTTATCATCCTCCAGAACCCAGCCTGCCCCACCATCTGCAGTGCAATGGCTCTCAGTTTTTAAAACATTTCTAGCCCTAATCTCTCCACTGAATTCTAAACTCCTGCTAATCACCATCCCCAGCTGGATCTCTAACAAGCATCCCCAAAACTAAACAACACGTAAATATGAAGTCCTGTTCTCCCCTGGCCTGCAACCAGCTCCTGCTCACCCCTCCCTCTCTCAGCCAGTGGGACCTCCACGCACAGAGTAGCACCTCCATGCACAGAGTAGCTTGGGCCCAAACTCCCGGAGTTGACTCTGACTCCCCTCTCACCCTGCAGTCAAGTCTTCAGCAAATCTGTGGGCTCTTTATTCAAAACATGCCCCAAATCAGCCACTTCTCTCCACCACTGCCTCTCTCTTCAAAGCCATCAGCATGATTCTGCAGATGGCGGCAAAGCCTCCTGGGAGGTCTTGGCTTATCAGTTCCACACCTTGCAGCCCAGGGCATCCTATGCAGAACATCAAGCTAATTATTTCACATCCCTGCCCAACTCCTCTACAAGTCCTCACCTTGGCTAAACTCCTGCCTGGTTTGCCCATGGCTAGTCCGTCAGGCTTCGGTCCCCACCTCACTTCCCAGTCTCTCACCTCAAGTCTCCTCTCAAATGCCACCTTAGCAGATGGGGCTCCCCTCACCACCCTATCCAGATGGCACCCACCACTCTAATCTCCTTCCCTAGCACTTGGTAGCACCTGACCTGACAACTTACTTTGTTCATTTTTAACATTTTCTCTCCGCCTCCTAGAATGTAAGACAGGACAGTAGGGATCTAGTCTGTGTGTCTATTTTTTCCCTAGTGTGTATCTTCTAGGACCTACACTTGTGCCAGGTAATTAGTGGACAGGCCATAAATATTCAATAAATAAATGAACTAAATGAACCAACCAAGTCACCATTATTTGTTTCATGGCAACTTGCCCTAACTGGAGAAGAAAAAGAACTGCTTCGGTTAATTTCCAGATACTCCTAGAAATTCCCAATCCATAAGAGTCAGTAAATTCGCAAGACAGTTTTCTAAGACTTACTGCCTACCCCCTTCCCCCTATGCTGGGGACTTACTAAAAGAGCAAAGAAATATTAAACTATCAGGTAGAACCAAATCACTATAATTGGTCAGAATTGACTTTTAAAATACCAAAATTTTGATCTTTTAAAATTTTGATTCTCCACACTAGGTTGAAGCAACTCATTTTGAAAACGCAATTTTTTTAAATGGGTGACGATGACAAAAAAATATTAATGCTCACGTATAACACCACTAGTGTGTCTGGTTAGTTATTAAAAATGAATTAGGGCCAGCCACGATGGCTCACGCCCATAATCCCAGCACTTTGGGAGGCTGAGGTGAGGGGATTACCTGAGCCCAGGAGTTTCAGACCAGCTTGAGCAACATAGTGAGACCCTGTCTCTACAAAACATTTTAAAAATTAGCCAGCCATGGTGGCAGGACCTGTAGTCCCAGCTACTCGGGAGGCTGAGATGGAAGCATCACTTGAGCCTGGGAGTTTCAGGTTGCAATGAGATACGATTGCACCACTGTGCTCCAGTTCTGGGTAACAGAGAAAGATTCTATTTCTTTAAAAAAAAAAAAAAAAGAAAAGAAAAGAAAAGAAAGAAAAAGATTAGTTTTGAAGGAATGAAAACAAGTAGAATACTGTAAACTTTGTTAAAGTAACAAGTGGAAAATGTCTTGAAAAACATGAAGATAGTACTTAATTTTTTTTTTTTTTTCTGAGACAGGGTCTCACTCAGGGACTCAGACAGGGTCTACACTCCAAGCTGGTGAGATCTCAGCTCAGGGCTCATTGCAGCCTGGACCTCCTGGACTCAGTTGATCCTCCCACCTCAGCCTCCTGAGTAGCTGGGACTACAGGTACGAGCCAACACACCAGCTAATCTACTTATTTATTTGTATTAATTTTTTTATTTTTTGTAGAGACGGGGTCTCCCTATGTTGCCCAGGCTGGTCTGGAACTCCTGGGCTCAAGAGATCCACCGATCTTGGCGTCCCAAAGTGCTGGGATTATAGGTGTGCGCCACTGTGCCCAGCCTAATAATATAATTAACTCAGGTAAACCATTTTTAATTTCATGATCAATCTGCCTGAGAAAAGGGGTCAGCCTGGCAGTGCACAGTAACAGATGAACAAAGAAGACTACATCTGAAAGACAACTTTCCTACAGACACAAGGAAGAAAACAGGCTTCTCTGCTTTCTGTAGGCAGGTACTTTGGTCACCAAGAACCCACCTTTGGGGATGTGATGTGCCTCTCGATGAAGACATTGCTTGTCCCTAAAGTTGGCTGGAGAATGAGACAAGAGGAATAGAGAAAGGGAGATTAAGATTTCCTTGGACTTTTGTCTATAGTCTTACTTTTAAAAATAATTCTCATGGCCTTTTGCTGCATTTTTATTCTTTCCTTTCACACAAGAGAGCTTATCAACAGCTCTGACAGCTCATTTCGTATTTGGTTTCTGGTTATCTTGTACTCATCTAATAGGTGGTAGTGGTGGTTTTCAGTTCACACATTTTTCTTACAAACAGCCTTGCTCTCTGAAAAGACAGGAAGCAGACTAGTATGGATGGCAAAAAAAACACAAAAATCAAGACCACCCTTACTTCTGCTGAGAATAGTTGTTTAGAAGGCTAATTTGGTTATCAGAGAGTAAAAGCCACAGTATACAACCTGCGTTTGTAACTTGGGAGGGACACTTTGTCTTCCCTTTCTGAAGGCAAGCCAAAGTGGGCCCCAGGATCTCCAGTGGGGAGCACTGTTGTTTGCACCCACCTGTGGAGTCTGAGAGTCAGGACTGTCTTAAAGACAAAGTTTATCTAGTTAGATCCTTCTTAAGATAGGTTGGCTGATATATCCTTTTCCTTAATTACTACTTTCTATTGTATGCATATTAAGTAGAACTCTAATGCTTCCTTCAGCAAAAACTCTTCAAGACAAAACAAAACAAAAAACAAAACAAAACAAAACAAAACAAAAAAAAACAAACCAGGATGCAAGCTGACTAGGCTGTCAACCTGGCTGATCCATGGGTGTTTTCTCTCACTGAAACAAACAGAATTGTTTACTTCTACTACAAAGTTTTTTCAAAGAAAGATGGAAAGCTGCTTTTTAAATGAGGCTTTATTGCTCTCTGGCCAAAGCAGAATAGGAAATGCAAGGCTTCGTAACTACTATTATTATTACTCTCATTATTTCATGGGCTTTAAGTTGCCTATTAAAAGTGTGTATGTGTGCCCATGTGCCATTTTTGGTAGCAAGATACAGGGTAGGAGAATCAAATTCTAAGTCTCATCAGACAATTCAGTATCTAGTCTCTAAATACTGTGTGTGTGTGTGTATGTGTGTGTGTGTGTGCACGCGCGTGTGCGTGTGTTTTCAAGCTCTGTCTTAAAGCAAATATGTTAACTATTTTGTGAAAGGCTTGTGGGACCAGAGGAGGAGGCAGGGAAGCAGATAAGAAAGTGAAAGGACCGAGGTGGAGAAAAACAGGCTCTCCTGGGATTTGATGGCAGAGGCATCCCATCTTAAACACCATCAGAGAGTCATGAGATCTACACAACATGGACAACAATAACATAGGCCACAACAGTAACTCAATCTGCATTCAACAACATGGAAAAACAAAGTGACTGGTGTGATAGATGACATGAAACACTCTCCTCCCAATCAGCTATCACATCTTTGTTCCAAGTAACAAGGAAAAGGCCTCAGAAAGGTCACAGAAGACAGGATTGTGGGGACTTTCTTCACATCAGGTCCACTGGGGAAGTGGCATATTAAACCACAGTAAATGACCCAATGAAAACAGGCTACTGGCAACAAGTACATGCAAGCGACCCTTTGGGATTTTACACGGCAGAAAACTCACCATTAGCCCTGGAAGCAGAGAGCTGGGAAAAACAAAAGAAAAACAATGTGTGAAAAGAAATAAGATCTTCCAAGAAAAGCATTTAGAAGATAAAAATAAAACATCGACAACATCTCAGCCACTGGATCTCTACTTTTGTTATCTAAAGACCTTCCTGAATCCTTTCCTACGTCTACCCATTCTTCAAGGCTGTTCAGACTTTATTTCCTTCCTCCTCAAAGCCTTCCTGGAATATTCAAGCCCTGACTTATCTTCCTTCCAGTCTCTGTCCTTTCAGAGTTAACACAAAATTCACTCTGTTTAAATATACAGTTTTCTCTCTTCTTTCCTGCAAAGGTTGTATCTTAAAATATGCTAAGTAAAAAGAAAAAAAAAGTACCAAATAATGAGTGAGAATATGTACAGAAAATATTCAGACAACCAAAAAACTCAATTAAGGACGGTGTGGGGAGAGTTAATTCCTTAAGTCTGCTTAGTAGTTACTCTGTGACTCCTTTATTAGCTGACATTAAATGGCCCTCTGGTTATTACAGTATCAAAGAAGAGGAAAAGTAATCTGAAGAATATTTCTTCCATGGGACAACTTCATTATTATTCTTCAATTTTTATGAATGTCTTTGAAAATCTTTAACCACTTGTTACAGATAATGAATATTTTGCCTTTTCCAAGTATTTTCCTCAGACTGGAAAACACTCTTCCTGTCATTTCATACTATCTCTGATTTTGCAGGAGGAGCCCTGAAACATGTGACCTTTTCTTATGCAGTTTATCTCCAGGAAGAACAGAAAACTGATTAACCACAATCAGACATTAAAAAAATTCCCTGGCTCTTGTGGTCTGAAACAGGCACATTTCCTTCACACGCTTCAAGGAAACAATTGAATGTAACTATTTAAAACATACTCCCAAGCTTAATGAGCAAGAAGCAACTTTGCCAGACCACAATGTCTTTAAGAGATCAATTTGGCCAATGAATACTAGAGAGGATACACATTCCTGAAACAGAAAGCAATTCAGAGATACTTGTGATCATCAGAACGTAGCCCAAAGCCATGCCATTTGCTTGAGGGCAGAAAGCACATTCTAGGACATCAGTATCATACTTTCAAGAATTAACCCTCTGATTTCCCATAAAATACCAGTTTTTAGAGCCAGAAAGCACTAATAAAAATAATTTACTAATCTGGGCACTGGAATATTTTCACTAATAGTTCAAATTTGAGTTTAGCTATATGTCATCAATTTATAAGAATAAAAATTTATCCAAAACTTCTTGCTGTTGCATGCATTTGTTTAATGGATTCTCTAGAAGGCTTCGCCAGATTCTAAATGTTCCATCATACATTTATTCACCAGTTATCAAGCAACTTATGAATAATTTAACATGTTCCTGTATTCCACGATCAGATGGGTCTATAATGTCTGTTTCTTTCTCCTTTGACTATAGATTTTCCAGCTCCCCAAAAGTTTCTTTATTGTTTTAAGTTCACACTTTTAAAATATTAACTTGGCTGTCAAATGAATCATCTTCCACATAAAAGGGCTGAGTGAGTGGAGTTACTGTTGAACTTGAGAAAAACCCCTGAGCCAAAACACGTGTCAAACGGCCATCTCTTTTCCACCTAAGCGCCAAGTTGCACCCGGCACAGTGCAAGGGGCCAAGACCAGGAGAAGAAAACATGCTCCCTGTCCTCCAGGAGCTAATAAAATAACTAGTGGGTGACACTGCAGACACAAGGAAGGAAGAAGTCTGAAAGCATTAGCACACGCAGGCTCATGGTTAACCCGAACATCCTGACTTAGCTCACCTCCAAGGGAGGGGCATGCTCCCTCAGCGGCAAGACCAGGAACGGGGTGGACAGCTACATAATGGGACAGATTTACTCAGTAAGAGGGATGGCCATACCCACATCAGTCTCCTCGCTAAATTACACAGCACAGGCAGGTGGAAGGACCTGCCCCCAGGAAAAATACTTATGTAGATTCATTCTTCAGCAAACGATATCAGCCCTACTTTTTTCCTCTATTTCCTTTATGGCCATTCATATCCCTCTCCCATCCCATCAGGTACAAAAGTTCCCCTGTATCGCTGCAAGAGAATGGCAGGAACACCCAGAGTTCATGGTTCTATCTGCCTTCCTCATTAGTCCATCAACTCCTTGGGGACAGGGACTGTGTATCTCCCCAGAACCCATCCATGGGATTTGGCTCAAACATTTGACCAATAAAACTAAGTGTGTGTCCAAAAATCTTCTAGGCTATTCCAGAATCCCAAGTGGCCTGCCTTGTGGGCCACTCCCTTAGGGACTTCCCAGGTGACCCAGCTCTGATGATCTATCAGAGGTATTTACAAGCAGGTGTGAAGGTTTTACAGTCATATCACTTACCGTTTTTTAGCCTCAGTTTTCTTTTTTCTGAGACTGGGTATCCCTTTGTCACCCAGACTGGAGTATATAGTGACATGGCCACAGCTCACAGCAACTTCGACTTCCCGGGCTCAAGGGATCCTCCAGCCTCAGCCTCCGGAGTAGCTGGGACTACAGGGGCATGACACTACACCCAGCTAATTTTTGTAGAGATGGGGTTTTGCCATGTTGCCCAGGCTGCCTCAGTTTTCATAACTATAAAATGGAAGAAGGAATATCTGCCCTATGTAGTCCACCATGAAATACAGAGCACTCTATACACAAGAGAACCTATTTGAGCTCAATTTTACTGTGATATTGTGAACAAGCTGGACTTCTCGCTTCAATATATACTCTCACTTAGGTGCCACTCGCGGTATAGCAAGAAAGTTAATGTTCTCAACAGAGATAAACTCATTCTTTATTTTAAATTAACTTCTCCAGGCACAGCCTAGCTGCTAGCAGGATGAGATACATGAACCAACTTCTATACTTTCTAGAAATGGTCTATTTCCAAACAAAAAGATTACTTCCTAAACTAGATGGAGAGTTTCTTCTTTTTGGAAATCTACTGGGTTTTTTTTTTTCCCCTACCTTTTACTGGCTGGCTGTTCCTGCTCTAGCCTGCTTCTACATGTCCAAGTGGTCTGGCTCGAGCCACCTCAGGCCACGGCCTCTCAAGCCTACCTGGTTCACCACCGGACTTTAAATCTCATCTGGAAGTGACAGCTCCCAGATTTGTAGCTCTAGCTCCTACCCACTCTCTGAGCTCCAGACTTCCACGACCAATGGCTTTCTTAACATCTCCATTTAGAGGGCTAAAAAGGCACTCTTACCACAAAGTTAATTATGCCAGAAAACCATGCCCTGAGTCTGGATGAGTGGATGTCTAGTTTCTCTCCACCTCCTAAGCCCCACCAGCTATCTGGACTCACTAAGTCTGTCCACCAAGCAGACCCTTAACTGGTCTCCTGCCTTTCACTCTGTCCCTCCTCCAAGCCTTTCTCCCAATTGAGGCGGCTGTGATTGTTTAAAAGCACTCATCTGCCACTATTCCCAGCCTCAAAAGATGACTTCCAATTGCTCTTAGGAAAAATCCTTTTGGTGACCTCAAAGCCCTACCTGACCCCACCTTGTCCCCAACTCTATGCCCTGTGGCCTTTCACTCCGATCACCCCGGCCTTTGCTCTGTTCTCCCAGCGAGCCTGGGGCCTCCCACGCAGCAACTCTGCCTGGAATTCTCTCACTCCCTCACTCTGCTTCTCCTGGCCAGCTCTCAGCTTAGATGCATCTTCCTCCAGGAGACTTCCTAGGCGTCCACACCACCTCCACTTTAGACTCTGTCCCCTTATTATTTACTTCTAAGCATTGTGAACCTGTCTTTTAGCCTTATGCAGTTGTCATCATTGGTATTTGTATGATGTATCTGACATCTGTCTCCCGGACAGTGGAACCGGTGAGAGCAAGGCCACGACTACTGAGGTCTGTGCTGGTGCCCGGGAGGCAGCTCAGTGGCTGCAGGGTGCCAAGGACAGATGCGTGGGCGACCCCTCACTGCTTGTGTGACTTCCTGTGCTGCTTTGGCTGGGGAACTGAAAATTAATTTCTCAGATTTCCTTGCTACTAGTGATCTGGATATAAAATAATGATTCCCCACCTGCTAGCACTATCCAGAGCTGCTTTTTCAGCATTTGCAGAGACTGAGCCACTATTAATACTCACTAGTACATTTAATGCCTTGCTATCTAAATCAGCTCCTGTAGATTCTGTATTATTTAACTGAGCCCTGTAACTGATACAGTGCTTAATTTGTGTTGAATAACCACTAATAGTCATGAAATAACTGAAAAACTGCACACAAATTTTTTTTTTTTTGAGACAGACTCTTACTCTGTCACCCAGGCTGGAGTGCAGCGGCATGGTCTTGGCTCACTGCAACCTCTGCCTCCTAGGTTCAAGCCAAGCGATTCTCCTGCCTCAGTCTCCCGAGTAGCTGGGACTACAGGTGCGCACCACCATGCCTATTTTTTTGGTATTTTTAGTAGAGACAGGGTTTCACCATGTTGCCCAGGCTGGTATTGAACTCCTGACCTCAAGTGATCCGCCTGCCTCATCCTCCCAAAGTACAGGGATTACAAGTGTGAGCCACCATGCCAGGCCTCAATTTTTAACTATCCACTTTAGCAACTGTCTGATAATAAAACACTGAATTGTGACATTTTGAGACATCTCCCTCTGCAAAGCAATGTCTTCGTAGTAATCAACACTGTAGTTATAATAAATCTAAGACATAACTGAAGTCAAAGTACCTGTAATTATCTAGCATATTATTTCACAGGCTGAAGGTACATTTGCTTTTAAAATACGCAAATGTGTATTAAAACCAAAAATTTAAAGTCTGTCACTGTGTGGTAAATTCATCTTGCAACTCAGGTTACACAAACATCTAAGTTAAGAAATGTTATGTTCTTAATGAAAAATACACAATGAATTCCCAACTGAAAACGCTGCTCCTTGTTCTGGTTCAATGCTGCTTGAAACGTTTATGAAGGGTCCATCGCAGTGGCTCACGCCTACAAGCCCAGAGCTTTGGGAGGCTGAGGCTTGAGGATCACTCGAGCCCAGTAGTTTGAGACCAGCCTGAGTAACATAATGAGACCCCCATCTCCACAAAACCACAAAAATAAGCTGAGAGTGGTGGTACACACCTTCAGTCTGAGCTGCTCAGGAGGCTGATGTGGGAGGATGGCTCGAGCCCGTAAGTTTGAGGTTGCAGTGAGCTATGATGGTGCTGCTGCACTCCGGTCTGGGCAACAGAGTATCTCAAAAAAAAGAAAGAAGGGTTTATGAGAAAGGACCACCCCCGGGGGTATGAATCATACTGTACACTAAGTTAAGGGCCACTCTACCAAAGACAACTCTAAGAAGAAAAATAGTTTCAAAGAATAAAGAAGAAGATATGGAAAAGGTGAAAACTCCTCCCCTCTTGCCTCAGGTGGGGGGCAGTACGTGGGAGGTAAGGAAATGAAGGAAGGCAGTGCATGACAGCCAAGCCAGGCCACTTCCTTCCTTCTCCTCCACCTCTTTCTACCCAGTGTCACACTGCAGGATACCGTAAGACCCTGGGCCACTTACTCTAAAACTTCAACATCTCTTTGTCTTCCTGACAGTTTCACTGGGGAAAGTGAACTGTCAGCAACAACAGGCTCACCTTCCACTCATCTTAATCTTTCTCTTAATGATTCAATTCAGCAGATGCACACTGGGAAGGCAGGGGAGGCAGACAGAAGAAAGGAGGTAGGGCCCTGGTGCTTTGGAATTTCCAAAATTGCTCAGTCCATCCTACGCACCTAAAGTTAGTGGAGATTTGGGATCGGGCATGGTGGCTCACCCCTGTAATCCCAGCACTTCGGGAGGCTGAGGTGGGTGGATCACTTGAGGCCAGGAGTTCGAGACCAGCCTGGCCGGCATGGCGAAATCCTGTCTCTACTGTAATCCCAGCTACTCGGAGGCTGAGGCAGGAGAATCGCATGAATCCAGAAGGCGGAGGTTGCAGTGAGCCAAGATTGCGCCACTGCACTCCAGCCTGGGCAACAGAGTGAGACTCCATCTCAAAATAAATAAATAAATAAACAAAATTAGTGGAGATTTGGGAAAGGTCTGTATTCTGAAGAACTGGCAATCTGCAGATCGGTGTTAATACCAAGAGAAAACAGCTGCTGTCTCTGAAGTGCCCAAGCATTTTATAAACAGTGGTTTTTTGGTGAGTGCAGCAGTGTCTCTCCTCACTATGGGGCTTAGATTTAATAAATGGACGAAAGGAAACCCTGCAGTGAGGGGTTCTGGAATGGCAATGACTTTGCTGGCCGCAGATGCCCAAGGCCATTAATATTTCCAACTTAATTTTGAAAAACACATGTTTCCGTAAATTTTTCAGGAAAATTTAATCTCATAATTTTTAAAAATGCTATGAAAATATTCAAGGTTGAATTATTTTATTTCCTCAAGGTGAGCTGGACACTCACTCAGATTAAACTTCCCCCTAGCAGAAATATCCACTATTAAGGAAATGAAAAACACAGCTCTCACTTTCCAAGAATTTACCATGTGTGGAGAAAAAAAAGACGTGTAAAAATAGATACTCAGAGTGGGCAAATGATCCAAATCGTAAGTACAAAAAGCTAAAAATTGGAGAATCTTAGTAACAACGACATCTGTGAAAGGCGTTCTTAACATGGGCTAAGATTTCAGGATCAAAAGGGCAACAGAAGGGAAAGGGGTTAATAAGACCAAACAGTGCTAGTGAAGCTGTCGCTGAGAAACAATGTCTTCAGAGACAGGTGAGTTTTAAAGTGATTCAGGGGTAGTCAAGTGTGCATTCCCAAGAAAGGGTCTGGTCCAGCTGCTGGTCATGGTGGGGAAGCCCTGCAAGCTGGAGTTGGGAGACCAGGGTTGTATAATTCTGGGCAGTTAACACCTCTGAGCCCTCCCCTCACATATTTTAATAGGGATGATGGCATCATCCAGCTATATCTCAAGGCAGCAAATGAGATGTGTGCGACTGCTTTGAAACCTATGAAAGGTTTTACCTGTGAAAGTTCAAATTAAAGCAAATCAAAGAAGGCTACGGCAAAAGTGGGCCTGGGGCTTTACCCAAGGAAAATGCAGGGGACAGAAATGAGTGGACTGAAAAAACAGTGCACCAGGAGGGTGGCTCACACCTATAATCCCTACTTTAGAAGGCCAAGGAGGGAGGACCACCTGGGGCCAGGAGTTTGAGACCAGCCTGGGCAACAAAGTGAGACTCTGTCTCTAAAAAAGAAAATTTAAAATTTAAAAATGAAAATGGAAAAAGGAAATTGTGCCTCAAGAGGCAGGACAGAGGACATACACAAGGTAAATTGATAGAAGCCCTGGGATACCACCAGGTGGAAAAATAACAATTTGACTCAATTGAAACACTTTGCAAAATACCATCTCTAAGGCAGAGGTCTGAAGATTTTTAAGAAAAGCTGAAGCTCTTAACCCAGTGTAACAGGCACCGATCCCTGTCTATGCAGCCATGCACAAGATGAGATCTTCAGAGCTGGAGCCCTCGGCAGGAGGTGGAGGTCTGTTTGTGACTGCTGCCCTGCCTTCCAGAACCATGGTAATTTATGTTTCTTCTCTGCACAAGCCTGACGCCCCATATTTCAAATGCTGTCTCTTGATTTAGCCAGTTCACAGCTGTGCGGTCTTTTTCATTTGTCTTAAAATTACAGGTAAGTATAAAGAACAGAAACAACCACATATCTTTTTGATGTATTTCCTTCTAGGCTTTTGTGTTCTAAGTTGTTTGCAGATGGCTGAACTCATCCTGTAAACAATTCTGCAGCTCAGCGTTTCTCATTTAAAAATTCTTCCAAATATTTTAATGAGTAGGTGCTCAACAACTATTTATTAAAATGTAAACATGACTGGATGGCTAGAAAACATTCCGACATGCATCTGTACCACGATTCGCTTACTTACTCATTTATTGACTGTTGCTGAAGCATACCCTGGCTTTTTACCAAATCTGTGATTTGTGCAAGAGTGGAGTTTCCGGGTTCCTGTGTCAGCCTTAAGAGCTGAGTGTGTTGTGCTGGGTGTGTTGTGTAGTGTTGCATCGTTCCACTGGAGGGGCACAAAGCGCTGGAGTGGGCATCAATTCCAACTCCAGGCATTCCCCCATTAGCATCTTGGGGGAATCAAACCAAGAATCCACCAATCCTTAAGGGGCAAGTTCCTATCGATCTGCTCTACGGAGCATTAAGACCTCAATGACCCCAGACCTTGCTGCCATCCTCCTCTCAACTCCTATGGCACATTTAATGAAATAATATAGAATTACTCCTAAGTGTTTCATCTCATGTTATTGTTTCCTCATGGATGAGTTCTGACTCCCGTGTGAGGGACACCGGCTGTTCCCGCTCCTCCACATCTACTCAGCTCCTTCTGGTTAGTGTCCTGTGTCCCCACCTGGGGCACCGGCCCCTCTCGAATTCCCAGTCCAGCTCCAGAAGTGGGAGAGGGGAACTGTGCCTAAAAAAAATAAGCACTTCCCATTCCCCTGGACACGACAACTGCTTCAGGGACAGACGTATGACCCAATTTGGGGTAAGGACAGTCAGGCCTAAGACTTTCATTCCACTGTTAAGGGAAGAGACACTGTCTTGCTGGACTCAGTGGTGAACACGGTAAGGCTGGAGCTGCTGAGACCATCTTGCTGCTACAAGGGTGCAAATAAAGGCACGGTGGTTCACACCTGTAATCCCGGCACTTTGGGAGGCTGAGGCGGGTGGATCACCTGAGGTCAGGAGTTTGAGGCCAACATGGTGAAACCCCATCTCTACTAAAAGTAAAAAATTTGCTGGGTGTGGTGGCGGGTACCTGTAATCCCAGCTATTCAGGAGGCTGAGGCAGAAGAATAGCTTGAACCTGGGAGGCGGAGGTTGCAGTGAGCCGAGATCGTGCCACTGCACTCCAGCCTGGGTGAGAAGAGCCAGACTCCATCTCAAAAAAAAAAAAAAAGCAAAGAAAAAAGAAAGAGCCAGGCCATGGTAAACTATATGAGACTCTAGGTAGAACTACACCTGGATTTTTTTTATACTTGAAGTTCTCTTTCTGATCAAGTCAGTTTGAGTTATTTTATGTCACTTTCAAAACTGACTTTCAAAATAGAGTCCTAAATGATTCGCCAGTTAGATTCTAAACTCCCTGAGCTTGAGGAAGCCTCTTCCAGTTCCCAACGGGGCCAAGAGCAGTGTTCAGCATTTAATGTACACTTTGGCTCTAGGGCCATATTTTATTTTGCTTTATATCTGCCCCAACATCTAATACTGTGATTGATATATCAAACATCTGTGTCTTACTTTGTAGCACTCAGGCCACAATTGGAACAGAACATTCTCAGAAGCACCAACCGCCCCAGACAGCTGGTGGAGATAACTCTGTTGGCAACGCAGTACTTTTTCCTCCCTCTGCAATGGGATGCCTTCACCTCCAGACATCCATGGGAGACAGCTGGGAATAACCCCAAAGCACTTAAGATAATGAATGACGTTTAGGAACAAAGCACCAGTCTTCCATCAGCCCTTATCAAAAGGTATTCCATATTTCAAGGGACTAAAATTTGTCTTTTCAAGGAACTTCTTCAATTTTATTTTTGACTGTTGTGGGTCAGTAACAAGTCTTCCTAGAGCAATTTTGGATTTTTCTTTTCACCTGAAGGATCTTCAAAAGGATGCCTTTCAACTCCCTATTCCAAAGCAAAGACAGACGCACTGCTTTGACACGAAAAAAACAGGCTGAAACCAATTTAGATTCTACAATGGTAAACCAAAGAGTCTTTAGCCTTGATATAAATGTCTTCTGAAAGAATATGCTTCACCAAATAAAACAAAGACTTGATGTCATAGCTTGAATTTTGGAAATGTGTCCTTATCCATGTGACTACTTGAAAAAGCAAGAAGTGTAGCTGGCCTGCCCACTTGAAAAACTGAAACCCATTTTGCCCAGGCATGGAATTAGAGACAGTAAATAAGAACACTGTTATTAAACATCCCATCAATTTTTAATATGGGTGCAATCGCTAAATTTCAAATCTAGTAGTTTTTTTTCTGGATATAAACTAATGCTATTGTGAAATCATTTTTTAGCTGGACGTAGAAAGTGGGACCTGTTTTTTTCAGGCTAGAAACCCTACTGAGATCACTGCTACAGAAATATGTGGCGCCAGAAGTACAGACAGGAAGAGAAACGTGTAATTTTTTTCTAAGCAATCAGCTATGAATAAAATGCAAGAATACTTTACTCACCCCACAGGGAAAATGTTTCTTAAAAACTTCCTTTGTTGATCTTCTCAGAATTAGTAGAATTTCAAGGTTTGCTCTACTTTGAATATGTGGCATCAAAATGTCACACCACAATACAAATCATTTTGGAAAAATACTATAGAAAATGTTAACAGTTAACAAAAGGAGACTAAAAGTGTTGAATGTGACATAAACTGAAACGGAAGAAATACTTGGATAACAAGCAAGGTTATTACCGGAAAGAACTGAAATACTTTACAAAATAACACCATCTCTAATACTTGAGGTACATGTATTGGTGGAGAAAGGGACCACGGTATATTAATGTTTCATATAACTGTAAGAATCTGAGAACTTAAAATACTACCTGTTAAACTGATACAAATAAATTAAAAAGTAAAGCAGGAAGGATAATAGGCTTAAACTACCAAACATTCAAAATACAGGGAGACAGTGAATTCAAGAACTGCAATTAGAAGCTATTCTATACCTGCTTTTTTAAAAAATGTAAAGCTTCTTAGACTAGATCTTTACCAAATCTCTATTTCATCAATCCAGTGGGATCATATGGTTGCTGCGCAGCAAAAGATCCCATAAGAATGAGAATGTGAACATCTCTCCAGCAGTTATCCTAAGCCCAGGAATGTCACAGGCATTTTACATACATGATCTCAAAAAGTCTGCAGAGCAATTCCATTGGTGGATATGAATTTTTGTCTCCATTTTATAGAAGAAAAAACTGAGTTTAGAAAAGTTACGTAACTCACCCGAGGTCACAAGGTCATATTCAATCCCATGACTATCAGATGACAAAGCCTGGAGCTTTACACATCTTTCTGATAAGGGCTCCATAGGGTTCCTAAGCAAATCTCCAGGCCCCTTGGGGCAGCTCAAGGCTGCGGAATGTACCCCCACCAGAATCCAAGAAACTTGGGTCTGCCTTGGCTCCGAGGTTGGGACTAGTAATCTTGGTTTGTCAAACCACCACCCCTCTGGCCTCAGGTCCCTCTGCATAACATGAACAGGTTGGACTGAATGCACCCTGGTTCCTTCTGGCTAACACTTGGATTCCATAGGAAAAAGCTAGCTTTACCCAGTCTTCAGTCATTTTCTTTTTCTTTTCCTAGGCACATACCACTGAATATACTCATAACACGTCTTTATGGCCACAAAAGGATTCAAGCACCATAAGGACTACAGACAAAAGGCTTTGATTTGGCTGGGTGCAGTGGCTCATGCCTGTAATCCCAACACTTTGGGAGGCCAAGGTGGGCGGATCACCTGAGCAGGAGTTTGAGACCGGCCTAGCCAATATGGCAAAACCCCGTCTCTACTAAAAATACAAAAATTAGCTGGGCATGGTGCCTGTAATAACAATAACATGAGATGAAACACTTAGGAGTAATTCTATATTATTTCATTAAATGTGCCACAGGAGTTGAGAGGAGGACGGTAGCAAGGTCTGGGGTCATTGAGACATTAATGCTCCGTAGAGCAGATCGATAGGAACTTGCCTCTTAAGGGTTGGTAGATTCTTGGTTTGATTCCCCCAAGATGCTAATGGGGGCAGGGCATGGTGGCAGGCGCCTGTAATCCCAGCTACTCGGGAGGCTGAGGCAGGAGAATCGCTTGAACCTGGAAGTGGAAGTTGCAGAGAGCCAAGATTGCACCACTGCACTCCAGCTTGGGCGACAGAACAAGATTCCAACCCTCCCACTCCGCGCCCCTCCTCCCACCCCCAACAACAAAAAAAATAGGGTTTGATTTAATAGCCTAAAGGGCAGGTCTATCAGGAATCTCTTCCTAGGGCTGTTTTCAGACTGAGGCAGGGCTGGCTATCTTTAATTTAGCTTAAACGTCATTTATCACTTGTCTTGCGAAGCAGAGCTCTGGGTCCCTCCTGGCTGCAAGGTACAGACATTGTGTCCTTAACCACCCCCACAAACTTTGATTGTTTCCAGGACTTTCTGCCTTGCTACACAGATGTGGGCCCCTAGTAGACATGAAAACCGTCTCACTTCCCCCTACATCCCCAGCACCCACTCCTTGCTACTGTGCCTGGCGCATAATCAGTGTTTATAAATGCTTACTGAGGACGGACACGGTGGCTCATACCTGTAATCCTAGCACTTTGGGAGACCAAGGCGGGCGGATTGCCTGAGCTCAGGAATTCGAGACCAGCCTGGGCAACATGGTCAAACCCCATTTCTACTAAAATATAAAAAATTAGCCGGGTGTGGAAGCGCGTGCCTGTAATCCCAGCTACTTGGGAGGCTGAGGCAGGAGAACTGCTTGAACCCGGGAGGCAGAGACTGCAGTGAGCTGAGATCACGCCACTGCACTCCAGCCTGGGCGACAGAGTGAGACTCCATCTCAAAAAAATAAAAAATAAATAAACGCTTACTGAATCCTGAATTTTTTTTTTCCTGAAAGGCAGGCAGGAAAGAAGATGCAAGAATCTAGGTGATCCATGTGCTTTATGACTCACAGGATCCCGTTAAACAAATACCAAGCACAGCCCTATCTCACTTTGCACAAAAGATGAGATTTATACCTTGATTCAGCTTGCTAATATTTTCCAAGAACCTAACCTTAATTTCAAATATAGCCTTTCCTTACATTTTTCTTTAATAATCTGTACAGCCTCCTAACTCTATGACATCAATAAATAATCAATACACCATACTTCTAGAACTCAAGAAAATGTATAGTACTTTAAAGCAAAAAAAAAAAAGTTTATATGAAACTACAATGGTGGATACCTGTCATACATTTGTCAAAACCCACAGAACATGTAACACCAAGAGCAAACCTTAAGGTCACTTTACAGACTCGGTGATAACGACGTGTCAATGTAGGTTCATCAATTGTAACAAACAAGCCACTCAGGTGTGGGACAACAGGAGAGCGGTTGTGTGTGTCTGGGGACAGGGAGTTATACAGAATCTCTCCATATTTTCCACTCAGTTTTGCTGTGAAACTAAAATGGCTCTAAAAATAAAGCTGATTTTTAAAAAGTGAACACCACTTCAGTTAATCCACATTGTTAGAGTCAAATGTTTTAACTTAGACCATGTATTCATCTTTGCAGTTGCAAAGCACAGTGTGACAAAAACCACTGTTAACTCCAAGTGCCTAAACATTGATCAGATGGAGTTTTCTCATGAAAGCAACACTTATCCTCCAAATTCATCTTGTTTTTGATTCAGACTTGTATATACTAGTCTATACCTATCTGTGAGGATGATGCTGCCTTTTTTTTTTTTTTTTTTTTTTTAAGAGATGGGGTCTTGTTCTGTCGCTCGGGCTGGAGTGCAGTAGCACAGTCATAGCTCACTGCAGCCTCGAACTCCTGGGCTCAAGTGATCCTCCTGCCTCAGTCTTCTGGGTAGCTGGACCACAGGCACGCACCACTGTGCCAGGCTAAGTTTTAAAAAAAATTTTTTTTGTAGAAACAATGTCTCACTTTGTTGCCCAGGCTGGTCTCAAATTCCTGGCCTCAAATGATTCTCCTGCCTCAGCCTCCTAACGTGCTGGGATTACTGGTGTGAGCCACTCACTGGCCTTAAATAGGAGAACACTTTTAAGTTAAACTAAGCTCCTTGAGGACAAGGGACTTGCTTTTCATTGCTCTTTATTCCCGATACCTGGTATGTAGTGTGTACCCAATTATTGTTTGGATGAATCAATCGGTAAATGAATATATTATTTTCACGGTTTCTGAGCAGAAGTTAGAAACACCGGATGCAAATTCTAGGATGAAGGACCAGAGAGAAGAGGCTGAAAATTAGAAAACAAGTCTCAGTAGGGAAAGCAAAGACAAACACTGTGAAACATGAGGAACAAGATTGTGATGTGAAAGGAATTCTGTAAAATTTAGCTGGATACCAAAATGGATCTTAACAGTCAAAACAACACCCTTGATCATTTATTATAAATCCATCTCTGAAAAGTTGGGTGCAAGGAATGAATGACAAGAAAACAAAAATGTACCCACCATTTATACTGCAGGAAGCAGAGGGGAAAAGCTGTCTTTATTTTTGATACTGAATTTTGCATCACCTATTATTTGCCAGATTCTGTACGCTCCTATTCCACTTCATTTTCATTTTTACAAATGCCAATTGTTTAATCTAGGCATCCCCATTCTTCCACCAGACTGCATTCTTCCATCACTTACATCTATCTTCCCACACTCCAACTCCTCTTCTTCTCCTTTATCCCAAATATAATTCAAAGAATCAAGAACCTTTTGTAAGATCACAAGAGTTTTCTCTCTGGTTTGGGTGTAACATTTCAGGGAGACTCTGCTGAATGCTGAAGATTTCTGAAATGTTGTGCTGTGAGTTTTCCAAAGGCCAACCTCTAAATTTGATATTTGTGCGTACGACAATAGATTTGATTGAAAACGTTTTGCACATAATTAAGGGTACTTGCCTTCAGTGTTCAGCTTTGCCCTTTAATATACAGGGTACATCACTGTTTATCTGGGAGAAAAAGATACTCTTGAGCTAGCTTAAAAGCTTATTTGCTGAGTAAAGTAATATAAAAGAAACTTTTAGCCCGATGACTGCTTGAATGGTTGAAAAAACTCACAGGCACTCACCAGAAAATGGAGAAATATATTAGCACAGTATATCTAGAGACACCACAGGGGCAAGGAATTAACTAAAACTCCCCCCGCCACAATGGTGAGGACACCCAAAGACTATGATACAAATTGTCCCTTCCCATAAAATCTGATAATGTAGCCAAGCTAGGGGAAAGTAAGAGAACTCCAAGCCTGGGCTTACAGAGATATGCACACATCTACATGGGGTAATGCAGCAATGCAGCCCCCACGCAGTTCTGCAACGTCTGGTGTGTGTCGCCCCAGGGTGAGGAGAAAGAGGAGGCAACTGATGAATCCAAAAATCTGGAATTAGATGCACATTCTTTTGGGCTCTGCCACTCCTAGTGACAGTATGGTGACCTCTGGTACATCAGTCATTTGAGCTTAGTGTCAGCAGTAAACTGAGAGGATCCTGACAATTCCAGCTGTATTTAAATTCTTGGCTTTCCACTTAACTAGCTGTGTGATCTCAAAGGTCACGTCTCTGAGACTATTTCTTTTTCTGCATAAATGACTCTTTGTTGTGACTGTAACATAGGAAGAGGTATCTGATATATATTTGCTAAGGTAGTAAATCGAGGCTTAGTTGAAATAATGTATGCCAAGAACTGGCATACAATTAGAGCCTAATAAATGTTCACTACCTTGATTCTCCTCTTCCTCTAACTTTGGAGAAATCTTTTGTGTATAATTTCCATATGGTTGGTTGTTTGGCTTTTTCTTAATATCTCAAATGAACAAAGCCAATTCAACTTTTTTCTAATTATAAAAGTAACACATGTTCATTGCAGAAAGAACAAATTATATATTATATTTGTAAACTGACAAATGTATGTAGGTAGCATATTTCATTAAAAGTTTGGGGCTTATATCAGAAAGCTAAAAGAATACGAAGAGAAAAAATAAAAATCACTGACTATCATCTAGGGATAGTCACTATAAATGTTTTTGATATATATTCTTCTAGACATTTTTCTATACAGTGTTCCATAAATATTTTTATAAAAGCGGAAAGCACACTAAACATACTATTTTGCAAATTAATTCTACATTAATATTCCACATAAATACACAGTCACATGATTTGTAATGACATAGGACTCAATTGTGTAACTACACCATCATTTAATCTCACTGTTGTGCATTCACAATTTTCCCCCCATTTTGGCCATTATCAACAGAGTTGCATGATAAATATCACTGTATATACATTCTTCTAAAAAGACATTCCTAATTAGCTAAATCATAATAAATTCCTAGAGGAAGAATTACTAGGGTCAGGGGTATGCCCACTTAAGGCTCTCTCTCTCTCTCCATATATATACATATATATATATATACATATGTATATATACATATATATATATACGTATATATATATACATATATATATATACATATATATATACATATATATATATACATATATATATACATATATATACACATATATATATATACATATATATATATACATATATATACATATATATATACATATATATATATACATATATATATACACACACACACACACACACACATATATATATACACACACATACACACATACACGAACTATTGTTCAGAAAGACTATTAAATTACATTCTCATCAGCAATGTGTAACTGTTGTTTTAATTTACATGGATAACTACTGTGACTGAACATATTTATGTTTCCTGGCTATTTATATTTTTTATCTGTGGTTTTTCCTCTTCATGGTTTTTTTAATTCCATTTTCTACAGAATTACTTTTTCTTGGTGATCACACACAATAGTATGCCTTTATGCTTGCCAATTTTTCTCCATTTTTTTCTTTTGATCTTACTTATGATAAGCATTGATAAAAGAAGTTTTCGCTCTTATGTGGTTAAATCTATTAGTCTTTAAGCCCTTTGTTTTCTATTTGGTATATACATGCTTTTAAACAAAAATTCTACAATCCAAAATGTTTTACTTTTATTTTTTAATGCTAATAAATAATGTCCTAGAGTTTCAACATAAAAGAAACATTTAGCTGTATGCTTTCAGTACGAAGTACTACCACAGAGCCACAGACATCTTCTAGGTCTTAAAATATATTACATTTGAAAGTGAGAACTCTGTTTGGGTGAATTAGCAGATTTCATTAAAACTTTGAGGTTTATATTAGAATACTAATAACACAAAATGGAAAACTGGACATCATTGTTCTTTTGTCCCCCACTCCATGAAAAGTTTTATTTTCCTTTCACATTATATAAACACAGGATCCTTGAAAAAAATTCAAATAGAGAAAAATAAGGAAAAAAACATAACATTATTGTAATAGCAATACCCAAGATAACCACAATATTTTGATTTTTGTATACATATCTTTATGGATATATTTAATACATTCATATACAAACACACACACATACATTTTTACATAAATGAAAAACTGGCTCTATGATGTCTGTCTTCATCACTTTACTTTTTTCCCTCTAACCAACCTGTGACTTTCAAGCCTTAACAAGCCAAGGTGCGCAGCTTGGTTGGTATGTGTGATGACAAAAGCAACAAGAGAAATGCTTTGCGTTTTAAAAATATGAAATCCTATTACATATATTTCTCTGAATGTGCCTTTTCCTAAACTACATCATACAGATCCCTCCTACACAACTGGTCTAGCTCACTTTTAATTATATTACTTCAGAGAGTGAACGCACTATAATTTATTTAGCTGTTCCACTACTGAAGGTCATTCACTTTGTTTCCATTGTATCTTTTGAGACAGGGTCTCACTCTGTCACCCGTGCTGGAGTACAGTGGCACTATCATGGCTCATTGCAGCCTCAACCTCCTGGGCTCAAGAGATCCTCCTGCCTCAGCCTCCCAAGTAGTTGAAACTACAGAGGTGCACCACCACACCTGGCTTTTTTTTTTTTTTTTTTTTTTAAGAAAAAAGTAATGGTGTCTCACTATGTTGCCCACACTGGTCTCAAACTCTTGGGCTCAAGCAATCCTCCCACCTTGGCCTCCCAAAGTGCTGGGATTACAGATGTGAGACCACTGCACCTGGCCTGTTTCCAATGTTTAGATGCAATATACTATGATGCTATAAATATATTTATATATATAGACATACACATATATATACATACACACACAGACACATACATATATATACATATATATACACACACACAGTTTTACTAATCAGTACTTTTAGTTCTATGGGATAGATTATCAGAAGTGGGACTGTGAGATCAAAGGCCATATATATTAATTTTGATTACTATTTTCAGATGGCTTTCCAGGAATGCTATATAAACATACAACATTCTCTACAATGTCTGAAATAGGTTTCTAATAAACTTGACCAAGGAAAGGTTGCCTTGCCACCTATCTTTAGGAAAAAATCTAATACAACACATTTTAATTATTTTCCCCTAACTCCAATAAGTTTTGATGCTACTTTCATTACTCTCCTTGTTTCCCAATAATGCTTTTACCAATATTACATAGGGAAACACAGAAAAGAATACATTACACAAATTCTTCCACCATGAATTTCAAAATAAATATCTGAGAAATGTTGAGAGCTACAATGCCTTTAAAGTATATTGTATAACTTACTGATTATCAACCAGTTTTTATGATGGCCATCTAAACTCCAGGGGGAGAAAAACGTACCCTCATATAAAAGTCACGGGAGAAACCATGACCTTTCAATGCTCTTTTCCCAATCTACCAAAGAAAAGGAACAGCTTTTTATGCAGCAGGAAGGCATTAATTTAGGAAGCCTGTTTTGAAAAATTATCGATCCCAAAAGATATTATCAAATACTTAAGTAGAACCAAGGAACAGCTCTAAAATTCTACTCAGAAGGCAATTCCAAACACCCAGGCTAACACAGCCCCTGTGTCAACATCCTGCAGCTGGCTTATCATCAAATGCTTTCTTCAGCCTGCACAAACCCCAACTGCGGTTCTTCTTAAGTTCTCCCTGCACTGTTTCCGGCACCTACATTTCTTTTTTTCTTTCTGCAGGCTTCATCTGAAACAGCACTCTCCCAGTAGTCACTTGCATTTGATAAGCCCTACTACCCCTTTGCTCCCCGAACGTACATTTTCCCATTACATTTGTAGAAAGTTTTTAATAGTCCTATACCGATAGGAATAATATACCAATATAGCATCAGAACAACCAACATCCACATCTCTGCAAGAAAGTTAATCATTGGCCGATGCCATTCTATGAGGCACATGTAAAAAGGGCAGGTGAATCTATTCACTACCTGCTTAATAACAATCACTTTCCAATTAATATTAATAACTATAGCAAATAACATGGAAAGAAAAAAATACCCACATTTCCAACTCACAGACTATAACTTTGTAAAAATAATAATGTGTTGACTGGCACAGAAGTCCTTCATCAGAGTCAGAAAAATATTTGCCCTGATCATGTAAAATGCCTTATTTTGCCAGGTGAAAGTGGGTACTAACGGTTTCACATGATGCTTAAAAGAGCAAGATCTTGATCAAGTAGCAAGGAAATTAAAATAACTAGTGTTCAATTATATTCCACAAACTAGCTTTAAATTAATTTAGTTTCTCAAGTGGAAAAAAGAAAGCAACCACAGAGTTTTGATGTGTGTATTCAAACAGAGCACGTTAAGTCTTGAAATATTACATAATTTTTTATGAATACCAAATTAGAATTATGGTAGCAAACACCTTAAGATTTCACTCTAAGTCCTTTGGCTTTGAATGTGTTGCTTTCATCCAAAAGATTAAAGTGGGAAAGTAATATCTATGTGGTTTTACTCATTCTTCAACAAACTGAAGATCACTTATAAAATCGATAATCGTAAAAACAAATTTAGCACCTAACAAATGACGTGCTTCTCATGTCACATTCCATGAGATACACATTTATACACCAAGACATTAATCTGGGAGGTTATAAAATTAAAATTCTCTTAGAAAATGAATCCTTTGCCTTTATTTTTTAACTAGAAAATAGATGTCTTCCAGCTTTTCCCAGAAACTAATACTTGTAAAAAGAGGATTTTGAAAAAAACTTTGTAACAATTTTAAAAGTCCTCCAAAAAGTTTTAGAAGTAAATAATACTTTCATGATTGAAAGGACTCTTAGCCACAGAAAATCCTGAAGTTTTCAGTGAACTTCTGTGTGTGTGTGTGTGTGTGTGTGTGTGTGTGTGTGTGTGTGTGTGTGTGTAGAGAGGGGGAGGGAGGGAGACAGAGAGACAGAGAGAGAGACAGACAGAAAGACAGACAGAGTCTCACTCTATCACCCAGGCTGGACTGTAATGGCATGGTCTCGGCTCACTGCAACCTCCGCCTCCCAGGTTCAAGCAATTCACCTGCCTTAGCCTCCTGAGTAGCTGGGACTATAGGCGCGTGCTACCAATCCCAGCTGATTTTTGTATTTTTAGTAGAGACAGCGTTTTACTATGTTGGCCAGGCTGGTCTTGAACTCCTGACCTCGTGATCCGCCTGCCTTGGCCTCCCAAAGTGCTAGGATTACAGGCGTGAGCCACCACGCCCAATCTTAAGTAGTATTTTTTAAACTGGTCTTTAAAATTCCCTGCATTAAAATTTTAAAAGATTCTCTCAACGTTTCCCAGTAGGCCTTTTCATCACAGACTATCACCAACTAAAAAGACAATGGGCTGAAGTCAAAGCAAAACTAAGACCTCTCCTGGCTAAGTAGCACAGTGTTTTTTTTGTTTGTTTGTTTTTTAATGGTATGCTAGATAAACCAGATGCTTCTGGATCATATTGAAATATCATACAAAATAAAAACCCTTCATTGGCTTACAGGGTAGGCAGCTCTCAACATACAATTGGGCTGTATTTCAAAAGTAAAGCTCTAAGCTCATTATTTGGAACTCAGAATGCATTTTCCTGAAAATTCAATGTTATAAATAGAAGCTGGTTTTCTGAACTAGTCTGCAAAATTCTATATGGCCCACAATGTAAATGAAATACTATGCATGTGGATCAATGCAGAAAATACTAGAAAATATTCCTTTCCAATACACAGTCTACTAGCAACAGTAGATATTAAACCAAACAAAACACGAATGGGAATTTATATAAGAAACATGTACTTCTCTTGAAGCCTGATGCTTCAAGCAAAACATGGTTTGGGCTGTTTTTGTAAAGAAAAAATACCAAATAAGATAATTTAACAGTAAACTTTGGGGATGTTTCTTCATGTTTTGTTTCTGTTAGCTCAATTTTCTGTTTTAATACATTTCATTTTTAATAAAACACTCCTGGTTTTAATACTCTTTTTTTGTTGCTAGTTGATAATTTGAACATGTCTATGGAGTTTTCAAGAGCTCTGGGGACTAAGAACACTACATTCACAAGTCTCACTTTGCTTCAAAAATAATGTGGCTCTGAAATCCTTTGATAGGGAAGTGTCACAGTACTAGCCATATGCTTTGCAACTATAATGAGGGGAGATTTTTGGCTCACAAAGAGAATGAGTAAAAAGGAAATTAGAAGAGACCGAAGATCAAAAAAGGAAAGAAGGAAAGGTATGTATAGTTATGAGCCGCATAACGACACTGCAGTCAAGGACACAGCCTATACACGACGGTGGTGCCATAAGATTATAGGTGTGGGGCAGGCAACACCACCTAGGGTCATGTGAGTACACTCTGTAATGTTCACACAACAACGTAATCGCCTAACAACACATTTCTCAGAACATATCCCTATCATTAAGCAACACATGACTATGCATAAATGAAAAAAACAAAAACAAACAAACAAAAAACAACAAAACTGTCAGAAGCAAAAACCAAGCTATGAAAGAAAGAAGGAAAAGGAGCACTTCTCCCCACTAAGTCCTCTCCACAGAGTCAAGACAGCAAACCCTGTAGGGTAATGCAGCTGAGGCTATGGACACCGGGTTTATTGCGGGCGTGCCCACTGGAGAGGCCATGCACACTCAGAGGACACCACGGATGCAGGATACAGACGGTCTGCGACTTGCCAAGTTCCAGGTGCAGGCAATGGGGCAGTGGAGCTTGGAAGACTTTGTGCAATCACTTTTTTACCAACCGTTTTTTGCTAGCAAAAAATATGAATGTCTTTCTGATTTCTAGTCTGCATATTTGTTTATTTGCAGAATCTCAGTGAAAATGAATGACTATGACCTGTTAGTTCACAAGCTGACCATGATTACAGAAAGCCAGGCTGGGCCAGCCACTAGAAGCAGAGCACCTCATCTGGACATTATGGGACCTCAGCATGATGCATACATAAATTAGAGCCCCAGGCTACCATGACCTATTGTGTTTCTTAGTGCTTCCATTAATTGCAGTCTTAATAATCATACCACATGTAATTTACAACTCATTCTGACAACTAAAAAGTATGACAGGCCAGGTGTTGTGGCTCAAGCCTGTAATCCCAGAACTTTGGGAGGCCAATGCAGGAGGGTCACTTGAGCCCAGAAGTTTAAGACTAGCCTGGGCAACATGGTGAAATCCCATCTCTACAAAAACTACAAAAATTAGTCAGGCATGGTGGTGCGCCCCTGTAGTCCCACCTACTTGGGAGGCTGAGGTGGGAGGATCGCTTGAGCCCAGGAAGTTGAGGCTGCAGTGAGCCGTTATGGCACCACTGTACTCCAGCCTGGGCAAAAAACAAAACCAAAAACAAAACAGTATGATAGCCAACACACTCCTTAAGGTCCACCTGACTGACAAACTTCTTCCATATGCAAACAGCTGTGACCTTCCTTCTATGGGGTGTTCACTACAAAGACAGGGGTTCATTTATTCACCCTCTTACTCGGCAATTCTTTATTGCATACGTACAGGGCATCAAAATCGATTCCAGGGGCTAATAGTGCAATTAATAATAGTAATTTCAAAAATTTTGTCTCACCCATATCGTCTGCATTTTCCATAATATGTTATTTACATAATTTTAAAGCTAATTTAGTAAAAACTTATATATTTCTCCATAGTATTCAAAAACAGTTCACCACACACCCTAGAAATATTTAAAAATACTGTAGCCTTTTCACATATTACAACCAGTTGATATGAATCATTACAAACACTTGATTATCTCTTTGCACTAAAAATTCCTGCTATGGACAGTAACGTAATTCTAGCTTTTTTTAAAAAACGGCAAATGTAAGTGTGACACTAGAAACTATAATTTGATTGCAATTATAGTCACAGCTGCAGTGAGCACAAAGTTCCTGGAATAAATTGGCTCAGAGAAGAAAGAGCAGAGAAGCAGTCATCATATTGGCATCATCCCATCGGGCATCCAGTAACTACTGGCTATGATGTAAATGCCTTTCCCTTCACTGAGTACCCAAGAGACACTGTGGTAAATCCTCATGTTTCTTAGTGAAAAGCCAGGGAAAGCGAACATATATTATATACATATAATTCACACACCCACGTCCACACATATATATATACCTTTACATATATTTATATATACACACACATATATCAGTCTAAAATATTATAGAAATAGCTAATTCAACATACTATTGACTGCCTTTGGCAATAAACCATTATAGAAAGAAATATGAATAAATAACAATGCAGAGAAAGAAGTGGGAAGAAAGACCTGGTAAGCCTAAACTACTAGTCTCTTCTGGGTGGAGAGAGTACACCTGATGAATTTTTAAAAAGAGCTGGCACTTATTAATGACTTGCTCTGGTCAGCCACTGCTCCGAGGAGTTTGCCTAAACCGTTTCACTGAATCCTCAGAATCACACTCCTAGGGTAGGTCGCTGGAAGGTGGCAGCCTGATGCCTGGCACTGCGATAAACAAGACTGCCCACCTGGGTCCTGCCACATGGGCCACATGGAGCTCCGAGGCTGTGCGAGTCATTAGGGGCATTGTAAGAGAACACAGGATGCTGGGAGGCAAAGGGGTACAACCAGATCTAGGGGGCCCTCTCAAAGAAATGTCATTTATGTTAAGACTTGAAGAAAAGGTTACTGAGAAGACAGTTTTCACTATTAATTGCCTGAATTTTCTGATTTACTTGGAAAATACACACACACACACACACACACACACACACGTGGTCTAGGACTCTCCTCCAAGAATATTTTTCTAGCGAAATGCAGAGACGCTGTTGTTCTTTCATGAAGTAGACAGGCCCATTACCACTAAGAAACACAAAAAATGTCTGGACTAGCACCCACTGAGAGGAATAAATTATTAAAATAACTAATAATATAATATTTGTTAATGTGAAATAATTTGTTTTTGGCAACCAATGTTTCAGTCTAAGTCAAAGCTATTAGACAAATATGCAGCTATATTTTACATATAGCCCCTAACAACAAAAACAATATAAGGTATATCATAACCTGAAGCACTGGTTCTTCCTCCAAAGACTCTTTGTAATTCTTATCCTACTACAGAAAAAGACCGATGTACAATAGGCAGTTATTGTTAAATGAAAAAAAGGAGGCCAGCTATCTAACACATTTAATGCCGCTACATCATGAATAATATATCAGCATCAGCATCCTGAAAACAAGGTTCCCTCTGGCTGCCCTGACAGCTCTGGGTCGGGGGGACAGTGTGGGGGGGGATTGTTGGAGGCGGATGAGATTAAAAAACAGAATCCAATGCACTGTCCTTGAACAATGAACTATTCACACCTTCATAACCACTTCCAAAGAATTAAAAAAATGGATAAAGAGATTTGTCTATAGTGATTTAATCTGGATAACACGCCCACTTCAGTTTCTGATATGTGCATATTTCTTGCTAATGCTGATTTTTAAATTACAATACTTGAATGTCACAGGTGTACTTGTGAATATATACAGGGATAGGGAAAACCCAGCCAGATCTGTGGGGCATCTGCACACAAAGGGCATGGGAGCTGGTGAAGGGTCAGAGAAAAGAGAAATGAATATTTACGTCCAGAGGAGATGGATGCAGAGATCAATTCCAGAAGGGCCTATTAAGAAGGGGTGGAGAAGCACAAACGCCTGGACAACCAGACAGACGCAGAGAAAAAGACCAACAGATACAAATCTGATAACTCACATGAGTCACACCAACCGTAATTTAGGATGTCCTTCTTCAAAATACTGCCAAACTCAAGACAGTTAATACCCAGCCCTCAACGTCCTAAAAAGGTGAGCAGCAGGTTAACATGTCATTCTCCAACAAGCAGCAATATGAAAGCTTTCCAGAAAATGAGTGAGTTCCTGAGAAGCCTTCTAGTATTAACAGAGCTTCACTTCTAGGTAAGGAAACGGAGATCCAGTGATCTCTCTCATTCCTGCAGCCTCATTTCCTGTCTCCCTGTCCAGGGCCACTTCCTGGACAGGTGAGTGCTCTGAACACACTTGGGGTCTATCTGCCTTGCTATTTGATAACCTCTAGCCAGAATGCCCTACAAAGCCCCTGATCCCCATGGTTATGACTTCTACCTAATTCAGGCATCACCTCCTCCAGGAAGTCTTTCCCATTACTTCCTGCCAAGGATGGTTTGGGTTCCTTCCCTTACATCACAAAATACTCCATATACATCTCTAAGCTGTCTTATAATTATGCTTATCTCTGTGATCCTCCAACTAAACTGATTCCTTACAGGAAGGAACTGGGTTTTATTCATTTTTGTATGCGCAGGACTCAGTGCAGGAAAATGCAATAAATATGTATGCATGAATTAATTAAAATGACCACAACAGTCAAAGGTAGACCTAGAACTAGAACCAGGTGCTCTGGCCCTGGCCCGGGGTCTTGCATCAAGCCCAGGGTATATTAAACTCAAAGTAGCATGAGACAACCAGAAAGACAGTTTAAAAAGAATAAAAATTATTCTAATACAATTTAAACATACACCACACACAATTCCAAAACAACCATAACTTCCTGTTCTGCTCCTGCAGCCCCTCAACACCAGGCTCTTCTGAGGAAAAAAAATAAAAAATAAAAAAAATAAAAATCCCACTATTCATGTAATTGTGGACTATTACATAATAGGAAGATAGAAAGCACTATTCCCAACACAGCCAATAATAAACTAGACCCTTAACAAAATGACTGACAGTCCTTATAATTTTAGCCTAGAGAGAATAAAAAGGGATACTATTTTTATTCATACCACTATTTAATCCTTTTTCTTCAGTAATACACTGGATGGCACTCATTTCTATGGTTAATTATACGGTCCCTCAAACAGAATAGGTTTTTCTTTAGCTTTGTTTTACTGAATTCACAGAGCCATCCCAGAGGAATATTACAGCCAAATAAAAAGTCATTTTGCAAATGAAAGCTCAACTTACTTAACTTACTTTCTTCAGCAATGTGTGTGTGTTTTTTTAACCCCATTGTCTTGGTTATACACAGAACCTTTGCTTTTCTTCTGCTGCTTTCTCCTATTTCTAATTTGGTGTCATATCTATTTCATGCAGACTAACAACCAAACATTTAGCCACAGGGACACAAACTGATCATCTTGGACTTCCAGCAACCAGCAGACACTGTCTTGTGCATGGTGGGTATTCACAAAGCATTAACTAGCCTTCATATCAACACTGTTCTTCTCTAATAATAACCCCTTTTGGCTTGTATCATGTTCTTTTGGTGAATTCTCCCTCCAAAAACACTCTTTCCGTATATACCAGACACTGTGACTCCTAAGAACCATGCTGTGGTGATCAGAGAAGAGACAAGAGACAAGACACTTGGGAGCAAAAAAAAAAAAAAAAAAAAAAAGAAGACCAGACCAGCTGTTTCTCCTACTCAAAGTTAATTCCAGCCATCCAGTTACACATTCAGCAAATACTTATTGTACATCTACTTTATGCCAGTCACTATGTTAGGTGTAGTTCTTTAACTCTTAGCTTTAGCTGACAATAGGTAGAAATGTTATATTCTTTATAGCACTGAAAATATATTTGAACCACTAACGAATTTTGTTTTACTAAGAAATTTCCAGCCAGGCACAGTGATTCATGCCTGTAATCCCAGCACTTTGGGAGGCTAAACGTGGGAGGATGCTTGAGGCCAAGATTTCAGGACCAGTCCAGGCAATATTGCAAGACTCAGTCTCTACCAAAAAATAAATAAATAAATAAATAAATAAATAAAACCCAGCCAGGAGTGGTGGTGTGCCTATGGTCGTAGCTACTCAGCAGGCTGAGGCAGGAAGATTGCTTAAGCCCAGGAGTTTGAGGCTGCAGTGAGCTATCATCATGCCACTGTACTCCAGCTTGGGCAACAAAACAAGACCGTAGGATTCTGTCTTTAAAAAACAAAAAAAAGTCCATCTATATTTTTCATGGGCAGCTAAAAGGTAGCCAACGTAACTATTAATCAAAGAGAACTTACTTTATTGCTTTAAGAGGGCACAGCTCAGAACAGTCATCACTGATACGTGACATCTTTCTGGCCCTTCATTCTTGTAATTTACATATCATTCATTCAATGTTGATTGGTACATTGACTAAAAATTGGGAACATTTGTATTCATGTAAGAGTGGAGATAGTAGCAAGCAAATGAAATTCTTCTATCCCAGGTACCATTACAATGACATATTACCTGATACTTTTGCTTTATCTCTTAGAACATTGTTGAGGAGAAGCCAGGCACGGTGGCTCACACCTGTAATCCCAGCACTTTGGGAGGCCGAGGTGGGCAGATCACGAAATCAGGAGTTTGAGACCAGCCTGACCAACATGGTGAAACCCCATCTCTACTAAAAATACAAAAATTAGCCGAACATGGTGTCGTGTGCCTGTAATCCCAGCTACTCAGGAGGCTGAGGCAGGAGAATCGCTTGAACCCGGGAGGTGGAGGTTGCAGTCAGTGAGCCAAGATTGCACCACTGCACTCCAGCGTGAGCAACAGAGTGAGACTCCGTCTCAAAAAACAAACAAACAAAAACACTGTTGAGGAGAAACAGTAAATAAGAAATGTCAATAAACAAGCCATTATAAGTAATGAAAAGACTCTCCTGAACAAGCAGAATGGTTCCCTTAAATGATCAATGTAGTACAATTCTCCTGACACAGTCCATGAATGAGCCCTCACATCCACTCTACATAATGCTCAGAGAAGAGGGTCAATGGCAGGAGGTGCTGAAGCCTGACTAGTTCCTGGCTGTCATCCTTGAACAACACAGTGTTTCTCTGACATTTCCCGACTTGGAAGAAGGAAACTGATCCACAAAAAAATCACATAATTTATTGCACATTTCCTATTCCTTAAATACTTTGGAAACTGTGGCTAGTATTTCTCAACAACCATTAACAGGGAAACAGACACACTGTTGCCATTTCTTTGTCCCTGTGCTCCATGATGGCACATGGAGCTCCTTTTCCTTTTTGTCTTTTCTTTCCTGTCTTTTCATCTTTTCGGCTCCTTTTCCTGTCTTTTCATCTCTCTGAGCCTCCGTGGAGAGCATTTTTGAAGTGTCTGTTTCCATTGACAGCAGAGGCTCAAAAACTGTGGTCCCAGTAACAGTGCTTTCATTTCCCAAGTTTCTTCTG
Source organism: Homo sapiens (assembly GCF_000001405.40). Taxonomy (NCBI): domain Eukaryota; kingdom Metazoa; phylum Chordata; class Mammalia; order Primates; family Hominidae; genus Homo; species Homo sapiens. Next base: position 22,676,215 of record NC_000010.11, read on the forward strand.
CTCAATAAGACCCTTGACCAACTTACATTAAACAGCAAATAAAGTTAAGACTTCATGTAAAGTCATCAAGATGTATTCCCTTCGTATGGAAACCAGTACCTACAGAAGTTGTTCACAGTGATGACCTATTGCTTCCAAAGGGCCATGTAACAGCCCAAAGACTTCAAGGACCAGTCTTCATCAGAATTTGTAACCAATCTTTAAACCTATCGTCTCTCAGCTTTGTCTCACTGCTTGAAGAAAATAGCATTTAATGTAGATATGGCCAGATCAAGAGGGGCATTCTAAAAATCTGAATGTGGCACGATACAGTTATAGGTGGAGAGTCTTCAGCTGCTACATCATCTCATCCAGCAGAGAGGAACAAGGGCAAGAGACTAACCAGAGGGAATATCTGGCTCAGTGATGGGCTGATAAGGGAGACCTTTCATAGGCTCTTCCTGCTGATGAATCAGAGAACAAGAAGTAAAAGGTACATCTGCTTAACTGGGCAACTGCTATAGTCCAGGCACTGTTCTGGGTGCTGAGGATACAGAGCTGAATGAAACAGAAAACATTCCTTTCCCTCATGGAGCTTCTTAGCAGAGGAGGAAGCCAACAATTAAAAAACCAGAATGTCACTCAGTACTAAGTGCCACAGGGGAGAAAGGCTTAGCTCAGAGGGATGGCAAGAGCTGAATACTGGGAGATGCTGTTTTGCCTAAGAGGCTTACAATATTTATTACCTGCTAGTAGGTTAGTCTGGTACAATCTGTGCCACCAATACTAGAAATAGGAGAAGAAAAAGCATGATTTTATTGCAAATTACTTTCCTTATATTTCTCTTTCCTGTTATACTTAGGACATTATATTCATTTTTTAAGAGCTATCATCTGTGAATTTCATATCAAGTTATTAAAGGAGGTTACCATGTACATGTTTTGCATGTACATGTTTGCATCACCTGGCAAAGAAGGTATTGGGCCCAGCTGGGGTTGAGAATTCCTACTGGGGTGTGCTCATTCACTGGGTGCACTCCGGGCACCGATTCCACACCAGGCCCTACCCCTTCTGGAGACTGTATTATCATAGGGAATCAGACTGAGACTTAATGGGCACGCCAAATAATTAAACAGTGGCACTTTCAAAGTGTTTTAAAGGAAAGAAAGGAGGGGCTTACACAGAGATAGGGCTAGCGCGAGGGTCTGCTTAGTTATGAGGAGACCCCAAGAGGGAGTAGGCTGCTGGAACAGGCTCTCAGGCTGCATTTTACACTGGGGCACAACTCCCTGCAGATAGCCACAAGGCAAGCATTCAGCAGCCACACGTGGCTCGTGGCTGCATGTGGGATCCTGCAGAATGATGAAACAGAATGAGCTCTGAGAGGATGAATGTGGAAACTGAGTGATGGGTTCATGCGTATTCCCTCTACTTTTGAAATGTTTTAAGTTTCCCTCAATAAAAAGGTACAAGAAAAAAATAAATCCTCAAAACCACTTCCACTTGTCAGTTTCCTACAAACTATTCACTTAGCTTACTTAGTTCATGGCAAGCAGTAACACAGATTCTTCAAACCATCAGAAAATGTTTCTAAGATGCAGCTAAAATATAATCTAGCATCTCAATCAGTCAGTAAGGTCCTAAAGTGGCCTTCTAGCTGAAGTTTAAATGAAAGTAACAATTCGGAGATTTGCTAAAGGGAGGCTGCGTGTGGTCTAAGGAAGAGTCGATATAATAGGCCACTAAGGGCTCTTAAAAAGAATCTAAAAATACGAAAACACTCATCTGCTACTTTGGCTCCTCTAAATGAATAGCTGACCATTAATCACATTAACACAGATTTTACAGAGCAGACATCAGTTAAAGCTCCTGTACATTTTTCACTCCTTTTAAACCATGAGGAATGAATGATATAAAAATTATGTTCAATTTTAATTGCTGGACTTTAAAAAAAAAATCTCTATTTTGTCACAATTGTCTTCTCAGTGTTACCCCTGCCAACCCCCCTTTCAACAACAGAAATGAGATACCAGGGACCAGAGCAGAGCCAGGAGGGTTCCACTTTCTCGGTGATCCCATTAGGTTCATACACCAGCAGATACGGCACCACACATGTGCGTGTCTTCATGTGGTCCCTGAATTCTTTTTAGCAGTGCATGATAAAGAGAACACACATACATACACACACACTCCAAATACAAGACTGAGAATGAACACCGGCATACTTTTCTTAGTGGCTATTTCCCAAACCTTTCTGCATTTCTTTCCTTTGTCGTTCTATGGGGAAAAGTCTGTTTTACTTCCTTGAAGACAGTAAAAAATAAATAAATAAATAAATAAAAATAAGCTGTTGAAAGAGCAACAGAATGTGAAGGCAACCCAGCTTTATGAAATGAGTTTGCTGTGATGAAAACTCTTCTCCAGCAGATTCCTATTTTTTTCCTAGCCAGCAGACTGGAGTGCTCAAATTCTAATGTCAGACAAATCTTGGTACTTAGATTCCGAAGGAAGCTTCCCATTCCGCCCTAGGTAATGTATCCTTTAGGAATAAAGACACCAGAACAAAATAATAAATGTACACAGTTTTGCAGTCTTATTTGTGGCAAAACCCAAAAAACTGGAAATAGGTTATGTCTATCAATAGGAAATGGTTGAATACATTAAGGTCTACTTATACCTAGAGTATTAGACAGCTATGAAAAAGAATGTGTTCCCTATGTATTGTCCTTGAAGGATCTGCCTTTTTAAAAATACAGCAGAATGAGCTATAAAGTGTAAGATAAATGAATAAAATAACATTTAAAAAATTCTCTAAAATCTTTGTGACTTGTGTTAGGCAATGGTTTCTTGGATGTGACACCAACGGCAGAAGCAACAAACTAGAGGAAGTGGACTATATCAAAATTTACACCTAATGCTGCAAACAATACTATCAAAGTGAAAAGAAAACTAATAAAATGAGAGAAAATATTTGCAAATCTGACAAGTGACTTTTACTCAAAATATATACAGAACTCTTACAATTCAATAAAAAGACAACCTAATTAAAAAATGGGCAAAATATCTGAATAGCTATTTCTCCAGAAGATACAAAAATGGCCAATAAGTATATGGATACCTCCTCAATATCATCAGTCCTTTGGAACATGTGAATCAAAACCACAATGAGATACTACTCTTTCATACCTACTAGGATGGCTATAAGAAGAAGGACAGACAATATCAAGTATTGGCATGGATGCAGTGAAATTAGAAACTTCATACATTGCTAGTAAGAATGTAAAATTATACAGTTGCTTTGGCCATTCCTCAGAAAATTAAACACAGAGGTACCATATAACCCAACAATTTCACTACTAGGTATGTACCCAGGAAAAATAAAAACATGGGTCCACACAAAAACTTCTACACAAATGTTCATAGCAGCATTATTCGTAATAGCCAAAACATGAACACAATCCAAAGGTCCATTAATGGGTGAAAGGATAAACAAAATGTGGTCTATCCACACAATAGAATATGCCTTGACCCCCATAAAAAGGAATTAAGTATTGTTACAAGGTACAATGTGGATGAACCTTGGAAACCTTATGCCAAATGAACAAAGCCAGTCACAAAAGCCCACATACAAATCTACAGAGACAGGAAGCAGATTAGTGGTTGCCTAGGGCTGGGGGTAGGGGTTGGGGGAAATAAGGTTTAGGTTTCTTTTAGAGAGGATGAAAATGTTCTAAGATTAGATTGAGAATGGTTATACAACCCCTATATTTAAATAGTATATAAAAATATATACATTTTAGTAAATATACTAAAAAGCAATGAATTGCATATTCTAAATGGTATTTGAATTGTACACTTTATATCATATGTGAATTATATCTCAATAAAGCTGTCTTTAAAAAGGATTCCTTTAAAAAAAAATACTCTAGCAAACCTAGAAACAAAAAATGAAGACCATGCACTACTTTTGAATTATGTGGATTTTTAAATCCACTTAAATGGGCTGCTGTGGTCATTAAAAATTATGTTTTTGAAATATGCTTGTTTACTACACGAATAAAGCAGAGTACAAAACTATAAATAAATTTTATAAAACAAGAATATATTTTTAAAGAAAAGGCTGGTATTAATCGTGATTATCTTTAGATGGCCGAATTATGAGTAATTTAAATATTGTGCTTTAGAATTTTCTATCCTTTTCTAAATCTTCTCCAATAAGCATGCATTGTTTTTATAATCATAAAAATAGCATTTAATGTCTTAGATGAGCCACACGTACCAGGAACTCAAGTGGCAGAAGGATTTAACTACATTCTTTACTAACATCCTGGATGAGAGGGTATTTTCCCTCTGTCATGAATGACAATAAAAAGGCTAGCATACATCCCTAGTCCTTTTCAGTTAAGTAACACTGCGTAAAAAACACCCCAAAACTTCATGGCTTAAAACCACTGCCATTTTATTGGCTCATAATGACATGGGTCAAGAACTCAAGGAGGCTCAACATTGTGTTCCTGCGACAGCTCAGCGAGGGCTGGTGATCCAAGGTGACCCTACACATGTATTGAGGTCTTGGTGATGTTGTTCAAAGAGTGAAGGACATGCCATCCCAAAATATGCCGGATTTTTATATTGATTAGTGTGAGCTGAAAACACTGAAAAAGTTGTAGATTCCAACTTGACCCCAACAAGCCAGGTGACCTGGGTCTTCCTGCATGTAGCAAGCCACAAAGATTCCTTTGGGAGGGGCCCCTCACCTATTCAGGCGAGAAAATAGCCCTTATCCCAGAGACTAGGGTTTGGAAGATGCAACTAACCTGAATAAGGAAATTTCTGGAAGTAGCCCTTATCTTCTACCTGTTTTATACTCCCCATGTATCCTCCCAGTGACTCCCCTAGAAATGTACTGCCCCAGATTTTTTCTTGTCATTTCTTCTCAAATGTATCGTTCTCAGCATAAAAGTGTCTTGCTTTGGCCAATTCCTTTGGATTTCACTCTTTTAAAGATTCCCAGGTGCAAGTAACACTAAGAAAATTTGTATTCCTTTCTCCTATTAATCTGCCTGATGTCAACCTGACTTCTAGATCCAGCTGAAGAGCCCACTAAGAGCTAAAGGGAGGTTGGAGGGGACCTCTGTCTCCCCTACACTGTCAGCTAGGCCTTCTGAGCCACCTGGCTTCTCAAGACCTGGCTTCTCAGCCAGACACAGTGGCTCATGCCTGTAATCCCATCACCTTGAGAGGCCCAGGCAGGAGGACTGTTTAAGTTTCAGAGTTTGAGACCAGCCTTGGCAACACAGTGAGACCTTGTCTCTTCAAAAAATTTTAAAAATTAGCCAGGTGTGGTGGCATGCACCTGTGGTCCCACATACTCAAGAGGCTGAGGTAGGAGGATGCCTTGAGCCTGGGGGGTAGAGGCTGCATTGAGCCATGATGGCGCCACTGTACTCTAGCCTGTGTGACAGAGCAAGACCCTATTTCTAAAAAAAAATAAAATAAATAAAATTAAATTAAAATTAAAAAATAAAACGCAGGAAAAGAGGTGAAAACTCCTAATTTCAGCTACCAGCAATATTTTACTGTAGCAGAAACTGACTAACTTTCCCTGCAAGGGTTAGACAGTAAATAATTCTAGGCTCTGCGGGCCACACAGTCTCTGTCACAATGACTCACCTCTGCTGTTTGAGCAGCTACAAACTGGCAAACAAATGAGTGTGGCTCTGTTCCAATCAAACTTATCTACAGACACTGAAATTTGAATTTCATAGAATTTTCACATTATGAAATACTTTTTTAGAAAACCATTTTTTTTTTTGTACATACGTAAAAACTATCCTTAGTTCGTGGCCACACAAAAACAAGCAGCGGGCCAGATCTGGCCCACAAGCCATAGTCTGCCAACTCCTGTGCTATAGTTAATTCAAGATATAAAAATGCTCAAAGAGGAGTACTCTGTTGCATACCTTATCCACAAATCCACACACCATCCCTGTGTAGAGAGCACACAACCCTTAGCTACTGAATTTTTCACTGTCCTCAAACTGTTCTACTTAAGAGCCAAAGTTACTTTTCATTAAACTTTTCTCAGTATTTCAACTACTGTTTCTTTTTAACCTAGCAACTATCAGGCCTACTCATTTCCTCTGCCAGGAGGCAATGGTAGCCCTCAAACCTCAAGTATGCACACCTTGCCTTTATTTTCTAGAAAAGGCCAGCAATCTAAAAATTAGGAAACCACCCTGTTCTGATCATGCTATTCCTAATATAGTGTTTTATTTTACTGATAAAACAAAGCATTGCTGACTTACAAATTATTGGACAGTAACAGTGTCCATGAACCTAAAAAAAAAGTGCCATCAACTTGACACTTGAGAGTTTAGCTAACAAAGTACACAAAGAACAAACCACATGGTTGGTGCTCCGTGGTGGGGGTGGCAGAAGCAGGAACCCGCTGACAAGCACATCACAGGCCCTCCAAAACCTCAGAGTATCTGTTCTTCCATTAAACCTGCCTCACTTGTGAATTCCTCCAGACTGAGCCAGTCTGAACTTGGCTCCTAGACTCTCTACTCAGGGAGGGAGAACTAGAACCTGAGGTTAGTCAGGTTCACACACCACATTAACCCTTGCTGGGAACACTTGGTAATTGCAACAGGATCTGAAGAGACACAGATGGTCCAGTCATCTTTACATATGCATCATTTGCGTCTGAAAATCCTGGCACTACCCATGACCTTGGGAATGAACAATGTGCGGTCATCTACCATGTCACCTGCTGTCTTCTTTACAACAAGACTGATCTTTCAGATCCTTCTTTATTTTTGCGTAGCTGAGGCCATTTCTGAAGCCAAAAAGAAAAGAAAAAGAAAAACAACAACAACAACAACAACAACAAAAACAGCTGACACGACAGTACAGTATAAATAAAAATGAAGAAACTTTATGTTGGATCAAGCTGATAAATTACTGTTCAACCAGCAGCCTCTCTAGCAAGGGCAGCTATCTGAGCTGAAGACACCTGGACTGCTCTCTGACTCAACTCTTATGAGTTCTGCTCATACCACCGAGTCAAGGCTTTAACAGTATTTGCATTTGCCGTTTTTCACTGTGATCTTAAGTCACAGTTTTTCACAGTGATCCTAAGTCTTCCATGCTGTGGTACAGACCCCAAGTTTTCGCAACTCAGAGGTGGGCCAAGTGCAAGGGGACCTGAGTCAGAGCCAGGTTTGATCCTGACCGCAGAGCTGACAGTGTGGACTTAGCCGAGTCACTTACTCTGATCTGTTTGCTCATCTGTCAAATGTGAATAATGACTTGTCCCCAGCCTTCTCCTCAGTGCTGGGTACAGGTCAGGTGAGATGACAAAGGTGAAACTGCTTTGTCAACTGTCGAAAACAAGTTATTTTCTTCTTCCATTAACTTTCCCCCTCAAGCAGCAACTGCTTTCTTCTGTTCCCTTCTGCAGGGTTTGATAAAGAAGTCTGTTGAGCACGTGTTTATCATGGTTTTTAATCACAGCTTCATCTTTCCAGACTGCAGCGTCCCTCCTGACTGTAATTTCTTCTCATGGTTTGGTACCTCTTTCAGTCGCCCCTCCCTTAGCCTTTCCCAGTCTCTCTTGTAGCTTTCCTACCAAGCAGTTCACACACACACACACACACACACACACACACACACACACAATTCAAAGTGTGTCAGATCTTGAAATATTTTCTTTATATCTCTCCTGGAATCGCCCAGCGCTTCCTTGCCCGGAACGTTCCTGGCTACAATAAGCACCACATCGGCCAAATACCCATTAGAAACTGAATGATTCCTATCTGAAATACTCACAAGAAGCCTGGAGCCCATTACTTTGTGTGTAGAATGTAGTCTTTTTCCCCCCCTTAAATGCATTACCTCACATCTGTCTGTATTACAATTTAGTATGCCAACTTCCCCACTCACAGTTTCAGGCCTGTGGCAAACCATCTTTCAGTTTATTTTCCCCACTGGCTTGCTGTTTTATGACTTAAAAATACTTGAGAGCAAAATGTAAATTTAGGCAATCTCAAAGACATTACTGATTGGGTCGTTTTAATTAAAAACCAGCATTAGTATCTGTGGTACTAACAGTTAATACTAGGTACGCTTTGTCTGAATCCCTTATTTTTTCTTTGATTGCCACTGCCTCTACTTCTTTTGCCAAAGAAAGTTGTTTAAAAAACTTTTAAGCTTATATTCCTTCTGCCAAAAGCTAACACACAATGTGTTTTATCATTATTCTTTGTAATGCGCTTGTTTCATTATACTGTTTCTTATACATATATGTTCATAATTTTTAAAAATATACCTATTGGCTTTCCTTGTCCTCTTAAAAATATTCCCTACCTCAAACAAAACATTCTATTAGTGAAACATAATTTGTCTATCAGAAAACCTGACACACCTTCCAATGTCCAGTATCAGCTCGAGCTCCCTGGCATCAAAACAATCCCTGGTCTATAGGATGCCACCCACTAAAAATCTTTCCAGTGTCTCAGGCATATGGCAAAGTGGCCATTTGTAAATTACCCTGGAGTTCCTTGAACACTTCTGTGAAAATGCACAGCCCATGACTGTTGCTTCCCAGCATGTCACCGCCCTGCCAAGTCATCTGAAGTTGTGCTTTGGTGGGTCCTTATAGCACTGCTTATGGACATCTTGTCCACAGCTGTCCGATACACAGCTGCTTCACTTTTGTGTTCCTGACCATTTCGGCAAGTGTCCAGCTAGTAAAACAGGGTGCTAGTAAGGGTTATTTTTACACCTGTGGAACCCGTGCAATAACAGAAACCGCATTACTGGTGACACTCTTGTCATTTAATTTCAACCACAGTAGATCTGCCATGTATATATTTTTTCAAGAAGTCTAATGTTTACATTTTCAATAGGACTTTGATTCTGAAAATGGTTCTGCTTGAATTGAGTATTTAAAGTTATGAGATAAGAAGTACAACTTATAATTACACAGCATAAGAGATTATATCCAGATAATTTTTAAAAGGAGTTTAAGAGTCCCAGTGTATACTCTTCAACTGATTTTATTAAACAATGTTTTGGACATTTAGCATCAAGTCATACTATTAATGAATCATAATACTAAAAAATTTCAGAAGAGAGGCGAATCATTAAGACAATTTTCCTTGTGAAATTTTGGTCATGACAGAATCAAAATCTCAGGGTTAAGAAAGTGAAAAGGGTTGGGCACAGTGGCTTGCACCTGTGATCCCAGCTCTTTGGGAGGCTGAGGCAGGAGGATCACTTGATGCCAGGAGTTCAAGACAGGCCTGATCAACAAAGTGACACCCATTTTCTATAAAAAACAAACAAACAAACAAAAACTTTAAAAATTCGCTGGGCATGGTGGCATGTGCCTTTAGTCTCAGCTACCCAGGGGGGCTAAGGCTGATGCAGGAGGATCCCTTGAGCCCAGGAGATTGAGGCTGTGGTAAGCTATGATCCCACCACTGCATTCCAGCCTGGGTGACAGATACTGTCTCAGAAAAAAAGAGACAACAGAAGAGAAGAAGTGGGGGTGGCGGCGGGGCAGGGAGGGAGAAAGAGAAAAGCTACCTAGTCCTATCACTCGTCTGGTGCCATGCCCCTCACAGCAATGGCAGGCCATGAGGTCAGCAGACAACACCTCCAGTCATTCACACTGGTGACTGCAATACTCAGTTACCTATTTTGTTGTTTGTAATTTAATAACAATTACAGTTCTCTAATTTACTTTTTATATATGAATGTGAGTAGATTCAATGCCACGCCATCCTCTCCCTCTCATTCCAATATTCGCCTTAAGTGAGGCAGGGATCGAGTAATACTGGGCGTGTCAAGATTGCTGCAAACTTCCGACAGTGCCCATGGGAGTCTGCTGTGCTTTTGAGTGTTTATCCATCCTGTCTATCACTGTGGAAAACAACTTGGAAACATGCTGAACCGGCACATTTCGGATAATTTCAGGAACAGGAAACTCATTATTCCCAAAGGCAGTTGGCCAAATCCTTGGACAACTTGAACTCCTAGATAGTTGTTCTTCTCTCCTGAAGGAAATGTAATCTCCCAATAGATTCCACAAATTACGTCTTAACTAAACCCCACAAACCATTTGAGAGAGGGGACTTTAAACCCCTGGATTCCTTTCAGGGTTCTGAAAACTGACATCAGTAGGCATCAAAAAGACTTTTCTTCCTGTTAGTTATACTAGGTTGAGAAGTCACTCAATAATTGAAGAAAGCAAGCTCTATTTTCTTCTTATTGGATTTTTATTTTTTAATTAAGAGATGGGGTTTTACTCTGTTGCCCAAGCTGGAGTGCAGTGTTGCAATCAAAGCTCAATGCAGCCTTGAACTCCTGGGCTTAAGTTCCACCTCAGCCTCCTGAGTACTGAGACCACAGGCATACACCAACTAATTAGTTAAAAAAATTTTTTTTTAGTAGAAACGAGGTCTTGCTTTGTTGCCCAGGCTGGTCTCAAACTCCTGACTTCTAGCAATCCTCCCACCTTTGTCTCCCAAAGGAATGGGATTATAGGTGTGAGCCACCGTGCCCAGCCTCTATTTTTTTCTTTAATCTAGGAATAAAGTAGAGTATGGTACAAAGTAGGTAACATTTCAACATTTTAAATTTCTCACGCTGACGCAGCTAAATTAGACCATTTGAATTTTTCATGTCTGGAGACGCCAGAAGCGCATTTAGGGCCGTCTGTTATGAGAGGTATTCCGCAGCTGAAGAACGCGCACATTCTGTCTCCTGCTCCACAGTTACTTAGCACATACATGCTCACTCGTAAATAGCAAATGAGACCTTATTTGTTTTACTGGATTAAGTTCTTATACATTAAATGTGATATTCTGATATGCTCATGATGCGGCATGCTATGTGACACTATACTAATCTGCAATTCAAGTAGGCAAGAATAAGTCAGATTAAAAAAAAAAAAAAAGGATGAAGGAAATGTCGACCTCAGATGAAAGAGAAACCCTTCCTGAGACCCTGCCATTTGCCACAACACGAAGTGACCTGGAGGACATTATGTTAAGTGAAATACGCCAGGCACAGAGAGAAAAATGTTGCATGATTTTATATGTGGACTCTTTTTAAAAAGGTCAGGTATGCATTTAATCAAACAATGGTTATCAGAGCCGAGGTGGAGGGAGGCCCAAATGAAGAGATGGAGGTCAAAAGATACAAAATAGCAGATACAGAGGATGAACAAGTTTAGAGGTCTAATGTAGACCTCATGTATTAACATGAGGCCTAGAGTTCATAAAACTGTATTGGGGATTTTTGTTAAATAAATAGGTTTTAGTTACTCGTTACGAAAGCAGACACACACACACACACACGCATACACATGCAAACACACACACAAATTAACTACCATCATCCTTTGAGATCAGTGGACAACCGGTTGCAGGAATCCCTCAGGACACCAAAATCCGCAACGATCAAGTCCCTGATACAAAATGACGCAGCTTTGCATATAATCTGCACACATCCTCCTGGATACTCTATATCATTTCTATAATCCCAAATATAAAGTAAATGCTATGTGAATAGTTATATTGCATTTTTAAAAAATCTGTATTATTCTCATTGTTACATTATTATTTGTTTTTCTCCCAAGTATTTTCGATCTGTGGTTGGTGGGATCTGCAAATGCGGAACATGCAGATACAAAGGGCCTACTTTGTGCGAGATCATTGATAGATGAATTTGCTTCACTATAGTCACTATTATCTCTGTGAATCCCATAGCATCATGTTGTAAACCTCAAATATACAGAGTAAAATTAATTTTAGAAAAAGAAATAGGGGAAAAAATGAAGAGAAAGTACACCATAGGTCAAATCTTCACACAGACAGGAGACCCCACAGCATGAACTGAAACATCTCACCTGAAAATGTATTCAGTTCACATTTTATTAGAGACGAGTAAAGGGTCCACCAAAGTGACAATAATCTGAAATATTTTTAAAGAAGAAAATTTTCTGAATACAGTAAGAAAGCGACATGAAGAAAAAAGAAAACTGGTAACACTGAGTAACTTACGTACAGTATCAGGAGAGGACAGGATTCTATACAGACTCAAGATGAAGGACTATAGCTAATAAACCTGCGCACATTCTCAGGTGTCTGGCACAAAGTTAAGAACCATTTACAGAATTTCCTTACGTGGTTCTTTGATAGTAGTGACAGTATCTGGTGGGAAAACCACAAAGTATCTAAAAGCATGAAATACTGATTGACTGATTAAGACAGGGTCTTCCTCTGTCGCCCAGGCTGGAGTACACTGACACCATCTTGGCTCACTGCAGCCTTGACCTCCTGGGCTCAAGTCATCCTCCCACCTCAGCCTCCCGAGTAGCTGAGACTACAGGCACTCACCACCATGCCTGGTTAATTTTTTTATTTTTCATAGAGATGGGGTCCTGCTACGTTGCCTAGGCTGGTCTTGAACTCCTGGGCTAAAGTGATCCTCCTACCTCAGACTCCCAAAGTGCTGAGATTATAGGCATGAGCCACCGTGCCCAGCTGAAATGTTTTACTCACAGAAGTTGTGACATTTCAACAATATTAGGTCTTCAGTTCATAATATTTTTTATCTGGTACAATTAGTGGTTTATTATTAGACTGGATAACGGGGTGTTCCTATTACCATTAAGTTCCTTACATATATGCATACCCAGAGCCAAGGGTAAAAGGTCTGGGCTTGTTATAATTTATCACCCATCTCAAATAATTGGCTATCATCAAGAATTAGATTCATGCAAGGAATCACTTAAAGATTCATTTGTCTGTCACATTAAAAACACTAACCTATCTTTTTCTTCTTCCTTAGCAGATTTTTCTTCGAGGAGCACAAGGGTGGGTCTGGTGGAACTCTTCAGGAGCTAGGGTGTCGGAGGTGGGGGACTAGCCCTGGTCCCACTGTCCTTCCTCCCCTCCTCACTCCCCAAGCTGCCCCTCACCCCCTCTCTTCTCCTTGGGAGCAATCCCCCATCTCCATGCTTGTGACACACACTGAGCTTACTTCTGAGCACTCAGTTAATAAAGGCCTGTACATTGAAAAATATTTTTAAAAAACAACAACAAAAAAACACTGCTCTGCTATGTCATTAATCACCTAGATGAAGCCCACACAACAGGTCCTCCATATTTTCAGGTTCCGCATCCGATGGAAAATGTAACTAGGCCTACCATGGTTGCAGCTATACTGAACATGTACAGACTTTTTTTCGTGCCATTATTCCCTAAACAACACAGTATGGCAACTATGTACATAGCACTTACATTGTATTAAGTACTATAATCTAGAGACAGAATTTAAAGCATGCAGGAGGATGTGCACAGTATAAATGCAAACATCATGCCATTTTGTATCAGGGACTTGAGCATCTTCAGGATTTTGGTATGGGGAGTGGTCCTGAAACCAATCCCTCACAGATACTGAGGGATGACTGTAAACAGATTTCAAGGTGCATGACAGTAAAGGAATGGATGGCTTCAATTTGGAATTGTAAATAATGCATACAGGTATTACTGCAAAGAAAGTGGAAACATATGAGAACAACCAACCATAGCATAATCACTGCAAACTGATGGTTGTTGCCACAACACCTTGCGATGTCTTTACCAACTGCTCAAGTTTTTCTTTAGCAACATTTTCATGTCACAAAAGACTGATGCACAAAAGCAAGGTCCCTGTAAGGACATCACTGAATAAGGCTGGAATGTACTTACTCTTTTCAAACACTTGAGCCCTGCAGGGGGAAAAAAAAATCCTTATAACTGCTTGTCCAAAGACATTTTATTATAATTAAGTATTTCTCAAAACTTAAATTACTCTTGACTTTATTCACACTACAGCAGCAGCATCATAACAATAATAAATAACAGCAAACAGGGCCAGGCATGGTTCTAAGGGTTTAATGTATATTAACTCATTTAAACCTCAAAAAAACCCTATTTTGGAGTAGAGGTTGGGGGAACAATCCCAAAATCTAGGTGCTAATACTACCCACGTTGTATAAATAATAAAACTGAGGTACAGAGAGATTAATTCACTTGCCCAAGGTCACACAGCTAATAAGTGCTGAGTCCAGCCAGTAGGCTCCTAAATCTGAACTCAGGCACTATGCTACACTCTGTAAGTTAATACAGCATCGGGACATATTTAAATCATTAGGGTTCCCCCTACTTGGAAATCATTAACTCCACTAATTTATTTTAAGATTATTTGCCATCTTAATGTGTTTTCCACAAGCTGAAATACTAAATAAAATTTTGAAAAGTTTTTACATCTCCTCTTGTGGAAGAGAGTAACAAAAACCCAACATATCTCCTCTTTCAAGAGGAGATATGTGCTCTTTTCTTCAAAGAGCACAAATACCAAAGAAGGGGAGGAAAAACCCTAAGATTCAATGAGTGCACATGGACTGACATTTGGGTCATCCTTACCTCATTCTGTCCTCTTAATAGCATGGTAAGAAATAACCGTTTTACAGAAGAGAAAACTGAGCTTGAGATAAGTAATCATGCAAGGCAAATGGGAGGGCTAGAATCTGAAATAGTCTGGCCCCAAGGCTAGCCCTTTAATTATTATGCAATGCTGCATTGATTGCAAAATCACCATATGTATTTCCTCTAAACAAGAAAAAAATTAACAAAGGGATTCAATACAAACACAAGAGCAGTGGGGCATCAATTGGCTGTGGGCACCTGAGCAAACATTTCTACCACCTCCCTGTGCTGGCACTTGCTCCAGGGTAGAAAAAAGGATTTGGTCCCCCACGTAACCCCCTAAGGGAGACAGAAGAGGTGGTGGTGTCTCGATTTTACAATAAGAAAACTGAATGGTTTTGGTAAAGTCTTAAGAAATGCCTGAGGTTCAGACGGTGTGTGCCAAACAGAAGCAAAGGTATGCATGAACCACTGCAGCCTATTTGACACAAATGCAATTCAGGATGGCATCTGCGATTCAGAACAGCCCAGAGCTCGTCCCCTGAATAGTTCAGGCCTGCCCTCCTTTGTCCTTGTCATCCTACCTCCTGGGAACCTGCATTATCTTCCAGCTCTGTAGTTAAAAGGCCCGAAATGCTCATCCATATACCGGCCCTCTTTTCTTCAGACCTATACATGACAGAGCCCTATGTTTATTCTGACTCTTGCCCCTTCTCCTCCTCCCAGGATGCTCGATTGCCACCCCAGTACATTTCCTTCCACTGCATATGCATCTTTATACCAGGGAGACTTGTTTTTGCTTTTGTTTTCCAGAAGTTCTTATAAAGCTTTTTCAAATTTTATTCCTTACTTTTTATCATAAAATCTAAGTCCTCACATGATCATTTGTGTAAAATAGAAATACTTTAACATTTAAAATTCATTTCTGTATGTATGCCCTACCTGATTCCACAGTGAGGTGGCTCTCCCATTGCGTCATTTGCTATGTTTCCAGGTGTAAGCTCCTCACTACAAGGGAAACCCTGCTCCCAGCACAAAACTTGACCCATAAAGGTTTGAGTAAACAGCTTTCAGGAGCACACCTCAAACAACACAACTCTAACTTCCCAAAAATAAGCCTTCTTAAAAATATGTTTCTCATAGTTAATCAATAGGAAGAGCTGCTGGAAATAGAACAATAGCTGAGATTCTAAATTCCTTGTCATTGTCAGTCTGGACTGTGCAATAGAAAACCATCTTATAGACTAGCAGTCCCCAACCTTTCAGGCACCAGGGACTGGTTTTGTGGAAGACAATTTTTCCAGGGACTGGGGTGGTGTGGGGATGGTTTTGGGATGACTCAAGACCATTACCTTTATTGTGCACTTAATTTCTATTATTACACTGTAATACATAATGAGATAATTATACAACTCAATAATATATAGAATCAGTGGGAGCCCTGAGCTTGTTTTCCTGCAACTAGATGGTCCCATCTGGGGGTGATGGGAGACAGTGACAGATCATCAGGTATTAGATTTTCATAAGGAGTGAGTAACCTAGATTGCTCACGTGTGCAGTTCACAATAGGGTTTGCGCTCCTATGAGAATCTAATGCTGCTGCTGATCTGACAGGAGGCAGAGCTCAGGCGGTAATGTGAGCAATGGGGAGCGGCTGTAAATACAGATGAAGCTTTGATCCTTTGCCCGCTGCTCACCTCCTGCTGTGTGGCCCAGTTCCTAACAGGCCATGGACCACTACTGGTCCATCTGTGGAGTAGGGGTTGGGGATCTGTCTTAGACAACAGAAAATTGTCTAAAATCCACACTAGATTATTTGAGAACTAGGGCAGGGTGGGATGTGATTCTAAATAAACATATTACAGAAGCTGCAGCTAGATTCTTCTGTGAAAGGGGTAGGCACTTGGTGTCTCTTTTCCTAGACGTTGTCTTTTCTGCTCTGTAGCTTAGAATTTGGGGCTTCAATAGAGTACTACCATCAAATGTTTTCTCAGAAATATCCAGGCCCCACTTACGGCCTTCCCTTAGAGATGGAACAGCCCTTCATACAAGACCACAAGTGAGGTTCTCATTTGACCCAATGGTACAAGGTCTTTACTACCTACATACCAAGGTAACTATGGTATAGGAATCTTCTTTCAGTCAACAATGCAGAAAACATGTCCTTTAGGCACTCAATAGTGATCTCAATTTTTCACCAAGCTGGACTGGAAAATGTTCGTCAAGGAATCATTTATTCAAGGCTGATCTCTGTTTACAGCCAGGCTGGGAGAAAGCCGTACCTCTGGGCTGCCTCACTCTGATACCTGGTGTGTGTCCCATTTTGCCTTGGCTTTCATGGGACTCAATAACAAATAGTTCTGCATATCCATTAATTTTAGTCCTGTTTTAATCGATTGGGGTCATAAGTTTTCCTTAGAATCAGGGGGTGAAAATAAACCAGTATCTGTCCTCCCATTAGACAAGGATAGTTAGATCACAGATTTGTCAAGGTTGCTAAGAAATTCAAACCTAAGTTTCAAGTTCCAATGTCAATTTCCTTAACCAGGACTGTGAAAAATTTTATGGTAAATGTGTTTTTCTCTCCCCATCTTTACAACTTCATTTTTTTTTTAGCTGATTGCATTTTGCTTTATTTTACCTATGTATTCTTTGTTAACATTTTTAAGGCTTTTGGAGAGTAATACATACAAGGATTTCACCATCATCACTAAAAAGAGTCCAAGAGTGATTCTACATGGCATGTTGATTCACTCAGAAGGCAACTTCTCAGGAAATGAGAATCTATTTATGAGTATTCTTTATGTTTCAGTAATAGCTAGACAAAGCATGTGTCTATAAGAAAGCAAAAAGACAAAAACTAAAGATGATTTCAAGGCCGTATGTTTAAGAAACAAAAGAACAGAGCCGAGAGATCTGAGAGAGAAATTAGTTTTTAGAAAGTCAGATATCAACAGATCTCCACTAGTTCCCATCTGGGGAGCTTAGTCATCGACACACTACCCACAGATGACCTTAACACACACACCCAGCCTGGTGCTGCGTTGGGAGACATAATTCTGGTCCTCGCTCTATCACTGAGCACTGTTTCTTTATTTTACTGTCTCAGCTTTCTCAGCTATAACATGAAGGGATTAGGAAAAAAAAAATTACAACTACCATCTGGTTCTGATGGGTTATGATTTTTTTTAATGGAATCCAAGAAATGAAGAGAGCATGATAAAAGAGGTGTTAAGTCCAGAGTCACTCTCTCCTTCATTTACACACCTTATCTGAGTATGCGGAGCCCTCGGATTAAAGCAAAGGCGATTCAAAAATACATTACTGGCTGGATGCAGAGCCCATGGATACGGCGGACTACCTTTTCATACCCCTGGGTGCCACAGGGCTGACTGCAAGGCCTTGAGCATCTGAGGATTTTGGTGTCTGCAGGATCCTAGTACCAATCCCCTGGGGATACCAAGGGGTTACTGTACCTGAAAATCTAAGTGATGTGTATAGGCGAGGGGTAAGCAAGACAATCTACTGAGTGCAAGAAGAAACTGTCAGAATGTCTACTTACACTTAATTTTACCTTAAAAGCTAAGAAATGCAGCTTTTACCAACACTGACAGCCCTTATTTGGGTCCACAGGTTAGATGTCACATGCCACTTAAATAACTCAAGATGTGGCAGTGGGTCCCTCTGTCATCTGTTCAATTTATTCATGTAGGGCTACCATCTATGTAGTATAAAAAACAAAGCCTTTCAGTAATGAGGTGGGGCGTGACCCCAAAAATGTTTTGTACCATACAGAGGTGTTCCAGTTCTCTTGTGGCAAAATACATAGAAGAATTGTTTTAAGAATGATTAACACATTTTTCCCTTACATAAATACAATTTGCTCCAAATTTCCTGACCTACTCTGTGATCACAAGTGGCTGTCAGTAATACCTGGCAGATGTTTTTTTCAATGACCTTACTTAATCAGTCCCTTCAAGGTAAAGATGAGGTTTTAAGAAGTGCAAGAAAATAACTGCTTTTTTGAAAAGAAACTCAGACTGTACAGAAAGTATTTTGAAAAGAGATGTGCTTTTGTATCTTTTGTACAAAGAACTTATAAAATACTTCTCATCTGTTTTAAAATTTTCAATAAATGTAAAAAGTTTTTTATTTTCAACCCTCTTTATCCTTAACATAAACTGGAACACATTTTATGAGAACTTACTGCTATCCACAAAAATGGAAATTTACCAGAAAAATTTTTATCTAACTGGTGGACAGTGTGAAAATGAGAATCACCAGTTAGAAAGCACAGTCAACAATGCACTTCACCCATTTGGATCCGTGTATCTTTGTAGGTAACTTTTTGAGCTATTAAAACCAAATAGCAAAATGAATATAGGACCAGACCTTCAAATTGCTTTATCATAAAATATTCACCATTTTTAAAAACAGTGATACAAACTCATCCACATAACCTTCATTTGAAAAAATAAAATCCACTACACACTAATGATAATTTTTCACGCTATCAATAATTTTTAACAAAACAAGTTTTAGTTACTAATATTTACCGTCAGTGGATCCTTTTAAAACTTCTATGTATAAGACAAAATAATTCAGTAGTACACACAGGAAAACTTATAAATAAAAATTCATATATTGAGAGCACATGCTCCGATTTTTTTCACTGCTAAGATGCAATAAAAACTTGGATACCTGTAGGTAAATTAGTGGTCATCACTGCAGTTTATCCTTGTTTTTCCCAAACTCACAAAAAGTGACAACTTTTAGAATCATTTATTATTTGTTTCTCCCAGTACAATCAATATTTCTTTTAATCAAGGGATTTCCTAGGAGAGCTACACAGAGAGAAAAATCCCCTATATGAAGAGAATATTTTATTTCACAAACCAAAATGTACAAGTCATTTCTGCCTCACTGAATTCAATATACAGTCTTCCCTTGGTATCTTTGGGGGATTGGTTCCAGGACTCCCCAGGATACCACACTCCCCAGATGCTCAAGTCCCTAATACAAAACATTGTATTTGTATAAAACCTGCACACATCCTCCCATATACTCTATATCATCTCTAGTCCATGTGTAAGTACCTAACACAATGTATGGTCACAGTAAGTAGCTGTTTTACTGTATTGGTGCTTTTACTTATATTATTTTTCATTTTTTTCCTTTAATATTTTCGACCCGTGGTTGGTTGAATCTGAAGATTCAGAAGCCTTGGATACAGAGGGCTGACTGTATACAGATTTCTTCCCCCCACTCATCTCACCTTAGAGCATGTCTTGGGTTTTTTCCCTAATTGTAAGAAGACTGCATGCGCAATATTTTTGTAAGAAACCTATAAAAAGGTGTAAGTAGAAAGCAAAAAATCATCTGTAATCCCTCCTCAGAGGGACATAATATTTTAAAACCACACTGGCTATGTTCCCACTCAAAGTATCAGCCATGTGTCTGGATCAGTACAACCACCTCAGCCAACATGTGTAACAACTATAGAATATTTCAACATATGTCAACATTGTATTTTATTTAGCCCAAATATACCATCAACTTGTCTACTTTCATAAAAGAACTGTGTTTTTGTTTTTGTAGGAAACACAGGCTATAAGGGTCTCTCCTCAGCTGACATGCCCAACTGTTATAAGTGTGTTTTTAGCTGAGCCGATTACTTTAGGACCATCCTACATGCCATCAGAATAGTCTTTTCTTCTTATAAATAACCAAATTGAAATGAATCCTTAAATGGTCTCTTGATTTGAAGGTTCAGAAATGGGAATAAATTTGTTTTGAAATAGCCTTTGGCCACTCTGATTAAGTAGAAAACAACTCATTTCATTCAATGTATTACTCTATATGGAAGCTTTTTTCAATCTTGCAGACATTTTTCTCATAAGAAAAAAAGGGTAGTTTCTTAAAATAGGGCATAAAAATTTATATCCATAATTTTTAAAGTTCTTATTTTGAAGTTAATGAAAAATTACATATAGTTTATTCATACTGAAAAGTCACCTACTTCCTAAAGCCTATTCAGAATGGTCTGTTTTTGTGTCAAACATTTAATATTTTAAAATACTAGAACAAGGAATAATTCTCTATTAGGTAATCATCCAAGTTAAATATATATTATCATCTTTTACAAAAGACCCTTAATTTTCTACTTAATTCAAGCTTTAAAAAATAAGGATCAATTAAGGTCCCATTTTAAAAGAAATATATTATCCCAGGGCTAATTTTAAAGCCTGAATTCATCTAAAATAGTCAGTAATTTAGGCCTCCTGAAAATTGGCAACTGTAGTTAGCACTGTCACAATAAAATACATCCACATAAAGTGGAAATAACAGTTTATCTAGATGGCTACAGTTTATAAGCGTGACCTTTCCTTTCTTTCTAAGAGCTCTACTTTTTTCCTTCAATTTTCTTCAGTGTTCTCTGGAGTTCATTTCCTTCAGCTTAAAAAAAAAAAAAAGGCTACTTTGTATGTTAAGTAAAAATTAAAATTGCATTGCTTTTCCTTTCTGAGTGTCTTATCTAAATGGAAAGAAGCCTGAGTACTCAGTTAGATGGCAAAGCTCTGAGCTTCCACACCTGCCTTGCCAGGCTTCGGAATGTTTGTGAGGTCAGCACAAGTGACCGGCATTATTTATACTACATAATTCTTGACAGAGTGGCTAGCGCACAGAATCAAGCTTCAAGCCAAACTACAGGACCACAGTAGAGGGATGGTAACATCCAACATTTAAAAAGCAAGGCTGGGTGTGGTGGCTCATGTCTGAAATCCCAAAACTTTAGGAGGCCGAGGCAGAAAGATCACTTGAGCCCAGGAGTTCAAGACTATCCTACTAGGCAACACAGCAAGACCCCCATCTCTACAAAAATTTGTTTTTAAAAATTAGCGGGGTATGGTGGCACACAACTATAGTCCCAGCTATTACAGGAGGCTGAAGCAGGAGAATCACTTGTACCCAAGAATTCGAGGCTGTAGTGAGCTATGATCACACCACTGTACTCCAGCCTGGGTAACAGGGCAAAACTGCATCTCGGAAAATTTTTTAAAAAATTAAACACACACATACACACACACACACAAACACACACACACCCTGTAATTGTGGACTCTAGCAGATGTCACATTACATTTTCTGAAACGGTTCATGTGAATCGTCCATAGGTCGAGTCTAACGTTAAGCAGTCAGACCGAGGATAATGAAAGGCAAATTCCTGACTAGTCTACTTACATGGGAAGAATTCTGCCTGCCATTAAATGCTATTGGATTGAGTTTAATATAAATCATGTGGGCTATGGCCAGCAAAAATTAACCAACCACAGACAGTGGACAGCGACCTGCTTCTGGGATGCAGGCACTCTCTGCTTAGAGTCCGACGAAGAAAAACTGGGAGAAGTGGGTCAGTTGAAAGCAGCTCTTTTCAGAGGGCAGACTCGGGCCAGGCAGCCTATGTGGAAGCCATCTTCCAACCTCAGACCTGATACTCCCACACTGCCCATGTGCGTACATCTTTGGTCAAACTGCTGAAAATCTCTATAAAGAGATTTAAATGGGTTAAAAGCATATGGGAAAAAAGGATATCTTTTTATTCCAATCTTTGCTGTTCAATTTAGAACCCTGAAAGCAGAAGATGTGGGAAAGCAGCTCTTAGCCACACTGCTAGGGTTATAATCTGGTATAACCCTTTTTGAAAGCAACTTGGCAACATGTACCAAGAGCCTTAAAATATTCATACCCTTTGACCAAGTAAATTCCCCAAAAAGAGAATCTCTTCTAAGGAAATCATCCTAAATAAGAAAGAGTTTCATACAGGGAGATGCTGACAGCAACATTATTTGTGGTGGCAAAATACTGGGACCAATGTTTGGACTATTAAACTTCATTAAACTATTTAGGTTGGTGCAAAAGGAATAGCAGTTTTTGCCACTGAAAGTAATGGCAACAACCACAATTACTTTTGCACCAACCTAATTATTAAGCAGTGATCAAAAATTTAAAATAATTGTTAAGAATACATAGTAAGATTAAATACATAGAATAGTCTCAATGAGATTTTTTTAAAAAGACATTGGAAAGAAACATTAAAACATTAACACTGGTTGCTTGATAGAATGGTTATGGTAATTTTTTATATTTGTGTGTGTTTTTCAAATTTTTCAGAAAATATGCTATGTATCTGTACTTATCAGAACTTAAATTTCACTGAAACCATATTTCTAGTTCACCTAAATAAGCATAAGAAGAAAGAAGCTTTATCTAACACATAATAAAAATATTCACTATTGGCTATTTCCTGGCTCAAATATTCATTGGCATGTGTTAAATCTGTGAGTATCCGATGCCAGAACTGCAAGAGAAAGTGAATTAGACAAAAAGATTAGCTTCTCCTAACCTATTTTTTTAATGTCCCTAAAATTTGCTCCTGTCCTCCTACTTTGGCGCAACGTGCCAAAAAGAAAGTGCCTTATGGATTTATCATAATTTCAGAAACAATATCTGTTTCCCAACAGTTCTTCTGATGCCAAAGCATTTAACTTTCCATCTGGGTGCAGGCAGAACCTAATTTATGAATGGGTTGTGTTCCAAACATTCATTTGTAAGTTGGCCCTTTGATTCTACAGGAAATGTACTCCAAGGCCTAATGTAGTAAAAGCCTGTGGACTTGGTCTAAGAGAGACAGGGGACCCCTGAGAAGAAAACTTCTGTTCCTGTTCCTGGGCACAGAAGCAAGCTAGGGCCAATGCTGAAAAAGGTAGCTGCTGAGTAGCGCAGGGAGACAACTGAACACACTAGATACCTGGGAATGTGCGAAACTTGGGAGGGGCACATGGTCAGGCCAGAAGAGGATTAGTAAGAAAACTCAAAGGGCCGACAAATAAATTAATGTTCTGCTTGTTTAGAGCAGTATCTTCAAACCTTTTAGGCTACGGGCCACTTAGACAACACAGCTTCTACCACATCTATACCTGGTTATCCTTGGAAACAAAAAAACCAACGATTACATCTTTCTTTGGGAAACTTGCAGCCTGGGCATATAGTTGTTCAAAATACATTGTAAATACAAACACTTTTATTGTAATGCAATATATGTATTTCTGAAAAATTTCTAAGTTCTACATAGACACTAAAATCCAGATTTTAGGCAGACCACTGAAAAACTATGAAACTCTATCACCAGAATGCTTAAAAATAAAAATCCTAAAAATAGAAAAATAAACAGTATTTTAGTGTAATTTCTAATAGATATATAATGGACTTTAGAAACACAAAGGTGAGGATCATTTGATGGAAGGAATACAAGGAGTAACCAAGCTTCTAAGTTACACAGACTAGGAGAAAATGTCCAGAGATTGGAGAGAACCCTGAAATGAGTACTTCTGAGATCGAGCAGAAGCCTGCTGGAGTCAGGAGGAAGAAAACGGATACAAGAGCAAGGTATGCAGTCCTGTTTCTCAATTTGGCTTGCTGCCTTGAGCTGTATTAGTGTACTTTGCACCTAGCTGCTGATACTTGGAGGCAGTGGCATACTCAAGGAAAACTGCTTATGGACCAATTCATACATCCTACACCACATTCCCGATAGCACCGATCTCATACAAGTGAATCTGCATTATAGAAGCATGTATGTAGCAGCAGCAAAGACTGCACAACGGTGCATTTTCTAAAGCAGATTCAAATCTATAAGGGGACTTTATAAACCCCACTTTCTTTTCTTCTGTCCAGACTGAACACCACCTGAACGCTCCTCCAAAGACACCAGTGCTTGGGAACGTGACATGAGAAATTTTGGATGCATGACCCGAGAAAAGCAAGGCAAACCAGGGCAGCTGCTAGCACACAGGCACCTCTGTGCACATCAGAAAATGAGCCTCCTCTGTGCGGACAACTCACAAAAAGGGTGCCTGTCTCCCGCTAATGCAGCCCCTTGCTATGGTGTGCAGGTGGCAATACTGACGTCAGCCCCCACCTGCCCCTACCACCTGGAGCCTTTGTGCAGGTCATGTAGAATGCTACAGAGGTCATTCTCGGGTTGACTAATACCTAACACCTTCCTCAAAGTCCAGGCTGAAAAAACAAAAGCAAGGCTTATTTATTACAACTACAAATAAACTAAGCTCTGAATGTTAGGGTGTCTAGCAACTTGCAAATATGTTTCTAAGCCTAAATGACCAAGCCTACAGAAACACAAACAAAAGTAATTTAAATAAGAACATGTCCATAAGAATGGAAATGAATAAAACCATAAAATCAGAAGGAGAGAAGTATAGAAGCACCTGAAGAAGGGTTTGGCAGTTCCCTGGAAATGCCACATACCCTTTATGCTTTTCTATGCATTACTCTGCCTGTAACATGTTTTCTCCAGCTTCTCCATCCACCACGCTAATTCAATTCTTGAAGAATTTCAAGAGCCTACCACTAACTCTCCCAGGGCAGTTTATTAATCCTCTTCTGTCTCACAGTATCTGTGTGTACAATCCCAGTTGTGGCAAGAGGGGCAGGGGTATCCCGCCAGAAGCTAACAGCCCCCAAATAACAATAATGTAATGGAGAGTGTGAATGGTAAGAAAATGACCTAGGTGAGTCACTGTCGATTCCTTCCTGTTACCTAACAGTCACCAAATCCAGCTGATTCTACCTGAAATCTCTCTAAGCACATCCTTTGTCTGCTTGTTTACAGCAGTATCTTCAAACCTTTTAGGCTATGGGCCACTTAGACAACACAGCTTCTACCACATCTATACCTGGTTATCCAACAATGTCTGTTACCCCTGCCCAAGCTCAGGTTCCCATCACCTCTGGAAGACAGAAATGGCATTCTTCCTTCTTGCAGTCCCACCTCCTGTCCCACTGACTCCCCTCACAGATCCATCCCTGGAAGGCTGCAGAAGTGCCACCATGCTTTGGCTTCTCACTGTCTCACTTACTGTTGGATTCCCTCTTTTGAAACTTTGAGGTTGATTTGCATTTCTGCTGACAGGGTTATTCAGGTCAGCTCTGCACTGAAAATAAGTAAGCGTCCTGAATAAAATATGTTCTTAAACATCTTCTTGAAGGCATGAAAGAGTTGGAAGAGGGAGGAGAGAAGTCGGCCTGTCAAGATCTTAGTGAAAACTGGAAGCAGGAAGAATAAGTTAGTCATGGAAGCCACTTTGGCTCTAAGGGCTTTGATGGCCTCATGGGTTGACAGGAACAGAAGACAAAGACTAGGGCCCACCCAAGGTGTGAAGTCTAATAGGAAACCTTTTCTCCATAAGGCTACAATGGGTCTACCAAAAATAAAACCATGCCACCCCAGGGACTGCAGCCCAATTTTATATCACCATGAGGTCCAAAAAATTCCAAGCTGTGAATTTAGTTTCAAATGGTCTTGGTCTCCAGTATCCCTAGCCATGTGGCAAAAACAAACAATTCTCTCTGGAAGGATACATCTTTATCTTAAGACTTGAAGAATGTTCCCTGAATGACTATCCAAGGAAGTGAGCAGCTCAGAGCCAAAATGAACCAAACATAAATGGCAACAAGGCACCATGAAGAAGAACCAGCAGAAACAATACACAATAGAAAAAGACCCACAAAGGACTGAGATACTGACATTATCCCTATTCTTACAATGTTTATGCAATCTTAAATTTAACTTATGGTACACTTCTGAATACTACAATTTTTAGAGGCATGTCTGAAGCCATTAAAAGAACAAGTCAGTAATAACACTGCAGCACACTCTTCTAACATAATATCTCAGATTACTTAGAAATGCATTCATAGTCTTCACGCAGTTCACTTGGCGGCCCTTCAACATCTGACACTGTTTGAAAGAAGTTGTTTACTTTCTGAACCTTTTCTGTCGTGTTCACAAGACACAGTTCTTGCATGCTGCTGTAAACATAACCTCTTTCTTTGGCACTGGCTTGCAGTTACCCCATACCTCTTATCACCAATTTGCAGCAAGTTTTTCCCCACTCTCTAACACACTGCACAACCCGCTCAGCAAAATGCTCTAAAATGCTCTATGCTTGATTATAACAAAAGTCAACTTTCTATGTTTATGAAAATTGAATATGGGAGGCCTCATGGTATACCACCTGAGAACTAATGGCCTACGGTTTAGAATCCCAGCCCCACTCATTCATTCAACAATATGTACTGAGCACCTACTATCTAAACACACTGTTCTAGATGCAGGGATACACCTAGTAAATAGGAAAAAGTCTCAGTTGCTATGAAACTTATTGTTCTAGTTGAGGGAGATAAGCAATAAAAATGTACACAACTCAGTTTCAAACAGTGTTAAGTGTCACAGAGAAAATAACAGTATGATAGTGGAGGGGCTCCCTTAGCTTAGGAGGTCAGAGAGGCCATCTGAGAAGGCAACCCCTTAGCTAAGAGACTAAAATAACTAATAGGAGCCAACCATCCAAAGATCTGAGGGCAGGCTGGGCATGGTGGTTCATGCCTCTAATCCCAGCACCTAGGGAGGCTGAGGCAGGAGGATTACTTGAGGCCAAGAGTTGAAGACCAGCCTGGGCAACACAGCGAGACCCCCCATCTCTTACAAAAATTATAAAAATTATCCAGGCATGGTGGTGCACACCTGTAGTCCCAGCTACATAGGAGGCTGAGGCAGGAGGATTGCTTGAGCCCAGGACTTCAAGGCTGCAGTGAGCTATGACCATGCCACTGCACTCCAGCCCAGGTAACAGAGCGAGACCTTGTCTCAAATAAAAAAATAAATAAATAAAAGAGGGAAAAACATTCCCGACGAAGAGAAAAATAAAGACTGAAGAACTGTGGCTGCTCTGAGCTTGCCTTTAGGAACAGAAAAAGCGCAGGGCAGCTGGAACATAGGAATCATGAAGAGGGTGTTATGGGATGAGGGCAAGGAGGAAAGTGGGGCCCAGGCCAGTAAGATCCTGCAGGTCAGAAAAGGTTTGGATTTTATTCTAAATGCAATGTAAAGCCTTTGGAAGGTTTAACTGAGGACATGACATGAAATCATCTACAGTTTAGCAAGATTCCTCTGCCACTGCTGCAGACAAGGTGGACTGAAACAGGGCAAAACTGAATGCCGGGAGACCAAACAGGAGGCTACCACAGTGTTCCTGAGAAAGAAGATTCAAATAGAAAGCATGTGGATTCGGGACTCAAAAATTGGATGTGGAGAAGGAGTGGGGAGAAAAAAGCATAATCAAGGTTGCTCCCTACGTTTAAGCTTGAGCACCTGGGTCTATGGTGGTCCATTTTCTGAGACGGGAAGAGGCCAGTTTAAGTTATGACAGGGGACGGGGCAGAGTGCAGGGAGGAAATCAAGAGGCCTGCTTGGGACATCTGAGATGTCTATTAGTTATTCATGTGAAGATACCTGGTAAGAAACTGCATATAGAGCCCAAGAGGAAAGTTAGAGCTGAAGTTAAAAATTTCTCAATCATGACTGTAAAATGGTATAAAAAGCCATGAGACTAAATGAAATCATGTAGGTAAAGTAAATGTAATTGTAGAAGATGATCCTGGACACAGGCCTGGGGCATTCCAACATTTCCAGACTGAGCAAAAGAGGAGCCTGCACCTAAGGAGTGGCTAGTGAAGCAGAAGGAAAACAAGAGACAAAAAAAAAGGAGCCCCCTGCATTTGAAAATGTTAGCACTGCCAGTGATGCTGACTTGAGCAGTTTCCTAGGTGTGCTGGAGGTGAAAGCTAGATTGGGGTAAGTTAAGGAGATCATCGCAGGTAAGTTGACGGTTGCCAGGTACGGTGTCTCTATAGAAATAGGAGACCTCAGCTTTAGACAAGGCTTTTCACTCCTGCTATGAAAAGGAACAGGGCAGGTGTGGTAGCTCACATGTATAATCCCAGCACTTAGGGAGTCTGAAGCAGGACTGCTTGAGACCAGGAGTTTGAGGCAGCAGTGAGCCATGATTGCACCATGCACTCCAGCCCAGGCCAAAAAGCAAGACCTCATCTGAAAAAAAAAAAAAAAAAAAAGGAACAGAAAACACGAGAAGACACTAAAATGAGAGACTAAGGGTGAAGGAGAGCTTCTGCTGTTACTGTAGTTTATTTTGCTTTCAAGATGGGCGGCCCCGGAATGGTGAGCCATGTCAGTGGAAGACACTGCAATGGTGGGAATCGTCTATATCTGCACTGTTCAATCCAGTAACCACTAACCACATGTGGCTAGTGAGCACTTGATATGAGAAACTGAATTTTAAGTTTTATTAGCTGAAATTTAAATTGCCATATATAGCTAGCAGCTACAAAACCAGGCAGGGCAGCCCCTCCAGCATGTCTGTAGACTGACGGACCCAGCTGTCCAAAATTTAGATGGGATGGTGGGAAGAGTGGAAGCTGACGGCTTCTATTTGTTCAATGCTTTCTAAATGAGGTTATATGCTGAGGGAAGGACGGGGTGGGGGAAGTGGGGGACAGGACACTAGGTGAAGTTCAAGGAGAAGTGAAAAGGAAGAAATGACTTCAGAGAGTGGAGAACATATTAAAGGAGGCAGTAACACTTCCGGGTCGAGTGTCATTTGAGATTTGTGGCAAATTTTAAAGTAACCCTGGTCAGAACTGCTGGCTTTTCTCTGGCAAACATCAACCACTTGGCCCTTCAAAGGTGGCCTCAAACTACTCTTTCAACCATCTCCTGACACTCCCTTTATGTTCCTCTGTGGTTTTCAATTTTCTTGGCTGCAGGATCTTTTTTACCCCCTTTACGTATTATATTCAGTACCCCAGTTAAAAAAAAAAAAAAAAAAAAAAAAAAAAAAAAAAAAGGACAGAGAGATGACAATGAGGACAAAAACAAGGCTGTTCTGGAGGAAACTGAGGTAGGCCTAAATTCCCCCACCAGCTTGGCCCCCTCCCACCAGCCCCTGAGGCACATCTAAGGAATCTCAGGGCTTGAAACCAAAGATTTACCCTGATGGGTGTTTCTCAGACTTAAATATGCTGACGATCAACATGTCTTGTTAAAATGTACATTCTGCTCCAGCAGGTCTGCAGAGGCCCAAGCTCTGCATTTCTAACATGTTACTGGGTTCTGCCACTGTGGCCACACCCAAAGCCAACTACTCACATTCTCCGCTCTGCTTGGTTTTGCCCGCTGTCGGACCCTCAGCTGCATATGCCTTTCCCCATTGTATTAGTCTGTTCTCACGCTGCTGTGAAGAAATACCCAAGACTGGGTAATTTATAAAGGAAAGAGGTTTAACTGACTCAGTTCTGCAGGGCTGGGGAGACCTCAAGAAACTTACGATCATGGCAGAAGGGGAAGCAAACACATCCTTCTTCACATGGCAGCAGCAAGCAGAAGAATGAACACCCAGCAAAAGGAGAAGCTCCTTATTTAAAATCATTAGGTCTCGTGAGAACTAACTATCACGAGAATACGATGGGGAAAACTGCCCCCATGATTCAATTATCTCCAGCTGATCCACCCACAACACCTGGGGATTATGGGTACAATTCAAGATTAGATTTGAGTGGGGACACAGCCAAACCATATCACCCATCTTCTGCAGCTGGGAGATTCTATCTAATCCTCAAGGTCCTCCTCATTGTTACCTCCTCTCAAGGATTCTCCAAGTCCCCCAGGCAGAAGTAATCATGATCCAGTCCTGGTTAGCACCTTGGCAGATCTCCTACCACTATATCCCCCTCTTGCTGTGCTCCAGCCATGCCAGCTTTCCTGCAGTTGCCATAACAAGCCAAGCAAACACCAGCCTCACGGCCTTTGCACCAGCTGACCCCTCCGCCTGAAATGCTCTTCTCCCAAACTGCCTCATGTCTAAGCCCTTCACCGACGTCATGCCTTTGCTCAATGTTCTGCACGGTCTATTTAATACCTTCCACCCCTAGCATTCTGGACACTGTAGTTATTTACACATATATTTATTTTACGTCTGTGTCCCCTGTAGTTATGCACAATTTGAGAGCAAGGTCCACAATATATTCATTTTGCATCTGAAGCATCTTGCAGTGTCTCCATATTTAAAGACAAGGTGAAATATCAAGTCAATAGCTGACATAACTTGCAACTAATGGATGTGAATTAGATTTCTGACACTTCAAAGAACCTAATCGCTAGTGGAAGTGTGAAAAATACAAGAAAGAACATAACAAAATAGATACAGAAAGCAAAGCAAGGGCACAAGGGTAATTCTAAAATGATAATTCATAACTCAAAAATACACAAGGATGCCAAGAACAACGATGATGTTCTACTACAAAACAGGATAAAGTAACCATTGATTTAGCATACAATCTGATAATTTGCTACCTCTTAGCATTTAAGATATTAAAAAAAAAAATAGGATAGGCATGGTGGCTCAAGGCTCTATTTCCAGCACTTTGGGAGGCTGAGGTGAGAGGATTGCTTGAGGTCAGAAGTTTGAGACCAGCCTGGCCAATACAGCAAGACCCTGTCTCTATTTTAAAGGATAGTAATAATGACAGCTAGCACATTAAGAACTTACCATGTGCCAGCAACTATTTAGGCATCTTACAAGTATGAATTGATTTAATCCATATAACAAACTTCCAAAGTAGGTACCATTATTACCTCCTTTTATAATCAAGGAACTGAGAGGCAAAATAACTTGTTCAAGGTCACATAGCCAACCGAACAAGGACTCCAGAGCTCTTAATCACTGTGCCCAGGTAGCTGAAAAACTATAAAGATTTAGAATTGTGAGGCTTAGCTTTAGGTAAGTTACTGTTTTAAAACTCCCTACAACATTTTTCTTAAATAAATTATGTACTGGTTCTCTCCCTACATGCTCTGAACATTAACAATGATTTTCTTTCTATGAAGGGAAAAACTGGTTTTCAAGTAGTTTTCTCCCATGTTAACAGCTAATACTCTGTCCATCCAAGAAGAACAGCTCTTAAGACTAAGAAAATAAAAGAACTCAAAGAAATGAATGATTCCTGAGCTTGGCCCAGGCAGCACAGCTCAGTGGTTAACGGTACCGTTGTGAATCCCAAGTACTAGGCACTGTGACCCAGGCGGGTAATCAATTCAGCCTATGCGTGTTCCCCCCCAAGAATTCTTCCTGGCTGCTGCGTGCTCTCCCCACTTTCTCACCCCACACTATCCCCATCTTATTCTTGCAAGGGTTCTTGATGGGGTTCCATGAACTCCCAAGTGGTCCATGGATAGAATTAAAAGGATCCTTGAACTTGCTAGGACATATCCTCTGTATTTTCATTTATTCCTTTAAAAGCCTCATTCTGAGGAGTCTATGGCCTTCACTGGACTGCCATAGGAGTTCCTAGTACAAAAAAGAAAAGAAATGAGGATAAAGGCAGACACAGGGAAATAAGCTAGGGGGGTTTAATATCAGTCTAGGAAAGAGGGAAACAAATCTGGTTAGGAGTGACAGAAGTGAGAATGGAAACGAAGAGACGGATTCAAGGAAACTCCCCAGGGATTCCTAACAAAATGGCATCTTTCACCTTCCTTCTACTTACCTTCCAAAAAAGAGGAATTGCCTCTACTTCCACTCATTCACTCCTTAAGTCTTTAAGCTTTCACAGCCACCCGCAATCAACCACAAGCACAGCCATGACTTTCAAGCACTTGGGAACATCTAATTGTGCCGACCTCTGTTTTCTCCTCCTGTTTCTTCTTCCTCTGTCCTTCCCTCAAAGCCAAGTGTCCCCAGTGTCCCTGCTCCTCCGGTGGAGATCTGACTTACCGATTCTGTACGGGCAGGTCTCAATGGTCTATCCCAGCCCTAGTGGCTCCCGAGCTCCAATCACACCTTTCCAGCATCCTACATGGTACTGTAACTGCAGGATCCACCCACCACCATCACCTGCAATTCCACATTCTTAAATCTAAATTGCTTGTGTCCCTTTCCAACCTACAATTTCTTCTCCCAAATTCTCTAATCTATCATGGGGCCACCATTCTTCTAAGGGCTCATCACATACAGTTGGGGCTGGGGGAGGAATCCTTAGTGGTAAAGTTCTTCCTTCTACTGCTATGTAGCCTGTGGACCTGCAGCATCAGTACCACCCGAGAGTATGATAAATGCACAGTCTCAGGCAGCACTCCCAACAGATCTGCTGAATTAGACACTGCATTTTAATTTTTATTGTTTCACATTTAGTGGGAGCCTCCATCTGTCACCCAAGCTACAGTACACTGTACAACCATGGCTCCCTGCAGCCTGGACCTCCTGGACTCAGATGATCCTCCCACCTCAGCCTCCTGAGTAGTTCAGGCTACAGGTGTGTGCCACCATACCCATCTATGTTTTTACATTTTTTGTAGAGACAGGGTCTTGCTATGCTGCCCAGGCTGGTCTCAAAATCTTGGCCTCAAGCAATCCTCCTGCCTCAGCCTCCCAATGCATGACTAGGATTACATGCATGAGCCACCTACCCAGCAGCAGAGCCTAATTTAGCAGACTTTTTTTTTTTTTTTAAAAGTCCCCGATTGATAAACACCTTAAATTTTGAGAAACAGGGATCTGGTTCTTTTAATATATCACCATCCAAACTGCATTTGAACTTTATTACTTTTAGGCATCATTTACTGAATCCTTATGATGTGCTAATTACAGTGCTAGGCCTTAAACACAGTATCTCATTTAACTCTCAACCCTGTGAAGTCATATCATTATCTCCATTTTAAGAATGTGAAAATTGAGGCTCAAGTGACTAAATCACCTGCTCAAAGAGCCCATCAGTTCCAAAGTTAGCATTTGAACCTCATCTGTCTAACCACAAACCTTTTTTGCCAAATTGCACCAATTCCCTTCAATTCCAAAATTTGTATTTCGAAGGCTATGCTGGCAGAATTAATTACTCTGGTTGCCTGTATTTTCTAATCAACTTAAGGCAGATTTTGGTGGTTTATTATAATTCTTGCCGGCAACCTATCTAAAGACACAGCAGATCAGGATACCCTGGAAATAGAAATCACTGACCTGACATGGGGCATCATTCTGAGTACTGAAGTTTAGTAACTGTAAGTACTAAGTAACACTAAGTACTAAGTATAAATACTTAGAGTTCACTCTAAAGTATCTGACAAATGGAGAGGAAAATGTATTCTGTTCTCTGGTTATAATCCCAAGTTTTAAGGAGTATAAAACGACTTCCCTAATAAACTTTCTGTATGTCTGCTTGGTATGTTTCTTTCCTCTGAAGATTAAAAAGAACAAAAAAATAGTTTGAGGAGACTAGTTCTTGAATGAATGGTAGCTGGGTTCCACTCAATAATTTCATCTAATGTCTAATTTTAATTTTAATGTAATTGCCTTATTATGTCCTATTCAGTCAAAGTCATTTCACAGTCACTCAAATCACTTTAAAACTTAGTTTCCTTATCTTCTTTCAGTGCCCAAATAAAAACCCATGAACCAAAAAAAAAAAAAAAAAAATTATGATGTATCCAATATGGTCTTTGTCTATTCCAAAAACCAGAGCTTGTGGAGAATATAATCAAAGCTACTGACGCTCCACCAAGGACACCATGAATTCTCCAATCCACACACAACACAGCACATGGTGCTCATCAGGCTGGCCCTCACAGATTCCCACGGTAAAGACCCACGGATGTCCAGAACCATCCAGCTCTATTACTCGGACAGAGACCTGCCTGAAACTGCCTGGCAGGCCCTTTCCCCTCTCTGGGGACTGTTCTTTCCCCAACGCCAACAGGCAAGCGCTGCCATGTTTTTATAACTGCTTAGTCCAAGGGACGGCCACAAATGACCAAGGCCAGACCAATCCCAAGTGGAATCCTTCCACGGTATTTTTATAACTGAATTAGAGACAGGAAACCCTTTTGGGGGAGCAGAAATGACAAAATGTGAAATACAGGAACCGTTCATTCCCTGCTCTGTGGAGGAACCAGCCAGCTATGAAGGAGAACTGAGCCAAAGGGTACAGAAAAGTCCCACGCACTCACACACCCACACACTCAAGCACCCAGCTCTTCACATGGTTCCATTACCAGCCTTTCCTTCTACTGTGATAGGCCCCCCAAACCCCTCAATACCTGACATTTTTGCCAAAGCTCATTTCAACTTCTACAGCTTTAAACCAAAAGCCTCTAACATCAATACTTAGCTACTTCTAAATGCTACATGTTTTAAACAAGTTTTATGTGCTTTAAGATTTTTCTATACAGATAATGTTTTCCTTTGGATATTTAAATAGGTTTTAAAATACTAATTTCTAAAAGGCTCACATTTCACTGTGGATAAAAATCTTTTAGAGTATCTATTTAAAACAAGTCTTGGCTCATATCATTCAACATCCTCCCCACACTATTAAAATATCATCTTAAGACGCTTACTGTTTGATCATTTTTAGTTTAATTCTAAATGTAACAAGACAAAACTGCCTTAAGTCTTTTCCTTTATGTATTCAGTTATATTCTCTGCTTAAAATACTTAAAAATTGGCACTGATCCATTCACTGATGGGTATTTTAAGTTACAAAGCAGTAACATATCAAATTAACCACACAATGGCAGGCTTACTCCCGACTATGACCATTGCCCAAATCAAGATTTTCATTACCACCTCAATGGACTTGAACATTTTCACCTTAATTGCAAGTTGTTATGTTTCAATCAAATCGACTTTGGCTTAATAGACTGCAATGCAGTTCAGCTACATTCAATATAACAAACCCTTAGTTCACAGTCTCTTAAAATCACCATAGATTTCCTTCCCCTGTAGTCAAGGTCTTGAAAATTCCCTGAATGTTGCTGCATTTGGAAGGTTATAATAGTAAGACAACTTTTATATAGTATTCTACAAATCCTAGTATAACACTGTGCACCTAGTAGACTGAAAAAACAGAATCTTGAGTTAGACTTGGAAATCATCCAAACAACCTCAGTTCACAGATGCAAACACTGATGCCAAAACCTGACCTTAACATGCCCAAGGTCAACAGTTAGAATTTAAGAAAAACTTAAAGCGCAGATTCAATGAGCGTTTTACCACAGTATGTGGAAGATGCTCGTATACAACACCATGCTTGTTTGTTCTTAAGACTGCTGACATATTTATTCTCACATTATACTATAAACTTTGGTGCACAGAAGGTCATATAAAACATTTATCTAATATCAGACATTGTCACCTAAAATGAAATCAAACCAGAAATACATGGCATCTAAGGGTTTTAGATTTCATGTTTATATTACACCTCCATTCTTTTTTCAAAAATAATATAGTAAAGAAAATAGACATTTTGAAAAAAAAGGCTGTGAAACAGACCTTTCTTATGTCAACTCAGAGCCCTCAAAATAAAGACAGTTGGATAAAAATATTAGAGGTGTTTTAGCAATTCTTCCCACAGTAGCTGGCACTGTATGTGCCCAATATATATCTGTTGAATGAGTAACATGCTTACATTTATATGAAATGGAAACTTCACTCCTCTGGTTGTGGATACTTAGAACTGCCAACTTCTCTTGAGAGCAAAAGAAAATAACACCAAATGTACTATTTACAAGTCATACACTATGAAACACTTAAGTAGTTTCAAAATATTTCCAATTAGCAAGAAACTCTAAAACAAATGTAGCAATTCATAAATATAAGGTAGCAACGTAAGTGGTTACAGTAAAACATACACAATTACAAGATTTTTTAAGGCAAACTGGAATTCAGACGAGTTCCCAGAAAGCACACTCTTTTTCGGCAGCATATTGTTGACACTACCTTACTAAATTAAACCCCGAGACAGAAACACTCTCCTGACCAAAACACCAGAACTCCAAAGGAGATAAAAGCACCATAAATATGAGTAAGCACTACAGTATTCATCCTTTTTTTAAATTGTAAGTTTCTATTCTAGTAATAAGGGACCCAAAAACTACTAACATAAATAATAAAAGAGCTTAACAAAATTATACATAACTCTACATTGTAAACTTATTACTTAGGAAAAATTGCATTTCATTTTCCGTAATAAAACTTGAGAGAGGAGTTTTTGGTGCAGTAATGCATGCTCTTGTAACAACTTACATTCCCAAATAGCTAAAGAAGTTGCCAGGAAGTTAAAATGAACTTCAGTGAGTCAGTCATTAAGCTGGATAAAAATAATCATTTCTCAACTTTTCCAAAAACACTCACTCCATGCAAACACGATCGATCCTGATACTGTTTTGCCCTTCCCCCTGCTCAGCTTGGGGAAGAAAAATACAAAAACGATGCTTTTAGGCATTTTAAACAACTTCACTACATTGAGGGTGTGTGTGTGTGTGTGTGTGTGTGTGTCTGTGTGTGTGTTTTCCGAAAAACCAGCATGGTTTTCTGTCATTTCCATTACGCTGAAAAGGACATACAGACATCCATCGAAATCAAAAGCAGGGAAAGCGAACTTACACTTTTCCCCAGATGCTAAGTGACTGCAGTGGCTAAGGTCATGGTCAAAATTCACAGCTCGTTTAAACTTTCCTGGCTGAGCCAACAGCTCCGATCATGTTTCCTGATCCTATCGAAGTGGATTAAAACTGCAGGAGTTTCTCGCTGTCAGATCAGCAGGAGGCTATTTCAGACCCTCGAACCGCAGTCCGCATAGCCCGCAGCGGCGCATCCTCCAATCCCCGACTGTGCGTGACGCTAACCTTTCCACGCGTTCTCCAGCCTTTCCCACACCCCCCACAGCGGGTGCGGCCAACTCGGGACCCCCTCCGCCCGCGCCCGCCGGGACCCCCGCCTGCTGTCCCCGCCCCGGCCGCCCTTCCGCAGTCGGTGACTTCTGCCTGACTCCCCAAAGTGGGGGGAGGCGACGAAGGGAGGAAGACTCCCCGCCAAGGGCTCTCCAGCCCGCACAGCGGCAGGGCGATGCGGGAGAAGCGCAGGGATGCCGCCCGACGCCAGAGCCATATTTACATCGGCTGCTGCTTTGCCAAAAAGCCGACTTGTGCCCAGTAATATTGCCTTTAAAGGAAAAAGAAAGGACCTAAGCACTAAAGCTGCTGCCCCAAATCTGCTCGCGCTCCGGTATCCTCGCCCCAGTGCCCCAGTGGGAGGCTCGCACGCGCCCAGCCCGGGACAGGTACACCTGCCCGCAAGCGGAAGACGCGGGCGCCGCGCGGCCCCCACACCGGGTAGCGGTCGCCCGGACCCGGCCCCCAGCAGCTCCCGCCGGGGCTGACAGCCGAGGCGCCGTGCCCCGCACAAACTTCCTACCTCCCAGGCTGCGGGGACCGACCTGCGGGCGGGCGGGCGGACCGGGGGCGGCACTGGCACCCACCGTGAGACTCACATGCACACGGGACCCCCGACCCGCACCGGGCCATAGATCTAAAGGGGACGCAAGTGGTGGTGCCTGGGCGGCCCAGAGGGCTGGGGGCACGCGCCGCGGGGCTGGGGGCTTCGAGGCGGGCGAGCAGCCGGAGGTCCAGGGCTGACTCCGGCTCCCCGCCCCGCAGCAGCTGCAGCCGGAGGAGGAGGGGAACGAGGAGGAAGAGGAGGAGGAGGAAGGGGACCGCGCGCCGCAGCTGAGCCCTTACCGAGTGGTTTACCCCCCACATGAGGACGCTGAGCAGCGGGTCGCTGGCCCGAAACAGCTTCACTTTCTGCGCTACGAAGTGCTTCTTCTTGGTCTTGGTCTTGCTCGCCAGGACAGAGGACCCTAGGTTGCCGGGGGTCGCCATGGCCGCCTCCTATGTCCCCTCCACCGCCGTGCTCCCGAGGCCGGGGACCCGCCCTCTCTACACCCCGGCCCGGGGAGGCAGCCGCATCCCCCCGGCGGCGGCCCCGGCGCGCCGCGCTCCGCTCCGCCCGCCGCCGCCGGCGCGCTCAGCCCCACTCGGCTCGCTCCGCCCGCTCGGCCCGGCAGACTGCGCTCGGCTCGCGCCCCGGCCCGTATCCTGCGCCCGCCGCGGATCCGCGCTCAGCCCGCGGCTGGACCCGGCGCGCGGCGAGCGGCTTCCGCGTTGGGCGCCGGCGTCATGACGCAGGGGGCGGGCGGGCAGGCGGGAGGCGGCTGCGGCGCCGCGGGCGGGGCACTGGGTGCGGGGCGCGGGGCGCGGCAGCTGGACCGTTAGGCTGCGCCTTCCCGCCCCGGCTCCGCTGCAGCCGGGCCGCCCCCTGTGCGCGGGCGACCTCCGGGCGTTCGCTCCCTGCCCGCGGAGGAGGCCGTGGGTTGCGAGCGGGAGCCTGGGGACCCCGGCTAGGCGTCCCCTGCCGCTCCCCAAGGAGGGAGAGGACAGAGTGGGCAGAGTGAGGAGGTTGGGGAGAGGAGCCCCCAGGCGTCGATCAGGCGAAGGAGGGAGGCTCATGCACTCACCCACGCCACGAGTCAGGAGACCCAGCCAGGTGTGAAATGCTGCAGGGAGACCAGGGCTTCCCAGCACCGAGGGGAAGGACCCGGGCACATTGCCGGGTCAGTCCCTGAAATGAACTTAATACTTTTGTGCGGATAACCGTCTGGCCTTTCAGACCCTCGATATGGGCCTCCTGGAGCCATTCAAGAGGGAGACTCCCACGTAATAGGCTGGGCTGTCACTGCCAACCCACTCCGTGCCCGGGGCAGGAACCTCGGACCTCATCGAGAGCCCTTGGCTTAACCAGTAGAATCATGCCCCAAAGTGCACCTTCTTCCAATCCATCACTATGGTACTTGCCATCCCTGCCTGTTTTCCAGTGCACTCACCGTCCGTGGAAATCTGTTCACCGTCTTCCTCCAGATACACCTAAATGTAGCCCTTATTATGCTGAGAATACTTGGCCTACCTCAGGAAGCTGCCATTCCAAGTATGTCTAAAACCCTGCTGCCCCCATATCGTCCTTGCAGTCGTCATCCTGTGCTATTTACTCTGACCCAGCTCACCAGTCCTCACGGAGTAGGTTCTTGGAAACTGTCACCTTAAGCAAAACAACATATAACAAAACCAAATTTGCCATAGGCTGACATATAAAAAAAGAGTTAAGTTCCTACAGCATTATTTCCGGTTACAAAAACATCACCGAACTTCAAAGTAAAAATTCAAAACACTTCTAATATTAAACATTAAAATAAATGTGAGCTATACCTCTTTTTTATTTTTATTTTTTCCCTTGAGATAGGGTCTCGCTGTGTCAACCAGGCTGGGGGTGCAGTGGTGCAATCACAGCTCACTGCAGGCTCTACTTCCCCAGACTCAGGTGATTCTCCCACTTCAGACTCCCCAGTAGTTGAGACTACAGGCGCGCACCACCAAGCCTGGATAAACTTCTTGTATTTTTGGTAGAGATGGGGTTTCACCATGCTGCCCAGGTTGGTCTCGAACTCCTGGGCTTAAGGAATCTGCCCACCTTGGCCTCCTAAAGTGCTGGGAATACAGGCACCAGCCACTGCACCTGGCCTACCTACATTTTTTAAAGATTGATAAAAACAAGATAATGGTTTGCCAAATTTCTAGTGATTAAGTGAGCGATGGTTGCTGTGGTGCTGGGTTAAGTCAAGGAATAAGTGTTTGCAAAGCAAAAGTTGCCTGTAGGACCTGCTGCTACCATGAAATTCAAAAACAATCACAAATATGGTAGCTGAGTGCACTCCTATCTCATTTATTGTCGTGCATTTTTATGATTAATGTACACTTACATATTTTTATTTTACAGTCATTTGTTTCACGGATTTATTCATTTTTCCAACTCATTTATTCCAGTTCAAGGTCACAGATAGTGGGAGCCTTATCCCAGCTGCTCAGCTTGGGCAAAAGGTGGGAACCATCCCTGGATAGGATGCCATTCTGTTGCAAGACACACACACACACACACACACACACACACACACCACACACACACACACACACCCCTACACTCACTTAAACTGGGACCATTTAGGAAGGGGGCAGTGATTCATGCCTGTAGTCCCAGCACTTTGGGAGGCATGAGGCAGGTGGACTGCTTGAGCCCAGGAGTTGGAGACCAGCCTGAGCAATATGGTGAAACCCCATCTCTACCATAAATACAAAAATTAACCAGGCATGGTGGTACACACCTGTAGTCTCAGCTATTCTGGAGGCTGCAGTAGGCGGATTGCTTGAGCCCAGGAGTTGGAGGCTGCAGTGAGCTGTGATAATGCCACTACACTCTAGCTTGGGTAATAGATGGAGACCCCGTCTCTTAAAACAAAAAA
This sequence comes from Homo sapiens, assembly GCF_000001405.40. Classification (NCBI taxonomy): domain Eukaryota; kingdom Metazoa; phylum Chordata; class Mammalia; order Primates; family Hominidae; genus Homo; species Homo sapiens. Next base: position 22,716,795 of record NC_000010.11, read on the forward strand.
AAAAAAAGAAAAGAAAAACTACTGGTATCATGTAGACAAGCCTATGAACTGAACGTGCATGTCTTTAAGATGTGAGAGGAAACCAAGGTACCCAAAGAAAACTCTTGCAGGCACGAGGAGAACCTGCAAATACAAACAGTGGTCCCGGCTAGAAATCCATTTTTTTCTCATCAACATTATAACAAAACAACATTGAACAAAATGACAGTATTTGAGGACCCGCTGTAAGTTGTCTGTTGTCATTATTACTCCACTCAAATATAGTAGATACCTTCTGTGCCCTTGGCAGACTGCTTGGTCCTGTCAGGGAGATGAAGGATGACAGGCCATTATCCCTTTAGGATCTTGAGTCTCCTCAGGGGTTGAGGGGAGGTCATGTGGTCACCTTCATTTGCTCCTATTCTTTCTTTGACTGTTTTTTAAGTCCCCTCGTCGTAATTTCCTGCTTGCTTTCATCCAAAATGATATCTGCTTCTCCAGCATCAACCATCACTGCTCTTAGTGGTTTAAAAAAGCCCAAAACCTAAATTTTTAGTGAGACATCACGGGGACTGAGCTGTAGCTCTCCCACTTACTTGAGCAAATCACTTAACCTCTCCCAGCCTCGGGTTCTTTATGTTAACAGTAACTATCATCAGACACAAATGTCACTTTAGGAACTATTTTGAACCTAGTAATATAATCCTCCCCTACCTACATTATAGGATGTTTGTTAGAATCAAAATCAATAGTAGATAATGGCAATGAAAACCCTTTGTAAACCAGACAACACAATAGAAAATGTAGAGTGCTTGCAAGTAACTCATAAACTCTTCCCCGACCCCAGAGAAATGCCTGGTTGCACATTTGTACATCATTTTTCCACAGGCATCTTTTAAAAGTGTCTAAAACCATCTGGGCATGCTGGCTGATGCCTGTAATCCCAGCACTTTTGGGACGCCAAGATGGGAGAATCACTTGAGCCCAGGAGTTCAAGGGTAGCCTGGATATAATAGCGAGATCTCATTTCTACCAAAAAAAAAAAAAAAAATTTAAATTAGCTGCACATGGTGGTATGCATCCTGTGGTCTCAGTTACTTGGGAGGCTGAGGCAGGAGGATCACTGAGGCTGCAGTGAGCTATGACTGCACCACTGCACTCCAGCCTGGGCAACAGAGCAAGACCCTATCTCAAAAAAAAAAAAAAAGATATCTAAAGCCAAGTTTGACATCTTTCCCCATCCACAAGTTACTTTATTTCTTGTATTATATTGGAAATGGCATTCATATCACTCGGTTACCCCAGCTGGAAGTTCTTTTATTTAACAAATTTTCATTGGCCAGGCTTGAAGGCTTACCATCATCATCAATTATTGCCTTTCACCACCACCCAACCTAAACTCCTTTATTGGATCCTGCCCTTGAAAACAATTAGACTCAAAAATCCTCTCTTCCCTGATGCTTTCCTGATCCTCCTAATTCAAATTCATCCTTCCACCTCAGTGCTTCCATAGCATTTATTTGTTTCATAATAGCTATATTATACTTAATTTTATATTAATAATGCAAGACAATAGGCTTGCTGCAACTGCCAAAAAACTGAATTTAGTGATGACAGAGTGCTGAATGACCCTAGAGGAAGAGGGGATGGATACCTGTTGTTAGGAGAGGCTCCGCCTTAGGAAAGCAGCAATCTGTGGGTGGGTGCAGAGGCCAATAGCACCATGTGAGGGACAGATAGGGGCATAGTGTGGTATTTTTAGGTAGTTATGAGGAGACTTGCAGGTTTCAAAGGACAGAATTTCTGGTGATTTAACATGTTTTGAAAGCCATCTAACACAATACCATTCACAAATACATCATTAAATTATTTATTTATTTATTTTATTATTTATTTTTTTTGAGACAGGGTCTCACTCTGACACCCAGGCTGGAGTGCAGTGGCAAGAACACAGCTCACTGCAGCCTTGAACTCCTGACCTCAAGCCATCTCCTGCCTTATTAAATGATTTTGCCAATAACCTTTCACATTAGCTTTGTGCTCTGTGGAGGGTATGTGTGATGCAAGAGTTCTAGAGTCACAGAAATGACCTTAGCTCACGCCTGTCATCCCAGAGCTTTGGCAGGCCAAGGCAGGAGGATCGCTTGAGCCCAGGAGTTTGAGGTTACAGTGAGCTCTGATTGTGCCACTGCACTCCAGCCTGGGCAACAGAGTGAGACCGTCTCTAAAAATAAGAAAGAAAAGGAAAGAAGAACAAAGTGACCTCAAAATGTGTAATCCAATTCTCAAATTGTATGCATTCGATAGACAATTGATATCTAGAGAAATGTAATAAGTAATTTCTTGGGCAATAAGAAACTTTGAAGGCAAGGACCATGGTGTACCCACTTCTAGGGCGTCTCAGTGAACCCTGAATACTCCCTTTCCCATAGCACCCGTGGTGAAATTTTGGTGAATAAAGAAAAAAGGAATATTTTATCTCTCATAACAAAGTTACATGTAAAGTTTGCGTAGCCAGAAAATGTTTTGTGCAAGGTTCCATTCAGAAATACTTTGTTAGGAAATTAGGCTAGACATAATATTTAAACTCGAGGGCTAGATACTACATGCGGACTTAGCCACCTAGCAATTTGATCGCTGTTTTCCTTTGGGGTTTGCATGCTAATGAGACAAAGTGTATGTCCTGCTTGTTCTTGGTTCAGCCCACCTGGTTCAAGCTGCTTACCTTGTCAAGCTGCCAAACCATCAACATTCGCCAAAGGTCTGGAAGAGAGGCATAGATCTTCCTTCTCTAGGAGGAAGATCAAGGGAGTGTGACTTCAAGAAGAGCATGTGGTTGTGTCAGTCAAGAAGAATGCCATGCCCTCCTCAACAGCCACATCCTTTTGCATTTGGCCTGGTGGGATGTTACACATCCAGATGGCAAAGCCATCACAAATGGAAGAAAGGCTCCAGCAGCCAAGTTCACTAAGAAGAAAGAAGGACATGTCAAGAAGATTTAAAACGTTCCCAATACTGACTTGGTTTTATTTATTTATTTATTTATTTATTTATTTATTTATTTATTTCTGAGATAGGGTCTCACTCTGTGCCCCAGGCTGGAGTGCAGTGGCATAATCATGGCTCATGGCAACCTCAACCTCCTGGGCTCAAGTGATCCTCTTGCCTCCCACCTCCCTAATAGCTGGGACTACAGGTGCACACCACCATGCCCAGCTAATTTTTGTATTTTTTTGTAGAGACAAGGTCTCACTGTGTTGCCCAGGCTGGTCTGGAACTCTTGGCCTCAAGTGATCCCCGTCCTTCGCCTCCCGAAGTGATGGGATTATAGGCGTGAACCACTGTGCCCAGCCCCCAATACTGACTTGTTTATGCTTCTTGTTGTTGTGGTTTTGTTTTTGCTTACATTTACTATAATCAACTTTATTTAGTATCTTTATTTAGTATAAATAACTTTATTTAGTATAAAACTACATGGTGTAAATATTATGTTGCCTAAGGTATACAAGACCAGAAGTAGAGGTCGAATAGGGTAGATGCTCTGATTTTTTATATTACCCTTTTTAATAAAAAAATACTATCAATCGAATAATTCCAATTCTTCCTTGAGAAAAGGGAAGTGGTAGCTTTTTTGACTTAGTGCTATTTGGAAGCTTTGTGCTTTTCCTTGCTTTATGAAAAGATCAGAGCAAGATGTGAGACAATTCCATTCATCCTTCTACAATGTCACCTTGAGCTTTGCCATGCAAAATTATTATGTTGGAAGACCATTCTTAAAGTGCATAAGCTGTCAAATCTAGCCAAAAGGCAATAAGTAAGCTACAAATGCAATAAATGGGCTCTAAAAATTCAACTGTGACAAGTGAGTTACTTTTGGGGGGATAAGCTATTGACATGATGCAGCACAGCTTGCTTTCTGGGAGTTCCAGGGGTCTGGCTAAACTTCCTGGACTGGCTGTGGTTTGGTGCCAGCCAGTTGGGGTTTTCCACTCCAATTTAAATATCGATGGTGATTCTTCTGGCTTCTGTAGCTGGCTGGGACTTCCTGGACAGTGGCAGCCATTCCAGGAATCTACCAGTTAGTTGACTCCTGTCTGGTTAGCCTGACTTGGGGAGATTGGACTGGGAGAAGATGGAGTAAAAAGCAGGTAATGCGCAGACTAACCATTCCCCAGACCACCCCACCTTCTCCACTCCCCAAGCAGCAACATGAGAACTTGAGCTAGCCTCCCCCGCTGGAAGACAGGAAGCTGTGTGAAGGACATTATATCTTGATCATATATATCTTTATATATATATGAAAGTTTTCTTTATTATAGAAATGGAAATTTCAACATTGGGAGATCACATGGCAGGATATAATGCATCCAATAAACATGATATTTTCACAGAAAATGTAATGACATAAAATAATCATGATATTAATATAAGTGAAAAAATAGGATACATATCATATATATGCTATGGTTTTAATAGCACAAAGCTTTTTTTAAAAAGCACAAAGCTTCCAAATAGCACTAACACCTATAATCTCTGCACTTTAGGGGGCCATGGTGGAAGGCTCTCTTGAGGCCAGGAGTTCAAGACCAGCCTGGGCAACACAGCAAGGCCCTATCTTTACAAAATAAAAATTAAAAATTTTTAAAAAGTAAAAAGTGTATTATAAAATGTGTGTGCATGTAAAACACTGAAAGAAAACAGAGCATACTTTTGACAGTGCTATATCAGGGGTGCAGTTAGGATTATGGATGATTTTTAAAATATATTTCTGCATTTTCCAAATGTTATAAGATGCATACGTGTTACTTTTATAATTTTTTTAATGCAACTATCTTTCCTAGTTAAATAAGTAACACAGTAATGTCATTTAACATACTAACCCAATTCCAATAAGAGACCAGCATTTTCACTTGCTCCTTGCTATTTATAATAGTCGTTGTATGATTTAGGCAATGGCGAACTAAGCCTGTGGTGAACATTTTCCTATATGTAGGAAAAAGGGAACCTCCTGTGTTCGCAAAGAGTCCTTATGCAAGTTTACAAATTGTTTACCCATTGGGCATCATCTTCCCAATGCATACAGCCTATGCGTTTTTCGGGGACCTAGAAAAAATTTGAGATGTGAAAACAAAAATTTTGATTACAAAAGAAAACTGCAAAAGTGATATCAATAATAACATTTGACTAAATGTTGCCATTTATTAAATTTAAATTTAGTATTTAAAAAGTCATTACGTATATAAAGAATTTGTGAGTTAGCTTTTCTTATGTTACAAGTATGCATAATGATTGATAAAAAAGATAGTAAATAGTCAATCAAAAATTAAATGTTTGGCTGGACGTGGTGATTCATGCCTGTAATCCCAGCACTTTAAGAGGTTGAGGTGGTAGGATTGCTTGAGCCTAGGAGTTAGAGACCAGCCTGGGCAACATAGGGAGACCCTGCCTCTATAAAAAATAAAACATTATCCAGTCATAGTGGTGTGTGCCTGTGGTCCCAGCTACTCGAGGGACTGAGGTGGGAAGATCACTTGAGCCTGGGAGATTGAGGCTGCAGTGAACTGTGATCAGTGGCACTCTAGTCTGGGTGGATTGAGATTCTGAATCTCCAAAAAAAAAAAAAAAAAAAAGGCATAGCTAAACATTTTTAGAGCAAAATTATAAAAATCTTTTCTAATTTATTTTACAGCAAAAACGTTGAATTAAATGTGGACTGTGAATGCATTTTCATATGTTTGATACGCTGAAGGGTTGGAGCCTCCAAAAATAAGGATGCCCAGCCCTTAGGAGAGTTTTTTAAATGGCTGCCGGGAGGAAAGATTCTATTCTTTGTAGATCAACAAGGTCCAGACAAATTGGTGTGACCTTCAGACCTGAAGCCAACACTGAATGCCAAGACCAGAGGAATTAGAAGATTTTACACTTGATCTTAGCCAAAAGGCCAAGAAGCAAAGGAATCAGAAGATTTTAGCTTGAGCCTTTTGCCCTGGGCAAGGGAAAAGTCCAGAAGCAGGAAGCAAGGAGAAAATTCAAACTAGCTTCCCTGCCTAGAGCAGTGCATAGTGGAAGATCTCAGCCACACCTTCATTTGTGCCTTTTTTTTTTTTAGCTCACTGCAGCCTTGAACTCTTGGGCTCAAGCAATCCTCTTGTTTCAGCCTACCAAAGCGTTGGGGCTCCAGGCGTGAGCCACCGTACCTGGCCTTATTTGTGCTTTCCGCATTCCTGCAATCAAGGGGCACTCTTAATTTACATGCCTACTGCTCTTAATGGGAAGGTACCTAGAGGGAAATCTCACCTAAGGTCTGCTTTCATGGAGTTTTTAAATTCTAAAATATAGTATACACTGTACTGATGCTACACTGAAGATAACCTAGAGAAATAATTGATGTGCATATTTGAAAAGCATCTAAAAAAATATGACTTGAGATCAGCGTAAGAAAAGGATCACAGTCTTCTTCATGCTGCTGTGTCCAGTGGTCAGGGATGGGGCAGTTCCCAGGGTCTCCACTGCCCTCGAGAACCAAATGGAAGACACAGAACAACAGCTTTGAGAGTTAGCCAGGGACTGCCTTGCTTTCCCGGTAGCGCTGAGGGTATGAGTTGGTGAACCCTGTGTGGTTCCTGTTCATTAACCCAGGAGGAAGAATTGAGGTAGGTGAGAGGAACAAGAGGTCCCAGAGAGATTCCTGGTGCTACCCAGGCTGTTTCCACTTCCTCCTCACCACTCTCAGTTCCTGAAATTTGCGGTTGTAGCCTTCAGAAGCAGCCCCAGAACAATCACTCAGGAGGCCCCCACTGCAAAGGCATTCCTAGATCCATCTGTCACCCATACCTGTGCTCCCAAACTTGGGGAGCCTATCCAGTTTTACCTCAGTTACACAGAAGTCTGCAAACCCACGGAACCCTCTCCTGTCACGTGTGCAAACATCATGAAATTCTAACCCATGAGTTTTCTTTTTTTTTTCTTTTTTCTTTTTCTTTTTTTTTTTTTTGAGACAGAGTCTCGCTCTGTCGCCCTGGTTGGAGTGCAAAGGCGCAATCTCAGCTTACTGCACCCTCTGCCTCCTGGGTTCAAGCGATTCTCCTGCCTCAGCCTCCTGAGTTCTCTTAGTTTTGGATTTGAGTGCCTGATAGAAAGTTCTGGGTATTTTCAATTAGTAATCTGGTGCTCATCTTGTCACCCTCAGACATGGCCCTAGTCAGTTTCGAAAGTCTCATAAAATCTCAGAAGCGATGGAACTGGGCTTGAGGGTTTTTTAGACTCTGAAAAACAGCTTTTCAAAAAAACACCCTTCCATACTTTTAGCACTAGCTAACATTTGAGTGTTGCACTAAAAGGAAGTTACAGATGAAATCGTTGTTACATAAAATTCTAGGTCTGAATTTTAAAGATGGGGAGTCTTGATTATTCACAATATTCATGCCCCTGGTTTGTGCTTTCACCTTAACTATGGGATGGCTCCTCCTTAGAGAGTTGATGTCACAACTAACTTTCAATGAAGAGTCCTGTTTTTCCTTTACTAACTCAGGCTTTTTCCATTTTAGTTTTCAAATTCAAATTTTAAGTAGGTCATATTACTGGTATTTAAAAACTTGATAAACTAGAACTCAGGGACTAACTTGAAATCAGAGGTACGTTTATTACCATTTTTGCTCATTCATTCGTCACATATGTGTTGAGGTCCTAGAAGATTCTGAGCATAAAGGTGAGTAAGACACGTCCCTTGCCCTTGAGGGGTGCATAATTAAGTAGGGAGGATAAAGCTGCAAGCCAGCCATTTCCAATGCAATATGGTACCTTCTATAGCAAGACAATAGAGATAGGGCTGTAAATGCTTAGAGGGAGGAAGAAGCACACGATTAGCATGTGGTGTGGTGGCTCACATCTGTAATCTCAACACTTTGAAAGGTAGAGGTTGGAAGATCACTTATGGCCAAGAGTTGGAGACCAGCCTGGGCAACATAATGAGGCCCTGTCTCTACAAAAAAATTTAAAAATTAGCTGGGTGTGCTGGCGTGCACTTATAGTTCCAGCTACTAAGGAGGCTGAGGTGGGAGAATCACTCGAGCCAGGAGTTGGAGGCTGCAGTGAGCTGTTAGCTATGATCACGCCACTACCACTCCAGCCTGGATGACAGAGCAAGACCCTGTCTAAAAAAAAAAACAAAAAACAAACCCAAACAGCACAGAATGGCATCATAGACTAAAAAGGGAAAGTCCCTCCTCCCTCTCCTCCACTCCTGCTTTCCATTTCTTAGATCTTTTCACTTTCCCTCCAATCCCTTCCCCTCTGTTTATATCTGAGTGGGTCAGTTAATTTCTATGTATTTACACATATATGTACATGGACTAATATATGCTTACTTTTTTTTGTTTACTATTTTTTCCCCTGGGTTGTGATCCTCCCACCTCAGCCTCCTGAATAGCTGGTACGCACCACCACATCCGGCTATTTTTTATTTTTTATAGAGACAGCGTTTCGCTATGTTGCCCAGGCTGGTCTCCAACTCCTAGGCTCAAGGGATCCTCCCACTTCAGCCTCCCAAAGTGCTGGGATGGCAGGCTGAACCACCACCCCTCGCCATATGTTAGCTTTTTATGTAAACGGAAATATACTGTACATATTATTCTACAACTTGCTGCCTTTTTACTCAACACTGTGCCTTCGAGATCTTTCCATGTCAGAGTAACAGGGACAAATCTTAATTATCACAAATCTCATCCATACGAAATTATAATTTTCTTCATCCATCCTGTACTTCATTTTACCATTAGCTCAGTTGCTAGCTGAATAGCAGAGGACTTGATCAAGTCTCTTCTAGATAAACTTGGTCAAATTCTGAGTTTTCCTTAGCCCCTATTAGGGAAATACTTAATGAAAGTCAAGTCCCCTCCTGCTAGGAGCAACCTGGGATGGGGGTAGGAGGCTTATGTATTGTGGCTTTGGGATGGAGACTGTGGATGTGTTTTTGGTCTGTTGATCTCCTCAGATTCCCCCCAGGTAACCTCCATCACACCATGGTCTCTTCCACCGAGGCCCCTGTGCTCTGGAAACTTCTCAGCTTGACTCCAGTTCCCTGTGGGTCTACCCTTCCCTCTCAGCCACCTCTGCCTCCCTGAGAGATCACAGGGATTTTGGGCTGCCCTTGGCCCTTCCTCCTAGAACCTCAGTCAGCCAGTAACATTGCATGCTCTGGTCCTGCTCTGGTCCTGCTCTGGTTCTTCTCAGTGGACCTCAGCCTCCTGGGACAAACCTAGTAATCAAGGTCTAGGTCTGCTCTGATGTGGGACACCTCCCGGCCCACACCAGGGCTGATTCTGCCACTGTCCAACTCTCAGAAACTCTCCCAGCTGCACCCAGAGTGTTCCCTACCTCCCCTTCTAAAAGGCACCACTGACCATCCAAGTATTCATCACAATCTATCATTTAAGAATAAGCTTTATGCTCAAAAATCCTTTGGGTACTTGGCTTTTGGCCATACAGAAAGCTTTTGTTCTTTTTTATTTTTAAAAGGTCAGCTCTTGCAAGGAAAAACCTTGTCTTCCAAGACTATTATCTTCAATAGAAATAATAGTGGCACCTGCTAGAAATGGTGTTGTGAGGATTATGATTAATAGAAAGCATTTGCAATGGTGCCTGGCACATAGTAAGTGCTCAGTAAACGTTACCCTTTCTACTCATTCATTTAGCAAATGTTTATTGAGCATCTGCTATGTGCCAGACCCTGTTTTAAGGACTGGGATAGTGAATAAAACAGATTAAATTACCTGTCCTCATGGAGATTTCAAAGTAAAAAAATACGTAGCATGTTTGATGGGGAAAATAAGGAGAAACATAAAGTAAGGAAGGTGTTTAGATAGCATGACCAGCAAAAGTCTTGAGGAGGAGACATTTGGGTAATGGCCTGAAGTTGGAAGGGAGCAGGCCATCCAGGTACCTGTGGGAAGAATATTCCAGGCAAAGTACCTGCAAGTGCAGAGGTTCTGATGCAGAAAGCTTAAAAGGAGTCACTAAGAAAGAAAAACCATGGGTTGACTGTGTCTGGTGGCTCATACCTGTAATCCTAACATTTTGGGAGGGTGACGTGGGAAGACTGCTTGAGGCCAGGAGTTCAAGACCAGCCTGGGCAACATATCAAGACCCTGTCTCTAGAAAAAAATAAAATAATTAGCTGGGTATGGTGGCACACACCTGTAGCCTCAGCTACTCAAAAGGATCACCTGAGCCCAGGTAGTTGAGGCTGCAGGGAGCCGTGATGACCCCGTGCAGTGAGCCGTGATGGCACCACTGTAATCCAGCCTGGGTGACAGATCAAGAACCTTTCTCAAACAAAGCAAAACAAAAACCATGGGTTTATGTTGCAAAATATTACTTCATTACATTTTTATCTATAAAGGACATCATGTTTAAGCTTCATGATTTCATTGTCTAGGACATGTCAGCAAACTATTTCCTGAGGGCTAAATCCTGCCTGGTTTTGTAAGTAAAGTTTTACAGAAACACAGCCACGTTCATTCATTTACGTATTGTCTATAGCTGCTTTCACACCTCAGCAGCAGAGCTGGGTAGCTGAGATAGACCACATGATCTGCAAAGCCTAAAATAACTACTCTTTGGCTCTTTCTGCAAGAAAGAAAAATTGCCAGCTTCTAGTATACAGGTAATATTAGTTATTTAATCCCCTAATGTTCAACAAATCACATTAATATTCTTTTGGTTGCAAGGTTTAGAAATTTGTTTTAAACTAGTTTTTGTAAAATTGGGGAAATTGCTGGCTTATTGAAATGGAAGAGTCAGACATTCCTGGATCTAGAGACTGGACAATTGCTTTAAAGATCAACGTTCCCAGCTCTTGATCAGCCTCAGTGTGTGCATTGCTTTCATGTCACACACAAGTTTTCTTCACATCCCAGGGAAGACGGTCACTGAGAGTCCCTGGCTCCACCACTCTGCAAAGAAAGTTTCTCTGCAATGGTATCCGTCTGTCAGTTCTGCAGCAGTTCTGAGATTGGCCCTATTGGGATCAGGTGCCCACTCCTGGCCAGGGCCATTTCCCTGTGTTCAGGGAAATGAGATGCTGTGATTGGCCAGGGTTGGGTTCTGTGCTCACCACTGCACCCAGATGGAGGAAGGAGCTATTGGGATGAACAGTCCCACCATCTCATAATAAGATGGAAAGAGGTGGTTCTCCAAAGCAGGAAATGTTGAGCAGATTATAAAACAGCACGTGTAGTGTTTGCAGTTTTTCTCTATTAAAAATGAAGTTTCAGTGAACTGCTTTATATGTCTTTTTATGCAGATGCATTAGTAATTGTTATAGATAGGTACTGAAAGGCAGAACTGAGAGGCTATGGAAAATTGCTTTCCAAAAATGATTTACCAATTTACTTTCCAACCATGTATGAAAATGGTCATTTACTCACACCCTCACTAACCCTGGATATTATCAGCCTTTGAAAATGTTGCCAATCTAATAAGCAAAATAGAACCTTTGATTTTATTAGGACTGGGGCAAAGTACTTTTTTTTTTTCTTTTTGAAACGGAGTCTGGCTCTATTGCCCAGGCTGGAGTGCAGTGGCACGATCTCGGCTCACCACAACCTCCGCCTCCCGGGTTCAAGCGATTCTCCTGCCTCAGCCTCCCGAGTAGATGGGACAAGAGGACTGTGCCACCACACCCGGCTAATTTTTGTATTTTTAGTAGAGATGGGATTTCACTATGTTGGCCAGGCTGGTCTCGAACTCCTGACCTCGTGATCTGCCCACCTCAGCCTCCCAAAGTGCTGGGATTATGGGCGTGAGCCACCACCCCTGGCCGGCAAGGTATCTTTTTATGTCCACTGACTGTTGCAGGTCAGGTCCCGGCAAGCAGGCGGAGAGATGGAAATTAGGGTACAGGAAGTTATGAGGAAGTGCTCTCTTGATTAACACCCAAATTGGGAGGGAAGGAAGCAGGACTGGGCAGAGGAAGAAGTTGGGCTTCTATTTGGTCACAACTAAGGCCTCAGCTGTCCTCCTGGTGATCTTTGAAGCTAGAATGGTGCTTTCCAGTTGTCCAACTTAGAGCATGGTGATGATGCCAGCATAGCCCTGAGTCCCCAGTTATTGAATGAGGGCAGCCCTAGGACGCATGCCCTTGGGCAAGGTGAGTCCCTTCCACTGACGGCAACTCCCAGAGAGGATGGACACCCTCAGCAGCTGGGAGAATAAATCCTTCAGTACTGGAGCACAGCACAGCATGCGTTACATTGACTATATTTATTAATTTGTGAATTGCCTGTTTATAGTCTTTCTGTTTCCTTATTGATATGTAGTGGGGCTTTGTTCTGGATATTAATCCTTTGTATGTTATATATGTTGCAAAATATACTGCGTTGTATCTCAGTTTACTGCTGGCCTTTTTTGTTAAGGGGTCATTTATTTTAAAGATCTGTTACAATACGGTCAAAACTGTCCATCTCCCTTTTCCAAGATTATAAAAATATTGTTTTATTTGAATATTTCTATGCTTTTATCTTTTTTATGTGTAGCTCTTTAATTGCTCTGGAGTTAATTTTTGTTCCTGATATGAGGTAATATCACAGCACCATATATTTAATAGACTAGTCTCTAGAGACTGATGTAAAAGATCATACTTAAGATAATTTAAATTTTAATTTAGATGGAATATTTCTTGACTCTCCAATTCCAGCGATCTGATTTTGAGATGGAGTCTTGCTCTGTCGCTCAGGCTGGAGTGCAGTGTTGATCTCGGCTCACTGCAACCTCTGCCTCCTGGGTTCATGCGATTCTCCTGCCTCAGCCTCCAGAGTAGCTGGGATCACAGGCGTGTGCCACCACACCCAGCTAATTTTTTTTTGTATTTTTAGTAGAGATAGGGTTTCACTATGTTTGCCACACTGGTCTCAAACTCCTGACCTCAGGTGATCTGCCCACTTCGGCATCCCAGAGTGCTGGGATTACAGGCCTGAGCCACTGCGCCCAGCCTATTCTTTTTTTAATACCTCATGCAAAAATCAATGTATTTTTATATTTTGCTCTCTGGTTGGTCAAATTTCCCAAACAATTTTTTCAAATTTTTAAAATATACTTAGAAGCATGTTTCCGTTCTTATGAACATGAGAATGAACTTGTCTTATTGGGATTGCATTAGATTTACAGACTCAATTGAGATATTTCTACACTAAAACTTCTTATCTATGAACATCATACATTTGTCTATTTTTTTGAAGTTTTCTTTTATGACCTTCAGTAAAGCTTTATAGTTCTCTTCACATAGGTAATACACATTTATTGTTAAGTTTCAAGTATTTTGCTTCTCCCTCCCACTTTTGTCAATAGAATATGTCTTTTCTTTCAGTGAGGGAATATATTATGAATCTGCTGGGTTTCATTGCTAGCATTTTATTGTACCTATGTTCACCAGTGAGACTGGTTTATAGTGATATTCTTATCAATAACTCTTGCACAGTTTCGGTAACAGATAAGTTGGAAAACATTATATGTTTTTTCTCTTTGTGGAATTATTTAAATAACACATTAGTCATCTGTTCATTAAAGGTATAGCGTTTATTTCAGGGGTTTGGGGATGGTTATTTATTGGTTCAGTTTTCCATCTTCTTGAGTCAATTTTGATAAAATATTTTTCTAGAAAAGTAACCACTTTTTCATATTTTATTGATATAAATTTCTACATTGTATTCCCCTGTAAATTAATATCTTTTATACCTATTAATTGTGTTCTGTACTTGGGAATTTCTATTTAAATAGATCCCAGCTGTGAACAAAGATTGTTCTGTTCCTTCCTTCCTAATCATATGTCTTTTGTTTCCTTTTATTATTATTATTTTAATTGCACCAGCCACAACTTCCAGTATGATGTTGAATGGGAGTAATAAGAGGCGAACTCTTTGCTGTAAGTATAATGTTAGCTGTAGGTTTTTTGGTAAATGCTTTCTATGGGATTGAGGATGTTCCCCTCTATTCCTTGATTGTTGAGAGTTTTTGACATGAAAGGGTGTTGGACTTTGTCAAATGCTTTTGCTATATCAGTTGATACAATTGTACGGTTTTTTTCTTTAGCCTGGTGATGTGGTGGATTAGGTTAGCTGATTTTTGAATGCTGAACCATCCTCATATATCTGAAATAACTCACTTAGTCAGGGTGTATGATTCTTTTTATGCTTTGTTGAATTCAATTTTCTAACATATTTTTTGAGAATTTTGCAACCATATTAATGAGAGATGTTAGGCTATAAATTTTCTTTCTTGTGTTGTTTATGTGATTTTGATATTAGGATAGAGCTAGTCTCATAGAATGAGTTAAGAAGTATTCTCTCTTCTATTATCTGGGAAAGCTTGTAGAGAATTAGTATCATTTCTTCCTTAAATGCTGGGTGGAACTCACCAGTGAAACCATCTGAGTCTGTTGCTTTTTTTAATGCCAGGTTGTTAATTATTGATTAAATTCCTTTAATAGATATAGGCCTATTCAGATCATGTGAAGGTATTTATCTAATAAGTTTCCTTGTTCTGCAATCTGTTTTGTCTGAAATTAATATAGCTGCTCCAACATTTCTTTGCTTAATGTTAGCATGGAATATCCTTCTCCTTTGCTTTACTTTTAACCTATCCATGTCTTTCTGCCTTATCTGTGTTTCTCGAAGGCAGCATATAGTTGGGTATTTTTTTAAATTAACTCTGCAAATCTCTGTCTTTTTATTTATTTATTTTATTTTTTATTACTTATTTGTTAGTGTACAAAAACACAATTGATTTTTGTATGCTGATTTTTTTATCCTACAACTTTGCTGAATTTGCCTATTCCAACAAAATTTTGTGGAATCTTTAGCAGTTTCTATATATAAGATCATGTCATCTGCAAACAGAGATAATTATACTTCTTCCTTTCCAGTAGGGATGCTTTTTATACCTTTTTCTTGCCTAATTGCTCTGACTAGGATTTCCAATACTACGTTGAATAGAAGTACCCAGGTCTTGTTCCTGATCTTAGAAGAAAAGCTTTCAGCTTTTTATCATTGAATATGTTGTTAGCTATGGGCTTGATACATATTGCCTTTATGGTGTTGAGGTTCCTTCTTTCTACACCTAATTTGTTGAAAGATTTTTCTTTTTTATCATGAAATTATGTTGAATTTTGTCAAATGCTTTTTCTGCATCTATTGAGATGACAATATGATTTTTATTCTTCATTCTATTAATACGGTATATCACATTTCTTGATTTATGTATTTTGAACCATCCTTTCATCTCAGGGATAAATCCCACTTGATCATGGTGTATGCTCCTCTTAATGTGTTGTTGAATTTGGTTTGCTGGTATTTTGTTGAAGATTTTTGCATCTATGTTCATTTAGGAATATTGTTCTGTTTTTTTGTTTTTTGTTTTTGTCATGTATTTTTCTGGCTGTAATGTCAGGGTAATGCTGACCTCATGGAATGTGTTTGGAAGAATTACCTCCTCTTGAATTTTTTGGAAGAGTTTGAGAAGGATTGGCATTAATCCTGTAAATGCTTGGTAGAATTCACCAGTGAAGCTAATGGGTCCTGGGCTTTTACTGTTGGAAGGTTTTCAATCACTGATTCAATCTCCTTACTCATTACTGGTCTGTTCAGATTTTTTTTTTTTTTTTGAAATGGAGTGTCATTCTGTCACCCAGGCTAGATGCAGTGGCATGATCTCGGCTCACTGCAAGCTCCGCCTCCCGGGTTCACACCATTCTCCTGCCTCAGTCTCCCGAGTAGCTGGGACTACAGGTGCCCGCCACCACGTCAGGCTAATTTTTTGTATTTTTAGTAGAGACGGGGTTTCATCGTGTTAGCTAGGATGGTCTCAATCTCCTGACCTTGTGATCTGCCCGCCTCGGCCTCCGAAAGTGCTGGCATTACATGCATGAGCCACCGCACCCGGCCTGTTCAGATTTTCTATTTCTTCATGATTGGTAAGTTGTATGTGTCTAGGAATTTATCCACTTTTTGTAGGTGATCCAATTTATTGCTGTATAACAGTTTATGGTTCTTCTTTATGATACTTTGTATTTTTGTGATATTAGATGGAATGTCTCCTCTTTCATTTATAATTTTTTTATTTGAGTCTTCTCTCTTTTTCTTTTTTAGTTAGTCTAGCTAAAGATTTATCAATTTTATTTACCGTTTCAAAAACTCAGCAAGCTGATCTTGGCTGTGATTCTTTGTATTTGTCTTTCTCTCCGGATTTCAGGGTGCCCATTTGCTCTGCAACATCAATTCTCTGAAGAGTTAAAAAAAAAAAAGTCATTGATTTTCCATTTCTTCAGCTTTTTATCTTATTGTTTATATGGGAGTGATGAGTTCCAATCCATTTACGTACTGGAGCTAAAACCTGATGTCCCAGATCCTGTTTTTAATTCTTCTAGAGATGCATTGCCCTTCTTGAATGTGAGATTTTTTTTTTCATTAGCTTCATCTTTATGTCAGCCCCTAAATGAAACTTCCAGTTAAGTCCTCTCTTCTGAAGTCCATATTCATATATCCAACTGTCTATTTAACTTCCCAATTTGGTGATCTGAGCACAACCTGTTCAGAAAAAAACTCCTGCCCTTCTCCCAATCATGCTTCATCTTTCTTCTTTCCCATCGTAGGTGAAAAGTGATTTGGATTCCTCTCTCTCTTTCTCAACCACATTCAATCCATCATCAGATCCTCTCTACCCTACCTTCAAGAATCTGTCTACATCTCAGTTTTATGCCTTACATCCTTGGTCTAATTCACCCAACATATCTCACACGAATTCATAATCTATCTGGCTTACCTGCTTTTGCTCTTGTCCTTCACCTCTATATTCTCAACATAGAATCCAGAAGGATATTTTTAGAAGTGTAGGTCAAACTGCATGCTGTTTCTGGAACATTCAGTCATGTTCCTGCCTCAGACCCTTTGAACTCTGATTTCTCCACTAAGGTCACCTCTCCTGAGATACTTGGATGGCTCACTCTCTCACCTTCTTCATGTCTTTGCCCAAATGTTATCTTCTCTTAAGGATTTTCCTCTGCACTATATTTAATTTCTGTACTCTTCGTGTGTCTGAATTTACATTTTATCTTTCTTTATAACTCTCATTCATTGTGGCTTGTTTCCTCATGCATGTAGGGATTTTTGATTGTGAGAATATGTTCCTTGGAACTTTATATGTTGGAGTTGTTTGAGGCCTATGATTAAAGGATGTTCCTCTAGGGAGGATTTTTATCTTGGGCCTTTTTGTGTCTCAGAAATATTGTGGATTTGCCTCCCAAGCTGAATGAGTGCATACTTGTGGCTACAACTGATTAAGAGACTTTTTGCCCCTCTCTGTTTACCCAGAGCCGAGGTCAAAACAGCCAGAGTCTTTTTCAGTGGGTATCTTTTCTATTCACCCACTTCTGATGTCATTGTCAGTGGAAGATCCTGGCTTTTGTGGGCAGCCTCCTTCTGACCCTTTACTCTACTTGACTCTCAGATACTGGGCCATCAGGCATCTGCAGATGCCCTCAGGTTACATGCTGGCTCAAGTGCTTATGAAATCATGACTTCTAGTTCTTTTCGGCCCCTAGTTATTTTCCTTTACTTTCCAGAAGGCCGCAAAACATTTCTTGAAGTATATTTTTTTTTCCTATTTTTATCTGTCCTTTAAAAATGGTTCTATACTTGAATGGGCACACCAAGTTTACCAAATTGCTGGAAACAGAAGTCAGGGGGCAGCATTTAAAAAGATAATGATTTAGAATATAATTTAGGAAGGATACTTAGTCTTCAACAGAATTAATTTAAAAACCAATACCACCTATAATCACAGCACTTTGGGAGGCTGAGATAGAAGGACTGCTTGAGACCAGGAGTGCAAGACTAGCCTGGACAACATAACAAGACCCTGTCTCTACAAAAATAATTTTTTTTTATTGAGACGGAGTCTCACTCTGTCGCCTAGGCTGGAGTGCAGTGGCGCCATCTCGGCTCACTGCAGCTCCGCCTCCCAGGTTCACGCCATTCTCCTGCCTCAGCCTCCAGAGTAGCTGGGACTACAGGCGCCCGCCACTATGCCCGGCTAATTTTTTGTATATTTAGTAGAGACAGAGTTTCACCGTGTTAGCCAGGATGGTCTCGATCTCCTGACCTCGTTGTCCACCCGCCTCAGCCTCCCAAAGTAAAATGATTTTTAAAAAAGTTAGTTGGGTGTGGTGTCACATGACTATAGTCCCAGCTACACAGGACACTGAATCGGGAGGACCACTTGAGACCAGGAGTTCAAGACTACAGTGAGCTATGATCACACTCCTGTACTCCAGACTGGGCGACAGATGGAGACCCTGTCTCAAAAACAACAACAACAAAAAATACAAAATGATGTGACTGTAAGCTGCACAATGACAAAGACAAAGACAAAATATTAAAACAGAGAAATAAGGTGACAAAAAAGAATGACAGGTAAACTGATAGTGTATTTATCATTTGCAACATTAGATGCCAGATGACAATGGGAATGCCGTTATTAACTTAGCATTCTATTACTGTATTTATTTATATTTTTGAGTCAGAATCTCACTCTGTCACCCAGGGTGGAGTGCAGTAGCATAGTCATGGCTCATCACAGTCTCAGACTCTTGGGCTCAAGTGATACTCCTGCCTCAGCCTCGTAAGCAACTGGGACTACAAGCGCATGCCACCACTCCTGGCTAATTAAAAAAAGTGTTTTTGTACAGACAGAGTCTCATTGCTACCCAGGCTTGTCCCAAACTCCTGGCCTCAAGCCATCTTTCTGCCTTGGCTTCTGGAAGCGCTGGGATTACAGGTGTGAGCCACCTACCTGGCCAGTTCTAGACTAAACCATACCATATCACTTTCAGCAAATTGGCGCAGATTTAAAAAGTTTAACAATACAAACTGGTGGTCGTGATATAGGGAAATCAGAACCCTCAGCCACTGCTGGAGTATACATTGGTGATTACATTATAGGGTGATAACATTGGTGCCACTTCTTAGCACAGTTTGGCAATATCTAGCAAAGCTCAAGGTTTGTATTACCTATGACCTAGCAATTCCAGTTTTCTGGGAATGCTTTTACATCCATCCACAAAAGTGTATACAAAGGTGTACACTGCGGGCTTACATAATGGCAAAAAATTAGAAGCAACCTAAGCGGTCAGTAGTAGGAGACAGGACCACTGAATTCAATACTTCACAGCAGCTAAAATGAATGAACTTCATCATATGCTTTCAAGTGAATACAGCATGGCTATTTTATTTTGAATTTTAAAAATATTGCAGAAAGATATATATTTATGTAAATTTAAAATTTTATGTTGTAGGGGATCAGAACATGCCAGCTGAAAATATGCCATTGTGGCATAAGAATTATTTTGAGCCAAAGGTAGCTAAGAGGGCAGTAGACATAAGAAAATAAAGCTCTGTGCCCTCTCCTATCTGACTTAAAGCAGAACATAAATTCCCATTTGTTAAGGTGTCTCCCTCTCCCTTATCAGAAAGAGAACCACTCTTAATCCCCAGAAGTCTTAGTCACCAGAGATGACTCTAGACTCCAAGTATCAGCTCAGACAGGAATCTGTATGACAAACCTTATAAAACAATCCTCATCCTTCATTAATTTCCCCTATATACTTACCTTCTTGTAGTTTGCCACCCCTAAGAACCTAAACCCTTTTTCCTTTAGTCTTTTCACTTCTCTACAAATTTATTGTTTTTTGTTAAGATGCTCTATGTCAGTTTACTTTTCTGGGCCCCAGATGCCAAAACTAAGAGGGTAGAGAAAAAAGGTTTCTTTCCCCTCGTCCCCCGCACAATGTAAATCTTAAAAATGCACATAATAGGCCAAGCGTCATGGTTCACACCTGTAATCCCAATATTTGGGGAGGTCAAAGCATGAGGATCACACAAGGCCAGGAGTTCGAGATCAGCCTAGGCAACATAGTGAGACCCAGTCTCTACAAAAAATTTAAAAATTAGCCAGGCATGGTAGTGAGTGCCTCTAGTCCCTCGGGAGGGACTGAAGCAGGAGGATCCCTTGAGCCCAGGAGCTCAAGGCTGCAGTGAAGATGATATCACTGTACTCCAGCCTGGGTGACAGAGATCCTGTCTCCAAAAAAACAACAAAAAAATCAACCTACATATTAATTACAGAAACACATATATGTAAAAAAAGTATAAAAACAGGGTGGGAAATTTATCATTTTAATAAGAATAGTTGTGCCCTTTAGAGAGCGACAGGGGTAAATGTGATAATAAAGGTTGTTGTATCTGTAGCATTTTATTTTCTAAAAGCCAAAAGATCTAAATACATACGCAAAAAAAGTTAACCTTTAAAAAAATCTCAGTGGCAGGTATATGTTGAGATATGATTCTCTGTATTTTTTATGTTGGGAATAATACATAAAAATGAAGATAAATAAGAATACTTAATGCATTTTCCTATATGTTTGGCACAGATTTTCTTAAAACATAACTCTTCAATTAGGTTTATTAATTGTGTAACTGTAATCCTCTATATTTTTCACTTATTTTTAAATTTATTTACTTCCAAGTTGTTTTATCCTATGTCCTTTCATAGTAAAACAGTTTTTACTTAACATGTTTTGAAACTACATCATTAAGTGTATAAAGGTATATGACTTTTGTACCTTTCTGGTAAGATGTACGTTTTACCAGTATAAAATATCTTTATTTTTGAAATGTTTACCTTTTCGATTTATTTTCTGTTTTAATATTGCTTTTTGGGTAGCATGTTGTTGTCCCTTTATTTTCAAATTACCTGTATTTTTTTTTTGTAACTCTTGCAAACAGCAACACTGGATTTGTTTTATGTTTGCCATTCAAATGTACTTTAGTTGTATTCATTAGTTATATATTGCTGCATAAGAAATTGTTCCAAACCCCAGTGGCTTAAAACAGCTACCATATTATTGTGTAATATTTCAGTGAGTCAGCTCTTTGGGCTGGGCCCAGCTGGAGGTTTCTTCCACTGGTCTTGCTGGGACCACTCATTCAGCTGCAGTCACATGGGAGCTCGACTGGAACCTCACTCATGTGTCTGGCTGTTGGAGCTGACTCTTAGCTGGGCTTGTCTCTCCACATGGTCTCTCATCTTAAAGGAGGCTATCCTGGGCCTCTTCACCTACATAAATGCTCTAAGAGGGTGATAAGAATATCTGCAAAGTGGCCAGGTGTGGTGGCTCACAGCTGTAACCCCAGCACTTTGGGAGAGTGAGGCTGGTGCATCACTTGAGGTCAGGAGTTGGAGACCAGCCTGGCCAACATGGCAAAACCCCATCTCTACTAAAACTACAAAAATTAGCCAGGTGTGGTGGCACGCGCCTGTAATCCCAGCTACTCGGGAGGCTTAGGCTGGAATAGCTTGAACCCGGGAGGTGGAGGTTGCAGTGAGCCGAGATTGCACCACTGCACTCCAACCTGGGTGACAGAGTGAGACTCTGTCTCAAAAAAAAAAAAAAAAAAAAGACAATGTTGGTCAGGGAACGGTGGCTCATGCCTGTAATCCCAGCATTTTGTGAGGCTGAGGTGGGCGGGTCATTTTAGGTCAGGAATTTGAGACCAGCCTGGCCAACGTGGTGAAACTCTGTCTCTACTAAAAATAGGAAAATTAGCCAGGCATGGTGGTGGGCACCTGTAGTCCCAGCTACTCGGGAGGCTGAGGTAGGAGAATTGCTTGAACCTGGGAGGCGAAGGTTGCAGTGAGCCGAGATAGTGCCACTGCGCTCCAGCCTGGGTGACAGAGTGAAGCTCCATCTCAAATAAATAAATAAATAAACAAACAAATAAATAAATAAATAAAATAAAGACAGTGTTGCCCAGTGCTAAATAAAACAAGAGGACAAACAAGGAGCTTAGCTGTGAGGACTATTCCTAATGCAGTTCCCTATTAATCACCCTCATGGCTGACTCAGGACACGCAGGCATTTGCTCTTTGTTTTCATTTCCTCTGAGTTCCATGCACTTCTGGAATCACTCCCACGTAATACAATGTGACCTCTCACCCTAAATCTGACTCCTTATCCAGTGGCTACTATGTTGCACCTTTTTTGTTAATATAGTACCCTATGTGGAAAAAAAATTAATCCATCTTCAAAGTTTATATTCACCCAGTGCTGTTTGCCTACACTTTTACATTGCTATGTTGAATGTTTTAGGATTGCAAAGGTGGACAATTTTCTTCAACTCAGAGTGTGTAACATCATGAAACCTGCTTTCCCAGTTAAGTTAATGATTCTGCATAAATATTAGTTGATTGTTTAACTAAATTACAGAGATAGCCAGGAATTTCGCATTGTTACTTAACAGTTGTATGGCCCTCAGTGGTCAATAGAGGATGAGAGTTCAATATGCAAAAGCATTCAAAGTAGAATGTATGATTGCTACAGATAGATAACCTACAATTAAATTCTTGCTAGTTTACATTTTTCACTTTCTTGATAATGCTTATTTTGTTTAAAATAACTGAAAATCAGTAACATTTAGGTTTTCACATGTCTCTCAGAATCTCCAAGCTCCATAAAAAGATAAATGGAATATATAGATTCTAAAATACTCAAAATATCAGTAAGGATAAACCTCCATATTTCCGTTGTAATTTTAGAACAATGAAAACTAAAGTTTCGTCACTGTAGATGTAGTAACATCTTCCCTCAACTAAGGGAGCATTCTCTTTGACCCTTTCACAGTGCAACTGGCTATGGCCTAGATGATCTAGAATTTTTAGTTACGATAGCAATCAACATACAAAAATCCAAATCAGCTTTTAATAATCTGATAGAACCACAGGATTTCAGGTCATCTGGAACAGTTACAGAACAGTAATTAGAACATAGCTGGTACTTAAGATATTTAGAATGTTTTGCCCCCAATTTTTATTATATTAAAAATAAGACCCTTAGGCCGGGCACGGTGGCTCACTCCTGTAATCCCAGCACTTTGGGAGGCTGAGGTGGGTGGTTCACGAGGTCAGGAAATCGAGACCATCCTGGCTAACATGGTAAGACCCTGTCTCTACTAAAGATACAAAAAATTAGCTGGGCATGGTGGTGAGCCCCTGTAGTCCCAGCTACTCGGGAGGCTGAGGCAGGAGAATGGCATCAACCTGGGAGGCAGAGCTTGCAGTGAGCCAAGATCACGCCAATGCACTCCAGCCTGGGCAACAGAGTAAGACTCTGTCTCAAAAAACACACACACACACACACACACACAAAAAGAAAAAAAAATAACAAAACAAAATGACCCTTGAGAAAATTGTGGGACTTCACTATACTTCAATTTCATATCTTAGATAAGAAAGTTAATCTTTTTTTCCCATTTAGCCTCATTTATCAAACATTAATAATATATCTCTGAAGGGTTTTTTTCTGTTATCTCTCCCTGTATCAGTTAGCTTTTGCTGTGTAACAAACCACCGTACAACTTAGTGGCTTCAAAAAGCAGTCATTTCTTTTGCTCTTGAGTTATTCTGATCTTGGCTTGGCTCACTTACAGGTCTGTGGTCAACTTCCAGCTACAATGGGAGCTAGCTGGGGCTCAGCTGGGATAGCTCATGTTTCAGTTGGGACCACATCACCTAGTTTCTCATTTTCTGGTAGACTATGCCTGACATTTCCACATGGTGGTGGAAGAGTCCCCAGGAGCTGCAGGAGAGCAGGTTCTAACGTACAAGTGCCTTCCAAGTCTCTACTTGTGTCATGTTGGCTAATGTCCTATTGGCCAAAGCCAGTCATATGGTCAAGTTCAGATTAAGAGTGGAGAAGCAGACTCTACCTCCCAATGGGGGAAGCTGTGAAGTCACTTCACAAGGCTGTAGATGCAGGGAGGGGACACATTTGTTTCTATTTTTACAATCCATTCATGTCGTAAAAGACTAACATTTGCTGGGCGCAGTGGCTCACACCTGTAATTCCAGCACTTTGGGATGCTGAGGTGAGTGGATCACTTGAGGTCAGGAGTTCAAGACCAGCCTGACCAACATGGTGAAACCCCGTCTCTACCAAAAACACAAAAATTAGCTTGGAGTGGTGGTGGGCGCCTGTAATCCCAGCTACTCAGGAGGCTGAGGCAGGAGAATTGCTTGAACCCTGAAGGCAGAGGTCGCAGTGAGCCAAGATCATGCCACTGCACTCCAGCCTGGACGACAAAGCTAGACTACGTCTCAAAAAAAAAAAAAGACTAACATTACATTGATATGGAGTATTACCTGCCATAACCCCAAGCTCTCATTAACATTTTTGTTGCTAAATTATGTTATCAGAATCTCTGGTTGAATATAAATATTGAATTTCCTCCAAAGAGACTTTGTGAAATACAAATAGTATATAATCTTTTTCTGATGTGCTTCAGTAAAACAAATAAACAACTCAATCAGTATCTCAAAGTGACATACAAAGATTGTTAATATTACAAAAAGCTTTCTTTGTTTAGAAATTGATTCTTCTTAGGAATGGATTATCCTATTAGATTAAAATAACACTAAATTTAATAAATTTCATTTACATGTTACTGTAAATACACTCATGTATTTACTCGTAGGGGAGAGCATGAGGTTGTAGAGTTGGGGTCTTGTCTTAGTTTTGTCTCTAAACCTTTGTAATTTTAGGTAAATTATTTAATCTGCAGAAGGCTCATTTGTTCATCTGTGCATAGACGGTCTGGAGAAAAACATCTCTAAGTTTCATTCAGCAGTAAATTTACAGATTCTCTTTTAAGGAATACACCTATGGTAAAAAAAAAAAAGGGTATATATCAAAATAGAACTATCAAACCTTTAGCTAGAGTCTCAATTAATAAAAATTATAGAAAAAAATTACCTATATCTACCTGGTTATAGGCAGAAGTCAGACTAGTTCACTGCATTTCCTATTTTGTTACAGTTCATTTCTAATTAAAAATATAATAAAATGAAATGACGGATCTGAAATCCTTTTAATAAAATAGTTGTTTAAAAGACTAAGAAGAGAGAAACTGGCAAACAATTGTGCTCATGATTAGCTCAACATTAGAAAACTACAAAGGGGTCGGGTGCGGTGACTCATGCCTGTAATTCCAGCACTTTGGGAGGCTGAGGTTGGTGGATCATTTGAGGTCAGGAGGTTGAGACCAGCCTGACCAACATGGTGAAACCCCATCTCTACTAAAAATACAAAAAAATTAGCTAGGCATGGTGGCACACGCCTGTAATCTCAGCTACTTGGGAGGCTGAGGCTGGACAATCTCTTGAGCCCAGGAGGTGGAGGTTACAGTGAGCCGGGATTGTGCCACTGCACTCCAGCCTGGGCAACAGAGCAAGACTCCATCTCAAAACAAAACAAAACAAAACAAAACCAAAAAAAAAAAAAAAAACTACAGAGGAAGAGAAAGGCATCCTTAACATTTGGTACATAGAGTATTTTCTTGCTTAATTTTTCCTCCCTTTTGAATGCTTTTATGTATAATTCTCTGAAAGACAGAAGCCAGAGGTAATTCTAAACATGTTTTAGTTGATCAGCTCAATAATCAACATTTATTTAGCAAATGAATGAATTTGTTCCAGGTTTGGCAGCAACATTTTCAGTTGGTAATAGGGATCTTGCATGTCCCATTTGCTTAATTAGCTATTCTAGCCTTTAAAAAAATTGGGGTTAACGTTTCATTTTAGTTAAGTAGAATACGGGAATAAATTAGACTTAACCTATACTGGTATTCTTTACTGATATGAGTGGCAATAAAAATTACCAAAATAACCAATTCCACATATGCATAGAAATGAGAGGCCAAATAGCATTGTGGGAAGAGGACAAGAATCTGAATGGGGCTTAAAAATCATTCAAAGTAGAAATTCAAATACAAAATGGACACTGTGTCTGGATTTTTAGCCTTATAAATTGCCTTCCTGAAACTTATGCCATATTAACTTTAAGAATTTTAAGACATACACACATCATTACAAATAATCCTTTGAGGAAAAGTAATTCATAACACTCACAGCATATGTCATTTTGAATTGAGTGTTTCTTGTGTCTTATCTTTTGACCTGTTAGCTATGTTTGGTGTTGGGGGTTACTTCCTCCTTCTTGAAACTCTTCCCTCCTCTAATTCTAAGACTGGCTCTTTCTTACTTCTGCTTTCATTCCTCTGGGTAGTCCTCACTGCCCCTTGCCCTACTTGTTCCTCTTGCCTCTTAAATGTGATTCTCTTTCAGCTTCCATCTTTAGCCTTCTCTTCTTACTCTGCCCACTCTCATCTACTTCTATGGTTGAGATTGCTCTTAAGCATATACTCGGTGAACTCCCAACTCTACATGTTTCATAGGGTTTAGATCTGTGTCCCCACCCAAATCTCATGTTGAATTGTAATCCCTAATGTTGGAAGTAGGACCTGGTGAAAAGTGATTGGATCATGGGGTCAGAGTTCTCATGAATGGTTTGGCACTATCCCCCCTTGGTACTGTATAGTCAGTGAGTTCTCATGACATCTAGTTGTGTAGTGTGTAGCAGCTCCCACCACCCAGCTTTCTCCTGCTCCAGCCACAAGACATGCCAACTACCCCTTTGCCTTCTCCCATGATTGGAAGTTTCCTGAAGCCTCCCCAGAAGCCAAGCAGATGCCACCATGCTTCCTATACAGCCTGAGGAACTGTGAACTAATTAAGTCTCTTTTTTTTATACATTACCCAGTCTCAGGTATTTCTTTATAGCAATGTGAGAACTAAGACCTCCTTGTCAAATCTCCAGCTCTTTTCCAAGTGTTAGATTCATGAATGTTCCTCAAACTCAACAAATCTACAATGAAACGCATTATTTTTTTCTAATAACCTGATGATTTTTTTTTTAATTTTGCTTTCATGGGTCTCAATTCCTGAGAAGACCCCACACGAGTCTCTGTATTTTAAGTCCTAAAGCTACTTTCCAGCCCCCAGTGGCCAACCCATGCAGTTTTTTCCTTGCCACAGGTCCCAAAGAGGCAATGATCATCACTTTATCCCTTGGGGTTTCTGCTGTGCACAGGACTCAATATCCTCTCGCTGCCTCATCCCAAAAAGCAAAAGGTCTTCTTTTTTTACTTTCTTAATTAAAGCATTGTATCAGGGAACAGAAAGTATATTCTCAAAATAACACAATGGGAAGTGAAATCATTCTTTAACAAATATTCGTGGATTACTACTTACTCTGTGCCAGGTGCTGGAAAAGGGGACATTGGCCTTTAGTTGACCTCTAAGTCTTGGGGGAAGAGGTGTATGGAAGGGAGGATTTGAGCTTAAGCAAATAATCACAGAAACACACATGACATTCCAACTGCACCAAGGGCCATGAAGAAGTGGTTCACAGAGTGAGTCCATAATGGGCATAATGGGGCAATGTAGTCTAGGCAAGTAGCTTGTGAGAGGCTTCTCTGAGGTATCTTATCCTGAGCCAATATCTGAAAGATAATGTGGTAGATTGATTGTGAAACTTGTCCTGACTCTTTCCGTCCTTTTACAAGGTGACTCTGTGACTCTTGCCATCAGGAGAATCTTTTTCATGATCTTTTACATTTGGGCTGACTTTGTGACTTACTTTAGCCAATAGAATGCAGGAGAAGTGATATTCAGTCTGTCAGTTCTGAATGTAGACCTTAAGAGGCTTAGTGTGTGGCCATGGAATGGAACCAAGCTGGAAAACACTCTGCAGGATATTATCCAGGAGAACTTCCCCAATCTAGCAAGGCAGGCCAACATTCAAATTCAGGAAATACAGAGAACGCCACAAAGATACTCCTCGAGAAGAGCAACTCCAAGACACATAATTGTCAGATTCACCAAAGTTGAAATGAATGAAAAAATGTTAAGGGCAGCCAGAGAGAAAGGTTGGGTTACCCACAAAGGGAAGCCCATCAGACTAACAACTGATCTCTCGGCAGAAACTCTACAAGCCAGAAGAGAGTGGGGGCCGATATTCAACATTCTTAAAGAAAAGAATTTTCAACCTATAATTTCATATTCAGCCAAACTAAGCTTCATAAGTGAAAGAGAAATAAAATACTTTACAGACAAGCAAATGCTTGACAAAATGAGAGATTTTGTCACCACCAGGCCTGCCCTAAAGGAGCTCCTGAAGGAAGCACTAAACATGGAAAGGAACAACTGGTACCAGCCACTGCAAAAACATGCCAAATTGTAAAGGCCATCGAGGCTAGGAAGAAACTGCATCAACTAACGAGCAAAATAACCAGCTAACATCATAATAACAGGATCAAATTCACACATAACAATATTAACCTTAAATGTAAATGGGCTAAATGTTCCCACTAAAATGCACAGACTGGCAAATTGGATAAAGAGTCAAGACCCATCAGTGTGCTGTATTCAGGAAACCCATCTCATGTGCAGAGACACACATAGTCTCAAAATAAAGGGATGGAGGAAGATCTACCAAGCAAATGGAAAACAAAAAAAAAGGCAGGTGTTACAATCCTAGTCTCTGATAAAACAGACTTTAAACCAACAAAGATCAAAAGAGACAAAGAAGGCCATTAAATAATGGTTAAGAGGTCAATTCAACAAGAAGAGCTAACTATCCTAAATATATATGCACCCAATATAGGAGCACCCAGATTCATAAAGCAAGTCCTTAGAGACCTAGAAAGAGACTTAGAATCCCACACAATAATAATGGGAGACTTTAACACCCCACTGTCAACATTAGACAGATCAACGAGACAGAAAGTTAACAAGGATATCCAGGAATTGAACTCAGCTCTGCACCAAGTGGACCTAATAGACATCTACAGAACTCTCCACCCCAAATCAACAGAATATACATTCTTCTCAGCACCACACCGCACTTATTCCAAAATTGACCACATAGTTGGAAGTAAAGCACCCCTCAGCAAATGTAAAAGAACAGAAATTATAACAAACTGTCTCTCAGACCACAGTGCAATCAAACTAGAACTCAGATTAAGAAACTCACTCAAAACCACTCAACTACATGGAAACTGAACAACCTGCTCCTGAATGACTACTGGGTACATAACGAAATAAAGGCAGAAATAAAGATGTTCTTTGAAACCAATGAGAACAAAGACACAACATACCAGAATCTGTGGGACGCATTCAAAGCAGTGTGTAGAGGGAAATTTATAGCACTAAATACCCACAAGAGAAAGCCGGAAAGATCTAAAATTGACACCCTAATGTCACAATTAAAAGAACTAGAGAAGCAAGAGCAAACACATTCAAAAGCTAGCAGAAGGCAAGAAATAACTAAGATCAGAGCAGAACTGAAGGAAATAGAGACACAAAAAACCCTTCAAAAAATCAATGAATCCAGGAGCTGGTTTTTTGAAAAGATCAACAAAATTGATAGACCGCTAGCAAGACTAATAAAAAAGAAAAGAGAGAAGAATCAAATAGATGCAATAAAAAATGATAAAGCGGATATTACCATTGATCCCACAGAAATACAAACTACCATCAGAGAATACTATAAACACCTCTATGCAAATAAACTAGAAAATCTAGAAGAAATGGATAAATTCCTGGACACATACACCCTCCCAAGACTAAACCAGGAAGAAGTTGAATCTCTGAATAGGCCAATAACAGGCTCTGAAATTGAGGCAATAATTAATAGCTTACCAACCAAAAAAAGTCCAGGACCAGATGGATTCACAGCCGAATTCTCCTAGAGGTACAAGGAGGAGCTGGTACCATTCCTTCTGAAACTATTCCAATCAACAGAAAAAGAGGGAATCCTCCCTAACTCATTTTATGAGGCCAGCATCATCCTGATACCACAGCCTGGCAGAGACACAACAAAAGAAGACAATTTTAGACCAATATCCCTGATGAACACCGATGGAAAAATCCTCAATAAAATACTGGCAAACTGAATCCAGCAGCACATCAAAAAGCTTATCCACCATGATCAATTGGGCTTCATCCCTGGGATGCAAGGCTGGTTCAACATACAAAAATCAATAAACATAATCCAGCATATAAACAGAACCAATGACAAAAACCACATGATTATCTCAATAGATGCAGAAAAGGCCTTTGACAAAATTCAACAACGCTTCATGCTAAAAACTCTCAATAAATTAGGTACTGATGCGATGTATCTCAAAATAATAAGAGCTATCTATGACAAACCCACAGCCAATATCATACTGAATGGGCAAAAACTGGAAGCATTCCCTTTGAAAACTGGCACAAGACAGGGATGCCCTCTCTCACCACTCCTATTCAACATACTGTTGGAAGTTCTGGCCAGGGCAATTAGGCAGGAGAAGGAAATAAAGGGTATTCAATGAGGAAAAGAGGAAGTCAAATTGTCCCTGTTTGCAGATGACATGATTGTATATCTAGAAAACCCTATCTTCTCAGCCCAAAATCTCCTTAAGCAGATAGGCAACTTCAGCAAAGTCTCAGGATACAAAATCAATGTGCAAAAATCACAAGCATTCTTATACACCAATAACAGACAAACAGAGAGCCAAATCATGAGTGAACTCCCATTCACAATTGCTTCAAAGAGAATAAAATATCTAGGAATCCAACTTACAAGGGATGTGAAGGACCTCTTCAAGGAGAACTACAAACCACTGCTCAATGAAATAAAAGAGGATACAAACAAATGGAAGAACATTCCATGCTCATGGGTGGGAAGAATCAATATCGTGAAAATGGTCATACTGTCCAAGGTAATTTATAGATTCTATGCCATCCCCATCAAGCTACCAATGACTTTCTTCACAGAATTGGAAAAAACTACTTTAAAGTTCATATGGAATCAAAAAAGAGCCCACATTGCCAAGTCAATCCTAAGCCAAAAGAACAAAGCTGGAGGCATCACGCTACCTGACTTCAAACTATACTACAAGGCTACAGTAACCAAAACAGCATGGTACTGGTACCAAAACACAGATATAGACCAATGGAACAGAACAGAGCCCTCAGAAATAATGCCTCATATCTACAACCATCTGATCTTTGACCTGACAAAAACAAGAAATGGGGAAAGGATCCCCTATTTAATAAATGGTGCTGGGAAAACTGGCTAGCCATATGTAGAAAGCTGAAACTGGATCCCTTCCTTACACCTGATACAAAAATTAATTCAAGATGGATTAAAGACTTCAATGTTAGACATAAAACCATAAAAACCCTAGAAGAAAACCTAGGCAATACCATTCAGGACATAGGCATGGGCAAGGACTTCATGTCTAAAACACCAAAAGCAATGGCAACAAAAGCCAAAATTGACAAATGGGATCTCATTAAACTAAAGAGCTTCTGCACAGCAAAAGAAACCACCATCAGGGTGAACAGGCAACCTACAGAAAGGGAGAAAATTTTTGCAATCTACTCATCTGACAAAGGGCTAATATCCAGAATCTACAATGAACTCAAACACATTTACAAGAAAAAAACAAACAACCCCATCAAAAAGTGGGCAAAGGATATGAACAGACACTTCTCAAAAGAAGACATTGATGCAGCCAAAAGACAAATGAAAAAATGCTCAACATCACTGGCCATCAGAGAAATGCTAATCAAAACCACAATGAGATACCATCTCACACCAGTTAGAATGGTGATCATTAAAAAGTCAGGAAACAACAGGTGCTGGAGAGGATGTACAGAAATAGGAACACTTTTACACTGCCGGTGGGACTGTAAACTAGTTCAACCATTGTGGAAGTCAGTGTGGTGATTCCTCAGGGATCTAGAACTAGAAATACCATTTGACCCAGCCATCCCATTACTAGGTATATACCCAGAGGATTATAAATCATGCTGCTATAAAGACACATGCTCACGTATGTTTATTGCGGCACTATTCACAATAGCAAAGACTTGGAGCCAACCCAAATGTCCAACAATGATAGGCTGGATTAAGAAAATGTGGCACATATACACCATGGAATACTATGCAGCCATAAAAAATGATGAGTTCATGTCCTTTGTAGGGACATGGATGAAGCTGGAAACCATCATTCTCAGCAAACTATCACAAGAACAAAAAACCAAACACCACATGTTCTCACTCATAGGTGGGAATTGAGCAATGAGAACACATGGATACAGGAAGGGGAACATCACACACCGGGGACTGTTGTGGGGTGGGGGAAGGGGGGAGGGATAGCATTTGGAGATATACCTAATGTTAAATGACGAGTTACTGGGTGCAGCGCACCAACATGGCACATGTATACATATGTAACTAACCTGCACATTGTGAACATGTACTGTAAAACGTAAAGTATAATTAAAAAAAACAAAAAACAAACAAACAAACAAAAATCTTCTTTAAGCATGACCTGATAAAAGTCTAAACACCCTGTCAAAATATTTTTAAAGGCAATTGTTGTTTTGGTAATATAAGCATTCTAGCAAAACCAAGAGCATTCTCGTAGAGAAATAACAAAGCAGAATTTGCTGTGCTTCTATCTTCAATTTTATGATGAAGCTAAAATAATTTAAACGGTGTGGTATTTATTGGTCCTTTACTAAGAGAGCGAAACTGAACAGAGTAAGATTGCATAAAAGTCCAAGGAATATGAACTTCCCATTGAGCATGAAAGGATAATTAAAAGAAAATCATTGTGTTATGGATATTGATTAGCTCTTTAAGAAACAAAAGGATTCTCAGCCTTGCACTAGATGCCAAATTGCTTCCAAGTAGATTAAGGAGCTAAATGTAAAAAGAGATTAGCAAAAATGAAAATTTTATCAAATGTGAAAGGCCTTTTCATGCATGACACAACAGGTAAAATTCTTTTTAAAATTTTATTTTTTAATTGACTAATAATAATTGTCCATATGTATGGAATACATAGCGAAATTTCACTACATCTAATGTGTAGTGATCACATCAGGGTAATTTGCATAACCATCATCCAAACATTTATCATTTCTTTACATTAGGACCATTTAATGTCCTTCTAGCTATATTGAAACTGCAATATGTTATTGTTAACTACAGTAACCCTAAAGTGCTGTAGACCACAAGAACTGATTCCTTCTGTCTAGCTGCAATTTTGTATCCATTAACAAATCTCTTTTATCCCTCCCTTCAAAAGTCTTAAAAGGATAGATTTGAATAATGAACATAAAAACATAATGCACACCAAAATATCCCAGAAACAAAAATTAAAGGATAAAAAAAAGGAAAAAAATTGCAATATATGTTTCATGTAAGAGCTTTTACAAAGTAATAAGAAAGATATTTCACCAAATAATTTTTTAAAATACACATTATAAAATAAATATTTATAAATATTTAAAATATATTTTAATAGATACAAAAAATGTTAACAATGGTTGGTCACATAGTGAGATTATGGAGGCTTTAATTTTCTTCTGTTTACGTTTCTAAAGCACCCTTCAATAAATATTTAATAGATAATAGGAAGAAATAGGTACTAACAAAATACTGGTGTGAGCATCAGTTGGCATATCATATGAAGGGAAATTTAGCAAAATTTATCAGAATTCTTATTATTTCACATACCACTTGAATGAGTAATTTCCCTTTTAGCAGTTTATTCAAGGAAATAATCAGGGATATGTAGAAAGATATAGCTGCAAAAATGTTCTTGACATCTCTGTTCGAAACAGAAAGAAATGGAGACAAAAACCATCTCACATAAAGGCTAGGTTGAATAAATAATAGGATGTGTGTCCTCAATGGAATATTAGAAACCTCTTAAAATGTCATTTTGAAGACATGGAAATATTTGTGGCATATTCTTGAAGGAAAAAGACATGAAACAAATAAAGTTTAGATAACACTTTTGTAAGTTCTATAGCTGATAATTTTTCTCTATACATTGATATACAGTATATTAAAAAGAAAAGCTGTAACCAAAAATACCATGTCACGCATGAAAAGGCCTTTCACATTTTAGGTTCGTAGTGAGAGTCACACACATAACATAAATATAGGTTTTTTGAAATAAGACAGAAAACGTTTTTTAAAAGGCAATCATTTTAACTAACAATCATATTCAGTGTGTTCATCATTGGGCTTGTATTAATTATTTTAAAAGTACAAATATGAAAAAGACTTCTGTCCCATGGCATGGAAAACATGAAAGCTTGGAGCCTTCCAATATAATATAATATAATATAATATAATATAATATAATATAATATAATATAATATAATAATGTTTAGTCTTTATCCATATCCATGTCCCCTTAAAGTGAAGCCAATGAGAGATTTCATTATGTAAATTATTTTTGAGCTCTGAGAAAGATCTGCCTTATATTAAATACTGTGATTCGTCATTCTATAGCAAGGTTTGAATACTGTCGCTGAATGACTTCAATCTTCATAACAAATATGATCATATTTGTCTAGAACTGTAGAGCTTACATAGCTCTTTTATATGCATTATGTTATTTTAATGCTCACTACAGCCCTGAGAGATGAGTAAGATATTTTTACATATGAGGAAACTGAAGTTTCAAGATGTAAGTGAACTTGTTCAAGGCCATGTAGTTAATAAGTGGAGGAACTGGGCTTAATCCGGGGGCTCCTAATGGGAGACAATGAAGAGGGAACAAATTCCATACTGTTTTCACCAAATCGCTTTGCTAATGTTTAAAAATGTTAACTTATTAGGTAAAAGTTCAAACTCAATTATTACATTGTCCCATTTCTATTCTAGAATCCTACCTGTCTGAAGAGCTTATAAAAGGCATCTCAGTTATTCTGTCATATGACACTTCACCCAGAAGAACAGTCTTAATGCACAAAAACCATAAAATCCTCCCAGATTATAAAGAGCAGACTAGGGTAGATTGGAGCTCTTGGGTCATTATATTATGGCCACTCTAGTAAGGTCCACAGCCACCCTTACTGCTGTATGCTAGGTGCATCACATAAATAACACACCAACAACTTATGAGACAGGCTATATTATTTTCATTACACAGATGAGAAAATGGAGGCTCAGAAATGTACCCTTGGCCACACACCTAATGATTGGCAAAAGTAGGATTGGAATTCAGCGATATCTGACTCCAGACTCTTTCTACTACCCAACCCTTCTTCCCTTGATTCAACCTGTGGTTGAATTGTACAGAGAAAACATACATCTTCCTGGTACTGACAGACGGAGTTTCAGAGCACATGACTGTTGGAGAGAAGACGGCATATTCACTGAATGGTGATCTGGCCCAATGGCAGGGGGAAGGTCACATCACTGGAGAAGTACAGCTTTTCCTAGGCAAAGGGAAGCACTGGGATGTTTCTATTTCCCTTTCCCATTTTGTTGATTTTTGCCTACTATTAATAATTTCCTAAATCTCCTTAAGGTAGCTTCCAACAGTGAGGAAGATGCCCGGAAAAAAAAACGACTGTTAAGGAAAGATTATATAGTCTTCTTTCAAGTCTTTGATGGGGTCTCTACCACCAAAACAGTTTCCTGTCTAGGGAGCTTTTGCTGAGCCAGTAAAGGAAGACCCTTTAATAGTTTAGATTAGGATGATTCTAGATATTTGGAAGAATATGTGTTTGGTATTTTGGTTATTGTTGCCATGGCGTATAATAGAAATAACCTTTGTTAACCCAGATCTCAAATTCAGCCATGAGAGAGAGTAACTGCATATTTTATTTCTTTTGGAAGTTATTTACATAATAGTTTAAAAGTTTTGGTGTTAACAGAACTGCATGGTACAGGACAAAAGCTGTAACTTTCAGTTTCAGCCCAAGGTTAACCATATTTGCTGTTTTTGATCTTCTGTGACCAGTAGTATAAAAATGCTAATATTCCAATGCAAAGGATTACAAAATGATCTTCTCAATTATCATGAGTGAGTAAGTTGGATGATAAAGTATACGGATTTAGAAAAAATCCAACTATGTGTGCATGTGTACCTATGTACACACATAGACATATGTATGTATACATGCATATACACATGCATATATACATAAATTCATATACACTTAGGTAATTTCCATATTTATGTGTGTATGTATGTGCATGTATATGTGTATATATATATATTTCTCCAATATTGAGCAATTTCTGGAAAATTGCAGTTCTTGTTTTAATTTCTTCAAAATCACATTTTGAAAAGCTCAAAAGAACATGAAAACATTGCAGTTTCTGGTAATCTCCCAAATCATGTGCTTGTCAGTTCTTAAGTAAGTGGATATTAAGAATCTCTTTTACTTTTTGTATTTTCTTTCCCTCCCACTTTGGCCTTTTCAGAAGATCAGAAACAATGTAAGAGCAAAATGGTTCAAAGAAGCATGTTTTCCATTTATTGATTTGATTTTTAAACATTCACTTGATATTTGAGAAAGGAGTTTATTTGTCACCATTTTAGTTGGGGATTTTAGAAATTTTATCAATATACACATTTCCTGACTTATAAAAACAGACTTATAAATAACTGATAAAATTACAAATGTTTATCCCTTCTCTCAACTGCTAGAGCCTCAGTAATTTCCATAAAAGCTGTCATGCCAGCAGGAAGGGGTGAGGAAGGAATATTTAGTTTCCCTGGATTCAGAACAGGAGGAAGGAAAGAAATTGTGCAAAAACAGTGTAAGAATCTGACTTCAGGAGACCTGGTCTGTCCATGCGTTCAGATCTCTCTCAACCTAAAGGAATTTTTTTTTCTTTTAAAATTTCATTTTACTTTCCTCAACTTCCTACCAATTAAAAATCTCACTCTCTCTCTGAAGATGTTATTAAAAGTGCAAATATCTTTGGGATGTTCAAGGATTATTAGTCATTTATATCTTAGTGTAAGGCTCAATAAAGTTGCTTTTCTTAAAGCACCTGAAAGAAATAAAAGCTGCCAAGTTTGCTTGGGGTATGGAAGAATTTTAAGATGTGAGGCAATTCAAAAGCCAAGGAATGCTGAGCCTGCCAAGTAGTAGCCATGCTTTGGTGGGGGGCAGAGAGAACTGGAGAGAAGGATACATCACGTGAGGCTCCCAAGTTGGCACAGAGGGGCAGCAAGAGAGTTAGGGCAGTCCAAGGAATAAACTGCTTACTTTGATAAATTGTCTATATTTCACCATGTCTCAAGGTTTTAATTTCTAGTTTAGAAGGGGAAAAATGATCCATTCAAACATCCAGTTTGTTTTCTCCAGGAAGACAAACTTTTATTTATCCCTTTACTTCAGGCAGGGAGGACGGGGAATATCCTTCATCTTAACTGGGTGCAGAAGTTTCCTGTTTCCTGTGTTGTACCAATAGATAATTTTCCACGTGTATTTGCAGTGCATTACAGACTCTTAGAGCATTAGGAAAACTGGAAGAGTCTCATTAGTCCACTCTTCTGGACTCAACCGCATGCCAGATAGAAGTTCTTGAGTTTTCAGAGCAAATTGGCAGCAGAGCCAACCATAGAAACCCCCTTGCTGGGTCTGTAACATTAACTAATAAACACTTTGTATAAAAATGTGGGAAACTAATTAATAATGAGGCAGGAAAGTAAAGGAATGTAACTTATCAGTTTCATTTTCCCCGAAGTGTGTTTTCATGCTATGTCTTGCAGAGCATTTCTAACTTAAGAGTGCGCCATGCTTGGGAGGCTGGTTAAAGTGCTTCATCTGCTTCACCACCACCTTTGTCCTTCATTCTCGTGTGGGCTGTCTTGTTGTCTCTCTCTGCTGCCTCACTTTTCTCCTGTGCCTTTCTCCATGCTTCTCACTTTTTTGGGGAAGGGAAGTGGTGGTGAGAGGTCATCCTATTCCTCTTACAACTTCCCCTTTAGGAGGAGGCTGGCTGGGGCATCCAGGCCCTGGGGTCCCTCAGGCTCTGGCCCTTGGGCCTGCCCTGCCCCATCATGCATCAATTTACATGAAATAATAGGATGTAACTTTATATAATGGGCGAAAATGAAATTATCAACTGAATTAGCATTCATGCTCGG
Organism: Homo sapiens; assembly: GCF_000001405.40. NCBI lineage: Eukaryota > Metazoa > Chordata > Mammalia > Primates > Hominidae > Homo > Homo sapiens. The sequence continues at coordinate 22,754,682 of NC_000010.11, forward strand.
TTCTATTCCTCTAGAACTGCGAGGAGTAGGGTACTGCTATTGGTTTTACATGCCAGCAACATCCTTCTTAAATGGTTCCCTTCTAATGTGGCTTCTTGAAGATGGATGGATTTCTGATCCAAGGCCCCTAGTAGTAACCCTTAACATTGATCGGTTCATTCAAAAGTTACGTCATCACAAGCCAGTGTGGTGGTGCGTACCTGTAGACCCAGGGTCTTGGGAGGCTGAGGTGGAGGATGGCTTGATCCCAGGAGCTTGAGGGCAGCCTGGGGAACGTAGAAAGACCTCATCTCTAAAATCATTAAGAATTAAATTAAAATTTAAAAAGTTGTGTCATCGCAGTGGTCAAGCTTCAGATAATTTATGTTTGCAGAGTATATAAAGGTATCCAAAAAGTCCTTCATTTATATGCATAACTTTTTTTTTTAAAATAAAGAGTCAGGGTCTTGCTCTGTCACTCAGGCTGAAGTGCAGTGGTGCGATCCTAGCTCACTGTAACCTTGAATTCCTGGTCTCAAGAAATCCTCCTGCTTCAGCCTCCTGAGTAGTTGGAACTCCAGGCATATGCCACCACACCTGGCTAGTTTCAGTAATTTTTGTGAATATGGGATCTCACTATGTTACGCAAGCTGGTCTCAAACTCCTGGCCTCAAGTGATCTCCCCACGTTGGTCTCCCAAAGTGCTGGGATTACAGATGCCCGCCCTACCTAAACATTTTCATATTTAAATACATTTTACACTTGAAAAATATTGAGTTTAAACAATATTATTTTTAAATACACTGAAGTGGTGGTTCTTCAGCCCTCTGAAAGGTTGTATAAATGTCTAGTTTCATAGCTGTCATCAGAATCTCAAAGGGTCCCATAATTCAAACAAAGGTAAAGAACCATTAATTTGGATGATCAATGTGTCATTTAACCAACTCACCGAGGTTGCTGATTTTTGTCTGTGTCCTATTTTGGATGCATTTCCTCATTGATTTTCTTTCATTTATGGCTTAAAAGACTTCCATTGACAGGATCTTCTCACATCACATTCCATTATATGCTGTTGATGGATTTGGGACCATAACTGAGTAAAAGGCAGGCCACAGACAGAACAGATTTTCATATTAACACAAGATGACTTCTGTTGTAGAATTGTGAGCTTTAGAATTAACAGACTAGAGTTCAGCTCTGTGGCAAAGGTTACTTGCAATCTATTCTGTAATTTCATTGAGTGTCAGTTTCCTGATCTGTATATTGGGAAAGGGCATCTACTTCATGGAGTTGTCATGAGGATGACACAAGATAAATATGTAAAGGGCCTACCCACTGCAGATCAGGGCACCTCAGAGACACCCAAGAACTTCTCCTCCCTTCTCTTTTTTTTTTTTTTTCGATGGGGTCTTGCTGTTGCCCAGGCTGGAGTACAGTGGCACGATCTTGGCTCACTGCAACCTCCACCTCCTGGATTCAAGTGATTCTCCTGCCTCAGCCTCCTGAGTAGCCAGGATTACAGGTGTGCAGCACCACACCCAGCTAATTTTTATATTTTTAGTAGAGATGGGGTTTCGCCATGTTGGCCAGCTGGTCTCGAACTCTTGACCTCAGGTGATCCTCCCACCTTGGCCTCCCAAAGTCCTGGGATTACAGGCATGAGCCACCTTGCCCGGCCTCCTCCCTTCTTTGCACAATACAGACTATTGGACTTGGTGGTGAAGCTACACTAGAGGCAAAGTCTCCACCCCAATGGTATTTGTGATATTTACCTATGGGTTGATCTTCTATTTTTAGGTCCAGAATGAAAATCCTTCAGATTTCAACTCTTACACTAACAAAACTTTCATTCTGCAACATTACCTTTTTTTTTTCTTCATTCCATCTCTTCTGTTGTACTCCTTACCTTCCTCACTTTCAGCAAATCCTGCCACTTTTTCCATTAACCACAGGAAGAGTCAATTCACAGTAATCTCACTGCCTCCAAGGACCTAAGAGAAAAAAAGCTATCAAAGGGACAAATAAATATAATATGTTTAAAGCATGACAATAAATTACATAACTTCATCTCAAATCTTGCTCTGTGGGAAGGTTGATATGAATCGTTTGAAGAAACATGAAACAGATCCTAAAGACAGGCGATTTTTCATAGTGAAATGCAATTTTTTTTCAAGCTTCAAAGCAAAGGTTCCTTTTGTCATCTGCTTGATAGGTTATTTTTGACAGGATTTAACTTATTAAATTGTTCTCCTGCCCTTTCAAACGGTCTGGGCATAGGAGCTTGCTAGGGAAAATGATGAATGTTTGTTCTTAATTGAAATTTTGAAATAACCATGTGGCAAAGCATAGTGAATGCATTTGCTCTTCTGCAAAAGTTTCAAAAATGAGTGCCTTGTGTAGCACCACACTGATACTCAATAAGCAATACTAGGGTGATCTGAGGAATGAGTTAGAATAATCTGCTTTCTGGACCAGTATTTTTATAAAAGTGTTCTTTGTAGCTGTGATTAATCAAACTCTTCAAAGATTCTTTCTGTAATTTAGACATAATTCTTTCTTATTGATTAAGAACTATACCACATTATACCAATAAAAAGCGTGAATATGCCCATGAAAATTATTACATAATTATTTATACTAATAGAGAAACCTAATTTTTTGTTGGCTAACAAAAAGTTGCTGAATTTTCAGCATCACAGTTTCAAAAGATTTCCGTTAAATTGTGTGAAGTTGAGAAATGTAAGCAATTGAATTGTGATGTAGATCGAAGGACTTTGCTGGTGCTATATAAGCTGTATTCTAGTTGCATAAACATGTTAATTAGTGAAATATACTTCTTATCAAAAACTTAATAAAATAGAATATTAAAAGGATGCAGAATTTTCTAAAAATTTAATTGCCATGCAACACTTTTATAGCCACTGTCTCTAATGACTATCATTTCCTCTTCCAACTACATCTCACTTCACACAAATTCTGTGTCTGAAAAGTTGCCTTTGTGTTTTATTGTTATAAATTGAATCATATAGGTGCACTAGAGAAATTTGTTCTTTTAAAGAATCTGTGGGCTGAGGTGGGCAGATCACAAGGTCGGGAGATTGAGACCATCCTGGCTAACATGGTGAAACCCCGTCTCTACTAAAAGTACAAAAAATTAGCCGGGCATGGTGGCGGGCACCTGTAGTCCCAGCTACTTGGGAGGCTGAGGCAGGAGAATGGCGTGAACCTGGGAGGCAGAGCTTGCAGTGAGCCGAGATCGCGCCACTGCACTCTAGCCTGGGTGACAGAGCAAGACTCCGTCTCAATAAAAAAAAAAAAAGTCTATGGTAACTCATTTAGGAAAATGTGAATAGCTACTGCCTAAATATCATTTTGTAATTCTGAATTTGTCTAGAACATGTGAGAGAAGAAGAAAAGTTGGGGAGAAGGGCACCAACAATGATTGAATATCTTTTGGGGCAGGCATCTCATGTGATCTCCCAACAATATGCAAATTAGATATCCTCACCCCATTTACAGAAGAGAACACTGCTCAAGTCCACATAGTTAATAGTGGAAAAAAATTTTGATGACAAGATTTCAATATTACATATGATCATATATATCTTTATTATGAAGAATGTCATGTACTATAATTTCAAATGTAGTATAGTTGGCCCTCTGTATCCATGGGTTGCAAATTTGTGGATTCAACCAACCACTGGTTGAAGATATTTGAGAAAACTAACAGGATGGTTCCATCTGTACTGAGCACATACAGACTTGTTTTCTTGCCATTATTCCCTCAACAATACCGTATAGTAATTATTTACATAGCACTTACGTTGTTCTAGGTATTATAAGTAATCTACACATGATTAAAAGTATATGGGAAGATGTGTTCAGGTTATACACAAATACTACCCCATTTTATATTAGGGACTTGAGCATCTTTGAATTTTGGCATGGGGGAGTGGGCTGTGGGGAGGGGGTGGGGGTGAGGGTTGATCCTGGAACTAATTCCCCGAGAGTACTGAGGGATGACTGTAATTCATTCTTCCCATCACTCAGATTAAAAAATTATTAAGACTGACATATTTGCTTCATCTCTCTTTTCTTTTACTTTTTTAAGTTTGCTGAAGAATTTTTAAGCGAGTGCCAGATGTATAATTTTACCTCGACTTATATCAATATCCATCTCTAAAAAACGTGGACTTTAAAAACTAACAACAATACCTAATCAATTAACAATAATTCCTTGGCATCATGTAAGAGTCAGTCCATAATTAATTTCCCTAATTGCTTTCAAAATACCTTTTCTTCATGCTGTTTTTTCACATCAAATTATAAGCATGTATTTTAATAAGACGACTGACTGTGTTCCTGTGATTCCAGAAAACAGCGATGATGCCGAGGCGAGATCTCCGGTCTCAACAACTAATGGTTGTTTGCAAACATTAAACCATTATGCAAAGTATGATGTAATGTGCTCAGATGTGTGAATTTCATAGTCCATCAATTAAAAGAAAAAAATTGGCAAGATCCATCCTTTTTTTTTTTTTTTTTTTTTTTTTAGTTTAGTTTTGTTCTTTAAAAAGAGGGAAAATAGGGCCGGGAGCAGTGGCTCACGCTTGTAATCCCAGCACTTTGGGAGGCTGAGGCGGGTGGATCACCTGAGGTCAGGAGTTCGAGCCCAGCCTGACCAACATGGAGAAACCCTGTCTCTACTAAAAATACAAAATTAGCCAGGCATGGTGGCACATGCCTCTAATCCCAGCTACTCAGGAGGCTGAGGCAGGAGAATCGTTTGAACCCAGGAGGCGGAGGTCACAGTGAGGTGAGTTCGTGCCGTTGCACTCCAGCCTGGGCAACAGGAGCCAAGACTCTGTCTCAAAAAAAAAAAAAAAAAAAAGAGGGAAAATATATAATCTACCAACACTTTTATTTCATTTTTCAGAAGGACATTTTAATCCCCGAAAGTAGGAAAACTTCATTTCACAATGACAGGTCTTCTAGGAAAGGACATTTAGTAAATCTGGAAATGTTTTTTAGAATATGGATTTGCCAGTTAAAAAAATAATTCAAAATTATTAATGTTGGGGCTGGGCGCAGTGGCTTATACCTGTAGTCCCAGGACTTTGGGAGGCCAAGGCAGACTAATCACTTGAGCCCAGGAGTTCATGACCAGCCTGGGCAATATGGCGAGATCTTATCTCTCCTAAAAATACAAAAAAACTAGGTGGGCATGGTGGCATGTGCCTGTAGTCCCAGCTATTCGAGAGACTGAGGTGGGAGGATCACTTGAGCCTGGGAAGTTGAGGCCGCAGTGAGTGGTGATGGCACTGCTGCACTCCAGCCTGGGTAACAGAGTGAGACCCTGTCTAAAACATAAAAAAAATTGACATCAAATGTTGCAAGTATATGGTGAAAAACATTATTCAGTATACCTAGGATCAAAAGAAGCTGCATAATGCAGTGATTGAGCTTACAGGGTCTGGAGTCAGACAGACCTGACCACTTACTTGACCTTTTAATACTTTAGTCTTCTCATCTGTCAAATAGGATAACAACAGTTCTTACTCCTAAGATTCTTATCAACAGGAATGTAAAATATCTAACACATTATTTGGCACATAGTATGTACTTAACAAATTCTAGCTAATTATTAACTTCTGAATATTCAGACAGCATGACCAAAGAACATAAACAAACTCAGCCTCTCTTCTGGACTTGGTTTTCATAGAACTTGGAAGGTTGGTGGGGAAACTCCATTTTTATCTTCTCAAGTCAGATGATTGTTTTTGTCAGCCTGCTGTTGTGTAGAGCGGGTAGAATTAATGATAGCTCTAGGGGGATGTATTTGAAAAGAAGAGCATATTAAGTGTTGACAGGGTTCTTTCTTTCTTGTTTGTTACATATTTTGGTGACTAAGTAGCAAAGCCTTTCTAAGTATGTCTTCCAAGTTGACATGCTAGTCATATTTTCTAAGCTTTTCCATAATTCCCTCCTAACTTTTCTAAGGACTATAGAGTTGATTTAATAAAAACAAATTCATTGTTATAGATTGAAAAACTGGCCGGGCGCAGTGGCTCACACCCGTATTCCCAGCACTTTGGGAGGCCAAGGCGGGCGGATCATGAGGTCAGGAGATTGAGACCATCCTGGCTAACACTGTGAAACCCCATCTCTACTAAAAATAGAAAAAAATTAGCCAGGCATGGTGGTGGGTGCCTGTAGTCCCAGATACTTGGGAGGCTGAGGCAGGAGAATGGTGTGAACCAGGAGTCAGAGTTTGCAGTGAGCGGTGATTGCACCACTGCATTCCAGCCTGGGTGACAGAGCAAGACTCCATCTCAAAAAAAAAAAAAAAAAGAAAAAAAAAAAGAAAAACCGAGGTACAAAATAATTCTATAACTTGCTTAACCATAATAATAGCTAACGTATATTGAGACTTAACCTTCTGACTGCTTTATGTTAATCTTCTCTCATATGACCCTCGAAGCAATACTGGGAGGTTGGTGTGATTTCACCCTCATTTTAAAGACAAAGGAAACTGAGGCGCAGGGAGGTTAAGAAACTTGCCCAGGATCATAAAGCTGGTAGATGTGAGTGTCAGGATCCATGCTGGGCCGTCTGGTTTCAGAGTGTGTGTTCTTAATCCCTCTAAATGTGACTTCTCATGGGATGTTTAGCATGAATGACTCAGATAAGGCTTGGGCTCTAGTCCCTCATTTATCGAGGTATCTTTTCCTTGGTTGTGGTAGTATTTCTTCACTGGTATCTCTTTCTCACCTCCCTTTTTTATTTTTTGAGACAGGTTCTCACTCTATTGCCTAGGCTGGAGTGCAGTGATGTGAACACGGCTCAATGCAGCCTCGACTTCCTGGGCTCAATTGATCCTCCCATCTCAGCCTCCCAAGTAGTGGGGGCTATAGCTGTGCACCAACCATGCCCAGCTAATTTTTGTTACTTTTTGTAGAGATGAGGTTTCTCCATGTTGCCCAGGCTGGTCTCAAACTCCTGAGCTCAAGCAATCTGCCTGCTTTGGCCTCCCAAAGTCCTGGGATTAGAGATATGAGCCACCAAGCATGACCTCATCCCAAATTTGTAAAAGAAAACTAAAGGACAAGATCTTTGTGTGAATCATCTCCCTATCATTCCCTCCTTCTCCATATGTCAGCACCACCAACTGCAACATCAGCAGAAGATACATTAAGTGGAATCCTCTTGTGTTCAAAGAGCAGCTCATCACCACAGCTGGAGTTAGGGGATGAAGAGGGGGAGGTGGGCAGGCCCCCTCCAACTCCTGTGAGCTGCCACATCTGGTCCCCTCTCTCTTTCACCCCCTGAGCCAGGAATGCAAACCAGAGGCAGTCTCCACCCCTCCATCAGCCCCAGGACCCCACTGTACCTCTTTGTTGTTTCACAAAGATGTGTTTGTTCGATCTTTCCATCTCCTCATTGTTTCTCTCTAAATAGAGAGAGAGAGATGAGGGCAGAGGAGGAATTGCAATCACACCCTTCAGAGGGGGAGAGACCAAAATACCATCCCATGCTTGTCAAAGGCACATTTCCTCAAAATGTCTCCTAACTGAAATTCACACTTTTTCTCTTCTTGTGCTCTTTAATCTGATTGATTGTGTGGGTATCTGAGGGAGCAGGGCTGTCCATTCAGAATTCATTTTGGCCACATAATGCTGTGATCGTGGCCTAATTCTGCACATAAAACCCAGGTTTTGATTGAGGACAAGATTTTTAAAAAATTCTTACACATAGTTATCTTATGGTCATTAGGGGATTAGAGAGATGCTTTTAGGAAAAAGAAGTAGCTGGAAAGATATTATAGGAGCCGTCCATTTGAGCAAAAAAGTATTTTTGAGACTAGAATTCCAGTCAAAAGTTTGGCTGAATGCAGTGGCTCATGCTTGTAATTCCAATGCTTTGGGAGGCCAAGGTGGGAGGATTGCTTGAGCTCAGGTGTTTGAGACCAGCCTGGGCAACATAGCAGGACCCTATCTCTACAAAAAATTAAAAAATTAGCTGGGGCTGGGCGTGGTGGCTCACACCTGTAATCCCAGCACTTTGGGAGGCTGAGGTGGGCAGATCACGAGGTCAAGACAGCGAGACCATCCTGGGCAACATGGTGAAACCCTGTCTCTACTAAAAATACAAAAATTAGCTGGGCGTAGGTGGCATGCACCTGTAGTCCCAGCTACTCGGGAGGCTGAGGCAGGAGAATCACTTGAACCCGGGAGGCAGAGGTTGCAGTCAGTCGAGATTGTGCCACTGCACTCCAGCCTGGCGACAGAGCGAGACTCCATCTCAAAAAATAAAGAAAAGAAAAGAAAAGAAAAAATTAGCTGGGTGTGGTGGTGCACGCCAGTAGTCCCAACTACTCAGGAGGCTGAGGAGGGGAGGATCGCTTGAGCCCAGGAGATGGAGGCTGCAGTGAGCCATGATTGTATCACTGTACTCCAGCCTGAGCAATAGAGCAAGACCCTGTGTCTTTTTAAAAAAAAAAAGTTCTTAAAAAAGTTCCTGTTCTTTAAAAACCTTCCTTTGATTCTTTTACTGGATTTAAATAATGTCATCTCTTTCAGATTAGATTTTGATGGTGATTTCTTTGCTTTCCTCAGAATATCTAAAGGTTTATATCAGCTATGCACATAACCCAAGTTTGACCAGTTTTCGATTGTTTCACAATGTGGTCCATGCTCTGGGGTTTATATCCCTGGGGAGGACTGGTGGGCTCCCCTGACGAAGCATAACTGGATGAAGGGGAGGAGGGTCCCAAGGCACAGGGAGGTTAATAGGTACAAAAATACAGTTAGATAGAAGGAGTAAGTTCCAGCCTTCTGTAACACAATAGGGTGACTCTAGTTAACAAGAATTTATTGTAAATTTTAAAATAGCTAGAAGAGATTTGGAAATGTTCCCAAACACAAAGAAATGATAAATATTTAAGGTGATTTGGCTTCCCATGGCACCATGAGGAAGAAGATGATGAGGATGGAGCCCAGAGGGCAGATGGCACATGCACTTAGGAAGTAGAATTGAGAAAATGCAGTGATCAATTTGAGGTGATCAATAACCCTGATTTGATCATTATACACTGTATGCTTGTATCAAAATACCACATCTCCCATAAATATACACTATTATGTTTCAATAAAAATATATTTTAGAAAAAGAATGAGTGTTGGCCAGGGGTGGTGGCTCACACCTGTAATCCCAGTACTTTGGGAGGCTGAGGCAGGTAGATTCCTTGAGGTCAGGAGTTCAAGACCAGCCTGGCCAACATAGTGAAACCCTGTCTCTATTAAAAATACAAAAATTAGCCAGGCAAGGTGGGGTGCACCTGTAACCCCAGCAACTCGGGAGGCTGAGGCAGGAGAATCGCTTGAACCTGGGAGGCAGAGGTTGCAGTGAGCCCAGAGCTCCCCACTGCACTCTAGCTCGGGCAATAGAGTGAGACTCCATTTCAAAAACAAAAACAAAAAAAAAAAAAAGAAAGAAAGAAAAAGAATGAGCGTTGAAGGAGAACAACGAGTCCAGAGATGAGTGGGCAGGGTGGCTGGGAGGTGAAGGGTTCCTGTGGGATGGCACTGGGGGTGGGTTGTGCTGCAGTTGTGCAGTGGGGCAGGGGTGGTGCTGGGACACTGGGAAGAAGCTGACCAGGGAAAGGTCTTTTGTGCACAGCAAGCTGCCTTCACTTCATTCTGATGCCATGGGGAAACAAGGAAGGGGTCCATACCCTATGCAGTGTGATAGCTATGATCACAGTTTTGTTTTAGTATGATCCCCTTGATCTGGGAAAAGGGCTTCCCATTTTGGAAGCAAACTTGAAGGAGGCCAGAGAAGACCCTATTGCAGCTATTCACATAAGAGGCCATTAGGTCCTAAGGTGAGGCGATGGTGTGGATGGAGCCCAGAGGGCAGATTCCACATGAACTTAGGAGGTAGAATTGAGAGGACATGGTGATAAATTGGATGTGATAGGCAGGGAAAGGAAAGGACCTAGGGTCCTTTGTTTAATTAAGTTTTGGCATTTATGACTCGCTGTGTTATTCCCAGTTATGACCTACAGAGTAAATCAAAATAATAACACAGACAAATAAGCCTGAGAAAGGGTTCAGTCAATGATCCAGGAGGGAGGAGCCGGATGTGAGGATCAAGAATCAAGCAAAACAACTAGAGTGCCAGGAACAGAAACTCAGGCTTCCAAGATGGGAGGAATCTGACAATTCTGCCAAACACTATCTAATTCACCCAAGACTGTTGAAGATGGCTGCACTCTCATCAGTGGTTAAGACCCACAGGTCTTCAGGGAACTTTAAAACTTCATCTCAGGCAAAATCTTCTGAAATGTGACATGAAATTGGTGGTAGTCCTATGGAGAAGGAAGCCTGCATTATATAGTTCCCCTAAATGACAAGCTGTGTACATGTAACACACATGCACACACACATATTGTGAGGGTGTCTTCATTTGAAGTTAACTGCTAGGAAACAGGCCATCACTTTATACTAGGCATTGATGTTCTCACATCCAGGGGTCATTGATGCACAGGGATCTTTTTGTCTCTTTGGCATGTACAGTATATGTCAGCTCTAACAAGTTCTCCATCTATTCCACATGGAAAGGGAAGTCCAAGACTGTTTACAGAAGAGAAAGAATTCAGGGTAATTTTTGTTCTGAGGTTCTGTTTTCCTTCTGGTCTAGTTTAGTGGAGAGACTGAAGTATTATAAATGTCCACTTAGATGTGCTGCTCTCACTTCAAAGCATAAGATTCTCCAAATATATTTATCAAATGAAGAAAGGAGGCTGGGCGCAGTGGCTCACACCTGTAAGTCCACCACTGTGGGAGGCCAAGGTGGGCAGATCACGTGAGGTCAGGTGTTTGAGACCAGCCTGGCCAACACGGTGAAATCCCATCTCTACTAAAACTACAAAAATTAGCCGAGTGTGGTGGTGTGTGCCTATAATCCCAGCTACTTGGGAGGCTGAGGCAGGAGAATCGCTTGAGCCTGGGAGGCGGAGGTTGCAGTGAGCAGAGATGGAGCCACTGCACTCCAGCCTGGGCAACAGATTAAGATTCTGTCTCAAAAAAAAAAAAAAAAAAAAAAAAAAGAGAAAACACATGATATATTTGCATATTTCCATTGCTAGTAATAGATTAGTGTATAAACATAACGTTAAAAAATAAACTGATGCCAGTCGCATGGTGTATCTTAAATGCAAATGTCTTCCAGACCAAAATTACCAGTGTCTCTAGAGCAATGATATAAATAACATGTGCTTACTTTTCAACTTACAAAAGAAATGACAAGACTAATGAGTTTTTGGTAGTCTCATAAATACCATGTCTGAAAATAGTTCATCAGTTTTTGGGACTCATCCATGAAATGCTTACATATTGTTTCAGTAAGGTACACATTTTGTCACACTTTAGCGGTTTGGAAAGAGTACCATCAATAATGAGATTAAGGAGAATTGTACAATTTGCATGGGAATTTAGGTATGAGAGAATTCTCCTAACATGTAAAATATCTGCAATTCTGACATCTTAGTACATTTGCATGAAGGTAACTGAGGGCCAAAAAAGAAAAAGGCGCTATATTGTGTCAAACATGAGACCTCCCCTGAAATTCCCATTTCGGTTACACACTGTTTGCTACATCTGAAGATGAAATTGTTCTCTCACTTCCTTTTCTTTTGTTCCAAATCTGACCTCTGAAGACAGGCTAAATGGGCACCCAAAGAGGAAGAACATATTTGCAGCCTAGACCATTGCAGTTGCTATGTTAGGTGGTACAGAAGTCTTTTGTCTTGGCCAACAGTGCTGTAGTCAAGTCCTACATTCTGTGTGGGAGGCCAAGAAAGAGGCAATAACATATTTTAATATTTCGACCCTTCTTTGAAGTCAATATGAGTGTGGAGCGAGGTGTTTTGTAGCTATTAAATATATCTATCAAGTAAGACATTTTAGCTCCTGTAAAAATATATTATTTTTTGAAAGCTTATTATTGTTCTCAATTCTGATTCTAGGTAGCCGCTATCTTGCTAAAATAAATAGAAACAATGTTTAACAACTTTTAGGTTGTGTTCATAACATGCCAGATTTTAAAGTAGCCCAGACAGTTACGAGGACCTCTGAATTTTCAGTCTAACTTAATATTTCCTGAAAGGTCTGCCAAAAACTGCAGAGGGGGAATGCCAATTTTAAGTGCGTGTGAAGTTGGGAGGAGACAGGGAGAACTTTGCCTCTTTCTGTTCCAGATTAGGATACATAAAGAGTCAAATTTATTCTGGGCTGCCCTTTGCTAGAAACTGACAGCCCAGGCAGCTAACTCCTGGCCTCAGTGGAAGTTGCCTTAAAATCAAAGAACCTGTCCCTCTAGGAGGTAGGAAGGAAGGGGATCAGAGACAAACTAGGGGGCTCCTTTGCATATATTTCCAGGGATCAATCGCTTGTTGATATAGCTGGCTTTGCAAGTAGATCACAACTTGAAGTGTTTGAAAAAAATTACTTCCTTTTTAATCTTCCAAAGATGTTTTTAATACTGTTTCTCAGCGGAGGCCAATGGTGGAAATACCAATAAAATCTGCTGTTTGAAGAGCCAGTCCTCCCTAGGTCCTGCATCCTAGGCTCTGCTGTGCCGAAAGCATCCTTTTCCTGTGTTCCATAGAAGTAGTGGTTCATTCCATTTATTTGGCATAAAGGATATGCTAATTGTATTGCTAAATATTATTTTTATTTGCAAACAGATGGGAGAAAAGTTAAAGTGTTGTTAAATATTTGTAGGCTTCTGTTCTGTCTCCATAACTGAGTTGTAACTTTAGAGCCAGGTAGTCAAGAGTGTTGGCTCCAGTCCCATTGCCTGGGTTTAATATTGAGCTTTTTCTTCTCCTAACTGTAACCACATTATCCAACTTTTCTAAGCCTCAACTTAGCCATTCGTAAAATGAGAATCATCACAGTACTTCCCTGTAGAGTTATTGTGAAGATAAAGAAGATAGCATGTAAAGTGCTTAGCAGATGTGCCAGGCACATTGGAAGCAGTCAGTAAATGTTACCTATTATTAATTAATGTGTCCTTTGAGTAAGGAAGGCGTTTCTACTGTAGCAGAGGCAAAATACTGTAAAATCAGATTCTATCAGGTACCTGGCCATCTTCCTTTTGGTGACCCAAGTTGATGGGGAATTTGGAAGGTAGTGGTGGTTTGAAGCTGTTTCCTCCCTGTCATCTATTAAGGGAAAAGAGAAAAAAGAAGAGTGGTCTGGCTCTGAGAAAACCAGGTCAAGCTTTGTTTCCCATTTAGACATTCTGTGTATAAATGCATATCATGATTCCCAGAATTCCTTCATGACAGCTCCCTGAGTTAATGGTCAAGGAGGATTTTCTCAGGCTAGGCATACCCGGATCTGCCTCAGAAGAGATCGCCAAATAGTTCCTATTTTTGGCCTTTGGCTTAGAAAAAGGGGACAAACTGCTTTTCTCAAAAAGCTTTCTGGGACATTAAACAACTTTTTTTTTTTTTAAGAAGAGGAGATTGTTTAAAAAGGAAACAGCCTAGAAGGCTGTCCAATTTCACTCTATTAGGATATAATTTTTTTCTCTTGTGTCCTCTTTCTTAGACATTATTCTTCTCATTTTTCTAGTTTGTCTCCCAGCATATGTAAGAAACATAAAGAGCCAATAGGAGGGCACTAAATTTTTCCATTGGCTTCTTGGCCATTGTCTGGGGGACTGATGTGGCTGCTGTGGCTGGGGTTTCACTCAGCAATGCCTTGGGGCTGTGTGTGTGTGTGTGTGTGTGTGTGTATAAGATGAAGTCAAGTCTGGGCTGGTCCAGAGTGGACTGGGAGTAGAATCTGGGCCATTGGTTGACAGAGGAACAAGCATGCAAAGAGTTTGGACTTTTGGACTCTCTTCTCATGGTCAGGCTTGCTGTTTCACCTCTGCCTTTAATACCTTCTCATCATATTCTTAACTGTCAAGACAATTCATTAACTTAAGGTTTGCCAAGAAGGCAGCACTGCTTCTGAGAACACACTCCTGGAGAATGAGTAGTCCCTTCTCACCTCCTTCTCGGTCACTGCTAGCTACACTTCCGCTGTATGGCATCTCTTTCTCACCTCTTCTTCCCTATCCTCAATTTTCTCCTGTTGTGTTTTCAGAATCTTAAAATTTTCTACCGGGTGCCTGTCTTCATTTCTCTTTTCTTTTTCAGTTGCAGAAAGCCCCTCCAAATTTTCTCTACTCTGAGGCCTCCTGATTTAGGACACATATAGAAAGTTATTTTACTTCTAGAGTCTCACCAAGAAAGGAAGTAGCAGTTTTGTTCATAACCAACAATCTCTTTTCCCTAAGAAGCAACAGTAACAATAACAACAATAGTGTCTTAGTCCATTTTGCATTGCTGTAACAGAATACCACAGACTGTGTAATTTATTTTTAAAAAAGAAATGTATTTCTTACAGTTCTGGAGGCTGGGAAGTCCAAGATCAAGCAGCTGCATCTCGTGAGGGCCTTCCTGCTGCATCATAATGTGGCAGAGGGCATTACATGGTGAGACAGAGCAAGCATCTTAGCTCAGGTCTCTCTTCGTCTCCTTATAAAGACATCAGTCCCATCATGAGGGATTCACGGTGACCTTATCTAATCCTAATTACCTCCCAAAGGCCTCGCCTCCAAATACCACCAACATATGAATTTGAGGACTAAGATTCCAGCACATGAAATTTGGGGAAAATATTCAAACCATAGGAAACAGTAACACACATAAAATTATGAAGAATCTACTCCATCTATGTATTTTTTAAAATGTCAAATAACATTTCAATAATTTGATTAAGAGCTTAAAGACCTTAGACATAAAAGCATTTCATTTTAAATGGTAATATTTATACATATAACAGTTCATGAAGGAAAAACACCTTTCAATGAAACACATCAAAATATATCCCCAAATGTGAATATTCTTGTGTTCTTTCATTCTATCATCAGAATTTTAAAATATACATTTATTTATTTCTTTTAGAGATAGGGTCTTGCTATGTTGCCCAGTCTAGCCTAGAAATCCTGAGCCGAGCAATCCTCCCAGCTCAGCCTCCTGAGTAGCAGGGACTACAGGCATGTGCTACAGAAGCCAGCTTTCCTGGAAATTTTAACCACATATAGGAAGATCATATAGTATTTTATTAAAGGGAAGCCTTTGGATCAGAGCAATCTAGGTTTAACTACTGACTTAGCTATTTGTACCCCAAACTTGAGCAAGCCACTTAACCTTTCTAAGCATTGGCATCCTCAGCCCTAAAATGACCCTCTTTTTTGGTGAGTATTAAAGGAGAAAATATACACAAAGCATATGGTACAGAAGAAGGTATTCAATTAAAGATAATCCTTATTCGTTGTGTGCCCAAAATATAGGCTAGGCACTAGAACAAAAGAAACAGGGCTTCTGTTCCCATGGAGCTTATAGGCTGGTAAAATGGCAGAGTTAAATAATGGCATATGGAGAACATCCTCCTCCCTTGGTTCTATTTTGCATGGCAGAATGTTTCCATGCAGCACAAAGCAAAAGAAAAGAAAATGTTGGCAATTACCTGGTAAATTAACCAAAGGAAAAGGCCAACCTTTTCTCTTTGCACACATTATACCCAGTGGCATTTGACAGATGCCTAAGAGTTATATTTGAGTCTTGCCCCCATAACCGTATCTTATTGGTCTTCAAGGCTAACCTATTCTGTTTTTTGAGTCCAGTTCCTTCTGTAGAAGGTTTTATAGTTTATAGCATCATCTGTTTGGCCTGACTTGCCAAAACATCCTCTAGTCTGGTTTACCTAGATTCTCTTATAAAAATATTTATTGAGCACTTACTCTGTGCCAAGTGCTAAGAATAGAAAGATGAAAGAGAAGTGCTATAATACAGGTCTACATCTAAAACCTGGGGTTGTGAGGGAACATGATTATATGAATGTTGAACTCAACAGAAAGATCTGTGCTGGAAAAAAAATAATTGTGGGTGAATGAGTCTCCCTAGGAAAACTGTAGAAAGAGAAAAGAATGCTAAGGATTGGACTGGGAGTCAGAGAGTGGGGCAGAAGGAAAATTTAAGGGTAGGCAGAAAAAGAAGAATCAAGGAGACTGAGAGGAAGCAACCTGCAATATAGAAAGAGACACAGAAAACAGAGAGGTGAGGAAAGCCGAGGGAAAGAATTATTTTCAGAGGGAGAGAGGGGTCAGAAATTTCTATCACAACTGAGAAATTACATGAAGACAGAGAAGTGTTTGATTGAGAACCTCGACATCCTTGGTGACCATATAGACATAGCTTCTTTTTCTTGGTTGGGGGTGGGGACTTATTAAAAATTTCCTTTAAAAATATTTAGATTCACTACAAGGAACTCAAACAAATTTACAAGAAAAAAAAAAAAACCCATTAAAAAGGGCAAACGTGGACCGGGCACGGTGGCTCACGCCTGTAATCCCAGCACTTTGGGAGGCCGAGGCGGGCAGATCACGAGGTCAGGAGATCGAAACCGTCCTGGCTAACACAGTGAAACCCCGTCTCTACTAAAAATACAAAAAAATTAGCCGGGCGTGGTGGCGGGCGCCTGTAGTCCCAGCTACTCAGGAGGCTGAGGCAGGAGAATGGCGTGAACCCGGGAGGCGGAGCTTGCAGTGAGCCGAGACTGCGCCACTGCACTCCAGCCTGGGCGACAGCGAGACTCCGTCTCAAAAAAAAAAAAAAAAAAAAAAAGTGGGCAAAGGACATGAACAGACATTTCTGAAAAGAAGACATTTATGCAGCCAACAAACATATGAAAAAAAAGCTCAGAATGGCCATTATTAAAAAGTCAAGAAACAACAGATGCTGGCAAGGTTGCAGAGAAATAGGAACGCTTTTACACTGTTGGTGGCAATGTAAATTAGTTCAGCCATTGTGGAAAATGATGTGGTGATTCATCAAAGATCTAGAACCAGAAATACCATTTGACCCAGCAATCCCATTACTGGGTATATAAGGAATATAAATCATTCTATTACAAAGATACATGCATGCGTATGTTCATTGCAGCACTATTCACAATAACAAGGGCATGGAATCAACCCAAATGCCCACCAGTGATAGACTGGATAAAGAAAATGTGGTAAATATACACAATGGAATACTACACAGCCATAAAAAGGAATGAGATCTTGTTCTTTGCAGGGACATGGATGAAACTGGAAGCCATTATCCTCAGCAAACTTACGCAAGAACAGAAAACCAAACACCGCATGTTCTCACTTATAAGTGGGAGCTGAACAAGGAGACCACACTGTCGTAGGGAGGGGAACAACACACACTGGGGCCTGTCGGGGGATGGGGAGGGGGGAGGAAGAGTATTAGAAAAAATAGATAATGCATATTGGGCTTAATACCAAGTTGATATGTTGATAGGTGCAGCAAACCACTATGGCACACGTCTGTCTATGTAACAAGCCTGGACATCCTCCACATGTACCCCAGAACTAAAAATAAAAATAAAAAAATTTACATTCATGGGGTACATGTGCAGATTTGTTATGTGTACATATTGTGTAATGGTGAAGTCTGGGCTTCAAATGAACCGGTCAACCACATAGTGAACATAGTACCCAATAGGTAGCTTTTCAGCCCTTGTCCTCACCCCTTCTGCCACGCTTTTGGAGTCTCCAATGTCTATCATTCCCATCTTTATGTCCATTTGTACCCAATCTTTAGCTCCCACTTATTTATTTTATCTTTTAGAGACGGTATCTTACTGTGCCACCCAGATTAGAGCAAGGTGGCGCCATCATAGCTCAATGCAACCTCCTGAGCACAAGCGCTCCTCCTGCCTTAGCCTCCCAAGCAGCTGGGATCATAGGCGTGCACCACCATGCCTGGAAAATTTTTTTGGGTTTTTTTTTTTTTGTCTTGCTATGTTGCTCAAGCTAGTCTCAAACTCCTGGCCTCAAACAGTTCTCCCACCTTGGCCTCCCAAAGTGCTGAGATTACAGTGTGAGCCACCTTGCCCAGCCAGCTCCCACTTACAAGTAAGAAGACATGGTATTTGATTTTCGGTTTCCACATTAATTCACTTAGGATAATGGCTTCCAGCTCCATCCATGTTGCTGCAAAGGACATGATTTCATTCTTTATTATGGCTGTGTAGTAATCCATGGTGTATATGTACATTTTTAAAAATCCATTCCACCATTAATGGGGACCTAGGTTGATTCCATGGCTTTGCTGTTGTGAATAGTGATGCAACGAACATACGAGTGCATGTATCTTTTTGGTAGAGTGATTTCTTTTCTTTTGGATATATACCCAGTAATGAGATTGATGGGTTGAATGATAATTCTATTTTTAGTTTTTTGAGAAATCTCCAAACTTCTTTCCAGAGTGGTTGAACTAACTTACAATCCCACCAACAGTGTATGAGCTTTCCCTTTACAGTCTTACCAACATGTTATTTTCTGACTTTTTAGTAATAGCCATTCTGACTGGTGTGAGATGGTATTTCATTGTGGTTTTGATTTGCATTTCTCTGATGATTAGTGATAATGAGCATTTTTCATATGTTTCTTGGCCAGTTACATGTCTTTTTTTTCAGAAGTAATTGTTGATGTCCTATGTCCACATTTTAATGAGGTGTTTCTTTTCCTATTGATTTGTTTAAGTACCTTATAGCTTCTGGATATTAGACCTTTGTTGGATGCATAATTTGCAAATATTTTCTGGACATAGTTTCAAAGGAGTGGGGGAATCAGAAGCCAGATCGGAATTGGTAAAGGAATGATTAGGATATGAAGAAATGGAGAAAGCTAGAACGGGCAAGTAGAAGAAGGAAGAGAGATAAAAATAGAAACACTGAGTACCATGCACCAAGTGATAACTGGTGGTGTATATTATAGGCAGGATGGTGCACGAGCTACCCGTGGGGGCTCTGGAGCCAGACTGCCTTGGCTTTGAAAGCTGGATCTGCCACTTACTGTCTGTGGGACTTTGGGCAAGTTGTCTCACCTTCAATACCTCGATTCCTTCAACTGTAAAATGGGGATAGCACTGGCATCTTCTTTACTGAGTTGTAAAAATTAAAGGGAAGTTCCTGGTGCATAGTAAATGCTCAATCCATTCTAGCTTTTATTACTCTCTCCAAAGTGCTATGGAAATACAGCATAAGACTTGATTGATTCTGTTAGGTGAGCAGAGTTAGAGAAAAATTTATAGAGGTGTCATGGATGCAGATCATAAAAGGGAAGTTTTTTTTAAAGTGGAGAAAAAATCAAAAAGCATATTTGAGAAATGAGCACAAATTATATAAACAAAACAAGTAAATGTGAAATTACAGGGTAAATTTGGTTAACAACCACACCAAGAATTTGGAAAGATCCATTACTAATATATGAAGACAAAAATTAGTTATTGTCTTTAGTGAGGGAAAACTATGCAGTAAATTCATTATTATTATTTTTTTGCTTTAGCTTTCTATTTTCAGAGCAATTTGCTTGGCTTCATTAATGCCTTCATTCTTGCTTACAGCCCTTGTGTATATCTGGATATGTCGCAGTGGCCTCCTGAAGAGTTGCTTTAACTGAATTGTGCTTTGGGGTGACTTAACTGAATTAAGCTATTTGTCTGTGTCAGCAGATCAGGAAGAAATAGCCCAATGAAATTCATCATCATATTTACTGTAAGGATATTGTTGAAAATGGGCTTCATTACCTTGCATAGTATTTGGTTTATGAGGATGCTTAGGAGACTGTCTTCACAGTCTTAATATAAACAATAGATGTGTTTCAGTTGACCAAATGGTTTGATTTTGTAATGTAGCACCATACTCTGTTTGGTCTTTGCGAAGACTGTTAGAAAGCTTTGAGTATATTTGTAGTTCAGCCTAAGCAAGTACTGTAAATTTCATGTACTGGGCTAATTCTGGTGCCATTTATATTCCTATTCTCTGTTCTTTTTCTCACGTGCTCCTAATTAATGTTCTTTTGATATACTGTAGGTGTCTTTTAAAGCTACCTTAAATTCTTTCTGTGGTAGGACACTAGTTTAAAAGCATGAGATCTGAAGTCAAAATGTCTCCCTCCAAATTCATGTTTGACCACTTGCTGGCTGTACAACATTGGGCAAGTTACTTAATGTCGTGAAGCCTCAGTTTCATCTGCAAAATGGGGATAGCAATTTTCACTTCAGAGTTTTGTGAGGATTAAAGGAGATAAGTCATGTAAATTATTGAGCACAATACCTGGCACATAGAAGCACTCAAGAAATTCATGTCCTCATTGTTATTAACATTATTTTATGTTAGTATTAATAATCATGATATAAAAACACACATATATGAAAAAAATCCTATTATAACTGCTGGGTAATTAAAATGATCCTGCTTCCTTCAGGTTTATTTGAAATTCACATGCCTTGATATTCATGACAGGGAGCCAATTTCGGGAAATAGATTTTCAAGCATTAACAATTTAAATCAGGCGAAAGATTATACTTGACAATTAGCATCAACAATAGACAGCTAAACAGAAATATAGTGCTTTTTCTATTTGTGTCTGTCTTACTACATCTATAAGCTAGTATTCTGTCTTTAGGCTGATGGGCCTATTTACATAGAAGTTCCAGAAGCGAAATGAAGAAGATTATTCCATCTTGCAATTTAAATGAAATATTGCATAGATAATTTCAGACAGGAATTTTCCAAAGAGCAAGAAATAGTTCTTAGCAACATGAAAAACCAGAAACAATGCTAGATCTAATTCTGTATGAGCACAGCCATGTGCTGAGTGCCCCATTTCATTTTTAAGGACATAGATTTAATTTCATGTGACAATCTGGCATCAAAGATTTCCCCTAGTCTTTTTACTAAATAGCCCAGTAAATATGAAAATGCAATCCAATAGTAAAAGATTAAATTTGTCAGACTCTACTTTCAGGGCACCACGGTTATTATGAAGGCAATAAATGAACAAATGAGATTAAGGAAAATGCCAATAGATATGTCATGTGATATAAACACATCTAACACCTGACTAATGAGAATTTTATGTGCACAATAAAATGTCAGTTTGTATATCTAGCTTGTTTCCTGTACCATTTCTATCTATCATATTTATCAAATAAATATAATAACCTTTCAGGTACTATAATAATTTATGTAATATTTTACTCTTTTTACCAAGGCAAGAGGGAACACTTTTTCCCTCCTTTAAAGGAAATTAAAAATTCCTTTTAATTTTTTTATTAAAAGGAATTAATAAAACCCTATTTTATTTTCTTCAATACTGTCGAAGAAATCTTTTGAGAGATTCCTAAATTTAAAACAGTTAAAATTTAACAAATTTGCTTAAAGGAATATGGCTATAAAAATAA
This sequence comes from Homo sapiens, assembly GCF_000001405.40. Lineage (NCBI taxonomy): Eukaryota > Metazoa > Chordata > Mammalia > Primates > Hominidae > Homo > Homo sapiens. The sequence goes on from NC_000010.11 coordinate 22,776,043, forward strand.
TTCTTAGTAACCTGTAACTAAATATTTAAAAGTTCTTTTGTTGTGTTTAAAAAAAATGACAATTTACTACACAAACAATTTTATTTGAAGGTTGCATTTATTCATATTCCTGATGAATTCATTTATTTACATTACATAGCTTATTTTAGCTCTCATGCTGTTTTAAAAACAGAATATTTATCTATTTTAATAGCGTATGACCAAATATTCTGCACTTAAAGTTCATTTGTTGATACCAAATTCTGCATTGTGACTGAAGAAAAATAAGTTATATATTTGAGGAGTTCAGTGGCACAATCTCAGCTCACTGCAATCTCTGCTTCCCGGGTTCAAGCGATCCTCATGCCTCAGTCTTGAGTAGCTAGGATTACAGGTATGTGCCACCAGGCCCAGCGAATTTTTGTATTTTTAGTAGAGACAGGGTTTCTCCATGTTGGCCAGGCTAGTCTTGAACTTCTGGGCTCAACTGATCCACCCGCTTTGGCCTCCCAAAGAGTTGGGATTACAGGCGTGAGCCATCGCGCTGAGCCTTCCTTTTATTTTGTCAGTCTTCTTGTGCAATAATTAAAATGATGAAATTCAGGGAGTCTTTGATCATATGTTCCAAATTGTCAGCCGAACTTTTTGATAACATTTTGGATGTGCTGCTGTCTGCCATAAGTGGACATCAGAGACATTAATAGTCATATGTTGGCCAGTTCAGCGGTTACCAAGTCACCTTGGGCAGGACTGCTCATCCCTGTTCCCTTACATTTCTCATCTGTTCCCAGAATAGGAATTCCTATCCTATCAGAATGGTGCTATATTAGTCTGTTCTCACACTGCTATCAAGGACTACCTGAGACTGGGGAATTTATAAAGAAAAGAGCTTTCTAATTTACAAAGAAAAGAGGTCAACTCACAGTTCTGCAGGCTGTACAGGAGGCATGGCTGGGGAGGCCTCAGGAAACTTACAATCATGGCAGAAGGCAAAGGGGAAGCAGGCATATCTTCACATGGCCATCAGGAGAGAATGAGAGAAAGAGAGAGAGAGAAAAAGAAGGAGGAGGTGCCACACACTTTCAAACAACCAGACCTCCTGAGAATCTATCACTAGAACAACAAGGGGAAAGTCTGCACCCGTGATTCCATCACCTCCCACCAGGCCCTTCCTCCAACACTGGATTTACAATTCAATGTGAGATTTGGGTAGGGACACAGAGCGAAACCACATCAGGTGCTCATCAAACTTCTCAAATACACTTAGAAAAACATGGTCAAGAATGGCATACAGAGTAGTCACTGATGTATGTTTAAAGTATGGTCAAGTATGGCACACGGTAGTCACTGATGTATGTTTAAAGAATTGGAATTTTATTATAATTTTTAGAATTAGAATAATGTTTAACTTAGAATAAAAGTTAAAAATTATTCTAACTTGTGTTATTTTTATTGTTATTGTCATACAAGTCAGGATTATTATCCTAACTATTGGACAGAAAAACTACAGAATACATGCTTTTCTAAAAGAATGGACACTTTCCTAAAGTCAACAGGGGAGTTGAAAATAGAAGTTAAATCTCCAGAACCTTAATCACCTATTTTAAACTTTAAGTATTTTGACTTTCAGATAATTCTGTGAAGAATTCTGTCTTGATTTAGAAGACATTGCTTTTCTTTGCACTTTGTCTAAACTACACTGAAATACACCTAATTGTTGGGGGGTTGGGGGCGGGTGGAGAGGGAAAAAAAACCAGAAATTCAAAGAGATTTAGGATGAATCCCAGGTTTTTAATTTAGATTTGAGATCATTATCCAAGAAGAAAAAATTGTTAAGCATTGTGGAATATTTTCAAATTTTATTCTATATTTCATGTACTTAATGATGGTTTTTACTGTTAAAAAAAATGCAAAGTATAATGACAACATGACAAGGGTTTTGCAGCCTGCTCATTTTATGGGACCGTTAAGTACTCAGAGATTTGATGGCAATGTACTGTTTTCCTTTAAAATAATCTCTGATGTATTACACAATTAACACAAAATTTACATAATATTTTAAAATAAGAATTCAAAGAAATTTCTGAGAGCTTGTAGCGATATTCCAAACTTTCTAGAGTTTCACTCTCGTCCGTTGTTGGAGTACTTGATAAAAAGCTGGAGAACCCTGAGGTCTTTAATTATTGCAGTAGTCCCTGGCTTGTCAAGTCACTTCCTGCTAGTCTTTCAAAGTCAATGAGAATTTACTTCTTAGAAAAATCAAATTTGGAGCCAGGCACGGTGGCTCATGCCTATAATCCCAGCACTTTGGGAGGCCAAGGCAGGTGGATCACTTGAGGTCAGGAGTTTGAGACCAGCCTGACCAACATGGTGAAACCCCGTCTCTACTAAAAATACAAAAATTAGCCGGGTGTGGTGGTGCATGCCTGTAACCCTAGCTCCTCAGGAGGCTGAGGCATGAGAATTACTTGAACCAGGGAGGCGGAGCTTGCAGTGAGCTGAGATGGCGCCACTGCATTCCAGCCTGGGCAACAGAGCGAGACTCTGTCAAAAAAAAAAAAAAGAAAGAAAGAAAAAAAAGAAAAATCAACCTTGGAAAATGAACTACTCTCCCTAGGAGGATAGCAGTTCCCATATATGAAAAAAAATTATATTTAGAAAAAGAAACTTCTTTTAGCAATGGCTGGATGTAATCAAGCTTTTATAGATCAAAGCCAGTTAGCAGTGTGGTTGACGAGTGCAACGAGAATTTAAAATGTTGGGTTCTGGGTGCCTACCAGCAGAAGTACCAGAATCCTGCAGCTCTTAGATGTCTTTTTCTCTTGCAGTGTCCCAGAGAGCTCACACAGTGTCTTTGATGGTGATTTAAAATGTCCTGAGACAGCTACAGATAACGCCTTCCTCAGCTCCCTGTGATCTTACTCTGCTTCTTTTCATGGCTGGGGCAGACCCTAGGGATTGCCTCTGGGTACCGGAGATGGCTCTCCATTGCCCCTACCCTGATGTCTGTTACATCTCTTTAGCAGAAGCATCCTCCTAGGGTGCTATACTCCTTTTGCACCCAGCACTTCCTCTGGCATTACTCTTATGGCTCCTTCAGTATTTGTTCATTTAATTGTCTGTCTTCTCTGCCAGACTGTGAGATCTATGAAAGTAGGATCTGTTGCTGTCTTTTTCACTCCAGAAAGAGGTACTTAACCACATTTTTTCTTTGGAGACAAGGTCTTGCTATGTTGCCCAGTCTGGTCTCAAACTCCTGGCCTTAAGTGATCCTCCTGTCTCAGCCTCCTGAGTAGCTGGGATTACAAGTGCGAGGCACCATGCCCAGCTGCTTAACCATGTTTGATGAACCAATGAAGGAAGAGCTCTTGCCAGTGCTTTTTCAGAAGGGCAGAAGGCTGTCCTCCCACCAGAGCTGCGGTTCTTCACAGGCTCCTAGAAAACCACACAGGCCCTTCATCCCATGGGAACCTTTGTCAAATTCCTGTGGGTCTAGGTTAGAGGATATTTGAGAAAGACAAAGCAGTCACTTCTGCAAAAAATTAACCAATACCTTAACTCAGAGTCCAGACACTTTGACCCTTACCTTAGAGCAGTGTGTGGCTCATCTGCAGCCAATAACATGGAATTAGAGGTGGCTGCTGTCCTTCCTCTCTGTTGGATAGTCTTATTCTGAGAACTGAATCATCAGTCTCAAGACATGGAGATAAAAGGAATGGTTCTGGCATCAGATCGCTGAGGTTGAAAGCCAGCTCTGTCATTCCTGGAGGTGACTTTGGGCAAATCAGTTTGTCTTAATAAACCTCAGTTTCTTCATCTGTGAAGTGGGTCTATACTAGTCTACCACACATGGGTGTTGTAAGGATTAAAGCATATAAACCTTGCAAAACATCTAACGCAATGCCTAGCACAGTGTGTACTAAAATGTGAAGAATCATTCTAGCATTATAATCTTATTGTAGCTAGAAGGAGGCCCTCATATGCTGGAAGTCCCTGAAATGTGCCACAAAAAGGGCTCACTTCTGGAGCTTTATTTTACACACACACACACACACACACACACACACACACACACACACACGTTAATGTAATCAAACAAGGAGTTAGTATACTTTTAGTGGAAAATGAATTAGTTGAATTAAAAAAAAGCAAAGACATGTGTGCATCAGAAGTTCATGACCTAACCAGAAATAAAATCCCACACAAGCAGAAATAGTAATCTATTCCACTCCCCAGAAAAAGCAATCTCCTTGGCTGCCAGCCCAGTGAAGTGCAGCAACCTCTGTCACTGAGGACACTGCTCTCTGCCCTGGCATCTCTTCTTAGCTGCTGTGGGATGTGGGACCTGGGAACACATTTTTAAAAAACTGAATGAAAAACACATCAGAGTCCCCAGGAGATAAAAACTTAGTATCTTCTACGGTGACATGGACTTCTGAGTACTCATCTCTGGAGGCCGAAATATCCAAACTCAAGGACGAAAGGTCTGTTCCATCTGGAAGAAGCGTAAGGATTTCCTCAAGAAGCATCTGTACAGCTATTCTCTGTGCAGATGGTAGCCTGGCCAGTGCCATAGTGAGACTGAGGAAAGGGTCCTTCTACCACCACACAGTCTCCCTGGGGATGAGAACCTCTTCTTTGCAAGCTCATGAATATTGATGAGTCCAAACCACACTCGAAAGAGTCAGAACATATTGTAAAAGCCAAATTGCAAGTTGGCTCCTAAAGCTTGGGCAAAGGAGCAAATAATTTCAGCCCTGGGACTGGGCTGGGGCTGGCACAGCGCCTGAGCCTAAAAAGGAGGGCTGAGAGAACCTTGGCTCAAACCTCTTGTGGATCAAGAGGAAAGGAGGAGGAAGTGGGAGTCCAGGGGCTTTCATTCCCTGTAAACTCTGCCAACCAGTCATCCCGAAGTCAGAAGGCTGGAAGTCCCTGAAATGTGCCACAAAAAAGAGCTCACTTCTGGAGCTTTATTTTACACACACACACACACACACGCACGCACACACATTAATGTAATCAAACAAGGAGTTAGTGGTGTATTTTTTTTTTTTGGATGGAGTCTCACTCTGTCGCGCAGGCTGGAGTTAATGGTGCAGTCTTGGCTCACTGCAACCTCGGCCTCCTGGTCCAAGTGATTCTCCTGCCTCAGCCTCCCAAGTAGCTAGGATTACAGGCATCTGCCACTTCGCCCGGCTAATTTTTGTATTTTTAGTAGAGACGGGTTTCACCATGTTGGTCTGGCTGGTCTTGAACTCCTGACCTCAGGTGATCCACCTGCCTCGGCCTCCCAAAGTGCTGGGATTACAGGTGTGAGCCACTGCGGCCAGCCCGAGTTAGTGTACTTTTATAGGAAAATGAATTAGTTGTCTTCCCCAAGACAGAGTGCATGAGAAAAGAACCCATTGCCAGAGACTATACAAGCAAATCTGGCATAAATAAGAACTTCATGGGCAACAAATATTTACTGGGCACTCACTAAGTATCATGTTCTGTGCTAGGCACTGGAAATATGATGGAAAAAAGGAAACGATTCCTGATTTCAAGTTTACAGTGGTAGAAGTGTGGTGGGAGGGGAAGTAAAAACAATAACAAGCAAAATATAATGTATTGTGGTACGTTGTTGCATGCATCACTTTGTTCCTTTATATTGCCAGCTAGTGTGCTACAATTTGCTTTTCCATACACTTGCTGATGACCTTTGATGGGCTTCCAGTTTGGGATTATTATGAAGAGAGCTGTTATGAACATTTATGTCTTCAAGTGAACATACATTTTTGTTTATCTTGGGTTAATATCTAGGAATAGAGTTGCAGAATCATATGGTAAATGTATATTTCACTTCATAAGAAACTGACACACTTTTCCAAACTGGCTGGACCATTTTGCATTCCTATTAGCAGTGTATGAGAGTCCCAGGTGCTTCACAACCTTGTCAACATTTGATATTGCCAATTCAAACAATTTTAGCCATTGTAGACGGTGTATAGCAGTAGCCCATTGTGGTCTTATTTGCATTTCCCTGCTGATGAATAATGTTGAGTGTTTTTTAGATGTGCTTTTTGTGCCATTAGTACATCTTCTTTGGGGAAATGTCTATTCAAATCTTTTACCAATTAAAAAAATCAAGGACTGTGCCTCATTATTGAAGTTTGAGATTCTTTACAAATTCTGGACGTAAGTCCTTTATTTTCTAATCTGTGTTTTGCCTTTTCACTTTCTTAACTGTATTATTTTTTGAGACCCCTCCCCATCCTTTGGTAACTGCTTGCTATTCTACTCTCTACTTCTATGATAACAACATTTTAGATTCCACCTATGAGTGAGATCATATAGTACTTGCCTTTCTGTGCCTGGCTTATTTCACTTAACATACGGTGGAAGAGACTGGGTGCAGTGGCTCATGCCTGTAATCCCAGCACTTTGGGAGGCCGAGGTGGGCTGATCACTTGAGGTCAGAAGTTCAATACCAGCCTGGCCAACATGGTGAAACCCCATCTGTACTAAAAAAATTACAAAAATTAGCCAGGCTTGGTGGCGGGTGCCTGTAATCCCAGCTACTCGGGAGGCTGAAGCAGGAGAGTTGCTTGAACCTGGGAGGTGGAGGTTGCAGTGATCCAAGATCACGACACTACTACAGCCTGGGTGACAGAGTGAGACTCTGTCTAAAAAACAACAACAACAACAACAAAAATAAGGTGGAAGAGTAGAAGTTTCACATTTTGATGATATCTCCAATGTGCTAATTTTTTAATGCATGGTTTGTACACTTTTTGTCCCATCTAAGAAATCTTTGCCCCAATCACAAAGGTTTTCCCTCCTGTTTTGTTGAAGTTTTATGGTTTCAGATTTTCCATTTAGGTCTAGAATACATTTTGTGTCAATTTTTCTAGAATACATTTTGTGTCAGACATTGAGGGCATTTTTGGGCACGGTGGCTCATGCCTGTAATCCCAGCACTTTGGGAAGCTGAGGTGGATCACTTGAGGCCAGGAGTTGGAGACCAGCCTGGGCAACATAGGGAGACCCCTTACAAAAGACTAAAACATCAGCCGGGTGTGGCAGCACATACCTGTAGCCCCAGCTACGCAGGAGGCTGAGCCCAAGGGGTTGAGACTGCAGCGAGCCGTGATCATGCCACTGAACTCTAGCCTAGGTAACAGAGCAAGACCCTGTCTAAAAAAAAAAAAAAAAAAAGAAAGAGAGAGAGAGACAGAGAGAGAAGGAAAAAGAAAGGAAGGAAGGAAGGAAGGAAGAAAGAATCACCTTTTCCCTTTTGATATCTTGGTACTTTTATTGAAAACTGAAAACCAATTGACTATTTATGCGTGGGCCTATTTTTGAACTCTCAGTTTCATGGATCTATATGTCTGTCCTTATGCTAACATCCCACTGTCTTATTTTAGCTTTATAGTAAGCCTTGAAATTGACCAGTGATTGTTCTTTTTTTTTCTCCAAAATTATTTTGCTTATTCTAGGATTCTGCATTTCTACATAAATTTCTTTTTTCTCTTTTTTTGAGATGGAATCTCGCTCCATCACCCGGGCTGGAGTGCAGTGGTGCTATCTCAGCTCACTGCAACCTTTGCCTCTTGGGTTCAAGAGTTTCTCCTGCCTGTCTCCTGAGTAGCTGGGATTACAGGAGCGCACCACCACACCTGGTTAATTTTTGTATTTTTAGGGGTTTCACCATGTTGGCCAGGCTGGTCTCGAACTCCTGACCTCAGGTGATCTGCCTGTTTTGGCCTCCCAAAGTGCTAGGATTACAGGCGTGACCCACTGCGCCCCGCCTGCAATTCTATATAAATTTCTACATAAAAAATTCGCTTGATTTTGATTGAGACAGCACTGACTCACAATTTAGGGAGAATTGACATCTTAACAATACCAAGTCAACTGAACTATGAACATGTGTGTCTCACTATTTATTGAGATATTCTTTAATTTATCTCAGCAAAGTCTTGGACTTTTCTCTGTGCAGTTGCCCAACCTTATCTGCAGAGGACACGTTCCAATAACCCCAGCTATGCCTCAAACTGTGGAGAGTACTGACCCCTATATATCCTATGTTTTTTTAATATCTACTTACCTATGATAAAGTTTAATTTATAAATTTGGCATAGTAAGAGAGTAACAATAACTAATAATAAAGCAGAAGAATTATAACAAACTGTAATAAAAGTTGTGTGAATGTGGTCTCTCAAAATATCTTCATATTTTTGGATTGTAGTTGACTGTAGATAACTGAAAACTGCTGAAAAGGAAAAGACTGATTTGGTTACTATACATACCATCATTATTTTGTTATGTTTATTCCTAAATAAATCATGTTTTGTGATGCCATTTTAAACATATTGTTAAAATGTAAATTTCCGATTGTTTGTTGCTACCATATAGAAATATAATTGATTTGTGTATGTTGACCTTGTATCCTGTGACGTTGTTTAAATTTGCTTCTTAGCTGTGGTTACTTTTTGGTAGATTCCTTTGGATTTTCTGTATCAACAGGCACATTGCTGGTGCATAGTGACAGTTTTACATATACATTTCCAAAGATAGGAATTTTATTTTGGTTTCTTGCCTTATAACATTAACTGGAAACACGCACTGAATAGAAGTGACAAGAGGGAACATCTTGCCTTCTTCCCGATCTTAGGAGAAAATAATTCAGTTTTAAATTATGGCATTAGCTGTAGGTTTTTGGTGGATTTCCTCTATCACATTGAGAAAGTTTTCTCCTATTTCTAGTTTGCTAAGGGCTTTTTGTTTGTTTGTTTTAAATCATGAATGGGTATTGAAATTTGTCAAATGCTTTTCTGCACCTTTTAAGATGAAACTATATGAATCATACAGTTTCTCCTTTTTAGTCTGCTAGTATGATGAATTATATTTATTGATTTTTGCATGTTGACTCAATATTACATTTCTAGGATAAACCCCACTTGTTCATGATGTATTCTTTTATTATATGTAGCTGGATTTGATTTACTGAAATTCTGTTAAGGATTTTTGTGTCTGTGTTCATAAGAAATATTGGTCTGTAGTTTTCTACCTTTTAAATTTCTTTTTCTAGTGTTATCAGGGTAAAACTAGCCGCATAAAGTGAACTGGAAAGTCTTCTTTCTATGCTTTTGTGCAGGACTGGTTTTATTCCTCCCTTAAACATTCAGTAGAATTCATCAGTCAAGCCTCTGAATCTATGGGTTTTCTTTGTAGAAAGGTTTATGACTGCAACTTCACTTTCTTTAATATAAATAGGGATGTTTAAATTATTTCTCTTTGAGTGAGCTTTAGTTGTTCTGATCTTTCAAGGAATGTATTTTTATCTAATTTGATGAATTTATTGTTTTAAGTTTATTCATAACTTTTTTTATTATCCTTTTAGTAGGGTATAGAAATTGTTCATTCTGGGTACTTGTAATTGTGTGTTCTTTATCTATTTTTCTTGTTTAAGTTGGCTAAAGATTTACCAGCTGTGTTTTCAAAGACTGGTTTTTGTTTTCATTGATTTTCTCTACTGTTTGTCCATTTATTATTCTATTGATTTCTGGTTATTTCTTCCCTTCCACTTACTTTGGGTTAAATTGCTCTTCTTTTTCTATTTTCTTAAGGTGGAAATGTAGACATTTAACTATAAAGTTTTCTACTTTCCAACATAAGTATTTAAACTTATAAATTTCTGGCCGGGTGCAGTGGCTCATGTCTGTAATCCTAACACTTTGGGAGGTCGAGGCGGTTGGATCAGCTGAGGTCAGGAGTTCAAGACCAGCCTGGCCAAGGTGGTGAAAACCCATCTCTACTGAAAATACAAAAATTAGCCGGGTATGGTGGCGCATGCCTGTAGTCCCAGCTACTCAGGAGGCTGAGGCAGGAGAATCGCTTGAATCCAGGAGGTGGAGGTTGCAGTGAGCCGAGATTGTGTCACTGCACTCCAGCCTGGGTGACAGAGTGAGACTCTGTCTCAAAAAAAAAAAAAAAAAAAAGTTATAAATTTCCTTTTTAGCACTGTTTTAAATGATTCCCACACTTTTTATATGTGTGGGAATATGCTTTCATTTTCATGCCTTTCAAAATATTTTCTTATTTCACTTGTGATTTTTTTATTGGTGTCAGATAATATATTTTAGAAATTAATCCTTTAAATTGTATTAAGACTTGTTTTATGGACCCAATATGGTCTATCTTGATAAATTCTCCGTGTACACTTGAAAAGAATGTTTATTCTGCAGTTGTTGAGTGAGTGTTTTATAAATGCCAATTAATTTAAGTAGTTAGTAGTGTTGTTCAAGTTTCATGCATCCTTACTGGTTTTCTTCCCACATATTTTAACAATTATTGAGAGAGGAGTGTTGAAGTTTATAACTGTAATTGTGTCTATTTCTTCTTCTACTTCTACCAGTGTTTGCTTCATATATTTTGAAGCTCTGTGAGCACTGTTGTGTTTTCTGATCCATTTCCCATTATGATCCCCAATATGAAATCTACTTTGTATAATATTAATACAGCCAATTCTCTTACTTTTGCTTAATGCTTGCATGACATTCTTTTACTTTTTTGTAACATTTTGGGGAATGTTTTGTTATTCTTTTTTTTAACCTGTCCATGTCTTTATATTTAAAGTCAGTTTCTTATAGACAACATACATATAGTTAGGTCTTACTTTTTTAATCCAATCTGACAATCTTTTAATGGACTGTCTAGACCACTTACATTCAATAGAATTATTGATATAGTTGAGTTTTAATTTACCATATTGATATTTGTTTTCCCTTTGTCCCATCTATTTTATGTTTTCTTTTTCCTTTGTTCCTTTATTCATTCATATTAATCAAATTATTTTTAGATTCTATTTTCTCTCCACTATTGGCTTACTAGCAATTCTTCTTTTTTAAGGTTTCTTTTTAGTGGTTGCTCCAGGGTTTACAATATTTAACTAATCACAGCCTACTTTCAGATAACATTATATGATTTCACATGACATGTAAGAAACTTACAACAGCATACTTTCATTCTGCTCCTCCTGTCCTCTGTGTCATTGTTGTAATATATTTTACTTCTATGTAGGTAATGAAATCCACAGACTTTGTTACGTTTGCTTGAAATAGTCAAATATCTTTTAAAGAGATTAAGTAGGAAAAACATGTTTTTATATTTGCCATTTCCAGTGTTCTTTATTACACTGTGTGAATTAAAATTTTTACAAGTTATTTTCTTTCTGCCTGAAGAGGTTCCTTTAACATTTCTGCAGTTCTGCTGGTGATGAAATAGTTGTTCTCATTTTACTAGGAACATCTTTCTTTTTCATTTTCTTTTTTGGTACAATATGGTTACATTTATAATATTGGAACATGTATGTTTAAAAATGCATGGAGTACTTGCTTCAGCAGCACATATACTAAAATTGGAATAATACAGACAAAATTGGCTTGGCCCCTGCACAAGGATGACACACAAATTCAAGAAGAGTTCCACATTTTTGTATTTAATGCACTCAACTGTGCACTTAAAAATAGTAGATTTTATGTTATATATATTTTACCTCAATAAAAAACATAGACATGGGTCTAGAAATACACATATAAAACTGTTAATATTGGCTTACTCCTTGGAAGAGGAGATGGGAGTGAAAGATAACTTTTAGGATTTAACTCCAATTTTTAAACTTTTGTTTGGAAATTATTTTAAACACAAAAAATTTGCAGGAGTTTACTCCGATTACCCCATTTGCTTCACCATTCTCAATCTCTTTTTATATATACATTAAAAATACATCATCTATATCTGCATATGTATTTGTGTATAAACTAGATATATGTATATATATTTATGAACCATTTGAGGGGAAAATACTCAGCATATTTCCTAAAAATAGGGATTCTCCTTTGTAACCACAGTACACTTAACAAATAGAGTACATTTAGTTACTTTTTCTTTTTTCTTTTCTTTTTTTTTTTTTTTTTGAGAGGAAGTTTTGTTCTTGTTTTCCAGGCTGGAGTGCAATGGTGCAACCTTGGCTCACTGCAACCTCCCGGGTTCAAGCGATGGTCCTGCCTCAGCATCCTAAGTAGCTGGGATTACAAGCATGCACCACCATGCCCGGCTAATTTTGTATTTTTAATAGAGACGGGGTTTCTCCATGTTGGTCAGTCTGGTCTCGAACTCCCGACCTCAGGTGATCCGCCCACCTCGGCCTCCGAAAGTGCTGGGATTACAGGCGTGAGCCACCATGCCCAGCCACTTTTTCTTTTTTTAATTGACAAGTAAAAATTGTATATGTATTATGGTGTACAACATGATGTTTTGATATGTGTATATACATTGTGAAATGGCTAAAGTCATTTTGCATATGCATTACCTCACATACTTTTTTGTGGTGAGAATACTTAAAATCTCTTAACAATTTTCAAGTATACAATATATTGTTATAAACTATAGTCATCTTGATGTTCAGTAGATCTCTTGAACTCATTCCTCCTGTTTAACTGAAATTTTGTTTCTTTTGACCAACATCTTCCCAATTACCACACACACAGTCTCTGGTAACCATCATTTAACTCCTTGTTTCTATGAGTATGACTTTTAAAAAATATTCTACATATAAGTGAGGTCATCAGTTTGTCTTTCTGTGCCTGGTTTAATTCACTCAAGATAATGTCCTCCATGTTCATCCATGTTGTCACAAATGACAAGATTTCTGTGTTTTTAAAGGCTGAATGGTATTCTGTTGTGCATATACACTACATTTTCTGAACACTTAGATTGACTCCATATCTTGGCTATTGTGAATAATGCTGCAATGAACATGAGCCTGCAGATATCTGTTTGATACACAGATTTCATTTTCTTTGGATATATACCCAGAAGTGGGATTGCTGGATCATATGATAGCTCTATTTTTAGTTTTTTGAGGAAACATTTATACTATTTTCCACAATTGCTGTACTAATTTATAGTCCCACCAACAGTGTGCAAGGCTTCCCTCTCTTCTACATCGTTGCCAATGCTTGTTATCTTTTATCTTTCAGGTAATAGCCATCCTAACAGGTGTGAGGTAATATCTCATTGGGGTTTCAATTTGCACTTCCCTGATGATTAGAGATGTTGAGTATTTTTTTTTTCTTTGAGACAGAGTCTCACTCTGTTGCCCAGGCTGGAGTGCAGTGGCACAATCTTGGCTCACTGCAACCTCCTTCTCCTGCCTCAGCCTCCCAAGCAGCTAGGATCACAGGTGCCCACCACCACGCCCAGCTAAGTTTTGTATTTTTAGTAGAGACAGGGTTTCACCATGTTGGCCAGACTGGTCTCGAATTCCTGACCTCAGGCGATCCACCCGCCTCGGCCTCCCAAAGTGCTGGGATTACAGGCATGAGCCATGGCGCCCTGGCTGAGCATTTCTTTTTCACATACCTAGTTAGTTATTTGTATATCTTCCCTTGAGAAATGTCCATTCAGGTCATTTGCTAATTTTTTAAATCAGGTTATTTGTCTTTTTACTTTTGAGTTATTTGAGTTTCTCACATATTTTGGAGGCTGATTATTATTTGCAAATATATTCTCCCATTCTGTAGGTTTCTCTTCACTCTGTTAGTTGTTTTCTTTGCTATGCAGAGATTTTTAGTTTAATGCAGTCCCATTTGTCTATTTTTACTTTTGTTGCCTATGTGTTTGTGGTCATATAAAAACAATTATTGCCTAGGCCAATGTCATGAAGCTATTCCCGTATGTGTTCTTCTAGTTTCACAATTGTAGGTTTTATATTTAAGTCTTTAATCCATTTTGAGTTGATTTTTGCATGTGGTGTGAGATGAGGGTCTAATTTCAATATTCTGCGTGTGGATATCCAGTTTTCCCAGGATCGTTTATTAAACAGACTATCTTTTCCCCATTGTAAGTCCTTGGTACTTTTTTAAAGTACATAGACTATAAATGCATGGATTTATTTCTGGGATTTTTATTCTGTCCCATTAGATTATATGTCTGTTTTTATACCACTACCATGCTGTTTTTATTATTATAGCTTTATAGTGTATTTTCAAATTAGTTACTGTGATGCCTCCTGCTTCGTTATTTTTGCTCAAAAATGCTTTGGCTAATTGATATTTTTTGTGATACATAACATTTTAAGATTTTTTTTTCCTATTTTTGTGAAAAATGTTATTGGAATTTTGATAGGGATTACATGGAACCCGTAGATCACTTTGGATATGGACATCTTAGGAATTTCAATTCTTCCAGTCCATGAACATGAGATACTTTTCCATTTATTTGTGTCTTTAATTTCTTTCATCAATGTTTCCCTCCTTTTTAATTTTTTTGGAAGAGTTTAAGGAATGCTATGAGTTCTTTAAATGTTTGGTAGAATTCAGCAGTGAAGTCATTAGGTCCTGGGCTTTTCTTTGATGGGAAACTTACCTACCTATTCAATCTCCTTACACGTTATTGATCTGTTCACATTTTCTGTTTCTTCATAATTTAGTCTTGTAGGTTCTATATGTCTATGAATTTATTCATTTTTTTCTATGTTAACTGATTAGTAAACTTAATATTGATACAATACTTTTATCTAATCTACCATTGGTATTCCAGTTTTACTGATTGACCTAATGATATGCTTTAGCATTTTCTTCTCTCATGTACAGGATCTAGCCTCTGGTCAGGCGTTGAATTTAAGTGTCATGTCTCTCCTTAACCTCCTTTAATCTGGAACTTTTTCTTTTCAAAATGACATTGACATGTTTGAAAAATGCAGTCTGGCCCTCCCACAGCCTTTAACTAAAACATCCATTTTTTGCTTGTCTGAAGTTTCTTCATGGTTGCATTTAGGTTATGCATTCTTGGCCAGAATACTACATAAATGAGTCTCTGTCCTTCACAATTGCAGGCACATGATACCCATTTGCCCCTCATTGGTGGTGTTAATTTTTTTTAATAAATCTTCATGTTTTATTTTTAAAATACTACTTAAGTTATATTTAAATATCAAAATCAAATAATATTTAAATATCATTCAGAATATATTAATAGCAACCTGATGAGTGACAATTTTGGAAATTAGCTTAACAATTTCATGAGGTATCTGGTTTTACTCACTTGAGATATGCTTTTGTTAGCACAGTGCATAGATTTTTTTTTGCCAAATTTTGTTCACTCATTTTCATGTATATGAATATACAGTCTATAAAATACTTACAAGTAAGCAAAATAAAATGCAAAAATCGTACTTTTAAATTTGTATTTTAAAAACCTCTTCATTATTTCCTTCCAATTTTAAATTATTTTTTGTATGCAGCCATTTGAGGTTTTCTATACACATACAAAATACACACTAAAATATAGATTTTTTTTTTTTAATGGAGTCTCACTCTGTTGCCCAGGCTGGAGTGCAGTGGCGCAATCTCAGCTCACTGCAGCCTCCACCACCCGGGTTCAAGCAATTCTCCTGCCTCAGCCTCCCAAGTAGCTGGGATTACAGGCACCCGCCACGACACCCAGCTAATGAAATATGAATTTTTAACAAAAATATCACAGCATATTTTTCTTATCATCTTCTATGCCTACTGATAATTTTTGCTGAATTTTGACTGTCAGATTGTATATTTTTACTTCATTCTTTTTCTCCAAGTTGTTACTAAAGTTACACATGCATACAGAAAATGCAAAAAATTATACATGTTCATCTCCAAGAACTTTCACAAACTGAACACACCCACGTGCCTAGCACTGAAATCAATACGCAGAATATCAGCCGCATCTCAGAAGTACTTTTTGCTGCCATCCAGTTCTCAAGAGAACACCCACTGTTTAATAGCACCACAGATTCATTCATTTTGACAATTTTATAAAATGAATTATAACATTCATTTTATATTTTATGTAAACAGAACCATGAATAGGGACTCCCTGGGGTGTAGCTTGGCATTAGGCCTGTGAGTTTCCTCATTGTTGTGTGCGTTCTGGTTTGTGTATTTCTATTGCTGTCTAGTGTTCCACTGGGTGAGGATACCACGGTGTTTATCCATTTTCTTGTTGATGGACATTTGGATAGTTTCCTCTGCAGAGCTCCTATGACTCCTGGGACTAAGAACATTTGAAAACCTATCTGCTGTAGATGTTTGTGTGAAGGGGAACAGGGTAGCTACCTATACGGCTTCAGTAGATGCTATGACTCCTGGGACTAAGAACATTTGAAAACCTATCTGCTGTAGATGTTTGTGTGAAGGGGAACAGGATAGCTACCTATACAGCTTCAGTAGATGCTGCCAAACAGTTTCCCAGTGTGGTTTAATTTAAACTCCACCACGTGTACATGAATGATCTGATTGCCCCATGGACTTGCCAGGACTTGATATTGCTCGTTTTCATTTTAGCTGAACGGGTGTGTGTAGAATGGTATCTCATCATGATTTAAATTAGCATTTTCCTGAAGATAAAGAAGTGAAACATCTTTTTATATTTCTATTGATCATTTGGACATTCTTTTTTGGGTAGTGTCTATTCAAGTTTTTTACCCATTTTTCTAATGGGTTTTCAGAGTTTTTCTTTTTAAGTGGTAGGAATTTGTTTTATATTCTGGCTTTCTGTGCTTTACGGGGCATATATAATGCAAACAGTTCTTAGTTTGTGGGGTGCTCAATCCCTTCTTTAATGATGCATTTTGATGAGCAGTAGCATTTCATATTCTTTATTATAATCAAATTTATCTTTTTCCTTTGTGTTTATAATTTTATTGCATTAAAACAATAGTTTTTCTACTCAGAAGTTGTAAAGCTGCTCTTCTATCTTTTTCTTATAAAAGCCATTCTTCTTTTATATTTAGAACTGACATGAAGAATATAAGAAATTAACAAGAGGAGCCCAGGAAACTGTGATTAGTAAAATGGAAGACAGGCTAAAAGAAAATGTCCCAATAAATGCAACAGATGAACAGCAGAAAAGTTAAACAGAGTTTAAATGACACTTGGGACACAATTAGTGGGCTGGATATGGGAACTCTCTCTATTCTCCGCTCAAATTTTGCTGTGAACCCAAAACTAAAAATAAAGTTTATTAATTAATAAAAAAGGAAAAAAGCTAGAACTGAGGGAATAATTAACCTTAGAAAAGGAAATGCACAAACACGTTCTTAATAGATAAAAGATTTCAAGCCACAGTTTCAAAAAGTTTGATGTATGTGGAGAAAAATAAGTATACATAGGAAATAATATTGAGCTACATCATAGTCTGAAACCCAAAGATAATGAGAAAGACAGCTGACAGCTGACATCTCAATATATGCAGGGCCATTTAAAATATATAGGTTTTTTTTAACATCAGTTCCAAGTTCACAGCAAAACTGAGCAGAATGTAGAGCTTTTCTATGTACCTCCTACTCCACACATGCACAGCCTCCCATTATCAACATCTCTCACCAGAGTGGTACACTTGTCACAACTGATGAACCTACAAGGACGCATCATTGTTACCCAAAGTCCATGGTTTACATTAGGGTTCACTCTTTACTGATTCCTGCAGAACGGGTCTTTACTATGATGATTGGGAAACAGTTATTTTCCAATGGTAGCACTCCCTCCTCATTTACCATTTGACACTTAGTATGCTACTTTAAGCAGGAACTCTCCCTAATCTCCAGTTCCTGATGTATTTATCATAGGTATGGACTCATGAAAAACTACTTTTTCAGGCTTATAATTCACTACTGTACTTCAAGATTTTGGTGTTCAAAATGCCCTGGTTTTAACCAGTGAAGCCCCTCCAAGCTGGCTCCTGTGTTCTCGTGATATATGATATTCCTCCATCATTTTGAGCACTTTCTTAATATCTGGTATAAAGAGATCATCCAAGCTTTTCTTGTAGCTACCTGTCCCAGCCCTGAATTTAACCATTTCTATGATGTGTCTTGGTTCCTTTTAATGGAAAAAGGTATTAGAGAGCAAGCTCTGGATGTAAGGCATGCCCATTGCTACTGGGGAATCTTTGCTTCTTGCACCTTTCAGATGAGTGATCTAAAAAGTCAAAGGATGTTTATACTTTATACCTACAAACTTATATACCTACAGACATATATGTATATACATAAATACATATACATGTGAACATATACATATTTTAGAATTCATGAGTTCACAGCAATAATTTTAATTTCTATCTATCCTCACAGGGGTTTTTTTTTCAGTGAAAACTCTAGGTCCCCAAAACAATATATTTATATATTTGCTCAATTGTATAACACAGCTAAAATAGTTTCAGAATTCATTCTTTCCACTACACAAAACAGACCTCTGAGAAAAGTTCAGGAATTCTGATGTCCTCTTTGCCCAATTATCCCATCATGAATGGAGGGTGGTCAAATATTGTATTTATACACTGTTAAAATTAGTCAAATATTGTGTAGTCCAATATTGTATTTATACACTGCTAGAATTAGTTCTTTTTCTACTTTCCATCTGAGTGGTTATACTAGTCATCTAATTGGGTTGATTTCAGTTTGCTCTTCATTTTATTTTCTTCAACCTATTCTTATTAACTTAATTAATTTGACTATGTAGAAGGTTGCCATGTTTCCAAAAGAAAAACTGTACAGAAAATTCCCCTTGTAAAAGTGCCACTTCCTCCCCAGTTCCTAGTGCCACATTCCCTTTATACATGGCGAACTTTGTGGTTTTCTGGTTTATCTTTCCTTTTGTGCTTCTTTTTGTAAAGGCAAAGAGATATTGATAAGTTTTCTTATTTTTCCTTCTACTTACACTAATGGTAGAATACTATGTATGCCCTTTTGAAAAACAACTTTATTGAGGCATAATTTACATAACATAGAATTCATCCACTTTCATTATGCTGCTGGAAAGCTTTAGTAAATTTATAAACTTTGCAGCCATCACCACAATTTAGTTTTAGACCACTGCCGCCATCCATAAGTTTCTCTCATGCCCATTTGCTTATGGTTTTTACTCCCAGCTCTAACCCTAGGCAGCTACCAATCTGCATTCTGTCTCTACAGTTTTTCCCTCTCTAGACATTTCATATAAGTGGAATTATACAATATGTGATCTTATGTATCTGGCCCTTTCGCTTGGCATAATGCTTTTGAGGTTCATTCATGTTGTTGGATGTATCAGTATTTCTTCCCATTTTATTGCTGAATAATGCTCATTGTATGGATATACCAACATTTGTTCATCCATTCAGCAGCTGACATGGTGTGGATATTTGTCCCTGCCCAAATCTCAGACTGAACTGTAATCTCCAATGTTGGAGGTGGGGTCTGGTGGGAGGTGATTGGATGATTGGATCGTGGAAGTGGATCACTCATGAATGGTTTAGCATCATCCTCTTATGGTTCTGTTTTTCTGTTCTGTTGGTTCTGTTCTCATGGCAGTGAGCTCTTGTGAGATCTGGTCCTTTAAAAGTGTGTGACGCCTCCTCCCTCACTCTCTTTCTCTTGCTTTTGCTTTCACCAAGTGAAGTGCCCGCTCCCGCTTCATCTTCCACCATGAGTAAAAGCTCCCTGAGGCCTCCCCAGAAGCTAAGCGATGTTGGTTTCATGCTTGTACAGCCTGCAGAACCATGAGCCAATTAAACCTCTTTTCTTTATAAATTACCAGTCTCAAGTATTTCTTTATAGCAATGCAAGAATGGCTTAATATACCAGCTGATGGACTTTTGGATTGGTTGTAATTTTTTATTATGATAATACCGCTATGTGTGCAAGTCTTTGGACAGACATATGTTTACATTCCTTTTGGATTGATATCTAGGAGTGCAATTCCTGGGTCATATAGTAAGTATCTATTTATCTTTTGAAGAAACTGCCAAATTGTTTTCCAAAGATGCTGTATCATTTTACGTTCCCATTTTACATTTACATAATGTAAAAATATGTATTTATATTTTTACATTAATTGTAAGTAAGTGGATTTTCATGAACTTGCTGAAAACTCTTATCTTAGATACTGCCACATAATCGTCCTCAGATTTTTGCTGATTTTTGACTTAAGCAGCCTTTTTCTTCACGAGTAGTTCAAAGATAAAATAAGTTTTAACTCAGAATAAATGTAAGCAAAAAAAGACCCAGAAAATTGTTTCCTCTTTCTTATTAGAAAATGGAAAGATACAGATGACATTATTAAAGGAAGGACTTTCTAGCTTCAGTCTTCAAAAATAAAGGTCTTTTCACTAGAAACCTGAGTTTACATTCTTTTCTATGGTAAGGCAAGAAGTGATATTAGTTTACGGAAAGAGGTCCTTCTTTTAAGTGATAGATACCAGGGAAATGGACTAAAGTTAGGATAGGGTCATTAACTTCACCTTTTGAGAAACTAGAAGATAATTTGATAATCTAAATATTTCATTTTATTTATTTTTTGAGACAGAGTCTTTCTCTGTCGCCCAGGATGGTGTGCAGTGACGTGAACATGGCTCACTGCAGCTTCAAACTCCTGGGCACAAGCGACCCTCCCATTTCAGTCCCTCAAGTAGCTGGGACTATAGGTGCCTGTCACCACGCACTGCTGATTTTTATTTTGTAGAGATGGGGTCTCACTGTTTTGCCCAGGCTGATCTGAAACTGCTGAGCTCAAGTGATCCTCCTGCCTCGGCCTCCCAAAGTAAAGATTTTTAAAAGGAGAAAACTTAATAAAGTTCCCGATTGTTATTTTTATTTTGAAAGGGCCATTGTAGTGGTGGCAAAAAGGCAATGCTAGAAATAAATAATAATCCTGAACTAGCAGCTGCTAATTCAGCACTTTCACCCACAGTGGGATGAACACCAGATCTTCTTGCAATGCCCTAAAACACAACTGGACAAAATAACAGCCTCTAGAGAACCAAGTGTGCTTTTTGGTGGCCATGATTAACGACATCACCCACATGGTACATGGGGGATATCACAGGCATCAATGTGCACCCCAGGAAAATCACTATCAGTTAACAGACTATCAGTTAACTTGTAAATTAACTTCAGCTAAATTTTACAATAAGGAAAGGTTATATTAAAAAACTCTTTTTACATCCCTTTTCAATGTTTTTTCTCTGTGCTTCTGTTACTCACCTTTTTTGCCTCAACCCAAGTGCATAGTTCGTGCATATTTTATTGGGTCTGACTTCAGCCAAAATATGTGTATGTATGTGTGTATGTATACATACATATATATATATATATATGCGCACACATATATAGCAGCATTATATACATATGTATGTGTGCGTATATATGTATATGGGTGTAAAACTCTTTGATGAAAGTTTCACTTGAAGTTTTCTTAAGCATGCATCTTGTGCTTTGAGGAAATGAACGAGTATTTGGGCAGTAAGGGGTTTTCCAGGCCGGGTGCGGTGGCTCATGCCTGTAATCCCAGCACTTTGGGAGGCTGAAGTGGGTGGATCACAAGGTCAGGAGTTCGAGACCAGCCTGGCCAGCATGGTGAAACCCCCATCTCTACTAAAAATAAAAAAATTAGCCGGGCATGGTGGCGCATGCCTGTAGTCCCAGCTACTTGGAAGGCTTAGGCAAGAGAATCACTTGAACCTGGGAGGCGGAGGTTGCAGTGAGCCGAGATTGCGCCACTGCATTCCAGTTTGGGCGACAGAGCGAGACTCCATCTCAAAAAAAAAAAAAGGGAGGGTTTCCTAATACCCTTCAAAATACATCACATGGGCAGGTAGTTACTTTCTCCTGGGCCCAACCCTCATGAGGTGCATATATATGTGACTTAATGGGTCTACAGTTTTAAAGTTTTTAGTCTTTAAGAAAGAGGGGCTGGGAGTGATGGCTCATTTCTGTAATCCCAGCACTTTGGGAGGCTGATGCACGTGGATCTCTTGAATTCAGAAGTTATAGACCAGCCCTGGCAATGTGGTGAAACCCCATCTCTATAAAAAATGCAAAAATTTGCTGGGCATGGTGGTGCACACCTGTGGTCCCAGCTACTTGGGAGGCTGAGGTGGGAAGATGACTTGAGCTCAGGAGTTCAAGGCTGCAGTGAGTCATGATTGCACCACTGCACTCCAGCCTGCATGACAGAGTGAAACTGTCTTAGAAAAAAAAAAAAAACAGGCAAATACTTCCTGAGATCTTAGACTATATCTGAATAAACTGAGTGAAAATATTTTATATGTAAGGACAATATCTATCTACTTATCTGTCTATCTCTCTATCTCTCTATCTATCTATCTATCCATGTATCTATCCATCCATCCTACCTATCTAACTATCTATTGGTCACCTGTAATTCTACAGAGACATAATTAAGTGCTGAGTAATTAAGAAAGGAGAAAAATGGAAGGATAAGACAGTATGTGCCCAGGAGGAATCTATGATATACGTAGCTGGCAAGATGTGCCTATTCGGTCGTGCCCATTTTAAATTAGCATTCTCTGTAGTTTTCTTCTTAGAAATCATCTCTCCCTAACACACACACACGTGTGCGCACATGCACATATGCACACCACATTGATTTTTATTCTTCTTTTTCAAAGTTCACAGCTGTTCTATTCCACAGATGAGAGGATATTGGAGAAATGCTATAGAAGAAACAACAAAATGTTAGTACTTCTGGTTTTTTGGGCAATGTGTTGATTTCGAGAATGGTCCCAAGGTGTTCATGACTGCCTGTGTTCACTCTGGGCTGGCCATGTGACTTGTTTTGGCCAATAGGGATGGTAGCAAACATGATGCAGTGGACGGTGGAAAAATAATTAATGCACACCTGGGACATTGGTAACTCCCATCTTTCCCTCTTTGTTCTTTATTTTCTATCTTCATAGAAAACAGCAACTTTTACATTTGCAGTAAAAACAATGGCAGTTTACTCTCCCTTCCATTTGGTGGTGTGTTGGTAAATGTTTAACCTTTAGTTCTTTGAGAAATTAAAAAGCCCTACACAGAGATACTTCATCTTTACAAAAAATTAGCTGGCCATGGTGGCAAGCACCTGTAGCCTCAGCTACTTGGGAGGCTGAGGCAGGAGGATTGCTTGAGCGCAGAAGTTTGAGGCTGCAGCGAACTATGATTGCACCACTGCACTCCACCCTGGGGGACAGAGCAAGACTCAGTCTCTAAAATGAAAAAAGGGCGGGGGGTGGGGAACCACTGATGTGTAGCTTTTGCTGATTTCTGTGGTGTAAATACTCCCACTGTGGTTAATTTCAAGCTACCAGTATCATGTCACTTCATATGGAGATGGGAAGTCATCATTGTGTAGTATTTCCGCTGAACAGGCAGAATAAATGTAAATAACTATGACAGCATAGGTAGTAGTTAAAAGTAGGAAAATAACCAGGAAATGATGAATTTTGAATATTTATTACCTTTGCTATTAATATGATTTATTTAATTGTACATTTATGCAATTTAGTTTTTTTTTTTTTTTTTTTTTTTTTTTTTTTTGAGACAGTGTCTCACTTTGTTGCCAAGGCTGGAGTGCAGTGACACAATCTTGGCTCACTGCAACCTTCACCTCTTAGGTTCAAGAAATTGTCCAGCCTCTGTCTCCTGAGTAGCTAGGACCACAGGTGTGTGCCACCATGCCCAGCTAATTTTTGTGTTTTCTGGTAGAGACAGATTTGGCCGTGTTGGCCAGGCTGCTCTTGAACTACTGAGCTTAAAGCAAGCCACTCACCTTGGCCTCCCAAAGTGCTGAGATTACAGGCATGAGCCACTGTGCCTGGCTCAATTTAATTTTTAATAATGGTGGCTTAATAGCTAGTTCTCCAAATTCTGCTACATTTAACCATGGGTTTGATATGGTTTGGCTGTGTCCCCACCCAAATCTCATCTTGAACTGTAGCTCCATAATTCCTATATGTTGTGGGAGGGACCTGGTGGGAGATAATTCAGTCATGGTGGTGGTTTCCCCCATACTGTCCACATGATAGTGAATAAGTCTACGAAATCTGATGGTTTTATCAGGGGTTTCTGCTTTTGTGTTTTCCTCATTCTCTCTTTGCTTGCTGCCATCCATGTAAGATGAGTCTTGCTCCTTCTTGCCTTCTGCCATGATTATGAGGCTTCCCCAGCCATGTGGAACTGTAAGTCCAATTAAACCTCTCTTTTGTAAATTGCCCAGTCTCGGGTATGTCTTTATCAGCAGCATGAAAATGGACTAATACACGGTTCTCACAAGTCAGTGTGAATTGGCTCCAGCACCTTCTGTATCTCATCTTACCATAGCCACATTGATGTCTACAAAAAGGAGAGCCTGGGGCTCCAGAAGTCACTCTATCAGGGAACCAGGGTGACATGGGGAGGCTCACTGGTGGGGTGGGGGAGGACTCTGGATCAGCCAGAATCACTGTTGTGTTTTCACTGAAGGGTTTTCTGCCACATTTAGATTGTGTATCTTCAGATTCATAGGAAAGGCTGATTATAGGGTGTATAGAAACCAGCTTAAAGCAACACCCTTGTTTCTTGTGACTTAACTCTTTCCCTTTCAAACTCCTATTTGATACTCCTCTCTAAAATGATCCTCATCCCTAAATACTGCCCACTCAGTTGTTCTGTTTTCTAATATTTCTTTCTTTAAATCAGGAGTGGGAGAACACTGGCCCTCAGGTTCTTTCTCGACTATTTTTGGCATGAAGTCCCCAAGGATAATTTCTTCACTTCTACTCTAGTTGTGCAAATGTTTCATTGTTTGGTAGCAACAAATTAAAACCCCATAGTTTGGGGCTGTTATGCTTTACGTTCCTGGCTTATCTGAGCTTATCTTTCTCTCTTTTCCCTGTCTTTGTTTGGGTTTCTCTGTATCTCTTTCACCACCTGGTCTTCCCCATAATTTGTCCTTTTCTATCTTCTTCTCTCTGGGTCTTTTAAATAGTCCGTAATATAGAATGAATGCCTACATTTTGATTATTTGTGTTTAAAAAAAAATTAGAGATAGGGTCTCGCTCTGTCACTCAGGCTTGCATGCAGTGGCATGATTCCAGCTCCTGTAACCTCGAACTCTTGGCCTCAAGTGAGCCTCCTGCCTTGGCCTCCCAAAGCACTGAGATTATAGGCATGAGCTGCCAAACCCAGACTATTGGTTGTTTTTATGAAATCAAATATACTATCCCTCTCTTTCTCTCTTTCTCTCTCTCTCTCTTTTCTTTTTTTTGGACAGAATCTCACTCTGTCACCCAGGCTGGAGTGCAGCGGTGTAATTACAGCTTACTGCAGACTTAACCTCCCCAGGCTCAGGTGATCCTCCCACTTCAGCCTCCTGAGTAGCTGGAACTGCAGGTGTGTGCCACCACGTCTGACTAATTTTTGTATTTTTTGTAGAGATGGGATCTTTCCATGTTGCCCAGGTTGGTCTTAACTGCTGGGCTCAAGCAATCTGCCTACCTCAGCCTCCCGAAGTGCTGGGATTACAGGTGTGAGCCACTTTGCCCGGCCTGTATTCTTTTATTAATTTAAATACTATGTGAATGGTATATGTTCTGTTTCAAATTTTAAAACATGAATCTTATTTATGAGTTCCTTGATAGATTTTCCAAGGGGTGTCAATTGCTTTTGAGACAGAACAATAATTTTTCTACATTCACCCTGAACACTTTACTATATTCAGCCCAAGAGAATACTACCCACTGATGAACTAATAGAAGAAGCAGAAAACCAAATTAACAGAAAAATGCTTTAGGGAGCTGGGACAGAGTAGTATCATAATGTGCTATCAATATAACTTCAAGCCATTTTACCAAAAATTGAAAAAAAAAAAACACTGGAGACATTGTAATACCCAAAATTCTATACAGCACTACAGTGTGAACCAGCCAGTAACATTTAATCTAAATTCTTCAATAGCTCTGCCCTGGACCTGTGTGCTGTTCTTTAACTAAATAGCAAAATAGGTGGCTCAAGTGGTAAGATGCACGACCCATCTGTGTTTGAGTCAGGGAGAGCAGTTCCCAGCTGGATGGCTCTAGAAGTGTGAGAATGGCAGAGAGCATGATCTACTCACAGATGCTATACTAACAGCCAAAGAGGGGCCTGTTGTTTAGAGAAAGAAGCTATTTTTAAAGTTTAACACAACTGGAAAATTTTGACTCTGCAAGATCAGGAAGTCATATTTCATTTTGATGAGACCCTAGCAGAATTCTCTGTGCACACTCAGAATTATGTTTTAGAAACTAGAAATATCCACAAGGGAAGCTATCAAATTATAAATATCTTATAAACTAATGCCTAAGGATAATAGTAAAGTTGCTTGAATCAACGGAGATAAATCTTGGGGCTAGAAAGCAGGGTTTGTTTTTTGTTGTTGCTGTTGTTGTTGTTTTTTGAGATGGAGTTTTGCCCTTCTTGCCTTTTTGCCCAGGCTGGAGTGCAGTGGCACAATCTTGGCTCACTGCAACCTCCACCTCCCAGGTTCAAGCAATTTTCCTGCCTCAGCTTCCCGAGTAGTTGGTATTACAGGTGCCCACCACCACGGCCGGCTAATTTTTTGGATTTTTAGTAGAGATGGGGTTTCACCATGTTGGCTAGGCTGGTCTCAAACTCCTGACTTCAGGTGATCCTCCTGCCTCAGCCTCCCAAAGTGCTGGGATTACAGGCGTGAGACACCACACCCAGCCGGGCTTGTTCTCTTTAGGATCTCACAAAGTGCCTAACACTGTGGGTGCACAGTCAAGATTTCGTTGAGGGCTAACTCAGCCTTACTTTGCATGTACAACAATTATAAGAACGATAATCTCTCCAACAATATATAGATGTTAGATGTTGGAGGCTGCAACATCTACCTTCTTCAACCTCTGATGGATGCACTCAATGCAGACCTATCTTATGGGGATCAACAGGCACATTTCGTAAAATGGCCAGATCAACAAATCTTCTCTCCCGCTTTTTTAAATCTCCAGTGCAGGAAAAATGTTAGGGATACGTAATTCCAACTAGGGGCCAAAGTAGGGCTCCTGGCCCACCAATTTTTTTTTTAATATTTCCAGTCCCTAGAGTACCCTTGGGGGAGGAGTACCAAGTAGGTCTTACTGCACATTGTCACACTCAGGGCACAGGAAGCAGCAAAGAACATGGTTTCTTCTAGTCTATCAGGAAATGAAGAATTTGGGCAAAACCGATTGGGCAAAACAGATGTAGAAACACTACATCATGTGTGAAAGGCAGTCAAATGGATGTCAAGCTCTTCAATATCCCTCCCCAAAACTCTTTGATGGGGTGTAGGTAGTTGCCATTTCTTCTATGAGCCAAGTTGAAATTATAAGTAGGAAGCATGAATGTTTCTCCTCATAATAAAATAGACAAGCATGGTTTTAATTTTAGATCAAGGAGATTCAAGTTAGAGCTAAGCAACACTCTTCTTTCAGTAAGAATTATTCACAATGAAAACAGTTCTCAATGAAATGCTCAAGATGTGGCTTACAAGTGAATGCCTAATTAAAGTCAGACTTCCATATTGTTCATGCATGCACTATAAGAAACAAAAAGTGGGGCATACAGCCAAAAATAGGAGATTCTGGACACAGAAAACATAGACAAATGTGCTACAGTAACTCAACAAGATTGACAATAAATATTCCACAACTGATCATAAATGATTTGTTTTCAGAACAAATTAATGAAAGATTGAGTTGAAATTTTTGTTTATAAAAGAAATCAGAAATGTATGGGAAGATTAAGCTTCTATTTGTCACCCTGCAGGAATGTTCTATTTGGCTCCAGGGCTTTATTTAAGAATGAAGTTTTACTCTTCTATGTAGGAATGCTCAGGCTTGGAACCAAAATCTATCTGCAGAGCCACTGATCTCAAAACACAGATTATCCTCTCTCTTACCTCTCGCATGACTTAAGTTCCCATTCTTGAGCTATCTATTTCTCCTTCTCTGATGAAAACTTTTCAAATCTCACCCGTTAGAGGAAGTTGCTTTTCCTTTTGCCAAATGATCCAAATAATGTGTGGTTCAAGGTGATTGTTCTTCCAATCCTCCAGGTGCCTAATCTTGTAGGGCACACAACCTTTTTCCACGGGGCTTTATTCTGAGGAAGATTCTTTTGTGAATCAAGATACAGCTGCTATAACTTGAGAAAGTGTAATAAGACCCCTTGGGTGAGCCATTACTTTTGAGTGAAGAAGGTAGTACTGAAGATGAAATGCAGTGAGTTCACCGGCATCTGCGTCTGCTGCTGCCTGGCTCATCTAGGGTCCTAGGATTGCTACTTGACCACAATTCAGAAGATACCAAGAAGAACTCAAAGAAATGTATCATTCAGTTAATTTTCACATTAGCTTACCAGCTTCCAAATAATATAAACAAGGTGGATGGTGTAATTAAAGTGTCAACAAGATTTTAGAAAATGTATAGTTCATGGCACTGTGCTAGGAAAACATTACTCGTGTAGGTCTGTGGGTAAATATTTTACTAATATTTACCTAATAGTAAAGTTGTTATGCCCACTTTAGCTCCCTATTGATTTGGAAGACAGAGGATATTTTAGATGAAATGTATAAACAAAGGCAAATCTTGATTTGGATTCCTTTTTTTTTTCTTTTTCGAGACAGGGTCTCACTTTGTCATCCACAGTAGTGTGCAGTGGCGTGATCATAGTTCACTGCAGCCTTGACTTTCTGGGCTCAAGTGATCCTCCCACCTCAGCCTCCTAAGTAGCTGGTACTACAGGTACATGCCACCACTCCTGGCTAATTTTTTTTTTCTTATTTTTTTGTAAAGACAGGGTCTTATTGTGTTGTCCAGGCTGGTCTCTAACTAAAAGGCTCAAGCAATCTGCTTGCCTTGGCTTCCCTAAGGGCTGAGGCTACCATGCCCGACTTTGATTCAGATTGTTAGTGAATATCAGAAGGTTCATACAACCTTTATCATTCAGCATCATGCATTGTAGACATATACTTTTAAACAATCAAAAATAAGAAACCTGGAAAATAGAATTTTCTTGAAAAACATCTCCAGTAGTGCGAGGGACACATATTTTGTGATCACCGTCTGCTAAGGTGTATTTGCAGGTCTTCCTTTTCCCTCTTGCAATTGCTCCCTGTGTTTCCTTGTGAAGCTGTGTTACGTGAGCCCAAGCAGAGATTCCGCCTAGGTATTCTATTAGCTTTTACAGTAACCAGTGTGTAGAAAACACAAATGACGGAAGTCATTGCTTTTAAAGCCCTTCTCACAAATGAATTTCCTTTGGAGACGCAATATCCCAGGAGCATAATAGATTTTCCTCTCCCTTCTTCCATTTGAACAGACACGTTCACAGCTAACTAATCAGTTGCAATTCTAATCTATATTTCTGATTTGTTTACATGCATCATGCAGGCTGGCAATCTTTTGAATTTAAATGTGACTTAAAGTAAAATAAAATAAACCACAAGTAAATGACACAGAATTGCTAACAGTAGGAACTTTGTTTACATTCCACATTCTGAAAATATTTTGTTCAGCTGGCTAGGGAAACCACATGGTGGAGACAGACTGGGTGAGGATTTGGTTTACTGCCTGGCTGGAATCAGGATGGAAAAAGGGATGGCATGTGATATGGCTGTCTGTCACCTCAAATCCAGAGAAAGAACACATTCTCAGCACACATGTGATCTGTGCTTTAACAGAAGAGCTCTAATAATCCTAGCCAGATCATCACGTGCGCCTGGCACTGGGCCAGAACAATATGCCAGTCTATTGGAGTATTCAGATAATAACCGTCTCTTCATTTCTGCAGTCATCAGCAGGTGCTGCTTCGTACATGACTCTCTTGGAGTCTGTTTGTTCTGCAAGTCCTTTGTTCCTGCCTACTTTCTGAAATTATCCTCTAATACAGTCCTATTTCTCCCTTCCCACCTACATTTGAAGGTTTATTGAGAGGCTTTCGTATTCTTGTTGGTCTCGCTGCCTTTCCCAGATGATGACTCCAGCTCAATTAAATGAAACTTAGCAATAGCTGAGGAATGGTCACTAAAGGGACAAGATGCATTGAAAACACACAGATGCCCTTTAACGTGGGCTCTGTCCTCCAGAGCAGAACATTGCAGTGAATGCACCTGTACCAGGGTGCATCCTGGTACAATTACTTGGTGTAAGAAATGAGAAAGAAGGCAGGAATGGAGATGAAGACAGAATTTAGAAGGGAAGAATGAGATTTTAGCAGGCCAGTTCTAATAGCAGATGCTCCTAAGATGCAACTCAGAAAATTAGTTATTTCATTATCCCTTTGTTAGGAATATATTGCCCACATGAAGAGAACCAAAGGAAAAAAAAATTTTTAGAGATGTAAGGACACTGTTCACATTGTTGTTGTCTTTTTTTTCTTTGAAAAAACAAGTCTCCTTAAGCACATGTGTACCTTGGGATCTCATCAAGGAACTCATCCTGCTTAGGGATTTCAGGAGCTCCAACAGAGAGTGCTTGGAGTACTTAGAAGAGGGGTCAAGGCATGGGAAGAGCAGAAGTCTCCTCTCCCAGCCTTTGATGTGTCCATCTGGAAAGGAAAGAATGTCTAGTAGCCACTGTGAGAAGCAGAAGAACTGAAACTGTTCCAGATTCTATAGGCATGTCTCCAATTCTCTGCCCTCCGGGGAAATTAAAGGCAGCCCCTGCTGCCTCGGCACCTTCCCTTGCCTCTGTCTTCCCTTTCCCCGCCCTGGCCCAAGCTCACCTTGACCAGCTCCAATCTCTGTTCTCTGAGTCTGGTGACAGGTCTTGAAAAGCACTGCCCTGCTTGGATGTTCTTTGGCCACACTCGGAGGAGTCTTGCTGTCCATTTTCAGGGGAGTGGTGTCCCATCCTCCAGCCTGGGCCTGCTTTCTGCTTGGTGTTCTTTAGTCCCAAGCTTCACAGACCTACTCCTCCATGCGCCCTCAGCCTTTCCTTCCAAACTTGCAGGCTTTGGAGAGAGCCTTTCAACTATGAGAGCCTCTCATAGTTATCAAAGAGCAACACATCAAGCTCTAGAATGAGAAAAGAGAAAACAAATGGAATTCTGGAAAAATTCTCCAGTAAATTTATAAATGCTTAGAGAAAAACCTTTCCCCCTATGACACAGACTTGTTCATGAAACAGAAGAATAATTTAGTTAATACTTTTAGTTCTCAATGAAAGAGGATATTTGGAACACACACATGCATACACACACACACACAGAGATCAAACTTTAATCAAAAGCAATAAAAAGCAGACTTAACACTGTAGAAAACTCTACCATGTGTAGATAACTAGCTTAAGGAAATGATTTAGATTGTGAAGGAATTTTTTTTTTTTTTTTTACTTCATTGAGTTCTAAGTCATTTACAATTGTCCATTTTACGTATACAGTTGGATGAGTTTTGGTCAACGCACACAGTTGTGCAACTATAATCACAAGAAGGTTTCCAACAGTTTTATCACTCTCAGACCTTCCTTTGAGCCCCTCTGCAGTAAGTCTCTACCCCCACTTCAGTCCTTAGCCCAAGGAAACTAGTAATCTGCTTTCCGTCACTGTAGTTTTGCTTTTATAGAAGTGTTTATCAATGAAGTCATACAATATATACTCTTTTGTGTCTGGTTTCTTTCACTTAGCAGAAGTGTTTTTGCGATTCATTCATGTTGTTCATTTTAGTAGTTCATTTCTTTTTATTGCTGGGTCCCTTGTATGGATACATCACATTTTGTTTATTCATAGGTAAGCATTTGGGCTGTTTCCATTTTGGAGGTTATTATGAATAACGCTACTGTGAGCATTCACATGAAAGTCTTTACGTGAACATATGTTTCCATTTCTTTTGGGTAGGTATCCAGGGATGAAAATGTCGGTACATTGGTATGTTGGTACATGCATATGGTAAATGCATATTTAAACTTTAAAGAAACTGTCAAACTGTTTTTCCAAAGATTTGCAGCATTTTGCATTCTTACCATCAATAGATGAGGGTTCCAGTCACACCACATCCTCATGTACCCTTGGTGTTATCTTAATTTTAGCCATTTTAATGGATGCATTTTGTTGTCTAATTTTAGATTTAATCTGTATTTCTCTACTGATTGATGATATTAAATAAACATCTTTCTGTGTGCTTCTTGGCCATTCATTTATTTTTATTTCGTAAATGTGTAGTCAAAACTTTTTTTGCCCATTTTTTCCATTTGGATTATTTGTATTCTTCTTCTTGAGTTTTAAGAGTTCTTTTTATATTCGGGGTACAAATCTTTTGTCATATCTATGTTTATTTTATATTCATATATAAATACAGATTTCCAATCCATGGCTTGTCTCTTCTTTTTTTCTTTTCTATTTTTGAGACAGGGTCTTGCTCTGTCACTCAGGCTGGAGTGCACCCTCAGCTCACTGTGGTGCCATCTCAGCTTACTGCAATGTCTGCCTCCTGGGTTCAAGTGATTCTCGTGCCTCAGCCTCCCAAGTAGCTGGGATTACAAGCATGTGTCACCATGCCCAGCTAATTTTTGTAGTTTTAGTAGAGACGGGGTTTCACTATCTTGACCAGGCTGGTCTCAAACTCCTGGCCTCAAGTGATCTGGCCGCCTTGGCCTCCCAAAATGAAGTCTTTTCATTTTTTAATGGTATTTTTCAAGAAGCAAACATTATTAACTTTGATGGAGTTCAATTTAACAGGTTTTTTTCCTTTATAGTTTGTGCTTTTTATCCCCCATCTAAAAAATCTTTGCCCTAACCCAAAGCCACAAGAATATTTTCCTGTGTTTTCTTCTGAAGTAAATATTTTTTATTTATTTATTTACATTAAAAAGAGTATTTATTGAGTACTTACTATATGCCAGGCTTGGAGCACTTCATATATATTATTTCAATAAATCTTCATAACAATCCTAGGAGGTAGGCTGTTTTGGTATTTTGTTTGTTTTATATTGTTTTTATACGTAATTACCTGCTCTACTGTTCTCTTTTAAAATTTCAATAGTTTGGGGAGAACAGGTGGTGTTTGGTGCATGGAAAAGTTCTTTAGTGGTGATTTCTGAGGTTTAGGTGCATCCATCACCCAAGCAGTGCACATTGTACCTAATGTGTAGTCTTTTATCCCTCACCCCACTCCCATCCTTCTTGCCCTCACTCCAGGCCCCAAAGCCCATTATATCATTCTTATGCCTTTGTGTCCTTATTGCTTAGCTCCCTCTTATAAGCGAGAACGTAAAATGTTTGGTTTTTCATTCCTGAGTTACTTCACTTAGAATAATAGTCTCCAACTCCAATCAGCTTTCTGCGAATGCCACTATTTTGTTCCTTTTTATGGCTGAGTAGTATTCCATGGTATCATAGATAATACATTATCTTTATTCACTGTTGGCTGATGGGCATTTAGGCTGGTCTCATAGTTTTGCAATTGTGAATTGTGCCGCTATAAGCATGAGTGTGCAGTTTCTTTTTCTTTTTCTTTTTTTTTTGACGAGATGAAGTCTTGCTCTGTCACCCAGTTGGGAGTGCAATGGTGCAATTTCAACTCACTGCAACCTCCACCTCCTGGGTTCAAGCCATTCTCCTGCCTCAGACTCCCAAGTAGTTGGGATTACAGGCGTGTGCCACCATGTGTGGCTAATTTTTTGTATTTTTAGTAGAGATTGGGTTTCACCATGTTGGCCAGGCTGGTCTTGAACACCTGACCTCAAGTAATCTGCCCACCTCAGCCTCCCAAAGTGCTGGGATTACAGGTGTGAGCCACCACACTCGGCAAGTTTCTTTTTCATATAATGACTTCTTTTCCTCTGGGTCGATACCCAGTAGTGGCATTGTTGGATGAAATAGTAGTTCTACTTTTAGTTCTTCAAGGAACCTCTATACTGTTTTCCATAGTGGTTGTACTAGTTTACGTTCTTACCAGCAGTGTAAAAGTGTTCTCTTTTCACCACCTCGCTGCCAACATCTGTTATTTCTTGATTTTTTAAAATTATGGCTATTCTTGCAGGAGTAAGGTGATATCTCATTGTGATTTTGATTTGCATTTCCCTGATAATTAGTGATGTTGAGCATTTTTTCATGTGTTTGTTGGCCATTTGTATATCTTCTTTTGAGAATTGTCTATTCATGTCCTTAGCCACCTTTTTGATGTGATTATTTGTTTTTTTTCTTGCTGATTTGTTTGAGTTCCCTGTAGATTCTGGGTATTAGTCCTTTGTCAGATGCATAGTTTGCAAATATTTTCTCCCACTCTGTGGGTTGTCTGTTTACTCTGCTGATTATTTCTTTTGCTGTGCAGAAGCTTTTTAGTTTAATTAGGTCCCATCTATTTATTTTTGTTTTCGTTGCATTCTGAAGCAAATATTTTTAATAAAGAGACAGATTTAAAAAATAGATTATGGAGTGCTGCCAATCTGTAAACTATTGTTATTAAAAAAGTAAATAGACCAAATAATCAGAAATGATAAATGAAAGTGAGCAGGGAAACAAATCTTTTATAAATCTAAAAACATTTAAAATTTAGATCTAAAATCCAAGAACAAAGGCTTGAGGTGGGTAATCATAAGCAGGGCAGAGATAAGGAATAGAAAAAGAGAAAATATACCACATGTTACAAAGAATGAAAAAATGAAGTACCTATTTGTCTTAATACATTTTGTATTGCTATAACAATACCTGAGACTGGGTAATTTATAAAGAATAAAAAAGCTTTTTAGCTCATGATTCTGGTGACTGCAAAGTTCGAGACTGCACATCTATATCTGGTAAGGGCCTCTGGCTGTTTCCACTCATAGTGGACAGTGGAAAGGAAGCTGGAGTGGGCAAAGACATCCTATGGCAAGAGAGTGAGCAAGAGAGTTAGACTGAGGAAGCCAGACTCATTAACGATCTGCTTTCATGGGAACCAATCCACTCCTGTGAGAATTCACCCCAGCAGGAGGGCATTAGTGGGCATTGATCTATTATTGAGGGATAAGTCCCCTCCCGGCATGACTCAAACACCTCCCAGCACTGCCACATTGAGGATCAAATTTCAACATGAGTTTTGGTAGGGACAAACCAAACCACAGCAGTGTTGTAGTTAAACGTTTAAATTTATAAAGGATCTTAATCTCTCTAACTCCACAGCCTTTGAATTGAGGATGGCTCCTCCACTTTTGTCTCATGTACCTGCTGGCTCAGGAAATGAAGGACTAGGATGCCTTCCTGGCCCTGCCAGGCTGGGTGGTAAGCCAGATTTTGCCCTGCTTTTCCACATGTTTTCCTCTTCCAGACTTTGAGACATCTGGCTCCTGGATCCCAGCCTGGGCCCCTGCTTTCTCTCTCCAGGTGCTCCTATTCTCTCTTCTCAGCATTTCAACGCTAAACCAGCACTTAGTGGACTCTGGCCTAGGAAATCTCGGCCCCAGCCTGGCCACGTGGCTGACACTCAGTCTATCATTCCATGAAGTAGGAGAAGGGAAGGCTTAGGAAGATATTACCACCACGAGAACTAAAGCCAGCTTAGCTTGAGATGTCTCCTCCCCAACAGTGGAATGTGAGATACTGAAGCAACATCTAGAGAACTTGGCAGAAAAAAAAAGAGAATTTAGTAATCTAGTAGAAGTTAATTTAAAAAATGTCAAATATGCTTATTTCTGGAATATAGATGATCCCAGTGTGATTTCTACAAAAGTTGCTTTAAAATGTGCTCCAAATACTAAGATAAATCAGAGAACAATTGAATTAATGGAGATTATATAGATGAAGAGGATTGGGAGTAGACTTTAAAACCATCCAAGGCGGGCATGGCGGCTCATGCCTGTAATCCCAGCACTTTGGGAGGCTGAGGTGGGTGGATCATCTGAGGTCAGGAGTTCAAGACCAGCCTGGCCAACATGGTCAAACCCTGTCTCTACTAAAAATACAAAAATTAGGTGGGCGTAGTGGCAGGTGCCTGTAATCCCAGCTACTTGGGAGGCTGAGGCAGGAGAATTGCTTGAACCCGGGAGATAGAGGCTGAGTGAGCTGACATCATGCCACTGCACTCCAGCCTGGGCAACAGAGTGAGACTCTGTCTCAAAAACAAACAAACAATAAATAATAAAAATAAAACCATCTGAAGATGGAGATATGTTGAAAGATATTAACTGATGAATAGACAGTGCTATTCTTGAAAAGTTAAAAATATTGTTAGCAGATAAATTATGAAACTATGAGTGTCTTGAAAAAAATATTCAGGAAGTGACTGAATCCACAAAGATGGTCTGAGTGCTTATTACAGGCAAAGGCCTGAGCTAAGAGTGGTTAGGAAGACAAAGACATAGAAAAGCTGAGGCCCTGTCCTTGGAGAGGTTATGATGTACACAGTTGGATATTGAAGGCTTACCGTCTTAGCGATGCTTAGGCAAAAGCAGGCGAGCAACTGGCCAGTAGGCTCTGTGCTGTCCCAGAGCCCATCTTAGGGACTAAACTAGAGCATAGGAAGTTTGAATAAAGTGGGTCAAATTCTAGGGTAGATAACATTTGGAAAGCTATAGAGAATCTGTATCTATCTATGGCAAGAAGGAGAAAAGGGTCTGGCAGGTAGGAAGTCAGGTGGAAACAACTACATCCCAGGAGTTGGCTCAGGTAGGCATCTGGAACCCAGGAGGCTGATGGCTTTCCAATCACTTCACAATCCAGCAAGACACAGAGATGGCCCTTCTCATCTCTTAGTGGGCGTTATTCTTTCTAAGGGCAGGTTTCCTGTCTGCAGCCCTGGTGCTGCTTCTTGGGCATGCTCTGGGACATGGTGGCAGCTGGCTGAAGACTAAGGAAACTCACTGCCAAAGGAGCTCACTGATCAGTCACACCGTTTAGATGTTTTTTTTTTTTTTGAGACACGGTCTCACTCTGTTGCCCAGGCTGAATGAGGTGCAGTGGCGCAGTCACAGCTCATTGCAGCCCTGAACTCCTGGGTTCAAGTGATTCCCCCACCTCAGCCTCCTGAGTAGCTGGGACTACAGGCATGTGCCACCATGCTTTTCTGAATTTGTCTTATTTTTGTAGAGATAGGGTCTCACTATGTTGCGCAAGCTGGTCTCAAACTCCTGGCCTCAAGCGATCCTCCCGCCTCAGCCTCTTAAACTGTTAGGATTACAGGCGTGAGCCACTGCATCTGGCCAATGTCAGCTTTTGAAATGTGTGTTGTGTACCTGCCATGTCTGTGAATAAGATGCTTCACGGTCTTTGTTGGGAATAACCTCTGGTTGAGTGACAGATATAGACACATCAGCAGATGATTTCCATACAACAAGGCCAATGGTAACTGCAAGAGCTGAAGTCTTCACAGTACCTCGAACACATAAAGAGGGACACTCAGCCTAAGTGCCAGGGCCTGTCAGGGAAGGGTTGCTGGAGAAATAATACTTGAGGGATTATAAGAATTTGCCATCTGTAGGTAAGGGAAAGAAGAGGACATTCAAAGGAGAGAGAGGTGGGTTTTCTATGCATAGGGAAACACTTGAGAAAAAGAGCAGGGTGTAAAGTGTGCTGGGAGCTACGTGGAGCTCCGTAATGCTAGAGCTTAGGACAGTGTGGAGCAAGGTATGATGAAAGACATCCCCATGGGCAGGGTCCTGAAGAGATCTCCAGCCCATCCATAGTGAGCATGGACCATATCTTATGGTGAGCCACTGAAGGATTATAAGTAAGAGAATGATGTTGCCATTTTAACTCACTCTGGTGGAGAAGAGAACCTGATGAGAGGCAGGGAGATTGGCTGGAAAACAAACTCTTCACACTCAGTGAAAGGTAATAAGCTTGGATCAAAGTCAATGGTAGTAGAGAAGAGAAATGAACAGATTGGAGAAATATTTAGGTGGTAAAATCTGTGGTGGGTGAGGGAAAGTGAAATACCTAGGATTTCTCCCAGCTCCCTGGCTGGACTCCTTTGTGTAATTAACATGTAATGTGGGAGTGTGAGCAGGTATGGGTCAGGGATAGGAGAGCTGGGAATACAGGGAGATTTGTATCTCTTAAAAATAATAACTGCTGGCAGGGTGCAGTGGTTCATGCCTATAATCCCAGCACTTTGGGAGGCCGAGGCAGGAGGATCACTTGAGCCCAGGAGTTTGAGATCAGCCTAGGCAACATAGCAAGACCTTGTTTGTAAAAAAATAAAAATTAAAAAAATTTTTAAAAACCTTTTATTATTATAGAAGCAGTATGGGTAGATTGTAGAATGTAAGAAAATGCAGAGAAACCAAATATAAGATAATGAAGAGACCTGTGACCCATTGATTATAACTATTACATTCTTAGCGTTTATCCTTCCAAATCTCTTTTCCTAGGAGATCATAC
Source organism: Homo sapiens (assembly GCF_000001405.40). Classification (NCBI taxonomy): domain Eukaryota; kingdom Metazoa; phylum Chordata; class Mammalia; order Primates; family Hominidae; genus Homo; species Homo sapiens. The sequence continues at coordinate 22,814,180 of NC_000010.11, forward strand.
TGCATGTGTTGGCCTGTTAGTTACTTCTTTAAGTGAGCAGTCTCCAACTTTTCCTGTCCGTAAGTTTTCTTCTCACCTTTCTCCTAAAAAATTCCTTTATTCCTGCCTTGTCCAGGTAAGGTTCTAACCCAGGACCACGAAATGCCCCTGTTATATATCATAGACACTATTTCATACAGCAGAGTCTTTTTCTTCATGATATTGTCTTATTGAAGAGACAGTGTGTATCTGAGCATCTACCATGGCCAGATGAACTGCAGAATGTCTCACCTTCTTGGGTCTATTTGGAACTGCCTAGAGGAGGTGTCATTTAGTTTGTTCCTCTATCCTGGAGGAAGATTTTTCCATAGGCACTAGTGAAAAGCAAACAAGTAATAAGCATAGAAAATGACAAGTCTAAATGAAGTATGAAGACAGCAAATGCAATAAAATTTCAGAAAAAGGGAAATAATATTAGAGCAGGCCCTTAAGTAGCAGGATAGAATGTGGATCGTTAACCAGGTAGAGATCAATTCCAATGAGATAGAACAATGAATAAAGGCTCAGATAAAAGAGAATATAGAACTGTGATCTAATGACTCAGATTAATTCTTTTTATTCAGAGAATGCTGGTACTGCTTGCCAAAATTACTGAGTGATAGAAGTAGTTGCTATACTTGTGATTGCTGCTCTATGCAATGGAAAAATTATTGCAAAGAGCATTTTAAAAGGATATCTTGTTTTAGATTATACCACTGAAGAATACTGATTTTCCATCAATTTTACCATCTGAAAGAGTTAAAACAAATGAAATTTATTCAGAAGGTGAATTTGATACAGAAACATATTTCTATGTGTTAACCTTCTGATTGTATTTTATTTGGATCACTTAAAGATTTGCTCTGGCCTATAAGTTCAAGGAGGATATAAATCTTCAGGATATATTGCTTATGTGACCATGCTACTGAAAATTTTTTTTCTGATGAAACCAGAAAGCTTTGAATGAAAATTTTCAGTTAGAAGGTAATCTCACAGAATAAATGTAGACCCATGCTTCTGAAAATAAATGATATCAAATGTCTGCTCAAATTTACCTTAGTAATTGATGCATTCTTGTAAGATTTGATCATTTAAATAAGCAGACCTTTCCATCCTGTTAGTTTGGTAACCTAAGTTCCCACTATAATCTTAACAAGAGGATTTTTTAGATGCTGTCTTAGAATGTGGAGAGATTTGTGTGTTCCCTTGGTCTCCTTCCCAATTTAGTGAGGATCACTTACATTTCAAACCTTGACCTCATCTTTGCCTTTTCTCCCCCTCATTTTACAGAGCACACCAGTCCTAAAGTAAACCCACTGATTCATCTTAAATTTTTTTTAGTTATCATACTTTATTTTTAGTTCCTATAATGAACACTCATTTCCAGGTGCTCATCACATAGGCTATTGTATAGTAATAAATTGACTTCTTTTTTCTGGTTTATTTCATCTTTGCCTACATGCTTTACACCAGAAAAATTATTCTGAAATGCAAACATCTGCACACCACTGCCTACTTAAACAAAGACACAGGACATGACCTTCAAAGATTATAAAGCAGAATTCAAATTCTGTTATTCCTACAAAGAAACTTCTGATTCAGTTTGGCTTGTCTCCTTTTTGCCTTTTGAACATGCCCCCAAATTCACTCTCCAATCCTTTCCTCCTGCCATTTTCCTGCCTTGAATCCTCTTTCTACCTTTTTTTTCCTTTCTGAGATGGGGTCTCACTATGTTGCCCAGGCTGGTCTTGAACTCCTGGGCTCAAGTGATCTTCCCACCTTGGCCTCCCAAAGTGCTGAGATTACAGGTGTGAGCCACTGTGCCCATCCCTCTTCCCTCTCTTACTGTATCTAAGCTTGCTTGTATTTAAACCTTTATCTCATCTATGGAATTTTTCTTAATGATTTTATGGCAGAGTAATCTCCATCTTCTATGAAATTGCATAATTCAATATATGCATGTCACTCATTTTGATGTTTTATTACTCTTGGCCTTTTATTACTTATTTTCCTGTGTATGTCTTCATAATCACCTCCACTGAAAATTATTGGAAAAGATGTAACACACTTTTGTATTCTCTGTGGTGCCCCAGGGGTTGGGAAAATTAATCTAGGCATCTTCTGTCCCATAGCTCACCTCCTGAATCCCGTCACGTTGACCGTAGTGTGTCACTGTGATGGCCAGGCCATCCCCAACACTACACTCCTGGAGGAGAGTCATCAGTGTGGCCCACTGACCTATTTCCTCTTCTCTGTTGTGCACATAATAAGAGTGCATTTTACTGCCCATGCTGATGCCAGGCATGGCCACGTGATTTACTCTGGCCAGTGAAATGTGAACAGATGTATACACTTCTGGGAAAATGCTTTAAGGGCCAGTTCATTCATGAGTCATCACATCCTCTCTCCTTGTCTTTACAATCTTTTTTTTCTTTTTTTTTTTTTGAGATGGAGTCTTGCTCTGTCACCCAGGCTGGAGTGCAGTGGCACCACCTTGGCTCAATGTAACTTCCGCCTCCCGGGTTCAAGTGATTCTCCTCTCTCAGTCTCCTGAGTAGCTGGGATCACAGGCACATGCCACCACACCTGACTAATTTTTGTATTTTTAGAAGAGACGGGGTTTCACCACGTTGGCCAGGCTGGTCTCAAACTCCTGACCTCAGGTGATCCGCCCACCTCGGCCTCCCAAAGTGCTGGGATTACAGGCATGAGCCACCGTGCCTGGCTGTCTTTACGATCATAAAAGCACATGTTGAGATGGAGCCTCTGGCACCCTGGGACAGAGTGACTTTGTCAGCCACTGAGATTTTGGGGTTGTCACTGTAGCATAATGTTTCTCATGCTGACTGACACAAGAAAAAGCAATCTTGACTGGGGAAGGATGAGAACTTTGCTGGCTGTATTCCAACACTCCAGACCTGTGGCTTCTGTGTGACTCATACGTGGCTGCCATTTCCCCCTCTGTCATCATCCCAGGCTGCCATACAAAATACCATAGACTGGGTATTTCATAGGCAGAAATTTATTTTCTCACAGATCTGAAGGCTGGAAATCTGAGGTCAGGGTGCCAACATGGTCAGTTTCTGATCAGTGCTCTTTTCCTGGCTTGCAGATGGCTGCCTTCTTGCTGTGTCTTCACATGGAAGAGAGAGAGAGAAAGAGAAAAAGAAAATCTTCATTTTCTTTTTGCTTTTTTAAAGACATGGGTTCTCACTGTGTTGCCCAGGTTGGACTGAAACTCCTAGGCTCAAGTCATCCTCCTGCCTCAGCCTTCTGAGTAGCTGGGACTACAGGCATGTGCCACTATATCTGATTAGAATCTTTCTTTTCTTAAAAGGCCATGGTACTGTTGAGTTAAGGTTCCAAGCCCTATGAACTTAATTAACCTTAATTACTTCCTAGAGGTCCTATCTCCAGACACAGTCACACTGGGGGGGTAGGGAAACCTGCAAACTCATATCAAGGTGCTACATTCGCACTCAAATGCTTAATTTTTTTTTTTTTTTTGAAACGGAGTCTCGCTCTGTCACCACAGTGGAGTGCAATGGCGCGATCTTGGCTCACTGCAACCTTCGCCTCCCGGGTTCAAGCGATTCTTCTGCCTCAGCCTCCCGAGTAGCTGAGACTACAGGCGCACACCACCATGCCCAGCTAAGTTTTGTATTTTTAGTAGAGACAGGGTTTCATCAGGATGCCCAGGATGATCTCAAACTCTTGACCTCGTGATCCTCCCACCTCGGCCTCCCGAAGTGCTAGGATTACAGGTGTGAGCCACCACACCCAGCCTAATTTTTTTTTTTTTTTGAGACAGCCTCACTCTGTCACCCAGGCTGGCATGCAGTGGCATGAACACAGCTCATTGCAGCCTTGACCTCCTGGGCTCCAGCCTCAGTCCCCCAAGTAGCTGGGACCACAGGTGTGAGCCATCACACCCGACCAATTTTTTTTTTTTTTTTCATAGAGACAGGGTCTCACCATGTTGCCCAGGGTGTTCTCAAACTCCTGGCCTCAAGCGATCCTTCCACCTCAGCCTCCCAGAGAGCTGGGATCACAGATGTGAGCCACCACGCCTGGCCAAAATGCTTGATATTAATTAATGAAAGAGTTATATTAGTGGTTCTCAAAATATTTCAAGTGGTTTAGTTTCTAGAAGTCATGAGTCTTTTCATGGAATACCATGAAATATTGATTTAGTAAACATGTGGAAACTAAATATAATCTTTTGTGTTGAATAAAAAAATGATTTCTTGTAGACAAAAAGGCCTATGCACAATTTATAGCAAGAGTCAAAGTTTTAAGAAAAAAAAAATACCCGTGTGAAAACCAACAAAGAAGACACTATTATTAACCTAAATTTCTCTTTGAGTTGTGAAAAGGTCATCATTATACGATTTTTAAAGAGCAGGATATCTTAGTTCTATGCACAAATATCAATATTCTTTGAGAGGCTAGTTTGGGAATGACTTCCTTTTATCAGTGAAAAAAATATATTAAAAACTGCTGTAAAAAAAAAAAAAGAAAATCTTTACCCTATACTACTACAATGTGTTTACGTATGTTTAAAATTTTTCACAATAAAAAGTTTTAAAAATTAAAAAAAAAGTGCTGTACTCTTGCCTTTCTCATGATTCACATAGGAAGAGAAACTAAATCCTGAGTTTGTATACCACAAACGAGCTGAAAAAACATAGGTAACTGTGGGATTTATCTTGTAGCCTCAAACATTCCAAGCAATAGAGAATGTTAATTGGGGGATTTCACAAACAAACAAACAAACAAACAAATGAAAGGAAACACCTCCGTTAAATGATGCTCTTTAAAACTGACTAATAACTAATACTCATTTCAGATGAGGGCTCTGCTATAAAAAGGTCTATATCCCATGATGTATTTCTTGTACCAGTGCTATAGGTTAAAAACCTTTGGTTTTATGGGAATTCATTTCCTATTAAGTATTTCTTTTAAAACAAAATATGTGCTCTTGTTTAAAAGGGCCAATCGTTTTAGTTTTCCATCATCTGAGTTAAAATGTCTTGGGACTTTTTATCCCCCCAAAATATAAAATTTCCCAAGAAATTAAACTGAAGTTAAAAAAAAATACCCCAACAACCTTGCAGATCAGACATATGGAAAAATGTTAATATATCTTTTTAAAATTTACCAAGAAAAAATTGCTACCGGGATTTTTAAAATGTGACAAATAGATACTTCACTGCATAAATGACTACAATAACATCTATTTCTATCTTCAAAAAAAGTGATTTTTCTTCTATAAGAAGTCCACTTCCATTAGCAAAGTAAAATTCTTCTAACCTTAAACTTTGAAGTAGGCTAGTCTTAAATCTGATTAAAGGAAAAAAATTTGATATGTCATAGCTTTGTCTCCTTGTCTATTTTACATTACATTACATTAGGTATTACATTACATAAGTTACATTAATAATTTATTCATCTAGCAATGTAAGAGTATGTGTTCCAGGGAAATTTTCTAGATAGCTCAAACTTACCATTATGCATCCAGCTATATAAATCAAATCAAAACAAAACAAGAAGTTTTTAAAAATGAATATATCTTGAATGTAAAGGGGCATACAATTTAACCTTTCCTCAGTGTCTTAGGGTCCTCATTATGAATGTCAGGTAAGGTGAAATACTGAAATAAAATGATATCCCCAGAGACAAAGGAGGTGTGTACAACTATTGCATGACACGAAATGGCCCCAGACTATTCTGCCTTGACACCTGAGTTCTTCTGTTTTTTTCTCATAAGCTTCTACTTCTAAAGTTACCCCAACCTTTCCTTTGTCAAAGGGTTCCAGAGTTCATCTTTACCATGGCTTACTTCTGGGTTCTCGGTTGGGTTCTATGTCCTTCATGGTTCTATTTGTGATATACTAGGAAGGGGAGATGTTATGGTCCTTTCTCCTTCTCCGGATCTCTCCTGTTTGAAGAAATAAGTCAACCGATGCTTTATAGAAACAGGTATTTAAATAAACTCATTGATTTTTGAAGGAAGTGGGGAGATGGCAGGCAAATATATCTTGTAGAATCCACATTGTGTGGAACCTGCTGTTAGCATCTCAGCAAACTCAACAAGAACTGAGTCAGTGAACAGACCTTCAAATGTGGAACTACTCTGGAGACCTGAGACCCATCTATAACTGTCTTTCTCTCTCATCTGGTTCCAAATCCCTTCCCTAAGAATCTACTCAAAGTTAGATATTCAAGGCAGAGTAGTGACTTCATAAGCAGAGAGGTAGAGGCAGTACAAGGGAACGTCACTATCCTTTAAAAGACAACCGATCATCTCAAAGTCCTTGCTGGCAGGGGAGTTGCCACTGAGGAGGAGCAGTTGACCCAGAATTCTTCATCCTGAGTTTCTCTTCCCAGGCCCCCATGTGCTGATCTTGTGGAGACACGGTTCCTCTCTGACTCTGGCCCAAGCCTCGGTACAGCCTGGGGACTTGATATCCACAGCACAGTTGAGCCATTGCAGGGGCTTGCAAAAGATTTGATAATAGATGTGACACCTTTCTATCTACTTGTCTCACTTGACTTGGAGCTTCTCGAAGGCAGAGACTGGATGTATCTCAAGCACATAATGATCAATGGTCCTTCCTCATCAAATGTTTGTTAGGGACGCAAGCTGCAGTGGGTCCTTTTGGGAATTTCTTCTTTTTTGTTCAATTTAGCACTGAATACAGATATTGACACAAGGTGAGGCTACCTAGAATTACTGTTAATCTGATAAATTTAGCTTTAGTGCATCAATTTTGTTTTCGTTGTTTATTTTTTCTAGAGACAGGGTATTGCTCTATCACCCAGGCTGGAGTGCAGTGGCATGATCATAACTCACTGCAACCTCAGCCTCCTGGGCTCAAGAGATCCTCCCAGCTCAGCCTCTCAATGTGCTGGGATTACAAGAATGAACCATCGTGCCCTGACCAACATTGTTTTTAAAATGGCAGATTAAAATAAGAAAATCTTTGATGTTCATGAGATGGAAAGTGATAATGGTCAGAATAAATATTTCAAAGTATACACATTTACCTCAATTAACTTTTGTTTTAAACACAACAGAGATGATACTGAAGTGTAGATGCTTATATTAGAGATGCTTAATATTTTTTAATCAATAAATCAAAATGAGGAGGAGCTTGAAGGATCTTTGCTTCACTTAATTCTAATGATTGTTCTATAATAGTAAGTTCCACACCATAGCCTTAGAGAAGTTACCACTTGATTAAATTTTGTAGCTGAAGGATGAATTTTTAATGTTTTCCACTATAGTTAGCCCCAATTCACTCCAGTTTAGAATGAGATTTTAGTCTAACATTAGGAAAGGGAGGTTTAAATTCCATCTGGACACACAGAAAGTGCTTGGATAGACTTGTAGGGGGGAAAAAGTGGTTTTAGTTGTTTGCCGCAAACTATTAAGATGTTTAAACAGATGGTGATCACAGTCACATGTCCTGGTGAAATGGAATTTCCTTTTCATAAATTCCTTGCAGCTTCCTCCTGATTATAAGAGGCTCATGACTTGGATTATCAGATTTTTATATACTTCCACATCTGCAATGATATAGAGGCTGCCCCAGCACTGGCCTCAGACAAGTTTAAAGCCATTTTGCAAATTCTTTCAAGGCTGGCTAACACAACTTGATCCCACCACCCCACCTCTGAAACCTTTTAACCTGTAATGGTTTCTCCTCTTTCTGCTGGGCTTTTCTACAGATATTCTGTTATATACAGCACTGGGACAACACCAATACAAATTTCACTTAAAAAAAATAAATTTAACTATGCCTAGTTATTTATAATTTTTAACAAAAATTGTTTTCCTTCTTCCCTTTCACCTTCTCTTTAAAGATGTTTCCCTGATGCCCTTTCTGATTTCGTTAGTTTTATTTATTTATTTATTTATTTATTTATTTATTTATTTATTTTTTAAACAGAGTCTCACTCTGTCATGCAGGCTGGAGTGCAGTGGTGCGATCTCAGCTCACTACAACCTCTGCCTCCCGGGTTCAAGTGATTCTCATGCCTCAGCCTCCTGAGTAGCTGGGATTACAGGCGCCCACCACGATGCCTGGCTAATTTTTGTATTTTTAGTAGAGACTGAATTTCACCATGTTGGCCAGGCTGGTCTCGAACTCCTGGCCTCAAGTGATCCACCTGCCTTGGCCTCCCAAAGTGCTAGGATTACAGGAGTGAGCCACCGCGCCCATCTGCATTACTTCTTTATCTTCCCTGTGACCTAGCTTTTGAGTAACAAGTTCCGACTATTGAGTATTATATTTTTCAAAGAGGAAGAGAGTCTGAGAGTTCACTATAAAACAGTTCTAGCTCTCATTCTACATATATTTAGATGAACACAAACTAAGTTCTATAAATACATAAGGTGGTAGATAGGGTTATTTAGCCCTTTAATAGTTCTAAATAACAGTTCGTGCTAGGTGCAGTGGCTCACATCTGTAATCCCAGCACTTTGGAAGGCTGAGGAGAAAAGATCCCTTGAGGCCAGGAGTTCGAGACCAGCCTGGGCAACATGGTGAGAGTCCATCTCTATAAAAATAAACTAAAATGAAAATACCATAGTGTCTTAATTTTAAAAAGAAACAAAAACATTTCACTTCTCCCTTAAATGCAAGGTTGTAGATTTGTGTACTTGGAAAGTTTGTGAAATATTCCATAAGTGTAAGGAGAAAGTGAAATTTGGAAGTTTATTGTGGAACCAGCTTTTTGTGATTTTATGATAGATGGAGAAGCATTCATGTACTGGCTTTCCTGTCACGGTGTCTTTTTATAAGCCAGGCACTGTCCTAGGCACTTTGCGTACATTATTTCATTTATTTATCATAACAGTCCTACAGAGAAGGCGCTATTGTTACCCACATTTCAATAGGTTAAATAACTTACTTAAGATCTGAATGGTGTGGACAGCTAGAAAGCTCCAGGCACAGGACTCCATTCAGATCAGAGTAAAGCCACAGCTTGTACTTTGTCCCATTGGGCCACATTGCCCATGTGCTGTGAGCTGACTCATTTCTCTTCTCATTGTGTCTCAGATGCCTGAAATATTACTAACTGAGATTTATTCTTTTATGTTAATGCATAGTCCCTAGTTAAAATACTAATCCTTTGGGTGGGTCAACAGGTTAAGCTGTCTTAGTCATTAATAACATTTAGTGTGAGCTGATGCATTAGATTCTTTCTACTGTGATTAACTTCAGCTAAAAATAGCAGGGAACTAGTAAAAGACAAACCATTCTCCACTAGGTGAAGATAGGTGTGTCCTTCTTTTGGCTTATGGGGATTGCTGATTTCATATCAACAGGAATTTCATATTTTACTAGTTATTGGATTAGGTGCCATTTTTGCGATATGATTTCATATGTAGCCTCTCGGAATAATTGAATTAAATACTTTGAAGTGTGTGAAGCCAGTGAACAAACCTTTATTTGAAGACTAACGTTCAACTTTGGTGTTCAGCTTTGTAGAAAACCAAACAAAACCTTCTTCATTTTTAGCTTAAGTCTCCCAAAAGTGGGATTTAAAAGGTAACCCAGCTTTTTACGAGAAACTGATCATGGTGTTGGCTCATGTTGCGATTTCCAATCTGTTTTAAATTGGGATTAATGGCTCCTTCTTTTAGGGCAGCATTTCAGTTGTATCTGCATAGCTTTCCCTAGAAAATCTGAGGCTGAGGTGGGCGGATCACGAGGTCAGGAGCTCGAGACCATCCTGGCTAACACGGTGAAACCCCATCTCTACTAAAAATACAAAAAAATTAGCCGGGCGTGATAGCGGGCGCCTGTAGTCCCAGCTGCTCCGGAGGCTGAGGCAGGAGAATGGCGTGAACTCGGGAGGCGGAGCTTGCAGTGAGCCCAGATCGCACCGCTGCACTCCAGCCTGGGTGACAGAGCCAGACTCTGGCTCAAAAAAAAAAAAAAAAAAAAAAAAAAAAATCTGCTTACTTGAAGCCTTTGGAAAACTAGGAGATTTTACATATTATTTTTAAATGGCATTTTAAGGCACTCCCACTGACAATTTTGTTAGAAGGCAGAAATATCAAGTGAAGGATAGAAATGAAAATGAACTAAGTGAACAATTGGCAACGTTTCATTTCCTTCCCAAGCAATGGAGACAGATGACCTCCAGCTCACAGTGCTCACAATTCCCCCTCAGGCCACGTCTGTGCCACTTGTCACCTCCTGCACCGCTTTCAACACTTGCTGCTGCCCTTGGCCACAGCACAGGTATGGGCAAGTGAGGAAAGATGGGGGGCTCACAGCACCTCACCCTACCTGGCTTCAGGGGTGGGTTAAGATTGTTTCTACTTAAGAACCATGGCAACAGTTTGTGTTAACTGGATCAACGTAATTCCCTTGTTATAATTAAACAAAAAAGTTTTAAAAAAATTTAAATTCAAGGAATCTGGCCAACAAGTTGGGTGTTTCTGAGAGGTATTATTAACTGGTCTGACCACTTCAGGCACTAAAATCGTGGCTGAAACATTCAGTCATGGTACACTCAGGCCAGATTGTTATTGACAACAATGCCTGAAAGGGTTTCATTTTACCTTGGACCTTGGAAGGCAACAAAAGAACAAATTGAAATGGACAGAACCCAAACAGCTCAGTGTCATTGAACATTAGAATTGTACAACTCATACCTCTTGTTCTGATTCTAGGCTTACGGATGTTCCCACAAACTGGTTTTCCATATTGTTCACATATGGGGTGGGGGCTGGAAATGCTGGTATCATTCATGATAAATGAACCAATTGGCCTGCTGGTTTATTAACTTCCTCTCTTGTGAAGTTGGTTGGTCTGAGTCCCTGAGCCCAGTCAACCCTGGAGAGTGACAGGAATGCATTTGCAAGTGTACGACTTGGGCTGTGTCCTGGACAATGATGAATTGGAACTAGCGTCACTTGGGTGATCAATCAGTTGCCCTTCCCCCAGGAGACTACCCCAGAGGTGACTGCTCACTTCCGTTTAAAACTTTTATACCAAGGTCTTAGATCTCAGAACAATAATAGTGTGTCCTCACTGATTCATCCCAGCAAGAATGTGTGATTCAGTCAGCTGTTTGGGTAAGAAGAAAATTGTCCCATGCAAATTATCTGCAAAGGTATATTAAAAGGAAAAGAGAAAAAATGTTTTGAACCAAATTATACTACATGACTGGCATAATTGTCTCAAGCGGACACAACCCTAATCGCTGAGTCTGAATATTATTCCATTTATAAAATGAAGAGGATACTAATTACCTAAACTAGTCATTATATCTAAAATTATTTTACGCAGTGTTGTGAATAAGCCCAGGAAGAAAAGCACCACTTAAGAACAAGGTAAGAAAGCATGATTCCACAGATTCAAACGATCATTTTGGGAACACCTATGATCTAGTCATGTGCTCTGCCAAGTGCTTTTGCCTGTCATTTCCCTTCATCCTGAGAACGACTCAGTGAAGTGGCTATCACTCGCATTTCACCAATGAAGAAACTAAGGAATGATTTTGTTGCAGGACTTTTCCTTAGTTCAGCTAAAGATCGGATTCTTGTCTCTCCCACAGCCATGAAAATTTAGGCTCGCAGATGGTTTAAAGGGTGAGTAAAGCAGGGTTTTATTGGGTGAAAAGGGGAAAAAAAAAAGGGGAAACAGGGACTCTCACAAGGCCAGAGTCCCTCTGCTAGAGCACTTCCCGCCAGGCCATTTGAATCCCAGGTTCTGCACAGGAAGAGGAGGGGCCACGGCCTCCCCGCTGCAAAGGGCGTAAACTTCCCTACCCTCCACCTTAGAGGGCGGGCTGGTTGGAGTTTCCCCAGGGATTCCCCTCCCACCTGGCTGCCTCATTCCCTGCTCTAAAGAAGTACACCTAACTGCCCTTAGATTAAGGATAAGGACAAAGACCGATCTTAACTGCTTCCTACTGACAGGAGGCTCTGTTTTGGGGAAAAGGCAGTCAGAGCTCCCTCAGAGGGAGCTATCAGCTCCTATCTAAGGGTTCCTGGCAGAAGGGGCCATTGTCAGAGGCTCTGGTTGCATGACCGTTTGGAGTCTGATGGCCTGAAGGCAAGAACAGACAAACCAGTTTATTAGAAAACATGTATCAAAACAAAACAAGGGGAGGGGTAAGGACAGCTCAAAAAGCTTTTACCAGTTTGCACAGGGAGGGAAAGTCCAAACGCCTGACTGGTAAAGACACTTTACCCTTTTGCCACGATGTTGGGCTTCTGGGTTCCCTTCCCCCGAGTCCAATCCTAAGCCAACCAGTTTAAGGTTTGGGAAATTAACAGTTTGGAGGATGCATCTGAGGGGAGTGTCCCGTAGTAAGGAGAGACACAATTACCTATCAGTGAAGGGAGAACCGAGGAGAAGAAAGGAAAAAGAACGTGTTTTTAAGGGAGTCCCAAGGATCCAGGATGCATTTGAAAGGGGTACAGACTGAAGATGAATGGCTACCCATCTAGAAAGAGGGGAGCAGGCATCCTTGGTTCCCTTCTCTTCCTAGCAGATACCCGGGGCAAGTAAGGGAGAGAGGGAAGAGCGTCCTCTTTACATCTCGCATCCTTGCAGCCCCGAGCCCTGGAGACCTTGGCAGGCACCACCATGAATGCCAAAGCGGCTTGCACCCATGAAGCAGGGGGTCCCAGAGAATAGGAATTATCCATTTTCACCTATGCCCCTATCCCACCTACTGTCAGTAGCCTCGGAGTTCCCTGGACCTCATTTATGCCATGGATACTAACGTGGCCTTTATCCATGAAACAGGAAGCTTGGGGTTGGCTTAATCGGCAAGAAACAGCTACGCTCACCTACGCTGTGCCTTTTAATCTCTGCTGCCATCTGCCTCTGGATCGCTCAGATCCAGTTTTCTTTCCAGGGCTTTGACCCAAAGCTTGAAATTGAGTCTGGGACAAAAATGTGTCTTAGGGGGTATTGCATGGACTCCTTGTTATAAGCCGAATGCTACGGTGAAACTGTGGAACTGAGTCCTCTTCCAAGGGAGAGAAAAGGATGTCTTGTGACACACCCAGATAACCGGCGGCTATAGTTATGCTTGCTAGGATTTGGATGGATGATGCTTGGCTTTGTTTAGTTCCCTTGGTTTTACTTTCCCAAAAAGGAAACCTCCAGGTGATGGGCACCCTATTTATTCCATCACCTGGCAGGATTTGCAGGATAATTGCTCAGAACTAGAATATTGATCCGGATTTCTACATTACCCATCCCTCTTGTTCTTTCTGACCTGCAGCCAGGGATTGCTGGTTGGTTCAGAGGAGCAAGCAGGGTTAGTCTGAAATGTAGGTGAAAACTTAAAAACAACTAATGATTTTAGGATTTAATGACAAATGTATGGTAAGCTTTAGAACATAATTTCTCTCTCTCCAGTCCTTATTTTTGTTAAAAAAATTATGATAGGACTGAGTGGTTTGCAAAATAGACTTTAGTCTTATACTTGGCCTGATTATTTGCTTAAAATGCAGCAAGAATAACTATTTCTGCATAGGCCTTTTGGATTGGCTTTGTTGGAAATGTTTTCCACAAGGAATCACAGATGAGACCTTTTTAAAGCTGAGCCGAGCCATAGGTTTGCATCCTCAAATACCCGTGAGTTGGGTGATCCACTCCTCTTAAGGTTCCAAGATAAACTTGGAGCTCCTGGACCTGTTAGAAAGTGACATTCTTTAGTGACCACAGGTCAGGGACCCTTTATAGGGACTGCATAGACAAGGGAATGAGGCCAGTTTCCCTATGGGGCTTTTATTGGCTCTGCAAGTTGAGCTTGACTCCTTAAAGGGAAGCATATCCTTCCAGTGAAAGCCTTGGTAGAATAACTACTTTCTCCAATTGTGTCCTGTTGCAAAAGAAAAATGGACTCTTATTGCACTGATGCAAACAAATATATTGCCATAAGAATACTCACAGATAGTTTCCAAATTCTAGAGGAACCAGGCAGAGAGAGACAAACATGCTTCAAATTTTGTTCATAGGAGTATGCTTTACTCAATTATTAAAGGCTGTAAATAGTTCAAAATAAGTTTCCTTGACTGAAAAAACATGGATTAGCCATATTCCAACCAAAAGTCAAAAAAGTTACTTCAGCGTCCTGAGTTCAGTCCATTTAGTTAACTCTTGTTTTGCTTCATATTTGTGAGCATTTCAGTTCTTCGTGAGTCCTGTGCATTTTCCTGTATTCCAATGTTACTATATCCAAATTCATCATAAACCTGCATTTCAGAGCAGCTGTCAAAGTCTTACAGCTTACTATAAACCATCTTTTGAAAAGGATTAAAATAAGACAACAACTCTCTGTCAATAGCAACATGTCCAGGGTAATTACAGTTAGAAACAAAAATGACAAAGAAGTTTGATTATCTCCATGGTTTACAATAACTCAACAAAACCTTAATTATAATTGATAGCATATACTCAGACATCAGAATTTTAGAAATCCCATATAATTTTGCAACATATATTAGAATTATTCAGCAAGATATACCTTAAAGAACATTGAGCATCATTTTGGCAATCCCATGTATCTAAACATATCAAATAATCCTGTTTATCTCTCTTTTCTGGACACTTCAGGGGCCCTCTGAAGTATTTGAAAAGACAGGTGCTAGGGAAGATAATTTTGAAACTGAGGTTTGATTTTGGGAAGGATGTTGAATGTTTGAGGTTTAAAACACTTGATATTATGAAATACAATTCCAGATTACTATAAGTTATTTACTTTGCCAAAATGATGACTCAGAAATTTTAAAGAAGCAAAAGCCTTTTTTAAACCCCTTACAAATTTTGCCAAAGAGCAGATTAGTGCCTTAGGAAAACCTTGTTATGCTTTTATTTCAATGCTCAATTTACAGAAAAACCATATAATACCCTTTTTTGAATGTAGTCAATATGCTCACACAGAAAACCTCTTTTGCTAGATAATTTTTGCAGTTTTTCCACCACTTCTTTGAACCTTCAGCTTTTTCCTATTTTAACTCAAAACAATCCTTTAACCCTAGGCAAAAGTTTACATTTCCATGCCTTCTCATAACCTTTTACTAAAAAACACATTTTAATGTTCTTACACACCTTGCATGTAAATCAATTTCTAGTAGTTTCAATTAAATCCTAGCAATTTTTAACTTTAAGACAAAATTTAGTAAGTTGCTTTAATTGTATGCTAACTGCAGCCAAGTTTTGCCTTCTTAGTTAAGGCGGTGGTTAGTTCCATGTGTCCCCAAGCCTTACCAATTGTGAAGCCAGCAAGTCAAATTGTTCTCAAAACCCAAAATGCAGTTTGTAACCTCCAAACACTTAGCAAACCTTTCATCTCACCTGCATTTTACCAGTAGTCTTTAGGGATGTTCATATTTCTTAAAGATTAAAGTTACGTGAACTGAAATGTAACACAGATTTTTATCTTCCCTTTAAAAAATATTAGATCCAAGTGCTTGTCTTACTTTAGGCCAAAGTAATTAGAGCTCTTTTTTTTTTTTTTTTTTTTTTTTTTGAGAGGGAGTCTTGGTCTGTCGCCCAGGCTGGAGTGTTGTGGCGTGATCTCAGCTCAGTGCAAGCTCCACCTCCAGGGTTCACGCCATTCTCCTGCCTCAACCTCCCGAGTAGCTGGGACTGCAGGCGCCAGCCACCACCCCCGGCTAATTTGTGTGTGTGTGTGTGTGTGTGTGTGTGTATTTTTAGTAGAGACGGGGTTTCACCGTGTTAGCCAGGATGGTCTCGATCTCCTGACCTTGTGATGCCCACCTCGGCCTCCCAAAGTGCTGAGATTACAGGCGTGAGCCACTGCGCCTGGCCTAGAGCTCTTTTTACAGACATCACACACAGTACACACACAGACAGGCAGAAGAAAACCCAGTCGATGGGTGGGGCCCTTTAAGAGACAAGGCTAGGGCCGGGCACGGTGGCTCATGCCTGTAATCCCAGCACTTTGGGAGGCGGAGGCGCGCAGATCACGAGGTCAGGAGATCGAGACCATCCTGGCTAACACGGTGTGAAACCCCATCTCTTTTAAAACATACAAAAAATTCGCTGGTCCTGGTGTCGGGCGCCTGTAGACCCAACTACTCAGGAGGCTGAGGCAGGAGAATGGCGTGAACCCGGGAGGCGGAGCTTGCAGTGAGCCGAGATCATGCCAGTGCACTCTAGCCTGGGCAACAGAGAGAGACTCCGTCTCAAAAGAATATAAAAAAAAAAAAAAAAAAAAAAAGAAGAGACAGGGCTAGGAAAACTTGCAGACATCGAATTTGAGAGGGGCATCCCCTCAGGAGGGATTGCTAAACAAAGCCTTGCCAAGCAGTTACCAGCCATGCCCTCAGGATGGAAAACAAGATGGAGACTTGATTTCACAATCAAAACTGAGAGAATACAGTGATAGTTTGGGGTGGTGGTAGGGGGCGTCTAGCCTAGTATAATATCTTCTAAAAGAAAAGAAAGATTCTTTTGGAAGTTAACTTGTGGGCCAGGCACAGTGGCTGAGGCCTGTAATCCCAGCACTTTGGGAGGCCGAGGCAGGCGGATCACCTGAGGCCACGAGCTCGAGACCAGCCTAACATGTTGAAACCCTGTCTACTACTAAAAACACAAAAATTAGCGGGGCATAGTGGCAGGTGCCTGCAATCCCAGCTACTGGGGAGGCTGAGGCAGGAGAATCGCTTGAACCTGGGAGGCGGAGGTTGCACTGAGCTGAGATCGCGCCATTGCACTCCAGCCTGGATGACAGAGCCAGACATCTCAAAAAAAAAAAAAAAAAAAAAAAAAAAAGTTAACTTGCTGATGGGGTAGAGAAGGGGAAAGCAAAGAAACATTTTAAAAGTACCTGTGGAAGAACATCTTATTTTTATTTTTTATCTTATTTTATTTATTTTTTTTTTGAGGCGTAGTCTTGCACTGTCGCCCAGGCTGGAGCGCAGTGGCGTGATCTCGGCTCACTGCAAGCTCCGCCTCCTGGGTTCACGCCATTCTCCTGCCTCAGCCTCCCGAGTAGCTGGGACTACAGGCACTCGCCACCACTCCCGGCTAATTTTTTCTATTTTTAGTAGAGACGGGGTTTCACCATGTTAGCCAGGACAGTCTCGATCTCCTGACCTCGTGATCCGCCCGCCTCAGCCTCCCGAAGTGCTGGGATTACAGGCGTGAGCTAACGCGCCCGGTCGAAGAACATCTTATTCTTATGCAAGTGGTTCCTCCACCAGGGAAACAAGTTTAAACTTAATTACTGTCCATCCGATAGAGTTAAACCCCTTGGCCAGGGAAGGGGAAGGCTGGGGGAGCCTCACGGGGCTGGGAACCGGCCAGCGGGCTGTGCAGGACTCTTGGGCCATGCATCCCAGCACAAGGAGGGATGGGGGAGCAGAGGGAGCTGCTGCTCACTGGTGAGTCCCGAAAAAGAAAATGCCACGAAAAGGCCTGAAAAGGCCCAGGAGCTATGAGGGGTAGGGGCATGGTTTCTCCCACCCTCAGAAGTCCGAGGATGAAAAGTCTTAGAAGCAACAGTGAGAGGTTTTGAGTCCCCATGTGACTCACCGCTTCTCCAGCCCATGTTGCATGCCAAAAACGTCGCAGGGCTTTTCAGTGGGCAAGCTGGTTGGAGTTTCTCCAGGGATCCCCTCCCACCTGGCTTAATTGTTGATGATTTAGTAACTCGAATAAGGTCAGGCGTAGAAAATGGCAGAACCAAATTTTAAACCCACATCCTCTGCCTTCAGGTCTGGATTACACTTGCTTATATAACATACTGCTTTCTTATTTTTATTTTTGGAGATATGAGTAAAGTTTGAAAATAAGATATCTAAGAAACCCCTAATTAGACATTCTTAAATGAGGATCATTCTGTGGCTTTTTTCCCCCCCTTTCTCTCTTTGGACTTTTATAAAATGTCAGAATCATCAGACATAGATACTTCCATAGCTTGTTAGATTAAGACGGTAGATGTTTTACTTTGAAAGGAAAATATACTCCTCAGCAGATAAGACTTGACTTGCTCTTGGCTACCATTGCTAACCAAAAATCAACTTTAGACTTTGGTCTTCCCGTTGTGCTCAAAGTCCATTGCTGGCTGATTAGATTGATTTAATGTATTTCAATTCAGGAAATATTTATTGGGCAACTACTGTGTGACAGATACTCCTTTAAGGAGCTTACAGACTAGGCATGATTTGCAAGTAAATTGGCAGCTACAAAGTAGCGTAATAAATCCCACTAAACTCCAGTGCTGTCAAGGTGAAAGCAAAGAAATAACAGCACGGCTTTGTGAAGATTTACTGGTCATTCCCATTGTTGGTAAACTCTTGAACCAGGAAAAATCACTCCAGTGGATAAAACAGGTGTTTTGTCTCCAGGTGTTGGCATTATTTTTTTTTCTCTATAATTATATATACTTTTTGGATTTTGTAAAGGAAGCCTATATTACTCTGACAATCTGAACAAAATGATAAAGTAACTAGAAAAAAGCAAAACAAACTGGAACACAATGACCCCTGTCTTTGCCACATCATTATTACTTCAGAATAACTTTTCCCTGTCCCTTTTCACTGAGTCACATTGTGCCCAACAAGTTATTTGGGTGAATGGGAGCAGAGCAAGTGTAACAATAGGTTAGAACCCAGCATGAAAAGAATGAGGGGCCCAAACTCAACCTGTGATTATTTTTCTCATTTTTCTGTTGAGAGATAGGTATAGAAAACTGAGGCCTGATTATGATTGGGTCTACAGAATGAGAATTACCTCAACAACTGAATTCAGTGCATTCTGTGCCCTAATGAAGATTGGAGAGGTCATTTCTTTTTTTTTTCTTTTTTCTTTCTTCTTTTTTTTTTTTTTAGACAAAGTCTCCCTTTGTTGCCCAGGCTGGAGTATAGTGGTGTGATCCTTGCTCACTGCAACCCCCGCCTCCCAGGATCAAGCAATTCTCCTGCCTCAGCCTCCCAAGTAGTTGGGATTACAGGCACATGCTACCACGCCTGACTAATTTTTTAATTTTTATTTATTTTTATTTTTTTTATTCTTAATAGAGACAGGGTTTACCATTTTAGCCAGGCTGGTCTCAAACTCCTGACCTCAAGTGATCCGCCCGCCTCAGCTTCCCAAAGTGCTGGGATTACACCCATGAGCCACTGTGCCTGGCCTGGAGAGGTGATTTCTTGGCAATCAACCAAGTAAGATATGGTTGATTCAATAGCTGTGATGATGGATAAATGTGAATTCTGTATCATCAGGTTTGCTCTCCCCCCACCCCCAGAATATCTCTTTTTCCCATAGCATTTCCCAGTTCACGCATTTTAATCAATTGCGTAACTGAATGAGAAAAAAGGTCAAATCCAACTTCCATCCTCTTGATGATGGGCTAGGAGATAGGATGAAGCCAGTGTGAAGCAAAGCGTTCTTTGAACTGCTCGCAAGCTGAAAGGGGTTTCAGAACAGGCCAGTTAGTCTCCTCAAGGACTGAGGAATCTTGGTCTTCCTGGAAGTCTTGATACACAAACTGCAAATGCACAGTTTACAACAAGAGTAAATAAACACATGCTTTAGCCGTGTGGATTGTAGGCTTTTGAGGGAAAGGGCCTACTTGGTTTGATTCTAATTTTCTGAAAAGTGTCACCTACATCTCAAACATGGTCAGAATAGCCTGTAATAATTTGTGGCATTGTGCTTAAGTGGTCTATTTTTGCATTTCCCCAGGAGAAGCTGTAAAGGATGTGTTTATGAGCTCCCTGCTTTGCCTGTGGCTATTACTATTGGATAAATCCTCTTGCCTCTGAAGAAACAATGGAAAAGTATTATAGTGTGCTATGCTGAAAGGACAATATCATGACTGTTTCAAAAAGGGCCTTTGCTTTTAGGATGCAGATGAATTGTGATAGTCGAGGCAGAAAGAGCCCTTATTTTTGTGTGCTCCATCTCTGGGAAAATGACATGCTGAAAAATACAATAAATACATTCTGATAGTTTTAGTGTTCTATATGAAAACAGAAGCTTTGTTGACTTTTTTAATGGAAAAGCAAAACTTATCGCACACTACAATTGATAGTGTCTGGTTAATATTTTCTGTTTACTTTTTACCCACACACAAACACACACACATCGTCTATATCCATAAAAAATAAATAGTTAAGGCCAAGAAATAAGGTATTTTTAAAGGAAGTTGAGCCAATGTTTGTGTGTGTGCCGTGAACATATCTATATTTTTATCTAAATTTGTCCTGAACTTTGACTGGTTCAGTGGTATATTGGAAGGAGCATAGTTTTTTTTTTTTTCATCTTTTTTTTTTTTAACCTTTTTCTACTGGAAGATTTTATTGCAGCAAAAGACAAAGGGACAAAATGGATAGTATCTTGATTGTCCTGTGAAGCAAAATGAAAGTTTCCAGGCAATGAGGTTGATGCATTGTTAAGCACACGTGATTGAAAGAGAAGTCTTGAGAATGTTCTCCGGCAGTTAGGGCACAAGATAACACACTCACATGTTAGATTAATTCTCTAAGCTTTGATATTTCATAAAGGGGGATTTATTACAATATAAGCCTGGTTTCTTTTCTATGAAGTTTATGAATTTCCTGTGAGTCACAAAACAAGAGACCCTGAAGGCTATATCATAAGCAAATCCTAGCACTTGGCCAATAGAGAGAAGGCACAGATGTGAAGGCCGGGAATGAGAGAAGGGGATTAAAATAACACATATCTGCTACAAAACAGGTTCTATCCGCTGTCAACACTGTAGTACCGTATTTGGGGATAAAAATAATACATGTGTGCTTATATTACTGTTTCTTAATATCAAAACCTAGCAGTGATGGAGTCTGCAGATTATGGTTTCTTAAGCCTAGAATAACAGATGAAATGGAGGATTTGATATGTTTGACACACAGTCAAAACCTTCCACACCTCCATTCAGAACCAGGATAAGGCATTAGTCCAAATTAGACCACCTGGAAGGGTTCTGAAAAACCGTAAGGATTCATTTCCTCATGTGGCTTGCCTAAAACCACTGTTATTAAAATGTGTTAGAATATGTAAGAAATATTTCGATTTTTACAAACACGTATTGAAAATGATCTAGACTGGGCACAGTGGCTTACACCTGTAATCACAGCACTTTGGGAGGCTGAAGCAGGAGCATCACTTAAGCCCAAGATTTCAAGAACAGCGTGGGCAACAAAGCAAGACCCCATCTCTAAAAACAAAAGAAAGAGAGAAAGAAAATGCTCTAAAGAGTAAACTCTTTCCACAGTCCAAACAGGTTGGCATTACCAATTATTTTATCTTACCTTCTCTCTCTCTCTCTCTCTCTCTCTCTCTCTCTCTCTCTCTATATATATATATATATATATATATATATACCCTTTTTTTATTTTTTTTTTGAGACGGAGTCTCGCTCTGTAGCCCAGGCTGGAGTGAGTGGTGTGATCTCAGCTCACTGCAAGATTCGCCTCCTGGGTTCACACCATTCTCCTGCCTCAGCTTCCCGAGTAGCTGGGACTACAGACACCCACCACCACGCCCAGCTAATTTTTTGTATTTTTAGTAGAGATGAGGTTTCACCATGTTAGCCAGGATGGTCTCAATCTCCTGACCTCGTGATGCCTGCCTTGGCCTCCCAAAGTGCTGGGATTACAGGCATGAGCCACCATGCCCAGCCCTTACCCTCTATATTCTTAAAAACACCTTATGATCCTTAACTACACAACGTAATCCAAAAGAAAAACAAAATGCCTATCTATAAAAATTGGATATTTTAATGTAAGTTTGATCTTTCTCCTTAAGCAGAGACTTAATGTTTCATAGCTTTAGCAGAAAACGAAACCTTTCTTTACCACAGGTCCTCTAACTATATAATAGAAAAGTGTTATGGAAATTACCAAATATTTCCATATTTAAAATGTAATTCAATCAACATTTAAATACCAATGCAGACCAGGCACTTTGCTTGGTATTGGGGATCCAAAAACTAAGGGGAACAAGGGTTCATTGTCCCCTTTCAACAAACATAATTTGATAACAATGGAATGTTTTTACAATGGGAACATATGTAAACAATGGGCATGCAGGTGAAAAGTCAGTCATTTTAGGGCAATACCTAAAATATACCTGGCATAGTTCCCACCTAAATGTTCAACTAGCTTGCTGTCAGGAAGTTCCCCCTACCCATAATATAAATCCCTTAGTAACTGGGGAAAATACAGTAGTCATTTAACCACAACTATCATGGCTGAACATCCTCTCACTCGGGAGTCAGGAGTTATCAAAGGAACAGGAATAAAACAGTTGGCCGCCATTGTTCCGTTCTACACGATTGCTACTTGCCTAGGCTCAGATCTATCAGATTCCTCTTTCTCAATGACTGTACATGCCAATATCTCTTAGGAGTTATTTTTCCTGAGACCACTGGGTCAGTGCTCTTGACAGAAGCCTCAAACTAGAGCACCCAACTCTATGAATGGGTTAATGGATCATTTGTAAGAATTAAAGGGGTTCTTCCATCTCTAGCTCTATGTTACTAGATCCCTCTCTTTCTTGCTATGAAAATCCTTTTCTGTTGACATTGTTGTTGATATTAACTTCTCCAGGTATCTCACACCACTTTACACATCTAAGAAATTTTGTCAGTTTAGCCATCTTTCCCCATTTTATAAAGACATAAAGAGAGTCACTCTCACTAATTGAATATAAGCCAAAAAATGAATTTTGTAAATCCACATGGTATAAAGAAATATAATTTCAAGTAAGAAATATTGGAATATAAGATTTTGTGGGGGTTGGGCAGGGAGTTTTCTCTCTGTCAACTTTTTAAAATAAAAATGTGAAGAAATTAACAATTGGCTACATACATGCTACATATCAAACATATGAGTAACAACACTAGCTGGCCGGGGAGGTGGCTCACGCCTCTAATCCAAGCACTTTGGGAGGCTGACGCAGGTGGATCACTTGAGGTTAGGAGTTCGTGACGAGCCTAGCCAACATGGTGAAACCCTGTCCTACTAAAAATACAAAAATTACCTAGGCGTGGTGGCATGTGCCTGTAATCCCAGCTACTCGGAAAGATGAGGCAGGAGAATCGCTTGAACCCAGGAGGTGAAGGTTGCAGTGAGCCAAGATCGTGCTACTGCACTCCAGCCTGGGCAACACAGTGAGACTCTGTCTCAAAAAAACAAAACAAAAAAACCAACAAACAAAAAACACTGGCTTTCCTAGTGCCTTTTATTATTTTCAGTGATCTTCTAAAGAAAAGTGCAGAACAGACTATTGATTGGTCAGGCAGAAAGCTAGCTTAGGGAGGTATGGCTCTGCTGAGAGTAGCGGCTGTTAGGAAGCTCTGTTGAACTTCCCCCGCCCCGTGGTCTGGAGCTCCATGGTGTAGCCCAGTGCCTGATACAGAGCCGACGCCAGTGTTTATTGAATTAATGAATGAAAGATGAATGCCTAAGAGCATAGTTTCCTTGTGGGGTCATCTGGAAACTCGGGTCACATCTAACATTTAATATTTCATGTGATGGCAAGAATACAGTACACGAACAATCTAAGTTTGTATTTTTGTTTTGTTTGGGGAGGATAGTGAGATAAATTTCTGTTTGAAAATCTAAAATCCAGGAGCAGTTCTAAACAGATCTTTATTGATCTAAAAATTATTTAATGACTTGAGTAGTGCTGATATGCTATTTTAAAAGGGTGCATTTACAAATAGTTTAAACTTAGCAGATTATTAGAGAATTAACAAGGGAAGTGACTTTATGGGAAACAAATGGCTAGAGGGGGGAAATGACTAATAGAGAGGGAAAGTGAAACTTTTCTCTTAAATGGGGAGGAATAAATAATTGAGAGGATGGGGGAAGTTAGGTATATAGAAACCTTCAAGATTTGGAAAGATATAACCAAAACGGTCCTGCCCTCTCTACTCAGTATAAAGATGGGGTTAGTTGGTTTGTCTCCTCTAGTTTGTGTGAGAAAGAGGAGAGGTAAGAGAGTCAGAGAGAATAGGATAGTACTAGAAAGATAAAATATATTGGCCGGGCGCCGTGGCTCACGCCTGTAATCCCAGCACTTTGGGAGGCCGAGGCGGGTGGATCACGAGGTCAGGAGATCGAGACCATCCTGGCTAACACGGTGAAACCCCGTCTCTACTAAAAATACAAAAAAATTAGCCGGGTGCAGTGGTGAGCGCCTGAGGCTGAGGCAGGAGAATGGCGTGAACCTGGGAGGCGGAGCTTGCAGTGAGCCGAGATCGCGCCACTGCACTCCAGCCTAGGCGACGGAGAGACTCCGTCTCAAAAAACAAAAAAAAAAAGAAAAAGAAAGATAAAATATATTTAACTTATCAGCACAAGTAGCCTGTTAGGTGAAATAGCCTGTCATCAGCGGTAAAAATGGGAAGAAACTAACAGCTGTAAGAAAGTACACAATTTTTTTGATGCCAATCTGTTCTGAATTCACAACTTGACCACAGCTAGGAGGGACTTTATAGAAGTGAATTTTCTAATCGTTTATTATTATTATTTTGAGACAGAATCTCACTCTGTCAACCCACGCTGGAGTGCAGTGGCGCCATCTCAGCTCACTGCAACCTCTGCCTCCAGGGTTCAAGCAATTCTCATGTCTCGTCCTCCCAATTACTGGTGCATGCCACCACGCCCAGCTAATTTTTGTAATTTTAATAGAGATGGGGTTTCGTTATGTTAGCCAGACTGGTCTTGAACTCCTGGTCTTAAGCAATCCACCCGCCTTGGCCTCCCAAAGTGCTGGGATTACAGGCATGAGCCACCGTGCCTGCCTGTCTAATCAAGATTAGAGGTAAAGTCCATGATGTCTCCAGTTGTGAGAATGGCAGTTACTGGTAGTGAAGAAGGAAGTCAAGGCTCATCAAATATTGCTGTTATTTATTTGTGAAGGCAGAGTTTTCTATCGTGGTAGAGGGTTTGTGTATTGATATTGCAAGAACAAAGAATGAAGAATAGTGTTGACCTTGAACTTAATTGTACCTCTCTGGGTAAAGCTTGGTAGTTTAGAGGCTGCAAAAGAGACTTCTTCCCACCACTTGGGAAGTGGCAACTCTTACTGGCAGATATAATTTTGAAAAGTTAATAAACTTCTTAAAGCCTGAATATATAATATAGAGATGATAATGTTATCAATTAACGAATACACTGAAAAACTCATTAAGAGAGTATCAGGTAGCGTAATGAAACATGAATTCAGTCTGAAACCCAGTTTTAAATTATTGGGATAGCTAATGTAATCATGCCATCAGGCACTTATGGTCACCTTAATTCCCTCACCTTAGACGATTATTTAAAGATTGTGATACCCAGAGCCTGGCACGGTGCCTGACATTGGAAGGTACCCTATAAATATTTATTTGATAAATAAATGAATAGTTCATTCATGAAGAGTTCCTATTTATCTATCATCTATATCTATAATTGTTCATCTATTTGTCACAATGTCTATGTACTCTAAAGGAATTTATAATCTAAGTAAGGGAGCCCGCCTAGTAAGTATAATGCAAGTTCTTAAATCGTAAGTACTACAATAGTACAAGGAAGAAAGGGCTTGATGAGCACGCAAGGGAAAGAATTCATTTTGTTATGGTCATCCTGAGTGCTTTATGATGGAAATCACATTTGACCCTGTAGTTAGAGGAAGGGAAGACTGGGGAGAAGAGCAGTCCAGGTGTGAACAAATGCAGGGCGCAGGGGAAAGGAAAGGATGGGTGGGGGATAGAAGAACACACGACAAAGCTAAAGTATAGATGGCAGGGGCTGATAACCAGGAGACAGGCTGGAAGAGAAAGTGGGAGTGAGACAGTGGAGGGCTCTGATTCTCCTGGTCTCCCTTTCTTCAAGGATCTCTTGCCTTTAGTGCAGTGATCCTAGCACTCTTCAATTATGTACCCCATAAGTCAACATTTCTAGGATAGAACCTCAATGTATAAATACTAATGTTTAAATCATATATTAATATACACTACTATTTATGTATGATCTGCATTGTCTAGAAAAGCCAAGGGAAGCTTTTCTGTAATAATATTTTCATGAATACGAACTGAAATCTATTAAAAATAAAACAGCATTCCTTTTGGTTTGGGCTTTCCAATACGTTTTCTGTAGGAGTTTATCCTAAAGAAGCCACTTTTGAAATGGGCAGAGTGACTTATGAACCTGTTGAAAAAATACTTCTTGGCAGGGCACAGTGGCTCACACCTGTAATCCCAGCACTTTGGGAGGCCAAGGCAGGCAGATTACCTGAGGTCAGGAGTTCGAGATCAGCCTGGCCAACATGGTGAAACCCTGTCTCTATTAAAAATACAAAAATTAGCCCAGGCATGGTGGTACACACCTATAGTTCCAACTACTTGGGAGGCTGAGGCAGGAGAATCACTTGAACCCAGGAGGTGGAAGTTGCAGTGAGCCCAGATTGCGCCACTGCACTGCACTCCAGCCTGGGTGGCAGAGCAAGATTCTGTCTCAAAAAAACAAAAAAATAAAAAAGAAAAATAATTCTTCAAAGCCTACCCTTTCCCAGAAAATATGCTGGTCACTGGGGATGTGGTAGGAGGCAACAACAGACACACTCCTGCACTCATGAAGCTCACAGCTTAGTAGAAGCCTCAGAGAGCCTCAAATAATCAAGCAAATACACATAAAATTAGAGTTGGATCAGGCTGCAGCGGAAGGATTCGCATGCAGCGCTATGAGAACACGTAGTAGGGAAGTAAACCTAAGTTAGGGGGTCAGGGAAGAAATCTTGAGGAAAAGACGAATGAGCAGAGATCTCAAGACTAAGTGGGAGCAAGAATTGCTCATGATAAAGTGCCACATTGTTGATGATAAACAGAAGTGTTACAACCTAATGTGATCATATAGCCATTCAGTGGAATGCCACCCAGCTATTATCATGATGGAGGTACTACCTTGGAAGCAAGTCCAACATGCATTGCTAAATGGTATAGCATTGTATTTTATATGATTCCATGTACATTAAAAATGTTCCATATGCATAGAAAAATGTTGGATGCACACACACATGTATATCCATTAGCATATATATTGATTGTTTGCAATGGGGGCTATGGTAGATTTTCACTTTCTACTTTAAGTATTTCTGCAATGTTTGAATTTTGTACAACTCTGTTATGTTTATAGTCATAAAAATAATAAAAGTAGTTTTTTTTTGAGACAAGGTCTCACTCTGTCACCCAGGCTGGAGTGCAGTGGTGCAATCATGGCTCACTGCAGCTTTGACCACCCCGGGCTCAGATGATCCTCCTGAGTAGATGAGACTATAGGTGCACTAGGTGCACACCACCATGCCCAGCTAGTTTTTTTTGTTTTGTTTTGTTTTTGGCAGACACAGGTTTCACCATGTTGCCTGGGCTGGTCTTGAACACCTGGGCTCAAGCCATCCACCCACCTCAGCCTCCCAAAGTGCTGGGACTACAGGCATGAGCCACCGTGCCCGCCTAATAAAAGTTATTTTTAAAACTATGGTCTACAGCTTACAATTGGCATGGGGAATGAAGTACCCACACACATATGCACACATAATACATTATGTGTTTCAAGTATGGATAATTCTGATGTTGGAGTATGTAGTCACCTCAAATGATATTTCAAAATATGCATTAAACCATGTGTTTTGAGACTATTTAGCATCATCATTATTAGTGAGTCTGAACTGATAAAACAAAAACCGCCTCTGATGGCACTAAATTTCAACTAAGTCTGGCTGGGAAGGGAGAGATTAGATTATTTCTTGAGATCTCCATCTTTTTCACCAGTTTCCTAAGGACTGTAGTTCATATGGCAAGACATTTTGTTAAAGGGATTGAAAACCTTCTGTAGGTCCAGTGAGCCATGGGCCTTAGAAACTTACCAGGCTCTCATCCTTCAACATTGCCGAGAGTTTGTTAAAACTACCATAGAGAATTGCTGGGCCCAGTGGGTCTCAAACTTTCATGTGTATAGGAATCACTGGGAAACCTGTAAAATAATGGATTCCCAGGCTCCACTTTGGATCTGCTGAATAAGAATTTTGGAGGAAGGCTCGGGATCTGCATTTTAACAAGGTCGTTGGTGATTCTGAGCAAAGGAGCCCTGGACCCCATGTTAGGAAACATAATCCCCTTTGAATCCAACCAATCAACCTCTGCCTTGACAAAGAGGGTGTTGCTGGTTTGAGACGAAGAAAATCCAAGAACAAGAAATCCTCTAGTAGAAATTTCCTTCCTAACGGATTTTGATGAGTAAATAAAAGGAGAATCTGAATCCTTTTGGCAGAAATGCTTTTCCTCTTTCCTTTTTCTCAGATTTTACAAAAGGCATCTCAATAATAGCGGTTTTAACTCCTCATCCACTTTCTTAGTGAACATTGGCTTATTAATTTAAAACAGTTCCTTTGTCATTGGATATAGTTAGCACCCTTCGTGTTCTTAGGACAGTTGTGTGATTATGTCACAGGGAACCCATTTTAATGGTGGGGTGTGGTGTGGAGGGGAAGTCCTGTCGGTAAAGAGAGAGCACTGTACTTTCCTGATCTTACACTGAAAATTATCAATGGTATAGTCACAACAGTGACCAATTTATAGAGGAGACCACTGCAGCCCTGTTATTATACCTATTTTTATCATTTAAATATTACCTAATATTTTTAAAAAATTCATATTTTTTAGTTTAAGAAAGAGTACATTACTTTTGTGACATTAAAATTAGTGAATTTATTTAAAAATGAATTAGATAACTGCATATGTAATAGAAATATTACTTTATAAAATTATATGACAAATACAAAATAATTATACTTAATACAAAGTCTGTGCCACCTGTGAATTTGCAAGCACAGAATCAATCAACTCATTTTTCTTTTTTTGAGATGGAGTCTCACTCTGTCACCCAGGCTGGAGTGCAGTGGCGTGATCTCAGCTCACTGCAACCTCCGCCCCCTGGGTTCAAGCAATTCTTCTGCCTCAGGCTCTCGAGTAGCTGGGATTACAGGTGTGCGCCTGACGTCCAGCTAATTTTTTGTATTTTTAGTAGAGAGGGGGTTTCACCACGTTGGCCAGGCTGGTCTCAAACTCCTGACCTCGTGATCCGCCTGCTTTGGCCTCCCAAAATGCTGGGATTATTAGGCGTGAGCCACCGTGCCCAGCCAAATCAACTAATTTTTATTACTTTCCACTCTCTTTCTTTTTCTCACTTTCAACAAATACTCAGCGAAGCAACAGGAAATATTGCCACCCTTTTCAGAAGGCCCGGATTTCCCATCATGACATAAAATGAGCAGGTTTGAAGATGGAATAATGTAAATGATTACGTTTTTCCTCCCCTCCAAATAATTATTTCTAATCCCGAGTAAATCTCCAATAAATATTTTAAAATAGCATTGCTTATTTGCCCTGATCCCAAAAGAAGTATGTATTCATTTTTTTTTACAGATTATTAGCCAGGTGTGGTGGTGCATACTTGTAATCCTAGCTACTCGTGGTGGCACATACCTGTAATCCCAGCTACTCGGAAGGCTGAGGCAGAAGAATTGCTTGAACCCAGGAGGCTGAGGTTTCAGAGAGCCAAGATTGCACCACCACACTCCAGCCTGGGTGACAGAGCAAGACACTGCCTCAGGAAAAAAAAAAAAAAAAAAAAGTCAGAAAAGTATAGAAAATAAAATTATTTACCATTATTAACGGTAATTAACAGTTAATTATTTTAATTTTATTTTCACTATCTAGAAACTATCTCACTATCTAGAAACTACACTATTTGGAAACTACAGTTAATGATTTAGTGCATTTCCTTTCAATTTTCATATTACTATACATGAAATTATATTTTATATCATAAAATTTATACAATTATGTTTTTTTAAATAGTCAATTCAATACCAAGAACATTTTACCAAGCCATTAAATATTCTTTGAGAATGAACTTTAAAATTGGGTCTCCAGTTTCCCACCATCTGGGGCTACCATAGTTTAAGTAACTCTTCCCCTATAGTTGGACTTCTCAGTAGCTTCCACATTTTTTCTAATAAAAATAGGATTAAAAATATTTTATTGGCTGCCCTCAGAGTTCTGTTTAGAGAGGAAATTATCTTTGTTCAGGAAACTTGCATGATGAACTGCTTTCATTGGTCAAGGAACTTTCAGAAAATGAATATCAAGTCCAATTTGAAGGTGTTTGTATTGTTGCGATTTAAAACACTCTCTCCTACCTCAACCCAACATAATGAGCTGCACTCCTTTGCTTTGTGTGAGAGGTTTGAGGGAGAATCAAGGAAAGGGTTTGAGTTATACGGGAGTCATGCATGAGATCGAATGTCTAGAGGTGAGCAGAAGTGACAGTGAAGTGTTAAGTGCCCAGGAATTTGCAGAAATATCAGAAAAGGGCGCTGTGCTTCCCTAAGGACATAGAACTAAAGGCTCAGGCCAATTTTATTTTAATTTTAAAAGGTCAAGATGACCTCAGCTGACATCTATGAAAGAAATAACACTGACAAAAGAGCACAAAGTTGGATTTTGTTGTTTTGATCCATTGGAGTGTCTTTGTCTTCTCACAGAGGAGATTTGAACACATACATGTATGTTATCTCGTGTCATGCTTTCGGTTAAAAAATACTCTTCATGCTCTTAGAATTTTATTTTTTATTTTTTACTTTAGTTATAATGACTATGTTGACTTTGCTCTTTACACCCTCCAGTGATTTGGAAGTCACATATTGTCATAGGTCAGGATCCCCAAGAAACAACCGGAGATCTGCACGTGGAGGTTTGCTGGAAAGTGTACTCCAGCGGCAGCATTTATAAGGAGGTGAGGGATGTAGGATTGAGCTGAGAGAGAAGTTGCCTCAGCTAAACTTATATGGAGCTCTGAGATTGAGATGGCCCTTCCAGAATGTTCCAAACTGAGGTGTGGGGGTGGAGGGGGTCGAGGGGCAGCTAGGTATATAATATTTATATTCCTGCATTGGCCAGGCATGGATGTGGGCTGTGCTTGGAGAGGGATCATGTTTTAGGAGCAAGAAAGCTCCTCCAATTGCAGACAAGTCCTGGGGAGGGACTCAGCTGTGAGCCTTCAGCAGGCAGCACTCCCAGCAGCTGGAGGAATAAATGCCTCCCTTCTGAAGATGGGATCTGAGCTTATTATGTTTCCATTAACACTTAAAGTAGAAGTGTTAGTAGAGTCAAAAATACCCAGACTTCTTTTCTCTCATTTTATTGTCAATAATTACATTATATTTTAACGTAAAGGATCATTGACTTGCTCTTGGGTCAAATGAAAAATGTAACAGGGTTTTATTCCTTTACTTCCCAGTTTGGGTTAATATAATCTGGCATTTTAGACTGACATAGTTAACAACACCATGTGGTTGTGTAGAAGCATTATTTTCCTTGTCTTTAAGAATGATGTTTGTCATTAATGTTGCATTTTATAACCATTCCAACATCTATATAGAGTATAGAGTTATCTCTGTCTCTATTGTTGCGATTTAGAACAATCTCTCCCACCTCAACCCAATACAAAGAGCTGCACTCCTTTGCTTTGTGTGAGAGGTGTGAGGGAGAATCAAGTCATAAGACTTAAATATGAATTTTCTCCACTATCTTGATATGAATGAATAAATGAATGAATTAACGCATGCATGCATGAATGAACAAAAAATGAAAGCCCCAGAGCTGAGGAGAATCACACCTACTTTGCTGTTAGCCCATAAGCCAACATTCGCAAACTTGCATTGATACTGCAAAGCCCATATTTTAAAAATCTGACTGTGAAAAGTTGCATTTTGCACTGATTTTTTCCCTTTTTGGTCTCACAGGAAGGTGACTTAGAATTCTAGCTAACGATATTAAAAACCACTTTCCAGTTCTTCCAAGCAGTGAGGGACATGGCAGCAACAAGCAAGAAACCAGAATCACATTCACTTTGATCCATCCACCCACCACATTCACTAGATTGAATCCTTCCACCAACTTTGAATGCACCTTGATCCTTAGAAATGCATTGGAAATATGCCACAGCGTGATTCTCAGCACAGATCATGCAAGATTATGAGGCTAAAGCTATGAGATCAACTCCAGAAACCAAAGGTTGAAACCCAAAGTCTGCACCCCTGTCATTACCTCTTGCATGACATGACCTTTTTAACAAATCTCTGAATCTGTTGTCACATCCATTCTGTCATTCAGTCAAGTAAGGAGTGCTGGGAGGAGAGGACAGACTCTAGGTGGAGTCAAAAAAAAAAAAAAAAAAAAGAGTCAAAAGTATTATTCAGAACATACAAACTAGAGAGTTTGCATGCCACCTTCTGTTAATGAGGTATCTTTCACAAAACATGCTTTTGTTTTTTAGAGACAGAGTCTCCCTCAGTTGCTCAGTCTGGAGTACAGTGGCACAATCATAGCCTGCTGCAGCCTCCAACTCCTGTGCTCAAGCAAGCCTCCTGCCTCAGCCTCCCGAGTAGCTGGGACTATAGGCGAGCACCACCATGCCTGGCTAATTTTTAAAAAGAAACAGGGGTCTTGTTATGTTGCCCAGGCTAGTCTGGAACTCCTGGACTCAAGTGATCCTCCCATTTCGGCCTCCTAAAGTGTTGGGATTACAGATGTGAGCTACCTCGCCCACTGACAAAACATGTTTTATTGGAGAAGGCTAAAGCACACCTCCTCAGAACTGGGACTCCAGTGGGGTTTCAGACTGTTCATAGGTTAGTATGCCTATCAAGAGTAATTGATTTATTTTAATGTGGTTGTTTTAGCTACTTGACTGTGAATTGGAGGGAATTTGGATGGAGGTGTTGTGGACCTGAATCATACAATATGGTGGCATCATTGGTGAGGTTTTCAAAACACTGGCATGACCTGCTATGTCCAGGATCTATCATTGCAGGCTAATTTAGATACAGTTCAAAGCAAGGGATGATGCCCTGTATTCAGTAGAATAATACGTTAGGTCAAAATTTGGGCTTTTTTGAATCCTTATGCTAATGGTTGAAGGTGTCCAGGTTCTCGGCGTCTTGATCAAAGATTTGGACAAAAGGCACAAACAAAGCAAGAAGAGAATGAAATAACAAAAGCAGAGATTTATTGAAAACAAAAGTACGCTCCAGAGGGTGGGAGTGGGCCCGAGCATAGGGGCTCAATAGCCCCATTACAGAATTTTCTGGGGTTTAAATATCCTCTAGAGGTTTCCATTGGTTACTTGGTGTATGCCCTATGTAAATGGAGAGGATATTTCCTATCATAGCTGAAGTGTTTCCATTTGATTTAGTCCTAGGAAGTCAGTGTGAATTGGCCTTATGTTCCTGCCTCCAGACCCTATTCTCCTGCCTCACTTTTAGCCTATGAAGATTTAAATCCCTCAAGGTCCCACTATTTTTTTCTGGCAAATATATAAATAACGAGCCAGGCATGGTGGCTCACACCTGTAATCCCAGCACTTTGGGAGGACAAGGCAGGCTGATTACCTGAAGTCAGGAGTTTGAGACCAGCCTGGCCAACATGGTGAAACCCCGTCTGTACTAAAAATACAAAAATTAGCCACGTGTGGTAGCACATGCCTGTAATCCCAACTGCTCAGGAGGCTGAGGCAGGAGAACCACTTGAACCCGGGAGATGGAGGTTTCAGTGAGCCAAGATTGCACCACTGCACTCCAGCCTGGGTGACAGAGCAAGACTATGTCTCAAAAAATATATATATATTATATATATATTTATATAACTTTGCATCTTTAATTTTATTATGCTTTCTTTTCCAGTTGTTACATGTGAGCACTGTTCATATCTGTGAATGCTCATTTTATATTAAATGTTTAAAACTTAGTCTTTGATACCATATATTCTTTAATTAGATAAGACGTAAACACAGTTTTCATATATATACATTTTTTTCCTGAAGCCAATCTGTCCTATTAGTCAAGCAGCTCTTTTACTGAGTAGATGTCTACAGATAACATTACTTTAGAGCTGATGACGAGTATGATGCCCGTGCAGATATTTTTTGTTTGTCCTTAGAATGCCCTTTTGCTATTTCCATGGGAATGTGGTCATGCAATTAATTAGCCAATTTGAAAGTACTTCCTCTGACAAGCTAGCCACCTTTTTAGTAAGAGTGTAAATGAGCAATCCAAGGGACAGGTATTCAATTCACTAATTAATTTAAATGCAAAACCAAAGACTTCCAGGGATCATATTTCTTTCGTAAAGCAAATAGACATTTTATCATTAATAGTTACATTGTGGCCATTCATTTAATTGTAAATAGTGCCCAATATTAAGGGTAAATTCAAAAAACAACATTAGATATGAAATGCATTTGTATACTAGTGACTGAACATTTCCACCAATGGGTTTTCAGTGGCAATTTCCCCATGATATTATCAAAGAGATTTTGTTCTACAGTTTTAAGAGTGCTCTTGTATCTTTCTAAACCTCAAAAGAGAAAATATACGGTAGAATGCATCATGCATACTCATATCTTAGCCATATTGGTGGTTGACAAGAATGTCACTTGCCACTTAAGATGTCATCACACAGGAGGATAATGATTGCAACCTGTCCCCTCGCAAAGGAAGCATATCTGGGCTTGATAATATAGTCAAATAGATCCTATGTGATGGGAATTGAAGGCCACTGCAAAGCTCTCTGCCCCTAGAAGCGCCATTCCTACCGGCTTCCTATGGAACTGTCAGCCTCTCTATTTTGCCTTAAACACTTTTATGTGCATCATACTGTCCAATGAAACAGTAGTGACTGGTAAACTCTGCAAGTGGCATTGAATATATGGATCTGAAAGTCAGGATGGAGGTTCGAGTTGATGCTACCTATTCCAGATGAAAGACTTCCCAAGGAGGGTGGGCAAAGTGCAATGAGAAGATGTCAAGGTGGCGGCCTGAGGGATACTCATGTTCAGTGGCAAGAGGAAGAAGAGCCCGTGAAGGAAACGCACATAGATGGGCAGAGAGGGAGAGCACAGAGAGAGAAGAGGAGTGAATGGAACCACAAGAGGTAAGAAGCTGCTGGATCAGTGTTAGTGGTCCCAAGTGGGAAGTGGCTTGGGGTGGGGAGTGGAAGAAGGAGGAATAAGCTGGAATGTGTGGGTAGGCAGGGGACCTTAAGACCAATCCAAATGTTCTGCAAATGTTCTTAGGTCTGGGTCCGGGTCACCTTCACCAGAAGAACCTATTTCCCTTCCCAGGGGACAGACTCAGGAGGGTCTAGCCCACATACACAAACCAAGTTATATTTCAACTGGCAGAATCAGAGAAGCCTTCTCAGGAGGCATGGCCAGATGCCACGTTGCATGTGAGGTTAAATAGGAAATAACTCAGACTGCAAAGCCAAGTTTAGAATCAGAAAAACAACTAATCAGAGCAACAGCAGTGAGAACAATCTGTCCCGGAGCTGGAGCAGAGGCTGCCGGGCTCTGACAGTCACAGGCGCCGCCCTGCACAATGCAGCCATTATGACTGCCCGGCACCAACGTGGCTGAGCTCCAACCACAAGCCCTTTCATCCTGGAAGGTCTCTGTTAGGAAGCAGAGTCTGGTAAGTAGAGAGAAGTAGAAGTTTAAACGCAAATCAGTGAGTGAAAAAAAGGGAGAGAAATCAAAAGGTCCAAACTGAAAACCCAAATATTTCCTTAATTTCAAATTCTACAGTAAGTGGAGTAATATTATAAAATATTAGGGAACTCTGAAACAAAACTGCCATGCAAACAGAATATTTGCATATTTTGTCATCTAAGAGGGAGACGAGCATATCATAAATCATAAAAAATGATTTATGATATGCTACTTATACAGCAAAGAGTTTATTTTATTTTGAAATGGAGTCTCACTCTGTCGCCTAGACTGGAGTGTGTAGTGGTGTGATCTCAGCTGCAGCCTCCACCTCCCGGGTTCAAGTGATTCTCCTGCCTCATTCTCCCGAGCAGCTTGGATTACAGGCACCCGACACCATGCCTGGCTAATTTTTGTATTTTTAGTAGAGATGGGGGTTTCACCATGTTGGCCAGGATGGTCTCGAACTCCTAACCTCAGGTGATCCACCCGCCTCGGCCTCCCAAAGTGCTGGGATTACAGGTGTGAGCCACTGCACCTGGCCAAGAGTTGATTTTAAAGAATGGTATCCTCTCCTATGAACTAAGTTATAGGTTACATGATAAATTAATCAATATTTCTATAGAGATACACAAAGACATAATACTGATCATTTATTCATTTGTTCCTTTAACAAAAGTTGATTGATTGCCTACTTTGTGCTTGACATTTTGTCATGTGCTAGGCAGACAATAAGGAACCAGGCCCTTACAGGGTCCCTATGCTCACAGGGCAGCATTCCTTAGCAAGGGGAGAAAGACATCAGTCAAATAATCATACTAATAGTTGTAAAACTGAAGCCATATTGAAGGATATTTTATAGTAGGGAGACTTTCTAACTGCACCAGACCAATCTGGCTCAACTTTTACATAACAAAGTTGTGAGTTGTTTCTCTATTGCCAAGAGCCCCCGAGGTTGAAGCTTATGTAACCTGACCATGCCCAAGTGTGCAACCACAAGAACCTAAATGCTCAGCCTGAGGAGCAGAGACTGAATTAAGAAGCAGACACTGCACCAGGCACGGTGGCTTACATGTGTAATCCCAGCACTTTGGGAGGCTGAGGTGGGCGGATCATGAGATCAGGAGTTTGAGACCATCCTGGCCAATACAAAAATTAGCCAGGCATGGTGGTGCTCGCCTGTAGTCACAGCTACTCAGGAGGCTGAGGCAGAAGAATCGCTTGAACCCAGGAGGCGGAGGTTGCAGTGAGCCTAGATCGTGCCACTGCACTCCAGCCTGGGCAACAGAGCAAGACTCTATCTCAAAAAAAAAAAGCAGCAGCAGGCACCGCATGGCAGAATCCAGGATCCAACCAGATTGAGTGCGGTCATCACCTCATGGCAGGATCCAATCAGCTCATGCCTCCTGGCATCACCTCATTGTGAGATCCAATCAGATCACACCTCATTACCCTATGCTTATAAAACCTGCCTCAGCACCTAGCTCCAGGAGACAAACTTGAGCATTTCCTCCTGTCTCCTTGTGAGTTAAATGACAATAAAGCTTTTCTTTTCTCAAAAGCTGGTGCCATCATATTGGCCTCTGTGTGCATCAGGCAGCAAGCCCATTGATTGCGTGGCAACAATTTGACAATCAGAGCCACAAGAGAAGTCTTTGCTAGAAAACTGACATTTCCAAATAGAGGGAACAACACGAGACAGGTCCTGTGGCATGAAGAAGCATGACCTAAACGGCCACCAAGGGCATCTATCTCAGGAAATAGCAGGATAAAGAATTTTCTCTTTATTCTTAGAGCAATGGAAGCTGTTGAATAGTTTTAGCAGAAGAGCTGCGTTCTCAGAATTATGTTTCTAAAAGATCACTCTGGCTTCTGAGTGGAGGAGAAGGGTAAAGTATGGTTACAGGATGAGTAGTGTGGTGGTCTAAGCTGTGGCAGGAAGAAGCAACTGACATTATACAGGCTGGGACTGATGGTTGCCTGGGTTAGTGTGGAGATGGATTTGAGAGGTATTTAGGAGGTAAAATGAGCAGGACAAGGTGTTAGAATCAATAGTGGGTGAGAGAGACAGGGAGGTTATGGATGATGCCTAGATACCTGGCTTGTAGAACAGGAAAGATGGTAGTATCTTGTGCTGAAATAAGAGAGGTAGAAGAAGAGCATGGATTGGAAGGTGGGAAGATGCGTGATTTAGGTAGGAACTTTTGCTGTGCCTTTGTGATGTCTGCATGGAGATGACAGGTTGACAGGTGGACAGATGGGTCGGAGGCGCCGATGGAATGTCTGGTCTAGAGATATGCATTTGTGAGTCATCTGTGCAAGTTTGTCATTGCTAAGAATGCCTAAGAAAAGCACGTGGAGTGAGGAAAAGTTCTGGCATAACATGGTGGATATTTAATGGCCAGGTTTGTACAAAGGAAATGGGGTAGCCAGAGAGATGAGGGCAAGACAAAAAAGTCCTGCACCACCAGAGCCTGGCAAAGAGTGTTCTGAACAATCCCAGAGTCCTTCTGTTACAGCTTCAATGTTCTTTGTGTTGTAGATGGCAAAGTTTCTGCTGAGTTTGAGGAAGAAGGGGCAGATGCGTGTGTTTGTGTGTGCATGTGGTGTGAGAGTGGCTGTCACCAAAGGAGGGGAGAAGCTCTGTAGAAGTTTTGATGGAAAGTAGGAGAGTGAGTTAATCAAAATATGTAGTAAGAGGGTCCATCTGAGATTCATTTTTTTTTTTTTTTTTGAGACAGGGTCTCACTCTGTTGCCCAGGCTGGAGTGCAGTAGTGCAATCTGGGCTCACTGCAACTAATGCCTCCCAAGTTCAAGCGATTCTCCTGCCTCAGCCTCCTGAGTAGCTGGGATTACAGGCATGCTGCACCAGCATGCCCATCTAATTTTTGTATTTTTAATAGAGACAGGGTTTCACCATGTTGGCCAGGCTGGTCTCAAACTCCTGACCTCAAGTGATCAGCCCACCTCAGCCTCTCAAAGTTCTGGGATTACAGGCATAAGCCACCGCACTCGGCCCTGAGATTCATTTTTATGCATTTACAATAAAGCCAGTCTGCTCCATTGCGTGCCTTTCTTCAGAAGAGTTCAGCTGCTGGGGGTTGGAATGCAAATAGCTGGATTCATTAGGGGTGAGAGTTTGCCAGAAGAGGGAAACAAACAAAAAAAGCTCAAAGGGCAAGGGAATATAGAGTATTGGCAAAAGGGCTATCAACTTGCTGAACCCTTGGCATCTGCCAGATGAGGAGGATGTGCAGACGGGACAAGGTCAAGGCACTGAGAGACTGAGGATGGAGCTGCAAGCCTGAAATCCTGATGGGGCTGAGGAATGGCCTCAGTGGAAGGAGCTGAGTCAGCCAGGGCAAGGGGAAGTAGTGATGCTCAGAGGACATTTGCTTCAGTGACTCTGCAAGTGGGGGACTGGGGAGTGACAGGAAGACCCAATGTGTGTGCACTAGGATGGATGATTTGAGTGGAGTGGAAGAGCTATTGCAGATGAGAACTTGAGGAATCAGAGGCCATTTGGTACAGCGGAACGCCATGTGTTTGTTGAATTTATTGGGCAGGATGGTGGGACTTTGAGTCCACATGCTAAGACTTTGACAAATGGCTGGGAAGGGAGTGACCAGGAATTGGCTAGAAGAAAATAACAGGAAGGAGTGGTTGAGCTGAAAACCACGAAGTCCAAAAAAGCAAGAATTTTTGCAAGAGGGAACAATAGTAGTGGATGCAAGTGGAACAAGGAGCAAAGACGATGGCAGCCCACCTCCATAATAGGGTGCATGTGAGAGAGAAAGGCATTCCCGGGCAATTGGAAGGAGTGTCTTCTGAGAAGAGACAGCTTTCGGCTGACGCAAGATGCATGAAGGAAGCTCAGGAAGAGCAGAGGAGGTGGGAGAGTTTCTCTGATGGCAGAGGGGAAGGGGTTGGGAGGCAACTCGGTGCCTAGAAGTGCAGCATTCTTGTTACAAACACAGACAGGAGAATATGGTAGTCCCCTCTTATCCTCATGAGATGTGTTCCAAGACCCCCATTGGATGCCTGAAACCATGGATGGTACCAGATCCTATAGATATTGTTTTTTCCTATACCTACATACCTATGATACAGTTTAATTGATAAAGTAGGCACAGTAAGAGATTAATAACAGTAACTCATAATAAGATAGAATGATTCTAAAAATATACTGCAGTAAAAGTTGTGGGAATGTGGTCTCTCTCTCCAAATATTTTACTGTTCTGTGCTCACCCTTCTTGTGATGATGTGGGATACCACAATGCCTTTGTGATGAGATGCAGTGAGGTAAATGATACAGACATTGTGACGTAGGGTTGGGCTACTATTGACTTTCTGACGATTAGGAGGACCATCTGCTTCAGGTGAACCTGGATCATCGAACCATAATTGATGGCAGTGACTGAATGTCAGGAGCAGATGCTATTGATGACTAATGGGTGGGTAGTACAATGTGGATCCACTGGACAAAGGGATGATTCATGTCCCAGGTGGGATGGGGCGGGACAATTCAAGATTTTATCACCCTTCTCAGAATGCTACCCAGTTTAAAACTTATAATTTGTTTCTTTCTGGAATTTTCTGTTTAATATTTTTGGACTGTGGTTGACCTCGGGTAACTGAAACCACAAAAAGTAAAGCTGTAGATAAGGGAGGACACTAT
Organism: Homo sapiens; assembly: GCF_000001405.40. NCBI lineage: Eukaryota > Metazoa > Chordata > Mammalia > Primates > Hominidae > Homo > Homo sapiens. The sequence continues at coordinate 22,854,443 of NC_000010.11, forward strand.
AACAAACTGTAGACCAGGAAGAAGAAAGATGCCTGAAAAATAATAATGGAATGAAGAAAAATAAATCGTTAGGCAGTAATCCCTACCAATATAAAGTCAAATCAGACCAAGAAGATCAGGCCCTCCAGGAGGCCTCTGACCCCTAAGCAAATGGCTTTCAATTTAGAGCAGAGTTTGTTCAAACTGGGGTTTGAACTCTATTTTTAGACAATTCTCTTAACATGTAACCCCAAATATTTATATTATAGCTAAAAAGATTGTACCCTGGTGAAAAAAATAGCTGAATTTAAATACACATATATACATACATACACACATATTTACACACATACACAATCTTGCCAATTAAAGATGCCAATTTAATCAACTCTTGGCTTTCTCTTCATAATGAACAATCTCGAGCCCTTACTTTTTTGCAGAAGTCCCATTTTCTAATCCTGGTTGACTTTAGGGATAGAATGTTCTCCAAGTTCTCCATGCCCCTTAATTCTAGAACTCAGGAATGGACACCCTGCTCCTAGAAAAGTTTGACTAGTACCATGTATAATGGGAGGGTGATCTCATGGTTCCTCTGGGGACTTGGTTTTACATCCTGGCACTGTTCAGTCTTTAAAAAGCTGCTGTTATGACTGACTCCAGCTTATCTATTTTCATTGCTGGCTCGTTTTAAGACATCCTTCCCTGTAGCCAGTCACATCTTATCTTCTATTTGTATACTTCACTTCCCTCTCCTGGAGGGACTCCTACCCTGCATTTATCTTCAGCAAACTTTAAAAAGCATCCTGACCACTGTTCTAATTTAGTAGGGTTATTTTAAACTTTGCTCTTCACCAGCGGGCTGAGGCTGGTCTTCCCACTCCTCCATTGAAGCAGTGACTAATGTGCTCTGAGTTTCCTTCATGCCAACGCTGTGTTTGGGGATGTCTGTTTGCAAACATTTCAGCCTGAATTTTTCTCTGCTACTCCTGCGGCCTCCCTGTGCTGGGAGCACTTCTGTGGAGGTCAGGCCTTGGTCAGTGTCGATCCTTGTTCCTTTTGGCCTTTATCAGTTAAGAGAATCAGCTGGGTGCAGTGGCTCACACCTATAATCCCAGCACTTTGGGAGGCCAAGGTGGCTGATTCACTTCAGGTCAGGAGTTCAAGACCAGCCTGGCCAACATAGTGAACCCTCGTCCGTACTAAAAATACAAAAATTAGCTGGGCATGGTGGTGTGTGCCTATAGTCCCAACTACTTGGGAGGCTGAGGCAGGAAAATTGCTTGAACCCAGGAGGCAGAGGTTGCAGTGAGCTGAGATCATGCCACTGCACTCCAGCCTGGGCAACAGAGGAAAAAAAAAAAGAGAATAAATTCCCTAATATTTCAAACCTTAGGTCAAACGTCTGTAGATGTTAATGTTGAGGAGGACTATTTCTAAATTAACACACAGACAACAAGAACTTAATCTTTTAGATCCAAAATCAGCACCCGTACTATTATTATTTTTTTGGTTCTTTTATATATTATATATCCCAGAGACTATGTCTGTTTTGTACTGCAAGAGCCGGTGAAATGTCTATCCTTTTTTTTTTTTTTAAATAGACAGGACCTTGTTCTGTTGCCCAGGTTGGAGTGCAGTGGAATGATCACAGGTCACTGCTGCCTTGAACTCCTTGGCCCAGGTGATCCTCCCGCCTCAGCCTCCCAAACAGCTGGGACTGCAGGCATGTGCTGCCATGTCCAGCAAATTTTTAAATTTGGTGTCAAGACAGGGTCTCGCTATGTTGCCCAGGCTGGTCTTGAACTTGTGGCCTCCAGCAATTCTCCTGCCCCAGCCTTTGGAGTAGCTGGTACTACAGGAGCACCATTGCACCTGCCTGGTCGTAATTTTTAACTCAACCATTCCAGAGGGTAAGAGTATCATTAAATAGTGAAAGAAAGAATGAACGCAAAGTCAGAAAATGCAGGAAAGGATGCACAGAGGCAGCTACAAATCCTCCCTCAAGCCAGGACTAATCCCTTCCTGTCCAAGTTCCAATGGCTGATGCTTCATCTTTCTTCCTTTCCTCTGGTCTACATGATTTCTCTGTAAATGTTGTTACAAGCATTTGCATCTAAATCTTGTTTTCTCTATGAAACTACAAACCTGCAGAGGGAAGTTCCTGATGGTTGCTAATCTATCTCTATTTCACTCACAGTATTTTACCTAATGTCTTAAAACAGTCAGTGCTCAATAAAGATTGGTCACAGCGGCTCATGTGTGCCATCTCATCTCAATGCTTTGGGAGGCCAGGCAGGAGAATCGCCTGGGCCCAGGAGAGCCAGACCAGCTTGGGCAAGAGAGTAGGACATTGTTTTTTGAAGGAAAAAAAAAAAAAAAAAATGAGCCAAGCTTGGTACACACCTGTAGTCCCCACTGTGTGGGAGTCTGAGGTGGGAGGATCACTTGAGCCTAGGAGGAGGAGGCTGCAGTGAGCTATGATTGTGCCACTGAACTCCAGCCTGAGTAACAGAGTGAGACCTTGTCTCAAAAAAAAAAAAAAAAGAAAAGAAAAAATTTGGCTGGGTGCAGTGGCTCATGCCTGCAATGCCAGCACTTTGGGAAGGTGGGGTGGGCATATCATTTGAGGTCAGCAGTTTGAGGCCAGTCTGGCCAACATGGTGAAAACCCCCCTCTACTAAAAATACAGAAACTAGCTGGGCGTGGGGGCATACACTTGTAATCCTAGCTACTGGAGAGGCTGAGACAGAAGACTCGCTTGAAACCAGGAGGTGGAGGTTGCAGTGAGCTGAGATTGCACCACTGCACTCCAGCCTGGGCGACAGAGCCAGGCTCCATCTGAAAAAAAAAAAAAAAAAAAAAAAAAAGTTGACTGAGTGAACAATGAAAGAACACATGCAATTTAAGAAAGTTTAGTCCCAAGTTGATTTACTGTTTTGGCAAAGTAATTTAATTTTAATCGAATTCTCTTCTAATTCAAAACTTTAATTGATTTAAATAATAATAAGATGAAAAATAACCAATTTGAAATCTAGAGACACAGACTGGCAAATTGGATAAAGAGTCAAGACCCATCAGTGCGCTGTATTCAGGAATCCCATCTCACGTGCAGAGACACACATAGGCTCAAAATAAAGGGATGGAGGAAGATCTACCAAGCAAATGGAAAACAAAAAAAGGCAGGGGTTGCAATCCTAGTCTCTGATAAAACAGACTTTAAACCAACAAAGATCAAAAGAGGCAAAGAAGGCCATTACATAATGGTAAAGGGATCAATTCAACAAGAAGAGCTAACTATCCTAAATATATATGCACCCAATACAGGAGCACCCAGATTCATAAAGCAAGTCCTGAGTGACCTACAAAGAGACTTAGACTCCCACACAATAATAATGGTAGACTTTAACACCCCACTGTCAACATTAGACAGATCAACGAGACAGAAAGTTAACAAGGATATCCAGGAATTGAACTCAGCTCTGCACCAAGCGGACCTAATAGACATCTACAGAACTCTCCACCCCAAATCAACAGAATATACATTCTTTTCAGCACCACACCACACCTATTCCAAAATTGACCACATAGTTGGAAGTAAAGCACTCCTCAGCAAATGTAAAAGAACACAAATTATAACAAACTGTCTCTCAGACCACAGTGCAATCAAACTAGAACTCAGGACTAAGAAACTCACTCAAAACCACTCAACTACATGGAAACTGAACAACCTGCTCCTGAATGACTACTGGGTACATAACGAAATGAAGGCAGAAATAAAGATGTTCTTTGAAACCAATGAGAACAAAGACAAAACATACCAGAATCTCTGGGACACATTCAAAGCAGTGTGTAGAGGGAAATTTATAGCACTAAATGCCCACAAGAGAAAGCAGGAAAGATCAAAAATTGACACCCTAACGTCACAATTAAAAGAACTAGAGAAGCAAGAGCAAACACATTCAAAAGCTAGCAGAAGGCAAGAAATAACTAAGATCAGAGCAGAACTGAAGGAAATAAAGACACAAGAAACCCTACAAAAAATTAATGAATCCAGGAGCTGGTTTTTTGAAAAGATCAGCAAAATTGATAGACCGCTAGCAAGACTAATAAAGAAGAAAAGAGAGAAGAATCAAATAGATGCAATAAAAAATGATAAAGGGGATATCACCACCGATCCCACAGAAATACAAACTACCATCAGAGAATACTACAAACACCTCTACGCAAATAAACTAGAAAATCTAGAAGAAATGGATAAATTCCTCGACACATAGACTCTCCCAAGACTAAACCAGGAAGAAGTTGAATCTCTGAATAGACCAATAACAGGATCTGAAATTGAGGCAATAATTAATAGCCTGCCAACCAAAAAAAATCCAGGACCAGATGGATTCACAGCCGAATTCTACCAGAGGTATAAGGAGGAGCTGGTACCATTCCTTCTGAAACTATTCCAATCAATAGAAAAAGAGGGAATCCTCCCTAACTCATTTTATGAGGCCAGCATCATCCTGATACCAAAGCCTGGCAGCGACAGCACCAAAAAAGAGAATTTTAGACCAATATCCTTGATGAACACTGATGCAAAAATCCTCAATAAAATACTGGCAAACCGAATCCAGCAGCATATCAAAAAGCTTATCCACCATGATCAAGTTGGCTTCATCCTTGGGATGCAAGGCTGGTTCAACATACACAAATCAATAAATGTAATCCAGCATATAAACAGAACCAAAGACAAAAAACACATGATTATCTCAATAGATGCCGAAAAGGCCTTTGACAAAATTCAACAACTCTTCATGCTAAAAACTCTCAATAAATTAGGTATTGATGGAACGTATCTCAAAATAATAAGAGCTATCTGTGGCAAACCCACAGCCAATATCATACTGAATGGGCAAAAACTGGAAGCATTCCCTTTGAAAACTGGCACAAGACAGGGATGCCCTCTCTCACCACTCCTATTCAACATAGTGTTGGAAGTTCTGGCCAGGGCAATTAGGCATGAGAAGGAAATAAAGGGTATTCGATTAGGAAAAGAGGAAGTCAAATTGTCCCTGTTTGCAGATGACATGACAGTGTATCTAGAAAACCCCATTGTCTCAGCCCAAAATCTCCTTAAGCTGATAAGCAACTTCAGCAAAGTCTCAGGATACAAAATCAATGTACGAAAATCACAAGCATTCTTATACACCAATAACAGACAAACAGAGAGCCAAATCATGAGTGAACTCCCATTCACAATTGCTTCAAAGAGAATAAAATACCTAGGAATCCAACTTACAAGGGATGTGAAGGACCTCTTCAAGGAGAACTACAAACCACTGCTCAATGAAATAAAAGAGGATACAAACAAATGGAAGAACATTCCATGCTCATGGGTAGGAAGAATCAATATGGTGAAAATGGCCATACTGCCCAAGGTAATTTATAGATTCAATGCCATCCCCATCAAGCTACCAATGATTTTCTTCACAGAATTGGAAAAAACTACTTTAAAGTTCATATGGAACCAAAAAAGAGCTTGCATTGCCAAGTCAATCCTAAGCCAAAAGAACAAAGCTGGAGGCATCACACTACCTGACTTCAAACTATGCTACAAGGCTACAGTAACCAAAACAGGATGGTACCGGTACCAAAACAGAGATATAGACCAATGGAACAGAACAGAGCCCTCAGAAATAATGCCTCATATCTACAACCATCTCATCTTTGACAAACCTGACAAAAACAAGAAATGGGGAAAGGATTCCCTATTTAATAAATGGTGCTGGGAAAACTGGCTAGCCATATATAGAAAGCTGAAACTGGATCCCTTCCTTACACCTTATACTAAAATTAATTCAAGATGGATTAAAGATTTAAATGTTAGACCTAAAACCATAAAAACCCTAGAAGAAAACCTAGGCAATGCCATTCAGGACATAGGCATGGGCAAGGACTTCATGTCTAAAACACCAAAAGCAATGGCAACAAAAGCCAAAATTGACAAATGGGATCTAATTAAACTAAAGAGCTTCTGCACAGCAAAAGAAACTACCATCAGAGTGAACAGGCAACCCACAAAATGGGAGAAAATTTTCGCAACCTCCTTATCTGACAAAAGGCTAATATCCAGAATCTACAATGAACTCAAGCAAATTTACAAGAAAAAAACAAACAACCCCATCAAAAAGTGGGCAAAGTATATGAACAGACACTTCTGAAAAGAAGACCTTTATGCAGCGAAAAAACACATGAAAAAATGCCCCTATCACTGACCATCAGAGAAATGCAAATCAAAACCACAATGAGATACCATCTCACACCAGTTAGAATGGCGATCATTAAAAAGTCAGGAAACAACAGGTGCTGGAGAGGATGTACAGAAATAGGAACACTTTTACACTGTTGGTGGGACTGTAAACTAGTTCAACCATTGTTGAAGTCAGTGTGGCGACTCCTCAGGGGTCTAGAACTAGAAATACCATTTGACCCAGCCATCCCATTACTGGATATATACCCAGAGGATTATAAATCATGCTGCTATAAAGACACACGCACACGTATGTTTATTGCGGCACTATTCACAATAGCAAAGACTTGGAACCAACCCAAATGTCCAACAACAATAGACTGGATTAAGAAAATGTGGCACATATACACCATGGAATACTATGCAGCCATAAAAAATGAAGAGTTCATGTCCTTTGTAGGGACATGGATGAAACTGGAAACCATCATTCTCAGCAAACTATCGCAAGGACAAAAAACCAAACACCGCATGTTCTCACTCATAGGTGGGAATTGAACAATGAGAACACATGGACACAGGAAGGGGAACATGAGACTCCGGGGACTGTTGTGGGGTGGGGGGAGGGGGGAGGGATAGAATTAGGAGATATACCTAATGCTAAATGACGAGTTAATGGGTGCAACACACCAACATGGCACATGTATACATATGTAACAAACCTGCACATTGTGCACATGTACCCTAAAACTTAAAGTATAATAATAATAAAATAAAATAAAGGAATCTAGAGATAAAGATGTTTGGGTAGAAAGGGGAAACCTTTGTGGATTTTCTTTAAAAAACACTCAAATCAATTTTCATGAATGAATGTAAGGGGAAGTCATATGCCCACCTGCCTCTCTCAAACCTGGACAGAATGTTTGCAAATATCAAATAGGAAGCTCCAAAAGTTCCCCATAATAGAAAATCAGTGAGAACAGTATGTCTGGATCCTACCAGACATTTCTAAACAATATCATTATTCAGAAAAAAATCATATGCAAGAAAGTATTTCTGGATAAAAGAACACATTAAAAATGAACAAGACAATTTGGAAAAAATTAGATTGAATTAAACATGTAAATGTGATACTTTGTTATACTGTCCTTACACATGCAGAATCACCTAGACCAGGCTAAGAAAGTGATTGTTTGCAATAATGATGATTACAGATACTACTAATTCCTGTAAATAACCCTTTATGTGTCCAGCAGTCTAATCCACTGTACCCAAAAAGATGTAGCAGTATCATAGAACTATTCAAATTTACAGCTTTGCATTTTCTCTACAGAAGTTATAAAATGACTAAAGCAAAATGAATCTTCAACATTTCGATGGAATAAATGGCAACATATAAAACGTAATCATCTGCTCAACTACCTATTTTAAGGTAGTTTAACACATTAACTAAAGATTCACCTGTGTTTCTCATGTTATGTGGAATGCAGAATAAAGGAAGAAGTAAAGATACTGTGAACTACGGCCTCCTGCAGGACCTCCCAGTGGCTTCTTTCTACATGTTAGCTCACCAGGACCCAGTCCTGAGCTTCTCCAGCCAGACCCAAGAGGAAGGCAATAAACCAACCTATTGTCTGGTTGGGTCTGAAATGATTTCTGCGATTATAGACCCCACAGGTCTAAAGAGGAACATGGAAATTGACTGCACACTGACTTGCAAAACACTCCTGCCCCATAAAGAGTTGGACCAGCCTAAAGAACATCAATACTAACAAAGAAAATATAAACCCTTCCCCAATATTAAATACAACTACTATCACTTGTTGACATGTTACTGTTAGGCACTATGCTAAATGCTTTATATATAAGATCACATTTAATTCTTCACCACCACCTTACGGGGGACATTATTATTCCCATTTTATAAATGGGGAAACATGAGATTGCAGAGTATTAAATGACTTGCTCAAAATCGCCCAGCTGGGAAGCGGTGGTGCTAGCACTTCAAACCAGAGCTACTTGATTTCCAAGCCCTGGCTGCGGCCATCCCTTAGGAGATAGAACCCGCACCTTGGTCCTTTTACACTGTAGCCCTGACTTGAACCCCAAACTGCTTGGCAGAAAACTTGGGATCCTGCCCAGTTCTCATCAGCCCCCTCTGTATTTCCCTAATGTGCTTGGTGGAAGAACTTGAAGGTTACTCTTCAAAATAGTTTGTGTGGGGAATGGTAAATAATAAAAGGTAACGTAGAATGAACGAATACCATGTGCCAGGCGCATGCAAAACTTATCCCACTTGATCCTTACAAATCTGTGAGCTAGCCATCATTATCCCCTCTTACAGATGAGGAAACAGGGTCAGAGGGGTAAAATGCTATGCCCAAAGGTACACATTTATTCAGTTTAAGAGCCAGGATTCAAAACTGTGTTTTCTCCTTTTAGAGTCTGTGTATTTGGACACTACAGTATTCTTACTCTCAGTCAACTTGATTGTACATGGTCTGTGATCATTTATTTGTTGACAGTTCTCAGATAAATCACCTTCCTTTAAATTAAAAAAGAAAAATCATTTCCACTTTCCTTTAAATTAAGAAAAGAAAAATCACTAACAGGTTTTTTTGTTTGTTTGTTTTGTTGTTTTTTTTTTTTTGCCTCCGGGAATAAAGCAGCTTGAAAATAAATGACATATATTAGATAGTAGGTCTTGGTTTCTAAAATTTAATAGTGAGGCAACACATCTTTGTAGACAAACCATTGCTTCTTACAAAGATAAGGGTAGAAAGATACAGAGGAAAAAATCACTGTAGTGCATGATCTCAATTTCTTCCACAAGAAACCAGATCTGGAGAGATTAATATGTCACCAAATAAAATAAAGTAAAAGAAAAATGGAGTAATTAAGGATCACATCTCCAGTTTCATATAACACAATCATACTACATGTAATAGTTCCCTATTGACAGAAATATGCTGTCATTTACTGCCAGGGATTATCTCTTGACACAATATATTTTATAGAGTTATATTGGAAAACAAGTAAAAAAGAAGGAATCCTGTGATTCACATATTGGAAAAATCTTGATATAAGTATGGTAGCTCATCAGCTAGATTAGGTTGTCGATGTGTTTTGTGAGATGTAAACGAAGTGGAATTCCCTTCTGATGCCACCAGTACCATCTTCCTCTGTCTTTCAGAATTAGATTTGCATTTGAGATTCTTCACTGTGAAGTAACTCTGGTCAGGGAGCATGTGAATACTCTCTGTGCATAACACAATCAGGGTATTTCTTTGCAAGAAATAAAGACAAAATGATGTAAATGAAAAAAAAATGAACTTGTTCACTTGCCCCAGCACATCCTAAATCTGTAGGCACTCAAACCCCTTCAGTCAAGAACTGCATAAACTTTCATGGATTCCTGTATGTATTTGCTTCAGAGCAGATACTGTGAGGTGGGATAGTTGGGGAAGGTGCATTCCTGTTCCCCTCTGACAATGATGGGCAGGGGCAACAAGTCCGTCCTGTCTATGGGCAGCAAAGCCCATCTACATGAGAGAAATGAAGTAACTGGAGAAATGAAAAGATCTTTCCTACAAATTTCCTCTCCCCAGGACAGAGCTAGAGCTACATATGATGAGTCCAAAAGAAGCCATCCATTCATAGGTGTCACATACATGTAAAAGTACAATATGTATATAAATATACACATTTACATATACAGATCTATTGTAAGAAATTGACTTACATGATTACAGAGGCAAAGAAGTTCCAAGATCTGTACTTGGCAAGCTGGAGACCAGGGAGAGCTGATGGCATAGTCTTGGTGCAAGTCCAAAGGCCTGAGAACCAGGAGAGCTGATAGAGTAAGTTCCAGTCTGAAAGCCAGCTGGCTTGAAACTCAAGAAGAGCTGATGTTTCAGTTTGAGTCTGAAGGCGAGAAAAAGACCCATGTTCCAACTCAAGCAGTCAGGCAGGAGGAGCCCTCTCTTACTCAGCCTCTTTGTTTTGTTCAGTCTTCAATTGATTGGATGGGGTCCACTCGCATTAGGGAGGATATACTGCTTTGCTAGGTCTACCAATTCAAATGCTAATCTCATCTGGAAACACGTTCACAGACACACCCAGAATAATGTTTGACCAAATGTCTGGGCACCCGGTGGCCCAGTCAAGTTGATACATAAAATTAACCTAATGTATGCTGAGGGGCTAGCTAACAAATGCCTGGAACAGATGCCTTTTGGGTTGATACAAGAAAAATAGACTTTAAATTCTCAACCTAAGAGGCTCTAAAAATTAACTAGTTAGCATTATGTAACTATAGGTATTTCATCAGTCTATCTGCTGTTTCCTGTAATCAGAGAAATTTCCAAAGAATTCAGATGGGCTTTACAAGTAGAAAAGGAGGAATCCTATGATTCACATACTGGAAATATCTTGATATAAGTATGGTAGCTCATCTTCTAGATTAGGTTGTTGATGTGTTTTGTGAGATGTAAATGAACTAGAATTCCCTTCTGATATCACCAGTACCATCTTCCTTTACCATTCAGATCAAATATTAAACTCGGGTTGATGACTTTCATGACTTCCAGAAAATGTACCATTCATTTTCATTCCTCCTCTCTCCCTGATTTGACAGTCTCATTTCTTTCCTCCATCTCTTATCTTCCCCAGTCTTTTTGTTCTGAATATTATAGTTAAGTTGAATATCAACTAAAATTTGTTAGACAGTGTTGCTACTTTCAAAGAATGTTTGTCCTATAAATGTTGAATCTTTGAGTATTTCCAATGACTGTTGAATGTAAAATGGTTAGTGTTACATATAAAAAGAACAAAAATTTTGAGAGGCCAAGGCAGGAGGATCACTTGAGGCCAGGAGTATGAGACCAGCCTGGGCAATATAACAAGACCCTGTCTCTACAAAATAAAAAAAAAAAAAGAAATTAGTCAGGAATAGTCCTAACTACTCAGGAGACTGAGGCGAGAGAAATGCTTATGCCCAGGAGTTCGAGGTTGCAGTAAGCTAAGATTGTACCACTGCACTCCAGCCTGGGCGACAGAGTGAGACCTTGTCTCTAAAAAAGCAAAAACAAAAACAAAATGCTCTCACTGCAAACCCCTTGCAGTGAAATAATTCATTTTAGAGTGAGGATTAGAATCTCTGCAAATGGGAGAATGCTTAAAGGCAATTGCTGTGATTCGTCCTTCACTCTTGCTTACTGTGCCCAATTTTCTTAAACTTCCATTGATAGATGTTTCCCCGGTGACTGTCATGGAAGAAATGGTAATTTTCCTAAGCCTACTTAAGCACTTCTAGTCTTGACTTGAGTCTAACACTTTTGGGACAAATTTTGATTTTTCTAGAAATAGTATGTAACTAGTTTCAAGGTTTGCCAATAACTGGGATATACATCAAATACTGTGTATCTATGATTATGCTTTTGTTAGTGTGCTATTACATAATTAGCAAATTTTAGATTCCTATAATAGTCAAAAGAGCGCATATTTTAATAATGTGCCTATGATATGGCCCACAGAATATCATAATTCTTAAAGAGATACTTGCCTTTGTGCTCTTTCAAAATTTATACAGTGAAAAGTCAGCTCCTCTGGCTTCTCAGCTGTAAACCACTTAACAAATCCAGAGTGAATTTTAAAAATGCCCACCCTTCTTTCTGAAGAGCCTGCTATAGTGCCAGATTCTGCTGATGGAAGAATGTTTTTCACAGCTTGAATACAAATTACGGAAAAGTACACAACAGAAAGCAGAAATATTAGACAAAGGGGAAGACTCTAAACCCAAGAAAGGTTCTTTCCCTTTGCCGTGGTGGTTCTGCACTCATGACTGACTGAATTGAAACTTTTCAGATTTGCCCATTATTTTTATTTTTTTATTTTTATCTTTTTTAGAGATAGCGTCTTGCTCTGTCACCCAGGCTGGAATGCAGTGGCGTAATCATAGCCCACCGTAACCTTGAACTTCTGGGCTCAAGTGATCCCCTCGCCTTAGCCTCCCAAGTAGCTAGGACTACTCCTGGCTAATTTTTATTTTGCAAAGATAGAGTCTTACTGTGTTGCCCAGGCTGGTCTCGAACTCCTGAGCTTAAGTGATCTTCCTGTCTTGACCTCCCAAAGTACTGGGATTACAGGCATGAGCTACTGTGCCTGGCTAGATTTGTTCATTTTAGAAGTGTTACTTTTACTATTTTCAACTTGAAAACATTTTACACTATTCACAGTTAATTAAAAAAAAAAGTCACGTATAATGTGTATATATTTAAGCCAACTTTACAAATCAAGATTGGTAATTATTCTTTTTCCCCCTAGAATATAAAATATTCTGTGATATTGCTATAGGAATTGAAAATATCCATCAGGTGTGAGTGTGTGAGGCCAGGATCTACAGTAACTAACTTCACACCCAGTCTAGTGGGAGAGTTAGAGACATTAGGACCATGCTGTTCAAAAGAAGATAATGAGAGCCACATACATAATTTCTAATTTCCTAGCAGCCACATTAACAAAGGCAAAAAGAAACAATTGAAATTTAAAAAATGTATTTGATTTAACCCAATATATCTGTACTATATGGTTTCAACATATAATCTATATAAAAATTATTAATAAAATATTTTACATTTGTTCATACTCTGTCTTTAAAATCTAGTGTGCATGTTATGCTTATAGCACACCTCAGTTTGGATTAGCCACATCTCAAGTACTCAATAGCTACATGTGGTTGGTGGGTACCATATTGGATAACACCAATTGGATTGGACACAATCTGCTTCTTAGACTTTTGTTAGACAAATTAGATGATGGATTTTTTGTTTTGTTTTGTTTTGTTTTTTGAGACGGAGTCTTGCTCTGTCACCCAGGCTGGAGTACAGTAGCGTAATCTCAGCTCACTGTAACCTCTGCCTCCTAGGTTTAAGCCATTCTCCTGCCTCAGCCTCCTGAGTAGCTTGGACTACAGGCACCTGCCACCAAGCCCAGCTAATTTTTGTATTTTTAGTAGAGACGGGGTTTCACCATGTTGGCCAGACTGGTCTTGAACTCCCAACCTGAAGTGATCCACCCACCTCAGCCTCCCAAAGTGCTGGTATTACAGGTGTGAGCCACCGCGCCCAGCCAGATGATGGATTTTTAAAATGTGAACCTTTTACTGATGCATAAAAATATACAGAATAATGCATAAATAATAAGTGCATTTTGATGAGTTTTCACGAAGAACATAGCTGCTTAACTAGACCCCAGATCATGAGATGGAACATTAACAGAGGCTCCCTTGTGTTCCCATTACATTTTCTTTTGATATCACAAATATCAAGACCTTGCTTTTCTTGCCTCCCACTCTATAAAGCAGACTCACTTATACATTAGGTTGGTGTGAAAGTAATTGGTGCACATTGAAAGCCAGTGCTTTGGTTTTCAGGGCAGTTCCAATCCTGGTCATGAATCTGCATTATGGATCTTCACAAATTGAAGAAACCCTCAAGGGGCCACGCCGGGAAAGGCAAGTTGAAAGAGAAGGACATCCCTGACTACTTAATAAACTGGATGTGTGTGTATTTCTCTTGGCTCTCATTTAGTTTCGAATATAGGGTGATGTAATTCAAATACCTTCTGAATCTGCTTTCTTTCTCCATGTGGTCATTAAATATGAGTGGAGTAAGAATGAGAAAATAACTCTCAGTTATATCAACTTCTATGGGATGTTGCAAAGCTGTGATCATTTTTGATCAAGCAAAGTTTTCTCTTGGCCAAAGAAGAACTGGGTATACAACATACACTCTATAAGTACAGTGCATGGCTAGGAGGGTGAGAGATGGAGCAAACATCCAAGCATTTCATATATTTTTCTAAAAAAAAATTTTGGAAAAGAAACTCAGGTTTATAGATGTAGCGTCTTTCCAGAGCTGCAGAAAGGGTGAGAGGCCGGCATGCGGTGGCTCATGCCTGTAATCCCAGCACTTTGGGAGGCACTTTGGTGGATCACCTGAGGTCAGGAGTTCGAGACCAGCCTGGCCAACATGGTGAAACGCTGTCTCTACTAAAAATACAAAATTAGCTGGGTGTGGTGGTGGGCATCTGTAATCCCAGCCATTTGGGAGGCTGAGGCAGGAGAATCACTTGAACCTAGGAGGCATAAGTTGCAGTGAGCTGAGATCCTGCCATTGCACTCCAGCCTGGGCAAAAAGAGTGAAACATTTCAAAAAAAAAAAAAAAAGGGTGAGAGGGAGTTAAGCATGAATGCAGGAAAGCACACTTTGCCAAGCTAGAGATGAAATCGCACACCTCCCTGCCATTCCCTTCAGAAGCCTTCTCCTAGGAGGGGAGAGTCCATGACTTCAAGGCCCTTCCTCCGCAGAGAGCTGTGCAACAGCAGCACAGATCAGCATGGCTCCCCCAGGAAGCAGAATGCCTCGTTCCTGCTGTGACTGCAATGGCTCCCTCTTTCTCTCTCTTTCTGCCCTGTCCTTCCTTGTGGGGTGCCTTTCTTTGAGGGCAAAAGTGTCTTGGATATTTTCAAGCACCCGAAAGATGAACGACATCACAAGGGTGGGTCTGCCACATAGCTATTTAAGTGGTTAAAGATAGAAAATGATATTGGCTAAAAAAAACCCAGTCTCTGCATAGCTTAGTGACTGTGATGGTTAAAATTGAGTGTCAACTTGATTGGATTGAAGGATGCAAAGTATTGGTCTTGGGAGTGGCTATGAGGGTGTCTCCAAAGGAGATTAACATTTGAGTCAGTGGACTGGGAGAGGCAGACCCACTCTCAGTCTGGGTGGGTACCATTTAATCACCTGCCAGCACAGCTAGGATAAAGCAGGCAGAAGAATATGGAAGGACTTGACTTGCTGAGTCTTCTGGCCTCCATCTTTCTCCTGTGCTGGATGCTTCCCGGCTTCGAACATCAGACTCCAAGTTCATCAGCTTCTGGACTCTTGGACTTACACCAGTGGTTTGCCAGGGGCTCTCGGGCCTTCGGCCACAGACTGAAGGTTGCACTGTCAGCGTTCCTACTTCTGAGGTTTTGGGACTTGGACTGGCTTCCCTGCTCCTCATCTTGCAGATGGCTTATTGTGGGACTTCACCTTGTGATCGCATGAGTCAATTCTCCTAATAAACTCCCCTTCATATATACATCTATCCTATTAGTTCTGTCCCTCTAGAGAACCCTAATACAGTGACTATTTCATCACACCTTATTCTGAAGAGAGCCACATCCTTTGGTGTTGAGGGTAGGCTGAGTATTCCCTGTTCCATCATTTGTTCTATCTCACAGGATAGGATTGAACCCCTGACATATCTGAACGCCATGACAAACTGTGATATTATGCAGTCTCACAGCTCAGCAGGGAAATGGGCTGGCAACACTAGATGAGTCAAGGGATTAAAGCTTTCCAATTCCCATATTTTAGTTAAAAAAAAAACAGTAACTATATAAAAAATTAAAAAACAAAAACAAACTGAAAAGAAAATCTGACATATGGAAAAGTGTATCATAGGGATAGACCATGGGCAATTGCACATAGGTAGTTCATAGAGCTGGCTGATTATCACAATCATTCATTGTATTTTGAAGTCTTGCATCGCAATGAGTAGTTTTTTGTTTTTTTTTTTATTTAATTGGGCATGGCTTTCCTTGGTGAGTATGTTCGCATTGATTTTCTTTTTTTTTTTTTTGAGAGGGAGTCTCGCTCACCTGGGCTGGAGTACAGTGGCACTATCTCGGCTCACTGCAAACTCCACCTCCCAGGTTCACACCATTCTCCTGCCTCAGCCTCCCGAGTAGCTGGGACTACAGGCGCCCGCTATCATGCCTGGCTAATTTTTTGTATTTTTAGTAGAGACGGGGTTTCACCATGTTAGCCAGGATGGTCTTGATCTCCTGACCTCATGATCCGCCTGCCTTGGCCTCCCAAAGTGCTGGGATTACAGGCGTGAGCCACCACGCCTGGCCCACGTTGATTTTCTATGTGGTGTTGCTCTTTTTGAAATTCTTCCATTATTTGATATACATGGAAATGAGCATTCCCTATTCCGCCTAACATAATGCAACCATCTTGTGACTGTGATTTTCAGGGTTTTATCTAATTAATTAATTTTTTGGAGACAGGATCTTGCTCTGTTACCCAGGCAGGAGTGCAGTAGCGTGATTACAGTTCACTCCACTTCTACCTCCCAGCCTCAAGCCATCCTCCCTCCTTCACCCTCCAGAGTAGCTGGAACTGCAGGCACGTACCACCACACCTGGCTATTTTTGTATTTTTTTGTAGAGGTGGGGTTTATGTGGCCCAGGCTTGTCTCAAGCTCCTGGGCTCAAGCAATACTCCCACCTCAGCCTCCCAAAGTGCTGGGATTATAGGCATGAGCCATGGCGCCTGGACTTATTTTCAGGATTTTATATGTTAGAGAATTAATGTATACTTTAGGGATTTTGATCTTTTGGGATTTACACATTAAGCATTATGGCTTTTGGCATTGTGTCTTCCAGGATTATAATCCAAACCTGAAAAATACTTTGAAGTTTTACTTTCTCTGGGTCTTCCACCTACCTTCTGCCCAATGGTAGCCTTTACTCCCTGGTAACGCTCTAAAGTGTTGCTGAGTTTGAGCAAACGTGGTAGATAAAGTTGTACCAGAGCTTCTCTTGGTGCACATTTTCTGCCTATGTGAAATCACCCTCATAGAGTTAACAAGAATTGCATGCCAGGTTCTGGACAGAAATATAATACTTACAATTAAACATTCCTCAGACTGCACTCTGCCCCACTTTCTTGTAGCTGCTTAATAAACATAAATCTAGTGTGCATATCAGGCTTACAGCACACCTCAATTTGGACTAGCCACATCTCACTAGATACTGACCATTTGCGTTCTCACTGATACTAGATACTAAATTCTCATTGTTTCTATAGCTAGACTCTCTGACATTAGAATCCTAAGGATTTTGTTGCAGAATTGCTTAAGATGTTTTTCAGATCCTGAATTCCAGCAAAATGGGTGGTGCCAACCAGTTTGAAGAACCCCACAGAGGAACGGAATCAACATGAGAATACAGTTTCTTCATCTATCTTGTGACTTCATCCTACACTCTTCAACCTAACAACCATCTCTACACCTCAGCCCGCTACTTGTCCAAGCCTCTTAAAATCCCTATCCCTAGACTCCTCCGGGAGGCAGATTTGAGGTTTCCCCCCATCTCTTTCATTTGTCTGCCTTATGATTAAACCTCTTTCTCTGCTGCAACCTAGTGTCTTAGTGTATTTGCTTGCCATGGGAGGACTAAGCTCTGAGTTTTTTCATTTTGCCCAAATTCTTGTCTAAGAGGTCTGGGGAGTCATGCCCTACAAACCGTAAAATCTCTTCAGATGGGTTTTATTTAACCCTATATATTGTGATTTACTTTCCCATCTGACTCTGGAAAGAGTCTAGCACGTTTTAAAGATCTGAATAGGAAACATTTGTCATCTATTCTCTCTAAGGGCAGACACTATAAGACTTCAAAAGGACCTTGGTCTCCACAATCTTTTATCTTAACCTGAACATTTCCTTTCTAAGCAATTGTCAACCAGAAAATGTTTAAATTTACCTATAGCCTAGAAGCACTCCCTGCACCCCCCGCTTTGAGTTGTCCCACCTTTCTGGACCAAACCAATGTATTTTTAAGAAATACATTTAAGATGCAGTTGATTGATGTCTCATGCCTTTCTAAAATGTATAAAACCAACCTGTGCCCCGGCCACCTTGGGCACATGTTCTCAGGACCTCTTGAGGGCTGTGTCACAGGCCATAGTCACTCATATTTGGCTTAGAATAAATCTCTTCAAATATTTTACATAATTTGACTCTTTTCGTTGACACACATGTTGGGAAACAAACCTGGTACAGTTACGTAGGTGAGCTTATCACTCCCATGAATTTGATATCTTCTATATACCAACAACTCCTAGATCTACATATGCAGCACGAGACTTTCCTCTGAGCTCCAGACCCACGATATAGCTTTACAGTAGACATCTCCAACCACAAGGTTTATAGCAATGCCAAGTTCAACAAGCCCAATTGAGCTGGGGATGCTTCCCCAACAAACCTGTCCTCTTCCAGTGTTTTCTGCCTCAGTGATGTGAGCCCCAAATATCTGAGACAGGTCCTAGTCAATTTAGGAAGCCTATTTTGCCAGAGTTAAGGATGCGTACCCATGACACAACCTCAGGAGGTGCTAACGACATGTGCCCAAGGTGGTCGGGGCACAGCTTAGTTTTATACATTTTAGAGAGACATGAGACATCAATCAATATATGTAAGATGTACATTGGTTCTGTCTGGAAAGGCGGGACAACTGGAAGAGGAGAGGGGGCTTCTAGGTCATAGGTAGGTAAGAGACAAATTGTTGCATTCTTTTGAGCTTCTGATTAACCTTTCCAAAAGAGGCAATCAGATATGCATTTATCTCGGTGAGCAGAGGAATGACTTTGAGTTCTGTCTGTCCTTTGTCCACAGTGAAATTCCTTGTGAGGGAGGGAGGTGTGTAGCTTTTTTTTTTTTTAAATCTTAGTAGCTATGTTTTTTAGGAATAGATTTGGAGGCAGGTTTGCCCTAAGCAGTTCCCAGCTTGACTTTTCCCTTTGGCTTAGTGGTTTTGGGGTCCCAAGATTCATTTTCCTTTCACAGTGAACAGCCCCTTGTTGTCCCTAGTCATGCCTGACACCTGGGATCTCCTGCATCAGTACTCCAATTTCCATTTGATCACCAAGTATGGTTGATTCTAGCTTCTGCAGATCTTGAATGCATCCACGTTCCTCCACCGCCCTTGGCTGTGCTACTAGGACTACTCTTGTACCAGCCATGTCACTGGAGTGGATTTAGGCTCTCCTCATGCCTACTAAGTAACTATTAAAAATGCAAGTCTAATTGTCACTTCAGAGGCTTTCTACTTTTCTAAAACAAACTCCAAAGTCCTTAACAGCATGCATGGGACTGCATGAACTGACAACTTTCTTTCTCTCCCACCTCTGCTTGCCCCACTTTCTGCTGTCCAGACACTGCAGCCCCTTGTAAATTCTTCCATTGTGATGTGCTGCTTCCTGTCTCAGAGCCTTTGCATGGACTCATTTCTCTTCTTCAAATGCTCTTCCACTTCTAGGGAAACTTCCTTGACCCCTAAGAGTAGGTAAGGCCCACTGTTATGTGTCTCATGTTTATTCGCATAGGTATTAATAATTTTTTCTCTAGCGTCTTCAGTGGTCCATAAGGATCACAAGAACAAAGACTGCCCAGCCTTAGCCCTGTTGGGGCTCAGAACATGACACTCATAATTATGGCACTTGGCACACTGAGTACTTTAAACTGAGGGACGTTGGAGAGCCTCAGAAACAAGATCTCTCTGACCTCTTGAGGCAGGAGGATAGGGAATTAGGGTAGCCAAGGGTTGGGGCATAAGCAAAGGAATAGGAGTTTGCATAAGCAACAGAACAGCAGGTGCAGCCAGTTCTAGGCAAGACTGGGCAGCACACAGGCCACCTTTTCACTCCTGTAAAAACAAGACAAAAGTTTCCACTTCAGCCTCTGATTGATGTGGACCAACTCTCCACTTCAGCCTCTGATTGGTTGCAGGCCAATTGTTCTTAGGGTGTAACCAGCTGGAGGCCTCTGAAGCGCAGCTGAGGGTGTTACCGAATTCTTTTGGCTTTATAAAAAGCCCGGGGAGCATTGCAGTAGAGGAGGCTCTTGGGCCTCTTGCCTGAGCCTGCCCTTACTCTGTGAATTGTACTTTTGCTTTTTCAGTAAATCTATGCCTTTGTTACTCCATTCTTTTGTTGCCATTTGTCTTTCATTGCTTTGTTCTTTTGTTGCTTTGTTTGTGCATTTTGTTCAAGTCTTTGTTCAACAAGCCAAGAGCTTGGACAATTCATAGTCAAGACCTTCCATCCAGGAACACTCTTACCTCATGTCTTCCACCCCTCTTCTTCCCTAAAGCCAGCCATAGAAATCAGAATTCCTCCTCCCCAGAATGAGTCATAAACACTAGAACTCCTCTCCCGCAAAGCAAGCCATAACACCTAGGAAAGTTATTCTCTCCCTAGGGGTGCTGCCCTATTCTCGGGAGGAAGAAGTGATGCTCAGAGACGCCAAAAAAAGTCTGGGCAGATGGTTCTTGATAGGTTCCCCGCCTCAGTCTATCACCATTAGATCATAGTCTTTTTGTCCAATCACATTTCTACATGGCTGTCCATTCTTCATTGAACCTAAGCATAAAAATAGACAGTATTCCTGGGTCTCTGAGTCTTCATATCTGAAGGCTTCTATGTCATGTAAATCTGTGGTTAAATAGTTAAGCTTTTCTCTTGTTAACCTGTCTTTTGTTATAGGAGTGTTGGCTGTGACTCTTATAATAGGTGAGGAAAGGTATTAAACACAGCTGACACTCCTATAACAAAAGGCAGGTTAAAGGCACGGTCCTCCAGAATGTTACATCTACCCAAGACTTCTGACACCAGCTACAAGTTCAGGGATGCCCAGGGCCACCCTCACTTCGGATTGGCCAGCCACAAATTTGGGGGTCCCCATGGACTCCCTCAGATTTGATAATGTGCTAGAATGAGTCACAGAACTCAGCAAAGCGTTATATGTAGGATGACAGTTTTATTACAGCAAAGGATACAGTTCAGAACCAGCCCAAGGAAAAGATCATAAGGTAAAATCTGGGACTGGGAAGGTCCCAAACACAACGCTTCCATGCCCTCGGGATGCGTTACTCTCCTGATGTTGATGTGTGGCTATATACAGAATGTCACCAATCTAAGAAACTCACCTGGGCTTTGGTATCTAAAGATTTTCTCCAGGCTCCATGACATAGGCATGACTGATTGTATCATGGCCTACATGGTTAAACCCAATCTCTAGCCCCCTCCCCTTCTTGGATATCAGTCTAGCATCATATGGCTCAAAGTCCCGACCCCCTAACCACATGGTTGGTCTTTCTGGTGTGGTCAGTGCTCACCTTGAGCCTATCGGTGTGGCCTGGGCCTCACACTGAGTCATCTCTTAGTGTGATGTACCAAGGGTCTTCCTTGAATCACCTGATTAACACAAACTATCAGGTGTGGCTTAAGAGGCCGATCATGAGTAACAAAGACACTCCCGTTACTCTAGAAATTCCAAGGGTTTAAAGGTTAACTCCGGAGAGCAGGGACAAAGACAAGACTTCTCTTTGAGTAAAGTTAATTCATCACTATGCAGTGTCTTAGAACTGGCAATGCCTAGGACAGACAGACTTCATTCTTCTCTAACTATACATATAAAGCCAAAGGGCAAGAAAAAGCAGGTTCATTCTTAGGAAGATTTCAGATTTCGAATGCCATTGGCATACTTTATTTTGTCTTTGGTTACTTAACTCTCATGGTATAATTCCCTACTAAAAAATGTAAAAGGCAGAGAGACAGGGAAGATTTAATATCACTAGATACATACGACTGAGAAGTAACACCCCAAACTGCTGTAGCAGAGGTTAGTGAAACCAAAGATTACAATAATTTTACTTTACCTTTCCTCAATGATTTACAGTTTACAAAGTGCTTCATACATCCTATCCCTTGAAATGTTAAAGTCATAGTGCAAAAAGGGTATAAATAAAGAATGCAAAAATTGAGCGGCAATTAACAGAGCAAAAAGGTTGCTCAAATTATTTAAGAACTACATTGTGCTAGAATGCATTTTTCTAGCACAGCAAAAAGAATCATTTACATAACAATGAATATGCTAATTAAGATTCATCTAGAAAATCTGCTGTGCGACAATGCTTTGTTAATACATTTCAAGGTATTTTACAAATTTGAAAGTTTAAAATCTGATAGCAGGTTTTGCAAGTTTTTTCTTTAAAATCAAACTGTGATACAAAAAATTAAGTGAAGCAGACCATAAAATTTTCTTCTCAGAAGGAAGCTATTTTGTATTTAAGCAGAATATTTGCCCTTTTCCCTCCTACATGAGTGGAGATTCCACTATGTCCTTTTTTGAGACTGTATAAAAACTCTCTATATATGTCTATATATTTTATATTTGTTCCTCTGCTTCTAAAGTGCTTTTTTTTCCTTGTGACTGCTTTACAATTTTTCTCTTTATCACAGGGTTTTGATACTTAATTTTTTTTAAATTTTTAATATATATTTTTTATTTTAATAGCTTTTGGGGTGCAGGTGGTTCCTGGTTACATGGATGAATTGCATGGTGGTGAAGTCTGAGATTGTACTGCACCCAGGTAGTGTACATTGTTCTCAGTATGTACTTTTTGATCCCTCGTCCCTCTCCCCCATTCTGTCTCCAATATTCATTAAATTATTATCACTCTGCATAACTTCGCATATCCACAGGTTAGCTCCCACTTATAACCGAGAATAAGTGGTACTTGGTTTTCCATTTCTGAGTTACTTCACTTGGAATAATTGCCTCCAACTCCATCTAACTTGCTGCAAAAGACATTATTTTATTCATTTTTATGGCTGAATAGTGTTTCATGGTGTTGTAGCAGGATGAGTCACAGACAAGAACCCCTCGCACACCGTGTTGTGGAAGGAAAGGGCTTTATTCAGATGGCAGCATCGGCGGACTCACATCTCCAAAAACCCAGCTCCCCGAGGGAGCAATTCCTGTCCCTTTTAAGGGCTTGCAACTCTAAGGGGGTCCACGTGAGAGGGTCGTGATTGATTGAGCAAGCAGAGGGTACGTGACTGGGGGCTGCAAGCACCAGTAATCAGAACAGAACAGGACAGGACAGGGATTTTCACGGTGCTTTTCCATACAATGTCTGGAATCTATAGATAACACAACAGGTTAGGTCAGGGGTCGATCTTTAACTACCAGGCCCAGGGAGTGGCACCGGGCTGTCTGCCTGTGGATTTCCTTTCTGCCCTTTAGTTTTTACTTCTTCTTTCTTTGGAGGCAGAAATTGGGTATAAGACAATATGAGGGGTGGTCTCCTCCCTTAGTGTAATTATACCACATTTTCTTTATTCAGTCATCATTTAATGGGTACTTAGATTGGTTCCATATCTTTGAAATTGTGAATTGTGCTATAATAAACATATGCACGCAGGTGTCTTTTTGGTATGATGACTTCTATTCCTTTGGGTAGCTATCTAGTAGTGGATTGCTGGATTGAATGGTATTTCTACTTTCAGTTCTTCAAGAAATTGTCACACTATTTTCCACAGAGGTTGTACTAATTGAGCAGCCCACCAGCAGTGTAAAAGTGTTTCTTTTTCAGCATATCCACGCGGACATCTATTGTTTTTTGAATTTTTAATAATGGCCATTCTGGCTGAGGAACAATGGTATCTCATTATGGTTTTAATGTGCATTTCCCTGATGATTAGCAATGTTGATTACTTTTTCATATGTTTCTTGGCCATTTGCATATCCTTTTTTGAGAAATGCCTATTCATGTCATTTTCCCACTTTTTGATGCGATTATTTTTCTCTTGCTGATTTGTTTGGGCTCCTTGCAAATTCAGGATATTAGTCCATTGTCAGACGCATAGTTTGCAAATATTTTCTCCCATTGTGTGGGTTGTCTGTTTACTCTGTTGATTATTTCTTTTGCTGTGCAGAGGCTTTTTAGCTTAATTAGGTCTCATTTATTTGTTTTTGTTGCATTTGCTTCTGGGGCTATAGTAATCAATTCTTTGCCAAACCAATGTCCAGGAGTGTTTTTCCTAGGTTTTCTTCTAGAATGTTTATGGCTTCTGGTCTTAGATTTAGGTTTTTGATCCATCTTGCTTTGATTTTTGTATATGTGAGAGAGAGAGACAGAGAGATCCAGTTTCACTCTTCTTCATGTGGCTATCCAGTTTTCCCAGAACCATTTATTGAATAAAGTGTCCTTCCCCCAATTTATGTTTTGTCAAAGATCAGTTGGTTGTAAATATTTGGTTGTGTTTCTGGGTTCTCTATTCTGTTTCATTGATCTATGTATCTACCTTTATACTAGTACCGTGCTGTTTTGGTTACTATAACCTTGTAGTATAATTTGAAGTCAGATAATGTGATGCCTCCAGATTTGTTCTTTTTGCTTTAGGATTGCTTTTGCTATTCAAGCTTTTTTTGTAGGGCCCATAAGAATTTTAGGATTGCTTTTCTAATTCTGTGAAAAATGATATTGATATTTTGATAGAAATTGTATTGAATCTATAGATTGCTTTGGGTAGTATGGTCATTTTCATGTTATTAATTCTTTCAATCCATGAGTATGGCATCTGTTTCCTTTGTTTGTGTCATCTATGATATCTTTCAACAGTGTTTTGTAGTTCTACTTGTAGAGATCTTTCACCTCCTTGTTAAGTATAGTCCTAGGTAATTTTTTGCAGCTATTGTAAAAGGAATTGAGTTCTTAATTTGATTCCTAGCTTTGTCATTGTTGCTGTAAGGCAGTGCCAGTGATTTGTTTACATAGATTTTGTAACCTGAGACTTCACTGAATTCACTTATCAAATCTAGGAGTCTTTCAGTGGAGTCTTTAGGGTTTTCTGGGTATATGATGATATTATTGGCAAACAGGGATAGTTTGACTTCCTCTTTTCCAACATGGATGCCCTTTATATGTTTCTCTTCTCTGATTGCATTGGGTAGGACTGCCAGTGCTATGTTGAATAGAAGTGGTGAAACTGAACATCCTTGTCTTATTCCAGTTCTCAGGGGGAATGCTTTCAACTTTTTCCCATTCAATATGATGTTAACTGAGAGTTTGTCATACATGGTTCTTATAATTTTGAGGTATGTTCTTTCCATGCCTAGTTTGTTAAGGGTTTCTAATCATAAAGGGAGGCTGGACTTTATTGAATGCTTTTTCTGCATCTGTTAAGATGATCATATAATTCTTAATTCTCTTTATGTGACGTATCACATTTATTGACTTGCGTATGTTGAACCATTCCTATATCCCTGGGATGAAACCCACTTGATCATGGTGAATAATCTTTTTGTTGTGCTGTTGGATTCAGTTTGTTAGTATTTTGTTATGAATTTTTCCGTTTATGTTAATCACGGATATTGGTCTGTAGTTTTCTTTTTTTGTTATGCCCTTTCCTGGTTTTGGTATCAGGGTGATAATGGCTTCATAGAAAAAGTTAGGAAGGATTTTCTCTTTCTCAATTCCTTTGGAATAATTTCAGTAGGATTGATACCGATTCTTTAATGTCTGGAAGAATTTGGCTGTGAATACATGGGGCACTGGCCTTTTTTTTGTTGGCGTTTTTTTGTTTTTTTGCTGATTCAATCTCATTATTTGTTATTGGTCTGTTCAGGACTTCTATTTCTTCCTGATTCAAGCTAGGATGATTGTATGTTTCCAGGAATGTATTCATTTCCTCTAGATTGTCTAGTTTATGTGCATAGAGGTGTTCATAGTAGTGTAAACTTAACTTTTGCATATCTGCGATGTCAGTTGTAATGCCTCCATTTTCATTTCTAACTGAGCTAATTTGAATCTTCTCTCTTCTTTTCTTAGTTAATCTAGTTAATGGTCTACTGACTTTATCTTTTTATATAAACGACTTTTTATTTCATTGATCTTTTGTATTTTTGTTTCAATTTCATTTAGTTCTCCTCTGACCTTATTTTTTTTCTTCTTATAGCTTTGGGTTTGTTCTTGTTTCTCTGTTTACTTGAGATGTAATGTTAGGTTGTCAATTTGTGATTTTTCAGACTTTTTAATGTAGGTATTTAGTGCTGTTAGCTTTCCTCACAGCACTGCTTTATGCTGTATCTCAGAAGTTTTGATAACTTGTGTCACCATTATCATTCATTTTGAATAACTTTAAAATTTCCATCTTGATTTCATTGTTAACCCAAAAGTCATCTGGGAGCAGATTGACTAATTTCCATGTATTTGCATAATTTTGAGTTTTCCTTTTGGAGTTTGATTTCTGGTTTTTTACTACTGTGGTCTGAGAAGGCACTTGATATGATTTTGATTTTTAAAAATTTATTGAGACAAGCCATGATTAAGATGGCTGAATAGGAACAGCTCTGGTCTGCAGCTCCCAACAAGATCAACACAGAAGATGGGTGATTTCTGCACTTCCGATTGAGGTACCTGGTTCATCTCACTGGGACTGGCTGGACAGTTGGTGCAGCCCACAGAGGGTGAGCCAAAGCAGGGCAGGGTGTCACCTTACCCCGGAAGTGCAAGGGGTCAGGGGATTTCTTTCCTAGCCAAGGGAAGCCGTGACAGACTGTACCTGGGAAAACAGTACACCTCTGCCCAAATACTGTGCTTTCCTCATGGTCTTAGCAACCAGAAGACCAGGAGATACCCTCCCATGCCTGGCTTGGCAGGTCCCATGCCCAGGGGGCCTTGCTCACTGCTAGCACAGCAGTCTGAGATCAACCTGTGAGGCTGCAGCCTGGTGAGGGGAGGGGCGTCCAACATTGCTGAGACTTGAGTAGGTAAACAAAGCAGCTGGGAAGCTCAAACTGGGTGGAGCCCACCACAGCTCAGCAAGGCCTACTGCCTCTATAGACCTCACCTCCGTGGCCAAGGCATAGCTGAACAAAAGGCAGCAGACAACTTCCGCAGACTTAAACATCCCTGTCTGACAGCTCTGAAGACAGCAGTAGTTCTCCCAGCATAGTATTTGAGCTCTGAGAACAGACAGACTGCCTCCTCAAGTGGGTCCCTGACCTCTGTGTAGTTTGGCTGGGAGACACCTCCCAGTAGGGGTCGACAGACACCTCATAAAGGTGGGTGCCCGTCTGGGACGAAGCTTCCAGAGGAAGTATCAGGCAGCAATATTTGCCGTTCTGCAATATTTGCTCTTCTGCAGCCTCCGCTGGTGATACCCAGGCAAAAAGGGTCTGGAGAGGACCTCAAGCAAACTCTAACAGACATGCAGCTGAGGGGCCCAACTGTTAGAAGGAAAACTAACAAACAGAAAGGAATACCATCAACATCAACATAAAGGACATCCACACCAAAACCCCATCTGTAGGTCACCAACTTCAAAGACCAAAGGTAGATAAAACCAGAAAGATCAGGAGAAACCAGAGCAGAAAAGCTGAAAATTCCAGAAACCAGAGTGCCTCTTCTCCTCCAAAGGATTGCAGCTGCTTGCCAGCAACAGAACAAAATTGGATGGAGAATGACTTTGACAAGTTGACAGAAGTAGGCTTCAGAAGGTCATTAATAACAAACTTCTCTGAGCTAAAGGAGCATGTTCTAACCCATTGAAAGGAAGCTAAAAACCTTGAAAAAAGGTTAGATGAATGGCTAACTAGAATAAATAGTGTAGACAAGACCTTAAATGACCGGATGTAGCTGAAAACCATGGCACGACAACTTTGTGACGCATGCACAAGCTTCAATAGTCAATTCAATTAAGTGAAGGAAAGGATATCAGTGACTGAAGATTAAATTAATGAAATAAAGTGAGAAGACAAGATTAGAGAAAAAGAGTAAAAAGAAATGAACAAAGCCTCCAAGAAATATGGGACTCTGTGAAAAGACCAAATCTACATTTGATTGGTGTACCTGAAAGTGATGGGGAGAATGGAATCAAGTTAGAAAACACGCTTCAGGATATTATCCAGGAGAACTTCCCCAACATAGCAAGGCAGGCCAACATTCATATTCAAGAAATACAGAGAATGCCACAAAAATACTCCTCGAGAAGAGCAACTCCAAGACACATAATTGTCAGATTCACCAAAGTTGAAATGAAGGAAAAAATGTTAAGGGCAGACAGAGAAAAAGGTCGGGTTACCCACAAAGGGAAGCCCATCAGACGAACAGCAGATCTCTCAACAGAAACCCTACAAGCCAAAAGAGAGTGGGGGCCAATATTCAACACTCTTAAAGAAAAGAATTTCCAACCCAGAATTTCATATCCAGCCAAACTAACCTTCATAAGTGAAGGAGAAATAAAATTCTTTACAGACAAGCAAATGCTGAGAGATTCTGTCACCACCAGGCCTGCCCTAAAAGAGCTCCTGAAGGAAGCACTAAACATGGAAAGGAATAACCGGTACCAGCCACTGCAAAAACTGTAAATTGTAAAGCCACTGCCAAATTGTAAAGACCATCGAGGCTAGGAAGAAACTGCATCAATTAACAGGCAAAATAACCAGCTAACATCATAATGACAGGCTCAAATTCACACATAACAATATTAACCTTAAATGTAAATGGGCTAAATGCCCCAATTAAAAGACACAGAATGGCAAATTGGATAAAGAGTCAAGACCCGTCAGTGTGCTATATTCAGGAGACCCATCTCAAGTGCAATAATTAATAGCCTACCAACCAAAAAAAGTCCAGGACCAGATGGATTCACAGCCAAATTCTACCAGAGGTACAAAGAGGAGCTGGTACCATTTCTTCTGAAACTATTCCAATCAACAGAAAAAGAGGAAATCCTTCTTAATTCATTTTATGAGGCCAGTATCATTTTGATATCAAAACCTGGCAGAGACACAACAAAAAAAAGAAAAAGAGAATTTTAGATCAATATCCCTGATGAACATCAATGCCAAAATCCTCAATAAAATACTGGCAAACCAAATCCAGCAGCACAACAAAAGTCTTATCCACCACGATCAAGTGGGCTTCATCCCTGGGATGCAAGACTGGTTCAACATATGCAAATCAATAAATGTAATCCATCATATAAACAGTACCAAAGACAAAAACCACATGATTATCTCAATAGATGCAGAAAAGACCTTTGACAAAATTCAACAGCCTTCATGCTAAAAACTCTCAATAAATTAGGTATTGATGGGAAGTATCTCAAAATAATAACAGCTATTTATGACAAACCCGCAGCCAATATCATACTGAATGGGCAAAAACTGGAAGCATTCCCTTTGAAAACTGGCACAAGACAGGGATGCCCTCTCTCACCACTCCTATTCAACATAGTGTTGGAAGTTCTGGCCAGGGCAATCAGGCAGGAGAAAGAAATAAAGGGTATTCAATGAGGAAAAGAGGAAGTCAAATTGTCCCTGTTTGCAGATGACATGATTGTATATCTAAAAAACCTCATTGTCTCAGCCCAAAATCTCCTTAAGCTGATAAGCAACTTCAGCAAAGTCTCAGGATACAAAATCAATGTGCAAAAATCGCAACCATTCCTATACACCAATAACAGACAAACAGAGAGCCAAATCATGAGTGAACTCCCATTCACAATTGCTTCAAAGAGAATAAAATACCTAGGAATCCAACTTACAAGGGATGTGACGGACCTCTTCAAGGAGAACTACAAACCACTGCTCAATGAAATAAGACAGAACACAAACAAATGGAAGAACATTCCATGCTCATGGATAGGAAGAATCAATATCATGAAACTGGCCATACTGCCCAAGGTAATTTATAGATTCAATGCCATCCCCATCGAGCTACCAATGACTTTCTTCACAGAATTGGAAAAAACTACTTTAAAGTTCATATGGAACCAAAAAAGAGCCTGCATGGCCAAGACATTCCTAAGCTAAAGGAATAAAGCTGGAGACATCAAACTACCTGTCTTTAAACTGCACTACAAGGCAACAGTAACCAAAGGAGCATGGTACTGGTACCAAAACAGAGATACAGACCAATGGAACAGAACAGAGGCCTCACAGATAACACCACACATCTACAACTATCTGATCTTTGACAAACCTGATAAAAACAAGAAATGGGGAAAGGATTCCCTATTTAATAAATAGTGCTGGGAAAACTGGCTAGCCATATGTAGAAAGCTGAAACTGGATCCCTTCCTTTCACTTTATACAAAAATCAACTCAAGATGAATTAAAGTCTTAAATGTAAGTCCTAAAACCATAAAAACCCTAGAAAAAACGCTAGGCAATACAATTGAGGACATAGGCATGGACAAAGACTTCATGACTAAAACACCAAAAGCAATGGCAACAAAACCCCAAATTGACAAATGGGATCTCATTAAACTAAAGAGCTTCTGCACAACAAAAGAAACTACCATCAGAATGAACAGGCAACCTACAGAATGGGAGAAAATTTTTGCAATCTACCCATATGACAAAGGGCTAATATCCAGAATCTACAATGAACTCCAACAAATTTACAAGAAAAAATCAAACAACCCCATTAAGAACCATTAAAAAGTGGGCAAAGGATATGGACAGACACTTCTCAAAAGAAGACATTTATGCAGCCAACAGACACGTGAAAAAATGTTCATCCTCACTGGTCATCAGAGAAATGCAAATCAAAACCACAATGAGATACCATCTCACACCAGTTAGAATGGTGATCATTAAAAAGTCAGGAAACAACAGATGCTAGGGAGGATGTGGAGAAAAAGGAACACTTTTACACTGTTGGGAGTGTAAATTAAAATGCTTTTACACTGTTGGTGGGAGTGTAAACTAGTTCAACCATTGTGGAAGACAGTGTGGCGATTCCTCAAGGATCTAGAACTAGAAATACCATTTTTCCCAACCATCCCATTACTGGGTATATACCCAAAGGATTATAAATCATGCTACTATAAAGACACATGCACACATATGTTTATTGTGACAGTATTCACAATAGCACAGACTTGGAACCAACCCAAATGTCCATCAATGATAGACTGGATTAAGAAAATGTGGCACATATACACCATGGAATATTATGCAGCCATAAAAAAGGATGAGTTCATATCCTTTACAGGGACATGGATGAAGCTGGAAACCATCATTCTCAACAAACTATCACAAGGACAGAAAACTAAACACTGCATGTTCTCACTCATAGGTGGGAGTTGAACAGTGAGAACACGTGGACACAGGGTGGGGAACATCACACACCGGGGCCTCTCGGGGGTAGGGGGCTGGGGGAGGGATCGTATTGGGAGAAATGCCTAGTGTAAATGATGAGTTGATGGGTACAGCAAACCAACATGGCACATGTATACCTACATAACAAACCTGCACATTGTGCACATGTACCCTAGAACTTAAATAAAAAGATTTAAAAAAATTTGGTGGGAGCCAAGATGGCAGAATAGGAACAGCTCCAGTCTACAGCTCCCAGTGTGAACAACGCAGAAGACGAATGATTTCTGCATTTCCAACTGAGGTACAGGGTGCATCTCACTGGGGATTGTTGGACAGGGGGTGCAGGACAATGGGTGCAGTGCACCGAGCCTGAGCCAAAGCAGGGTGAGGCATCACCTCACCAGGGAAGCGCAAGAGGTTGGGGAATTCCCTTTCCTAGCCAAGGAAAGGGGTGATGGATGGCACCTGGAAAGTCGGGTCACTCCCACCCTAACACTGCACTTTTACGACAGTCTTAGCAAACAGCACACCAGGAGATTATATCCCATGCATGGCTTGGAGTGTCCTATGCCTACGGAGCCTTGCTCATTACTAGCACAGCAGTCTGAGATCGAACTGCAAGGTGGCAGCAAGACTGGAAGAGGG
Organism: Homo sapiens; assembly: GCF_000001405.40. Taxonomy (NCBI): domain Eukaryota; kingdom Metazoa; phylum Chordata; class Mammalia; order Primates; family Hominidae; genus Homo; species Homo sapiens. The sequence goes on from NC_000010.11 coordinate 22,886,094, forward strand.
GTGCCCACCATTGCCAAGGCTTGAGTAGGTAAACAAAGCGGCCAGGAAGCGCAAACTGGGTGGAGCCCACCGCAGCTCAAGGAGGCGTGCCTGCCTCTGTAGACTCCACCACTGGGGGCAGGGCATAGCCAAACAAAAGGCAGCAGAAACCTCTGCAGACTTAAATGTCCCTGTCTCACAGCTTTGAAGAGAGTAGTGGTTCTCCCAGCACACAGCTTGAGATCTGAGAATGGACAAACTACCTCCTCAAGTGGGTCCCTGACCCCCGAGTAGCCTAACTGGGAGGCACCCCCGAGTAGGGGCAGACTGACACCTCACACGGCCGGGTACTCTTCTAAGACAAAACTTCCAGAGGAACAATCAGGCAGCAACATTTGCTGTTCACCAGTATCTGCTGCTCTGCAGCCTCCGCTGCTGATACACAGGAAAACAGGGTCTGGTGTGGACCTCCAGCAAACTCCAACAGACCTGCAGCTGAGGGTCCTGAATGTTAGAAGGAAAACTAACAAACAGAAAGGACATCGACACCAAAACCCCATCTGTACGTCACCATCATCAAAGACCAAAGGTAGATAAAACCACAAAGATGGGGAAAAAACAGAGAAGAAAAACTGGAAACTCTAAAAATCAGAGCGCCTCTCCTCCTCCAAAGGAACGCAGCTCCTCACCAGCAATGGAACAAAGCTGGATGGAGAATGACTTTAACAAGTTGAGAGAAGGCTTCAGACAATCAAATTACTCCAAGCTAAAGGAGGAAGTTCGAACCATCACAAAGAAGTTAAAAACCTGGAAAAAGATTAGATGAATGGCTAACTAGAATAACCAATGCAGAGAAGTCCTTAAAGGACCTGATGGAGCTGAAAACCATGGCAGGAGAACTATGTGATGAATGCACAAGCCTTAGTAGTGGATTTGATCAACTGGAAGAAAGGGTGTCAGTCATGGAAGATCAAATGAATGAAATGAAGTGAGAAGAGAAGTTTAGAGAAAAAAGAATGAAAAGAAACAAACAAAGCCTCCAAAAAACATGAGATTATGTGAAAAGACCAAATCTACATCTGATTAGTGTACCTGAAAGTGATAGGGAGAATGGAACCAAGTTGGAAAACATTCTGCAGGATATTATCCAGGAGAACTTCCCCAATCTAGCAAGGCAGGCCAACATTCAAATTCACAAAATACAGAGACTGCCACAAAGATACTCCTTGAGAAGAGCAGCTCCAAGACACATAATTGTCAGATTCACCAAAGTTGAAATGAAGGAAAAAATGTTAAGAGCAGCCAGAAAGGTCGCGTTATCCACAAAGGGAAGCCCATCAGACTAACAGCGGATCTCTCGGCAGAAACTCTACAAGCCAGAAGAGAGTGGGGGCCAATATTCAACATTCTTAAAGAATTTTCAACCCAGAATTTCATATCCAGCCAAACTAACCTTCATAAGTGAAGGAGAAATAAAATCCTTTACAGACAAACAAATGCTGAGAGATTTTGTCACCACCAGACTTGCCCTAAAAAGAGCTCCTGAAGGAAGCACTAAACATGGAAAGGAACAACTGGTACCAGCCACTGCAAAAACATGTTAAATTGTAAAGACCATCGAGGCTAGGAAGAAACTGCATCAATTAACGGGCAAAATAACCAGCTAACATCATAATGACAGGCTCAAATTCACACATAACAATATTAACCTTAAATGTAAATGGGCTAAATGCTCCAATTAAAAGACACAGACTGGCAAATTGGATAAAGAGTCAAGAGTCAAGATCCCTCAGTGTGCTGTATTCAGGAAACCTATCTCACGTGCAGAGACACACATAGGCTCAAAATAAAGGGATGGAGGAAGATCTACCAAGCAAATAGAAAACAAAAAAAGGCAGGGGTTGCTATCCTAGTCTCTGATAAAAAACTTTAAACTAACAAAGATCAAAAGAGACAAAGAAAGCCATTACATAATGGTGAAGGGATCAATTCAACAAGAAGAGCTAACCATCCTAAATATATATGCACCCAATACAGGAGCACCCAGATTCATAAAGCAAGTCCTGAGTGACCTACAAAGAGACTTAGACTCCCACACAATAATAATGGGAGATTTTAACACCCCACTGTCAACATTAGACAGATCAGTGAAACAGAAAGTTAACAAGGATATCCAGGAATTGAACTCAGCTCTGCACCAAGCGGACCTAATAGACATCTACAGAACTCTCCACCCAAAATCAACAGAATGTGCACTCTTTTCAGCACCACACCACACCTATTCCAAAATTGACCACATAGTTGGAAGTAAAGCACTCCTCAGCAAATGTAAAAGAACACAAATTATAACAAACTGTCTCTCAGACCACAGTGCAATCAAACTAGAACTCAGGACTAAGAAACTCACTCAAAACCACTCAACTACATGGAAACTGAAGAACTTGCTCCTGAATGACTACTGGGTACACAATGAAATAAAGGCAGAAATAAAGATGTTCTTTGAAACCAATGAGAAAGACACAACATACTAGAATCTCTGGGACACATTCAAAGCAGTGTGTAGAGGGAAATTTACAGCACTAAACGCCCACAAGAGAAAGCAGGAAAGATCTAATATTGGCACCCTAACGTCACAATTAAAAGAACTAGAGAAGCAAGAGCAAACACATTCAAAAGCTAGCAGAAGGCAAGAAATAACTAAGATCAGAGCAGAACTGAAGGAGGTAGAGACACAAAAAACCCTTCAAAAAAATCGATGAATCCAGGAGCTGGTGTTTTGAAAAGATCAACAAAATTGATAGACCGCTAGCAAGACTAATAAAGAAGAAAAGAGAGAAGAATCAAATAGATGCAATAAAAAATGATAAAGAGGATATCACCACTGATCCCACAGAAATACAAACTACCATCAGAGAATACTATAAACACTTCTATGCAAATAAACTAGAAAATCTGGAAGAAATAGATAAATTCCTCGACACATAGACTCTCCCAAGACTAAACCAGGAAGAAGTTGAATCTCTGAATAGACCAATAACAGGATCTGAAATTGAGGCAATAATTAATAGCTTCCCAACCAAAAAAAGTCCAGGACCAGATGGATTCACAGCCAAATTCTACCAGAGGTGCAAGGAGGAGCTGGTACCATTCCTTCTGAAACTATTCTAATCAATAGAAAAAGAGGAAATCCTTCTTAACTCATTTTATGAAGCCAGTATCATCCTGATACCAAAGCCTGGCAGAGACAAAACACAAAAAGAGAATTTTAGACCAATATTCCTGGTGAACATCGATGCAAAATCCTTAATAAAATACAAGGGATGTGACGGACCTCTTCAAGGAGAACTATAAGCCACTGCTCAATGAAATAAAAGAGGATACAAACAAATCGAAGAACATTCCATGCTCATGGGTAGGAAGAATCAATATGGTGAAAATGGCCATACTGCCCAAGGTAATTTATAGATTCAATGCCATCCCCATCAAGCTACCAATGACTTTCTTCACAGAATTGGAAAAAACTACTTTAAAGTTCGTATGGAACCAAAAAAGAGCCTGCATCGCCAAGTCAATCCTAAGCCAAAAGAACAAAGCTGGAGGCATCACACTACCTGACTTCAAACTATACTACAAGGCTACAGTAACCAAAACAGCATGGTACTGGTACCAAAACAGAGATATAGACTAATGGAACAGAACAGAGCCCTTGGAAATAATGCCACTTATCTACAACCATCTGATCTTTGACAAACCTGACAAAAACAAGAAATGGAGAAAGGATTCCCTATTTAATAAATGGTGCTGGGAAAACTGGCTAGCCATATATAGAAAGCTGAAACTGGATCCCTTCCTTACAACTTATACTAAAATTAATTCAAGATGGATTAAAGATTTAAATGTTAGACCTAAAACCATAAAAACCCTAGAAGAAAATCTAGGCAATGCCATTCAGGACATAGGCATAGCAAGGACTTCATGTCTAAAACACCAAAAGCAATGGCAACAAAAGCCAAAATTGACAAATGGGATCTCATTAAACTAAAGAGCTTCTGCACAGCAAAAGAAACTACCATCAGAATGAACAGGCAACCTACAGAATGGGAGAAAATTTTTGCAATCTACTCATCTGACAAAGGGCTAATATCCAGAATCTACAATGAACTCCAACAAATTTACAAGAAAAAAAAAAAACCATCAAAAAGTGGGCGAAGGATATGAACAGACACTTCTCAAATGAAGACATTTATGCAGCCAACAGACACATGAAAAAATGCTCATCATCACTGGTCATCAGAGAAATGCAAAACAAAACCACAATGAGATACCATCTCACACCAGTTAGAATGGTGATCATTAAAAAGTCAGGAAACAACAGGTGCTGGAGAGGATGTGGAAAAATAGGAACACTTTTACACTGTTGGTGGGACTGTCAACTACTTCAACCATTGTGGAAGGCAGTGTGGCGATTCCTCAGGGATCTAGAACTAGAAATACCATTTAACCCAGCCATCCCATTACTGGATATATACCCAAAGGATTATAAATCATGCTGCTATAAAGACACACCCACACATATGTTTATTGCGGCACTATTCACAATAGCAAAGACTTGGAACCAACCCAAATGTCCAACAATGATAGACTGGATTAAGAAAATGTGGCACATATACACCATGGAATACTATGCAGCCATAAAAAATGATGAGTTCATGTCCTTTGTAGGGACATGGATGAAGCTGGAAACCATCATTCTCAGCAAACTATCGCAAGGACAAAAAACCAAACACCGCATGTTCTTAGTCATAGGTGGGAATTGAACAATGAGAACACATGGACACAGGAAGGGTAACATCATACACTGGGGCCTGTTGTCAGGTGGGGGTGCGAGGGATAGCTTTAGGAGATATACCTAATGTTAAATGATGAGTTAATGGGTGAAGCACACCAACATGGCACATATGTATATATATGTAACAAACCTGCACGTTGTGCACATGTACCCTAAAACTTAAAGTATAATAAAAAAAAATTGAGACTAGTTTTGTGGCCTATCATATTATCTGTCTTAGAGAATGCTCCATATGCAGATGAGAAAAATGTATATTCTGCAGTTCTTGTATAGAATGTTATGTAAATTTCTGTTAGGTCCATTTGTTCTAGAGTTCAGTTTAAGTCCTGCATTTCTTTGTTGACTTTCTGTTTTGATCATCGTTCTAGTGCTATCAGTGGAGTGTTGAAGTCCCCCACTGTTACTGTGTTGCTGTCTATCTCTTTTCTTAGCTATAGTAGTAATTGTTTTCATCAATCTGGGAGCTCCTGAGTTAGGTGCATATATATTTAGGATTGTAGTATCTTCTTGTTGGATTGATCCTTTTATCATTATATCATGACCTACTTTGTCTTTTTATACTGTTGTTGCTTTACAATCTGTTTTATCTGATATAAGAATAGCTATTCCTGCTTGCTTTTAGTTTCCATTTGCATGGAATATCTTTTTCCACCCCTTTACCTTGAGTCTATAGGAATACTCGGGTCTCGGGTGAGTCTCCTAAAGATAGCAGATATTTAGTTTGTGATTTTTTATCTATTCTGCTAATCTGTATCTTTTAATTGGGACATTTAGATCATTTACATTCAACATTAATATATTGAGGTGCAAGGTACTGTTCCAGTCATCACGTTGATTGTTACCTAGATATTTTGTTCTCTTCATTATGTTATTGTTTTATAGGCCCTGTGAGTTTTTTGCCTCAAGAGGGTCTATTTTGGTGCATATCAACCTTTTGTTTCAAGCTTTAGATCTCTTTTTAGACATTTCTTTTAGGGCTCGTCTGGTAGTGACAAATTCCCTCAACATTTGCTTGTCTGAAAGATACTTTTCCCCCCTTCATTTGTGAAAGTTAGTTTTGCTGGATACAAAATTCTTGGCTGACAGTTATTCTGTTTAAGGAGGCCAAAGATAGGACCCCAATCCCTTCTGATTTGTAAGGTTTCTACTCATAAGCCTGCTATTAGTCTGATAGATTTTCCTTTATAGGTTACCTGATGCTTTTGTCTCACTGCTCTTAGAATTCTTTCCTTCATATGGACTTTAGATAGCCTGATGACTATACGCCTTGGTGATGTCCTTTTTCCAATGAATCTCCCAGGAGTTCTTTGAGCTTCTTGTATTTGGATGGCTACATCTCTAGCAAGGCCAGGGAAGTTCTCCTCAATTATTATCCCAAATAATTTTCCAGGATTTTTGCTTTTTTTCCCCCATCAGGAACACAAAAACTTCTTATATTTGACCATTTTACATAATCCCATATTTCTTGGAGACTTTGTTCATTTCTTTTAGTTATTTTTACTTTATGTTTGTGTGACTGGGCTAATTTGAAAGACCTGTCTTTGAGCTCTGAAATTCTTTCTTCTACTTGGTCTAGTCAGTCTACTGTTAAAACCTCCCGCTGAATTTTGTAATTACCTACTATGTCCTTCATTTCCAGAAATTCTGATTGGTTTTTCTTTCAAATATCTGTCTCTTTAGAAAATGTTTCATTCATATCCTGAAATGCTTTTAAAATTTCTTAATGTTGGTTTTTACCTTTCTCTTGTATCTCCCTGAATTCTGTATCTATTATTTCAAATATTTCATTTTTGTTTAGATCCATTGCTGGAGAGGTAATGTGATCTTTTGGGGGTGTTATAGAACCCTGTTTTTTTCTTATTTGACTATTTTTTAACCCTCCCCCTGCCCACTTTCTAGGATGTGACTTTAATGTTTATAGTTTATTGTAACCTAATTTGGCTCTGGGTGCTGTTGGGAGTGAAGACTCTGTATGAGTTCCTTGGTTATATAGACTCTTTGTATGTTGGCCTCGTCAGATGCTGGTTGTAGTAGCAATGTGCTCAGTGTGTATGCAGGTTCACTGTCTCCTATCGGGTTGGAATGGCAGAGGTCTCTTGAAGCTTATTTCATTCTCCAGTGGTATTCACTTATTTTTTTCCCTCAGTATTTGTGTTTTATTTACTGAATTGAACAGTTCAAGCTTTGGGTCAGTAGGGGAGATGTTTATGGATAAAACTCAGCTGTGGTTAAAGCAGGTTGGTAAAAGCAATACCCAATAATGGGCAGAGGGCCCAGCCTTGACAGAGCCAGCTGGGGGACATCTTAGGGAAATGCACTGAGATCTTTTGAAGGGGAAGACAGAGAGCCACCTCAGCTCCCCTCTTAGGCCAGCAGGAAAGCAATACACCTCCCAGTCACACTCCTGACCCAGTGTTCCAGCTGTTCAGATCAGACAGGCACCTCTTTTCATCAGCAGGAATGCTCATGTTCAATGTAGAGAGGGATTGTGACTCCAACCCTCATGCAAGCCTGAACCTAGAGGGCACTTTTCCTGTGGGAATGCAGTCACCCTGAAGTGGTCCAGAAAGACTGTCTGTAGGTACACCCCTACTGATCTCTTGTGGGAGAAGCCCCAGCTGTGTCTGCAGTGGTGGACACACAGAAGTCTCCTTCTTCAAGGCCTTTCATAAGCACCAGAATTGCCTGATGGTTGGGTGGAGCTGCAGACCAGCTCCCTGTTGAGCCCAGCACTGCACTGTGCCTCTGATGAAAGAAACATCCCACAAATGGAAAGTTCTGGGACTGCAGACCTGCTGTCTGGATTCTTTCTCCCCATGGGGTGCTCCCTTGATGTAGTGCACTCCCCCTTCTTCTAGGAGGAGGAGTCCCCGAGGCCAGACTATTGTGAATGCTGCTGCTCCTCTGGACCTAGCTGCCCAGTGGGGCTGCCACTCTCCACACTGGTGCTGGGAAATGTCTGCAAAGGGTCCACTGATGTGACCTGTTCTCAAGTCTCCCAGCTGTGGCTATCAGCACCAGCTCTGATGGGGGTAGCAGGGGAGTGGCATGGACTCTGTGAGATTCCTTGGTTATAAAAAGCCTTAGTGTGTTGACTTTCTCAAATGCTAGTTGTAATAGTAATGAACTGGTCATGTGGACAGACTCAGGAACCTCCTGGTTATCTAGAGTAATGCAGGCAATTGTGATAGCTGAGGTCACACACAAGCTTTCTTCTTCCTGCATGCTGTGTCGTTTTGTGCCTGCAGATGTTGTAATGCAGTGGTCCCCAAACTTTTTGGCACCAGGGACCAGTTTCATGGAAGACAATTTTTCCATGGGCTGGTGGTGGGTGGGGGATGGTTTGGGGATGAAACTGTAGACAGATTCTCGTGAAGAGTATGCAACCTAGATCCCTCCTATGTGCAGTTCACAATAGGGTTCGGCTCCTATGAGAATCTAATGCTGCTGGTGATCTGACAGGAGGCGGAGCTCAGGAGGTAATGCTTCCTGTCCCACCACTCACATCCTGCTGTGCGGCCCAGTTCCTAACAGGCCACCAACCAGTACTGGTCTGTGGCCGGGGACTGGGGACCCTTGCTGTGATGGGCTGTGTGCTGGGTGGCCTTTAGCCAGGAGGCAGTGCTTGCAAAATAGCTGCTGTACTAGCAGTGGGATTTGTGCTTGCCTTGTGTTACCCAGGGGAGGTATCCTGGTAACTCACGTAATGGGCAGGGCCATAGGACTCCCAAAAGTTTCAGTCCTTTTTGTTAACCCACCAGGGTGGGTGGCTGGGCAAAGCCGGGTGGTAACTGGGTCAGGCAAGTTCATGCTCTGGCTCTCCACATGCAGGTAGGTGCAAGCAGTGGCCCTGGTAGGGATTAGAGGGCAGTTCTCTGGAGGCAGAGGTACTGTTCCAGGGAGGAGTGCAGTTGCCTGTGCTGCACAGAAGAGTCTGTATGGAAAGTGGGAAGTAGCAGGAGGCAGTAAGCCCCACCCAGCTCCCACACACTTGACAAAGCATATCTTACACCCGCAGTTTTCGCTAGAAACAGCTGGCTAGGTTCAAGGCAATCTGCGCTCAATAACTCAAAACTGCCCCAGGCCATAAGCCTTTCTGGGGAAGACAGCAACCACTGCTTTCAGGCCACACCCCTCCCAGTCTGCACAAGAAGCAGGGGTGCCCAGCTCCTACGCCTGTGGCTGCAGTACACTTCCCACTTGTCCCTCACTTCTGGCCAAGAGAGCGTGTCCCCACTGGAGATCATATCACGAATCTCAGTTGGGAACTTCTATCAACCTGTGACCACCACCTGAGTTAGCTGGCAGACTTCTGCAAGGTCGTCTGTGAAGTAGAATCAGGAATGGCTTCCCTTCATCCCTGGCAGACTGGGAGTGCACACAAAGCCTGTCTTGATGCTGGTTCTTCTCGTGTTCTCCCCACTGTTCACTAAATCAGCTTCATTCCTGGGTAGGGGTAAGGCTTTCCCCCATGGCCTGGATTGCTAGGTTCCCCAGTGGGAGTGCATATCCTGGAGGCAGTTGTCTCCCTCTCACACTCTGGGGAGTGGCTGGCTCATGGTGTAGGCTGCAGCCCAATGCTTCTTTCAAAGGATCTGTGGTTTCTTTCAGCTTTCCTGTTAAGTTTCTGTGTTGCTTCTTGGAAAAAAGTTCACAGTGTAATCTCTACACACTATTTTGTCTTTCCAAGTGGGAAAGACATGGTAACAATGCCTCCCATCCACTATCTTGGGGAAAAAAACCCCACAGTTTTTGGCAATTTGATGATAATATATCTTAGTGTAATTTTCCTCATTTTTATCCTGATTCTTAGATCTATGGATTTATAGTTGTCATCAAATTTAAAAAATTTGAGGCCACTATTTCTTCAAATATTTTTCTGCTCTCCCTATCCTTCTGAGACTCCAATTAACATATGTAATAGTATCTCATGGATAACTAAGGATCTCTCATTATTTTTCCAGCTATTTTTCTCTTGTGTTTTATATTAAAGAGTTTCTATTTGTTATATCTTCAAGTTCATTGATCTTTTCTTCTGCAGAGTCCAATAAGCTGTTAAGTCCAACTGGTGAATTTTTATTTCAGATATTGTATTTTTCAATACTAGAAGTTTTTATTATATAGTTTCATTTCTTTCCTCATTATGTTAATGTATTGCTTTCATTTCCTGGTATATTTTTATTTTTATGTCATTTGTATTTATTTATTTATTTTTTGAGATGGAGTCTCACTCTATCACCCAGGCTGGAGTGCAGTGGTGTGGTCTCAGCTCACTGCAATCTCTGCCTTCCCAGTTCAAGTGATTCTGCTGCCTCAGCCTCCAGAGTAGCTGGGATTACAGGCACATGCCATCACGCCCAGCCAATTTTTATATTTTTAGTAGAGACGGGGTTTCACTATATTGGTAGGGCTGGTCTCGAACACCTGACCTCGTGATTCGCCTGCCTCAGCCTCCCAAAGTACTGGGATTACAGGCGGGAACCACTGCACCTGGCCCTGGCGTATTTTTAACAGCAATTTTATAGTCCTTTTCTACCAACGTCATCATCACTATCATGCTGGGCCTATTTTTATTAACTGATTGTTTTCTCATAGATATGAGAAAGAGTATTCTGCTCTTTTACATATCTAGTAATTTTTATTGGATACTGGACATTATGAATATTATGTTATTAAGTGCCTGGATTTTTAAAAACTTTAAAGAACGTTGAATTTTGTTATTATGGGCAGTAAGTTATTTGTGGATCAGATTGATCCTTTTGGTAACTATTTACAAGCTTTGGTAAGGTGGGTCTAAAATAGCCTTTACTCCAGGCTACTTCAGCACTATTATTAAGTTGCAACCCTTCTTTGGTCTCTTCCAGATATTCCATGTTTTCAATATATTCACTCCATTCTAGCTAGTTAAAAAATCAAAACATCTCTCACCCCCATCTATGCTCTGGGAATTTTTTTTAGCTTACAGCTCCGTTGCAAGGCCTCATGGAGTTTTGCACTGCATATGGACAGCTTAGTAGTCAGCCAAAAGCTCAATAGAACTTTGTGTGGATTTGCAGGTTTCTGGAGCTCTCCACAGTTCCCTCTTCCCCAATTTTCTGCCCTGCAAACTCCATTTACCTCGACATTCCCAAATTCCAATCCCTCTCTCCTCAGCTCATGAAACTATTGTGGTCCACTTGGTTCCCTCTCACTGAAAAATGAGCTGACAATAGACAGATTAATAGGAGAAAGAGGAACGCAAATTTATTTAGTGTGCACTGAATGGGGGAATTGCAGGAGAATGATTACCCTATAACCCAGTGAGGACCAGATGTTATGCACCCTTCTTCACAGTGGTAGAGGAGAAAGGGATGTAGAAGTGAATGCTTCTCAGGGGAAATGAATGAGCCCAAAGAACAGGGCCTGAAACAAAGTTCTTCTGAGCTCTGGGGGGAAGTGGTGGGAAGGTGAGGAACAGAACTTCACTGTGAACAAAGATCGTCTTAGTATGCAGATAAAGCCTCCCAGGTAATCTCTCAGACCTGCCCTCAGGAAAATAGATGAAAAGTTTGTTAAGGAGTGGTAACTCCCAGTATCTTCTCTGGTAGTTAATCCTTCCTGGTTGTTTGATGTGATTCCTAGGAAGGAGGTCTTAAGACAACCGCATTCTTTTTAGAAAGAAACTTTCTTAATCAGATGGAAATTCCAAAGATAGTCACTCTTGGTGCTTAGGGAAAGTAAGCAGATCAGATAAACAGGCAAGCAGGGAAAGGTCAGAGAGAGACCTCGAGGCTACTTCCTTCATTCAGCCAGCATGTCAAAATGGTATTTTGGGGTACTGCTTGCTGAGCGTAATAGTTTTAATCTGTAAAGTGCCTCTAGGTGAAAACGATGATCATCAGTTTCACCATATTTGTTCTGCAATATCTAAAAACTGTTGTTTCAAATCCCATCAAAAAGTGGGCTAAGGACATGAATAGACAATTCGCAAAAGAAGCTATACAAATGGCCAACAAACATATGAAAAAATGTTCAACATCACTAATTATCAGGGATATGCAAATCAAAACCACAATGAGATATCATCTTACTCCTGCAAGAATGGCCATAATAATAATAATAAAAAAAATAGATGTTGGCATGAATGCAGTGAAAAGAGAACACTTTAACACTGTTGATGGGCATGTAAACTAGCACAACCACTATGGAAAACAGTGTGGAGATACCTTAAAGAGCTAAAAGTAGAACTACCATTTGATCCAGGAATCCCAATTCTGGGTATCTACCCAGAGGAAAAGAAGTCATTATGTGTAAAATATATGAATACGTACACATGCATGTTTATAGCACCACAATTAATAATTGTGAAAATATGGAACCAGCCCAAATACCCATCAATCAATGAGTGGGTAAAGAAAATGTGGTATATATATATATATATATATATATATATATATATATATATATATATATACACACTATGGAATACTACTCAGTCATAAAAAGGAATGAAATAATGGCATTTGCAGCAACCTAGGTGGAATTAGAGACCATTATTCTAAGTGAAGTAACTCAGGAATGGAAAACCAAACATTGTATGCTCTCACTCATAAGTGGGAGGTAAGCTATGAGGATGCAAAGGTGTAAGAATGATATAATGAACTTTGGGGACTCGGGAAAGAGTGGGATGGTGGGGTGAGGGATAAAACACTACACACTGGGTACAGTGTACAGTGCTTGGGTGATGGGTGCACCAAAATCCCGGAAATCACTACTAAAGAACTTATTCATGTAACCAAACACCACCTGTTCCCCAAAAACTCATTGAAATAAAAAAATAACCTCCCCAACCAAATAAAAACTGTTGTTTGTTGCAGATAATTTGCCCAATTTTCCAGTTGTTTATGACTAGTTCTGTATCAGGTTCTCTGTCATGGCTCAAAGAAGAAATATATATTTTCTCTTGGTTTCATCATTGAGCCACAGAATCACATAAAAATGACCTATACCGTGGGCTTTTTAGATATATGATCCAATAAAATTCTTTAAGACAGTATCAGTTGGATTTTTCTCCTGTCTACAACCAAAATGTGTATAAGTGGGACTCTATATAATGACTTGGATTTGCTGCCAAAAATGGAAATATTTAGTATTCTACCATTTTACCTATGTTCTTTTTTCAAATTGATCTTTATCAATGCAAGCAGTGCTCTAATTTAGTTGTCACCTTCTACACACATTTACTGAATACCTAAATATAATTTAGATGCTATGCTAGAAATGAAGAGAGTAAGGGTAAAGAGCTTCCTGCTCTCAAGACATTATCAGTTTATTAAGGAAAATCTGCATATAAGCAAATAAAAACAATACAGTTTGTTTTGGGTTGAATCACATCCCCCAAAAAGATATGTTGAAGTCCTAACCTCTGGTACTTGTGAATGTGATTTTTTTTTTTTTTTCTGAAATAGGGTCTTTGCAGAGGTAATCAAGTTAACATGAAGTCATACTGGATTAGGGTAGGCCCTAAGCTGATGACTAGTGTCCTAATAAAATGGGGGGAAATTTGAACACAGATGCAGAGAGGATAATACCATGTGGAGAGAGGAGAATGCCATGTGGAGACAGAAGCACAGAGACACACAAGGGAGAAGATCACATGAAGACAAAGGCAGATATTAGAGTGATGCATCTACATGCCAAGGAATACCAGAGATTGCCAGAAACCACAAAAAGCTAGAAAGAGCCGAAGGAAGGACTTGGAGAGCCTTGAGGAGAACAAGGACGTGGCTACACCTTGATTTCAGATTTCTAGCTTCCAGAACTATGAAAGAATAAGTTTCTCTTGTTTTAAGCCATCCAGTTTATGCTACTTTGTCACAGTAGCCCTAGAAAACAAATATACAGTTTTGTGTATACAATGGTGGAGGTACATAGTAAAGCAGCAGCTACTAGGAGGGATTAGAAGGACCTGTTAATAGATTTTTATCTAGGTACTTTGTATCAGTCAGGACAAGCTAGTCAAGGAGGCAGAGCAGAAAAATATTTGAGGAAATATGGCCAAAAATTTCCTTAAATGGATTAAAGTCATGAACCCTCATATCCAAGATTCCCAAGTCTCAGTAACTGAAGACAACAAAGATTTATTTCTCATGCACACAAAGTTCACTGAGGCTCTGGGAGATCTGCCTCAGCTTTTTAAGACAATGTCACACCATTCTCGGTATGGTCCCCAGTGCAGGACTCTTTAGAAGAGCAGTCTTTGCTTCAGAGTTTTGTCTTTTGGTGGCAAAGACCCTGCCCTGTCTGTACTGTGGTCTGATGGCTCCTGCTGCCCAGTCCTGCTTTCTCCCTTTTGCCTTTTGTAACTTTTACTTCATAATTAAAGGTTTACACCCCTAACTCTATCACCACAACTACTTCCTGGAGAATCTAATGTGTGACATGTCCCTTCCTTTTTCACCCCATCATCATGGAAGGAACTTGGAAATCAAAGTTAAACAAATTGAGAAAGGTCATTTCCCCACTTTTTGGCTCACAAAGAAGTATTTTCCACTAAATTCAGAGCACATTTTAATGAAAACAGGCCTAGGTAGGAGGCAAATATTCATTTAGCATAGTAAGAGGCTGTCTTAGTCTGTTTTGTGTTGCTATAAAGAAATATCAGAGACTGGGTAATTTATTTAAATAAAAGGTTTATTTGGTTCATGGTTCTAATGACTGCAAAGTTCAATATTGGGCATCTACATCTGGTGAGGGCTTCAGGCTGCTTCTATTCATGAAAGAAGGTGAAGGGGAGCTGCATGTGCAGAGGTCACATGAGAAGGGGGGATGTTCCAGCTTTTTAACAACCAGCCCTCATAAGAACTAATAGAGTGAGAATTCATTCACCTCTGAAAGAAAGCATTAATCAATTCATGAAGGATCTGCCCCCATGATCCAAATGACCCCCATTAGCCCCAACCCCAATGTTAGAGATCAAATTTCAATATGAGGTTTAGAGGGGACAAACACCCAAACCTTTGCAAGGGTATTATTTTGTAAGACAAATGGCCTAAGTCATAGTAATAGGAGGAAAAGGCTGTCATTGGTCTTCAGAAGAATATGAATTCTTAGTGGAGTCAGAGGAAGCCAGCTGTGGCCTATCCCTGGGGAGAGAGAGAGTTCAAATGGTCTTGCTTAACATTTGCCTCTTTTTCTTCTTTCAGAGCCAGGCCACAGTCGGGCAGAGGAAAACCCATCAACACCCAAGTGAGGATTTTGTTGGCAGATTTTATAAACCCAAAAAGACCTGAGATTAAGGTTCTTTTATTTTGTGGGATAATATTCGCCCAAATTGGCCATATAAAGAGATCTTAGCCCCCAAAATCCCAACCAACAGTTTTCTGGTGCTGTGCTACTTTAGGCTGTTTACTAGAACACCCGAGTAATATTTTCATTTTTTATTTTTTCAAAGGTTGCTTTTTTTTCCATCCCAGTTCAGTGTGTTTAATCTGGGGAGAAAAACACATGGCAGTACTTAGAAAGGGGTTGCTTCTGTTCCTAGCACTTGGCTGCTCTTTGTCTGAGCTTTTGTACCAACAGAGAGAACAACTGTCCAACTTTCTCTTAATGCTCCTTCCCTCAAAAGGGCCATGTTTAGTGCAAGGAGAAGGGATCCTTGTTGTACTGGTGATACATACATCTGTCTTTGCGTCTAGGATTTCTTTGGTGCAAACTGGTCTAATTTTATGAACCTCAGTTGTTTGCTTATTTTATAAAGTAGTTTCTCAAAGTCTGAAGTATGAGTCTCATAAAACTCAAAATGCTTCCACAAACCCCTTGGGCTAAGGTACCATGCTATCTTCCCAGCCACATCTCCTGCCCCTTCTTATGGGCTCCATCAGCTCATGTCATGATAACTTTCTTGCCGTCTACAAAATGTATTTTGTCAATATTATTTCCTCTACTTGAAATGAGATATACCCGTTGTCAACCTGGCTAAAATGTGATCATTTTGTGGAATTCAGCTTAAATCACCTCCTCCTAAGAGCTGTCTTGGGAGCTGACTCTTTGTCTTTCCTGAAGCTGGCAGTTTTCTATCTTCTTCTCTGACTCTTCTTTCCTCTAATCACCTAGACTGAGAACTGGTAACTTAGTGATAGGGTTTATATAAAAGACTAAAATTTTCTTGTAAATATTGTACATGTATCCCTAGCTCTGTTCATATCACTCAAATGAAGTAGAAAACATCTATAAAATGACAATGCTTCTTAAATAAATACTGTATTAGTCTGTTCTCATGCTGCTAATAAAGACATACCTAAGACTGGGTAATTTATAAAGAAAAAAAAGTTTAACAGACTCACAGTTCACATGGCTGGGGAGGCCTCACAATCATGGCAGAAGGCAAAGGAGGAGCAAAGGCATGTCTTACATGGTGGCAGGCAAGAGAGAGAGTGTGCAGGGGAACTGTCCTTTATAAAACCATCAGATCTCGTGAGACTTATTCACTATAACGAGAACAGCATGGCAAAAACTTGCCCCCTTGATTAAATTACCTCCCACCAGGTCCCTCCCACAATATGTGGGGATTATGGGAGCTACAATTCAAGATGAGATTTGGGTGGGGACAGAGCCAAACCGTATGAAATACCTTACTAAAACAAAGCAGTGGTATAAATATCATCATTGCTATTCTCTTTAATATATATTACTGAAATAGGAGGTATTTAGTTCAGAAATATATGATGGGCCAAAATCCTGGAAGAGAAATGAAGAGAGAAATTTAATTAATCGAATTTAAATTGTCAAGACTCTTCCTTGGTTTTATCAAAATTTTGCTTCTGAATCTCTATTTGTCTAGTGAAGGACTAGGTTACATTTCTAATTCCAGAGATGGAGTGTGGGCAAAATACAAGTAAGTTTTTTTGCTTCTTCTTATCCTCCTGAGATGCAGAGGGGAAAAACAAGAAAGGTCATTGGTGAAACAGACAGTGGAACATTCAAGTTTCTTACAATGCGGGATAGGGTAAGTGCCCACTGGCAGTAGAGAGGTGGGGATAGATTTGTTTCCAAAATTCATAGATTTCTAAGGAATTACAGTCTTTCTTCATGGTTGGATCAGGAGAACACTGGCATGGCAGTCTCAGCAGCAGCAGAATGGGCTGGCTGTGTGTCCTATCACCTCAGAATGCCCCTACAGGTGAGGACCATTGTCCCTGGATTACAGAGTCAACTGGATACACCCCTGATTTTGTCAAGGCTGGTAGGGTATTTTGGGTACAGACTGCCTAGACACATTATTAATTAGTATTTGTTTTGCTTTAATTTCTAATTTAAACATTACTTTGTTTATCTTTAAATAGGTAATATAATCATGTTACACAAAAGGTACCAAATATTATACCATAAAAATCAGTCTCTTTCCTACCCTCTCTAGCCATCCAATTCTCCCCAGATGGGACAGCTGTAATTACCTGCTTGTGCATCTTCCTCTCAACCAATGGTGGCATAATAGTCACATGAGTCCACACCTGGCGTTTTTAACTTAATAGCTCTTTGAGATTATTCCAAATCAATACATACATTTCATTCCCCCCCCCTTTTTTTTTTTTCTGAGACAGAGTCTCACCCTGTCATTCCGGCTGGAGTGCAGTGACTTGATCTCAGCTTACTGCAACCTCTGCCTCCTGGGTTCAAGCAGTTCTCCTGCCTCAGCCTCCCAAGTAGCTAGGACTACAGACACATGCCACCACACCCAGCTAACTTTTGTATTTTTAGTAGAAATGGGGTTTCACCATATTGACCGGGCTGGTCTCAAATGCCTGACCTCAAATGATCCACCACCTCGGCCTCCCAGTGTTAGAATTACAAGCATGAGCCACCATGCCCAGCTTGTCCTTTTTTTTTTTTTAACAGGTGCATAGTATTTAATCAGTAAATAAATCATTTAATCTGTCCCCTCTTTAGAGATTTTTAGGTTTTTTTCCCTTCAATTACAAATAATGCTGACATGAATATTCTTGAACACATGCTATTTCTTATATGTGTAGGTTTGTGCATTTAATCTTTGATATTAGCAATTTATTCTACAGAGGTTGTACCTATTTAAAATCCCATAAGTTTGAGAGTGCCTGTTTTCCCATACTCTAACAGAGAGTATTATCAAACTTTTGATTTTTGATGTTCTGATGAGTGAAAAATGGTATCACATTATGGTGACAAATTGCATTTCTCTTATGTGCAGAGCTGCCATATGGTTGTGAAAGTTGTGCACTGCATAAATCCGGGAAGATTGTTTTAAATACACCCTGACATGAATAGTGCCGTCTCAAATTCTTGATGTCCAATCTGTATAACCATGGGCTGTGTCCCTATTCTGTGTGAGGTTGAAGTTGAGCCAATTTCACATGATTGAAAGTCATTATGTAGTAGCTCCTTTTCTATTAACTAGCATATTCCTTAATCATTTTCTATAGGTTGTTGGATTGTTTAAGTTGTAGGAGTTTTGCATATATTATATATTACCACATAGGTAGTAGTATACATTTGAAATATATTTTTCTAATTCATTGTATTTTGATTTTGTGTATGTATATTGCTTTCACGGAAGGTTTTTTTTTTTTGGTTATATGCTTAAACTTATCAATCTTTTCATTTATGGCTACTTTTATTTTGGGCCTTGTTTAGAAAGCTCTCCTTGATTCCAAAATTTTTGTTCAGTATATATTCTCCAATATTCTTATGTAAGTGGAGGAAAAAGGAGAACTCTTTTTATTTTTTTAACAATACAAATCCAATTAGTTTGTGGAGAAGAAATGATAGAAATAAATTATTGTTAGGCAAACAAGATACTAATAATTTTAGGCAAGAATCACTGTTGGGTGCTAAAATTAAGGGTAAACTTGTGATAAGAAACAGGTAGGATATTGCACAGATTCAAAGTATCTCTCAACAGGTACTCACTAATTCCAAAGGGAAAAAGAGTAACTTTATAGTGGAGACACCACCATAGATACAACCTTAACAAGTGGTCAAAATGCACACTATCCATGGAAAGAAACTGACACCATGTGCCTCCTGATATGATGTGCTGAGAAGGGCACCTCATCCCTTCTGTGGGATTCTTGCCAAAAATACACAGTCTCAATCTAATCGTCAGCAACTGTTGACAAACCCAAACTGAGAAGCATTCTACAAAATAACTGGTCAATGCTCTTCATAAGTGTCAAGGTCATGAAAGACCAAGGGAAAAAAAAAAAAAAGACTGGGTAACTGTTTCATACTGAAGGAGACTCAGGGAATTTGGCAACTAAGTGCAATATGGAATCTTGGACCAAAAACAAAGGACATTAGTGAGAAGAGACCCCTTCCAGTTTGTGAGAAGCCCCTGACCAACCTTGTATTTTTCAGAGGCGCTTTGCTTTTTTCTTTAAACCCAATCTGCCCTCTTTATTTTTTTCACAGAGGACACTGAAGTTCCATTAAGCCTGGATCCTGAGTCATTAGTCCCCAAAAAACAAATTTCCCATTCTCCAAGGGTAAGGAAATGTTAGCATTCAACTTCCTGAGGTGAAGGGCATTCCAGTCCCTCTATATTTCTATTTCTTCTATTTCTTCTAAGGCAAATGGAGAGTAAACAAACAGGACAATCTGAATAAATATTTGTGTTTCTACAAAGAAAACTTATTTCCCATGTGGAGGTTCTCTACTCCCTAACTGCTGGGGTTGAAATGTTGATCTTTGCCTGAATTAGAGTTTCAAAAACAGTAAACTTCTCATATTTAAAACAGTACCTTTCTGCATGTGATTTCTCTAGGGATACCCAAGAGTTACATTGAATAAGGTTTTAAAATAGAAGTAATGGCTTTAATATCAGTTTTGTATCTACTGAAACAACGCATGATTAATTCTCTCTTTAAAAAATGGTGGGCTCAACTTATTAAATAAGTAAATCTAACTCTTGTTAAAAAAAAAAAAGAGTAAGAGATGCAACTGCAGTCTTCTTTAAAATAATAAAAACAGAAACAAACACAGCATTCAAAATATAAATAGCAGAAAATAAGTTGATGAAATTCTCCAAATGAAAGATTCAGGTTCCCAACAAAGAGAACCACTGGTTCTCTAATTTATATAAATAAAGATGTTTATGAATGAAAAGAGAAAAGAATTTCTGAAAAAATATGATGGCCTTTCATTGCTTTTTCTCTCTGAGGTTTTTCAGTTATTTCCTTGACTTCAGCTATTTCCTATGATTCAGTAGTATCAGGCTTCTAGAATAAATGAAGAGGCAAGTAAATAATCTGTCTTGAATTACATACCAATAAACTATGGAAACAGGGACATATGAAATACTCAGACAATTTTTAATTTGTGCATTTTAGGCATTATTCTCATGATCCCTTGTATCTTGGTTCTATAGTGAGTCATTTTATCTGAAAATGATATATCTTTTACTTAAACAGCGTTGGCCAGTCATGGTGGCTCATGCCTATAATCCCAGTAGTTTGGCAGGTTGAGGCAGGAGGATTGCTTGAGCTCAGAAGTTCAAGACCATGTTGGGCAATATAGTGAGACCCCACCTCTACAAGAAAATTTTTTTAAAAAATAGCTAAGTGTAGTGGGATTTGCCTGTGGTCCCAGCTACTCAGGAGGCTGAGGTGAGGGGATCACTTGAACCTGGGAGGCTGAGGCTGCAGTGAGCTGTGGTTGTGCCACTGCACTCCAACCTGTGTGACACAGCAAGACCCTGTCTCAAAAAAAAATGGGAGAAAAAAGCAAACAACAACAATAACCTCCCAAACACAGGGTCAGCAACTGTATTTTCAGTATTTATTCAAACAGTTCTAATAATCGAAGTCAGTCAGTGGACTCTATTTTCACTTGATCATTTAAACTTTCACTTCGTCACTTTTTATTTGTCAAGAAAAATATGTTTATAAATTACTTAGTATTTTCATATGTTTATATAAAATCTTCAAAATTCCATTCTTCTACCTTAAAGCATGGAAATCTCTATAAATTATAGAATACGAATATTATTTTAAAGAATCTTGGCTTCTCTACTAATATTGCTGGTATAGCACAACAATGCTTTATAAGTAGTTTTAACCATCATATAATTTTCCTAATAGTTACAATATTGGCAAATCTACATTCATGCTTAATTACATATTTCTACCACTTACATATCTCCAAAACACTGGATGCTTTGCTTGGGTCATAGGGTAAATTGCCATGGAAATGGAATCTAGTGGCCTTGGTTTTAAGGCCAAAGTAATACATAACAGCTTGACTTTAGCTCTTAAGGTGAGTTTTGTCTTGCATGGAGGACCATCTTAGACCCTTTACATTCTAAGTTGCTGTATTCAGGACTAGTGGATGATGGAATTTCTAGTGTCATCTGCTTATTGTCCATTTTGATGAGTAAATTACAATTCAAGATTTTGTAGTTAGTGTATAGAAATTACAAATATTTCTTTTCACAATAACTAATCCTTTTTAACACAGTAATTTGCATAAGTATAAATTATACATTCTATTCAAATTTCCAAGTGATGCAATTAGTAATGCCAACATTAGAATAATACTTTTTGAGTTGCATTATGTTCACTAAAATGTTCAAAGATGTGTATGGGAGGCTGAGCTGGGAGGATCCTTTGAGTGCAGGAGTTCTAGACCAATCTGGTGAAATAGTGAGACTCAGAAAAAGAAAAAATGCTCAGCAATGTAATGAACATCCAAAATTGCAAGGCCCACATGAAAAATGATGTGTACAATCAACATTAATGGACTCAAAGAAAAAAAATCACAAGTGTTGTTTAATGACTGTTAGAATTTGAATGTTAAAGAGCAGGACTAGTGTATTAGTCTGTTCTCATGCTGCTAATAAAGACATATGCCAGACTGGGTAATTCATAAAGGAAAGAGGTTTAATGGACCCACAGTTCCACATGGCTAGGGAGGCCTCATAATCATGGTGGAAGGCAAAGGAGGAGCAAAGGCATGTCTCACATGGTGGCAGGCAAGAGAGCATGAGAGCCAAGCAAAAAGGGTTCCCCTTATAAAACTATCAGATCTTGTGACACTTATTCACTACCACAAGAGCAGTATGGGGGAAAATGACCCCATGATTCAATTATCTCCCACTGGGTCCCTTCCACAACACATGGGAATTATGGGAGCTACAATTCAAGATGAGATTTGGGTGGGGACACAGCCAAACCATATCATTCTACCCCTTGCCTCTCCCATGTTTCAAAACCAATCATGCCTTCCCAACAGTCCCCCAAAGTCTTAACTCATTTCAGCATTAACTAAAAAGTCCACAGTCCAAAATCTCATCTGAGACAAGGCAAGTCCCCTCCACCTATGAGCATGTAAAATCAAAAGCAAGCTAGTTACTTCCTAGATACATTGGGGGTACAGGCACTGGGTAAATACAGCTGTTCTATATGGGAGAAATTGGCCAAAACAAAGGGGTTCCAACCCCCATAAGTTCAAAATCCAGTGGGGCAGTCAAATATTAAAGCTCCAAAATCATCTCCTTTGACTCCTTGTCTCACATCCGGGTCACACTGATGCAACAGGTGGGTTCCCAAGGCCTTGGGTAGCTCCACCGCTGTGACTTTGCAGGGTACAGCCCCTTTCCTGGCTGCTTTCATGGGCTAGCATTGTGTCTGTGGCTTTTCCAGGTGAATGGTGTAAACTGCTGGTGGATCTACCATTCTGGAGTCTGGAGGATGGTGGATCTACCATTCTGGAGTCTGGAGGATGGTGGCTCTCTTCTCAAAGCTCCACTAGGCAGTGCCCCAGTGGGGACTCTGTTGGGGGGGGGATCTGACCTCACATTTCCCTTCTGCACTGCCCTAGCAGAGGTTCTCCATGAGGGCTCTGCCCCTGCAGCACACCTCTGCCTAGATATCCAGGTGTTTCCATACATCCTCTGAAATCTAGATGGAGGTTCTCAAATCTCAATTCTTGACTTCTGTGCACCATCAGGCTCAATACATACCACATGGAAGCTGCCAAGGCTTGGGGCTTGCACACTCTGAATCCATGGCCCAAAGTGTACATTGGCCACTTTTAGCCATGGCTGGAGCAGTTGGAATGCAGGGCACCAGGTCCCTAGGCTGCATGCAGCAGGCGGACCCTGGACCCAGCCCATGAAACCATTTTTTCCTCTTGGGCCTCTGGGCCTGTGATGGGAGAGGCTGCCATGAAGGTCTCTGACATGCTCTGGAGACATTTTCCCCATTGTCCTGGTGATTAACATTTGGCTCCTTGTTACTTATGCAAATTTCTGCAGCAAGTATGAATTTCTTCTCAGGAAATGGGTTTTTCTTTTCTATTGCATAGTCAGGTTGCAAATTTTCTGAACTTTTATGCTCTGTTTCCCTTTTAAAACTGAATGCTTTTAACAGCACACCCAAGTCACTTCTTGAATGCTTTTCTGCTTAGAAATCTCTTTTGCCAGATACCCTAAATCATATCCTTCAATTTCAAAGTTCCACAAATCTCTACAGCGGGACAAAATGCTGCCAGACTCTTTGCTAAAACATAGCAAAAGCCACCTTTACTCCAGTTCCCAGTAAGTTCCTCATCTCCATCTGAGACCACCTCAGCCTGGATTTCATTGTCCATATCATGATCAACATTTTGGTCAAAACCATTCAATAAGTCTCTAGGAAGTTCCAAAGTTTCCCACATTTTCCTGTCTTCTTCTGAGCCCTCCAAATTGTTCCAACCCCTGCCTGTTACCCAGTTCCAAAGTCACTTCCACATTTTCAGGTATCCTCACAACAGCACCCCACTCCACTGGTACCAATTTACTGTATTAGTCTGAAATCATGCTGCTAATAAAGACATACCTGAGACTGGGTAGTTTATAAAAGAAAGAGGTTTAATTGACTCACAGTTCCACATGGCTGGAGAGGCCTCATAATCATGGCAGAAGACGAAGGAGGATCAAAGGTATGTCTTACATGGTGGCAGTCAAGACAGAATGAGAGCCAAGGGAAAGGGGTTTCCCCTTATAAAACCATCAGATCCCATGAGACTTACTCACTACCACAAGAACAGTATGGGGGAAACCACCCCCCATGATTCAATTATCTCCCACCAGGTCCATCCCACAACATGTGGAAATTATGGGAGCTACAATTCAAGATGAGATTTGGGTGGGGATACAGTCAAATCATATCAACCAGTAGCTCAGTATTGTATGTACAAGGTCTCATGTATAAGGACCATGTAGTCATGCTGTGACTGCAATGAAAAAAATTATGTAAGAAGTGGAATATATGTAGAACTACATTTTCCTTTCGGCACAGGTAGAAATGTGTTTACAAAAGGTAGAGATTAAAGGTGAAGTAAAAATCTCACCCTATTTTGAGTAACAGAAAATGAAATATCTTTATTTTGGTATTTTTTTCTTTTTGGACTTTTTCTTTATTTCAATATATCAGCTTCATGATGAAAAGCTTAGATTAATGTGATGAAGAAAATTATTTCTGTTTAATAGTTTGTTTTGTTACTTAGTCTTTGTGTGAAGTTGGTCTCAGTCTTTCATTAAATAAACATTGCAGAATATTTTATTCCTCTTTTTTTAATTCTTACAGGAGTCATATTTAAAATAAATCCGCCATGCCTGCAATCAACTGTTCAAAAAATTATTAACTCCTTCAAGATGACTTGAAGTTTGAGGTCTATTAAAAATTAAAACAATTTTAACCCTTTGACTTGGCGACTAATCTCTGGAGAGTCATAATTTTCATCACCTTACATAATTTCAATTGTTAATATCACAGGTTATACTCTACTTGAAACTAAAAATTAAAACTTTAAATACTTAATAATTAAAACTTTTCATTGTTAGATATATCTATGTGCTATAATAAAAAAAGTGGGATTCTTTCCCTTCCACTTATTTCAAAAGATTCTATAGTTGATCATCATGCATCATCCTTTACTTATTTTTTCTATTGTACAAGTATTTGAGTTAAACTTTTGTTAATTGTAAGTGTTAAGTATTTGCATATGATTTAAAATCTTGAAATGAGTGATGGAAAATATAACAATTTTGAAATGAAAATGTATTGGTCCATTCTCACATTGTTATAAAGAAATACCTCAGATTGGGTAATTTGTAAAGAAAGAGGGTTAATTGGCTCACAGTTCTGCAGGCTGTACAGGAAGCATAGCAGCTTCTGCTGCTGGAGAGGCCTCAGGAAACTTACAATCATGGCAGAAGGTGAAGGGGAAACAGGCACATCTTACATGGCTGGAGCAGGAGTAAGAGAGAGAGAGAGTAGGAAGGTGCCACATACTTTTAAACAACAAGATCTCATGAGAACTCACTATCGTGACAACAGCACCAAAGGGGGGATGGTGTTAAACCATTCATGAGAAACTGCCCCCATGATCCAATTACCTCCCACCAAGCCCCACCTCCAGCATTGGGGATTACATTTCAACATGAGATTTGGGTGGGGACAATTCTGCACAATTTTAGACCACAAACTCTAATAATTTGTGGAAACAAAACTTACTATGCCCAAAATAATGCTGCCTTGGAACCAGATGCAAGCAGACTGGGCTGGGCCTTCAAACATGAAGAGCCTTCTAAATGCAGGCCATAGGATCCTCTCTAATCAGGGTGGTAGTCACCACATGTTACTGGAAAGACTCAAGCCCAGACTTCCTTTTCTAGCAGTAATCTTGTATCATCTTGATCAAGCCAAAATCTCTGGCCCAGTTTGGCCAGAAAACCCTAGAGAGATCAGACCCAGGATCCTGGCCTCAGTAGTTCCACATGCTGTAGGATTACCTTACAGCTCACAACAGGCAAAAAGAAGAGCTCTTTGATCCATTCCCTCTACTTTCAACACACTGGCCTTCTTGGGGGAGCCTCTCAACCACATTCTATTCAGTATAGTTTATTCTGGTGATTTGGAACTGGGTTTTAGATTAACCTAGTTCTTCTCAGTTCAGGGGATCCTTTCTTAAACCAGCACAGTTACTCTGGTTTTTGTTTGTTTGTTTTTTAAGACAAACTAAATGTCAGAAGCCAACCTAGGGGAACCACTTTTTACCTAGACGTTGCTCTGACAGGAGTACCTACTGTTTATCCACCAGTATGAATTACACATTCCAGGTAGAAGAATTTCTTCCACCACTGGAATAAGCCATTTTGGAGCATCCCTCACAGAAGATGTTATCTCAAAGGGGTAGGTTGTCTCAGACATCTGTTTTTACTCTTTTTCTAAGCGAAATGTACCCTATTTTATCTTAAACTTCACAACCACTAGCAAACAAGCTGCTATCTCCACAATGCAAATTACAGAAACCAAGTTCAGAGTCAAAAGAATGTAAAAACTTGTCTAAGAAGTAAATGATTGCTACTTAAGGACCTCGTCCACTAAGTTAAGCTGATTTTAAAGGCCCGGAGTCAAGTACACAATGAGCCTTATTTACTTTGAAACTCTATCATTCAGGCTTTTAAATGATCTTTTTTATAGAGTGGCTGCCTCTCGTCTGAGGGGATCTTATTTTTCGCTGTGGGCACTTGGTAGTGTTACCCTTCTGAATAGCCAACAGGACTTCCCACTGTTTCATGACCATTTGCAGAGCAGTGTCAGTCTTTGGAGCCATTAATTTTTTTTTTTTCTCCTCGGTACAAGAATACAAACACTCTGAAATTGTGCCAAGATTTCGCTTCCCCCATAGCATGAGGTAAAGAGGATTTACAGGCAAAGAGCGCCCTTGAACGGCAGCCAACAAAGCAGATAACTTTTAAATAACACAGTGTGGTGGAAGAAACTGCCTTGTGGCAATCTACTGTTGAGAGAAATAGCAACTATTTATGGTACATATTGGCATATGTATGCTTAAGCTCTAGAAACGGTGAAAGGTTACCACACTGTTTATAGCTTTCCTTACATAGGTAACACTGAACTGAATGTTAAAGAAAACAGAAGTCTTTACATTTTTATTATTTATCTTCGACTAATTTCAGTTGATTTACAACAATAAACCATATGACTAATTCAATTTGGATGGAAATGAATTCAAAGACTGCATTAAAAGGAACATATTGTGATCATCTACCTAGTATTGTACAGATGTACCCTTTCACTTGAGGCAAATTTAGATTTCAAAAGTAGATAAACAATAGATAATTGCTTTCTTTACTGAAGAGTTATCTTAGTTCAGGTTGCTATAACAAATACAAGTGCATTAAACAACACACATTTATTTCTCACAGTTTTGGAGGCTGAGAAGTGCAAGATCGAGGTGTGAGCAGATTCAATATCTGGTGACGGTTCTCTTCCTGGTTTGCACACAGCTGCCTTCTTCATGTATCCTCATGTTGCAGAGACAGAGCTCATGTTTTTTCCTCTTAAGGGCAGTAATCACATTATGAGGGCCTTACTCTAGTGACCTAATATAATCCTAATTATCTCCCAAAGGCCCCACCTCTAAATACCATCGCATTGGGGATTAAGGATTCTACATATAAATTTTGGGGGGACACTAACTTTCAGTCCCTAGTAAAGGTTCTTTGCTTTTTGTCTGTGAAGTAATTCATTCTCAGATTTCTCTAAATAGTAAACTCTCTTACTGTTCTCAAAGTATAATTAGATTTCAAAAATTCTTTTTTTAAAAAATCTATTTTCTAGAACATATCTACTGAGTCAAATGAAGTTTTTTTGTGCTAAGACTCTCGGGTTGCTAAAAATGGGAGAGCTGATACTATCATGTGGTTTAATTAGTTTCTGACACTAACAGCACCAAAGGACTTGTGGGTAGCGCATGGGAGATAAAACGTCATCTAGGCATGGAAATAGATATGTTGACTATGACACAATCTAGGGGAGAAAGATGCTGAGTCTGAAGGTCCATAATAACTTAGATGCAGCAAGAGTGTTTTCTGGGGTGGGGTGGGAAAATCCATCATGATTTCTTACCTCTTCTAGTCCTAGTTTACGTTCACCTACAACTATAACATTGCGAAATTAACACGAATTAACATAGTTAACTTCCTGCTCAAATACTTCAATATCAGGAAAGAAAATTGGCTGATTTAGGGAAGGTAAGACCAAGTTTCATTAAAAATTACATAAAAGACACATTTTATGATCTCTGCATGTATGGATAATGCCAACTTACTAGACTAGGACTGTTGGGAACAAAATTCTGTAGATCCAGCCAGGAACTTAATGGTGGTCGGTAAGGCTTTAGATGAGTGCCTCTCAAACTTTTTCACACCAAGATACTTACAGAAAATGACAATATTTGTAAGTCACACTGAGCCTTCCAGTCAAACTGGGAGAGATTTGGGGAAGTCAATAGGTTAGAGTGCAGTGGCACTATCACAGCGCACTGCAGCCTCAAACACCTGGGCTCAAGTGAACCTCCTGCCTCAGCCTCCCAAGTAGCTAGGACTATGGATACAGTAATTTCTCAACAAAATCTTACATATTCTTGATAGTCACCTTGCTCACTCCAGCCTGGGCAACAGAGCAAGACCCTGTCTCTGAAAACAAAAAAATAAAAGAAAATAAATTACATGCTACAGGTTCAAGTTGTAAATGAGATATTGTGTGTGGGGGTGTGTGTGTGTGTGTGTGTAAAATACTTGCAGGGGCAAAGCCAATGATCTCATTTAAAGATGTGAAGCTATTTATATTATGAAATCAGTATTTAATATATCCACAGTAATTTTTATTTCATTTTCTTTATCATAAATATATAACAAAGAATATTCACTTTTTTTACTAAGGTGATTTTGTCAGAGACTACACAAGTAGATGTAAAAAGTAGCATATTCTTGCTTTGTCTTTAATGAATTAAAACTGCTTTCTTGCTCTTATCAGATCATTTCTTCTCTGACCTTTTAAAATCATATTTCATAGGCTTATCACTTTTAAACACAACTCCTTTCTTTGACAAATGCAACATTGAAATAGTTTGTGATAACAAATGGTTTTGAATCTTTTAAAATGTTTTCTTATTATTTCAAAATTTTAATAAAGTGCTTCTTCCAGCAAAAATAGATACAGCTTTACTGGTCTTTCTAACTCTTTAGCACACAAAGTCCAACACTTACTAAAACATCAGTAGTGATTTCTTAAGTCCATGGATATTGACAGTGCACATTACTGTATTTCTTGTGGTCCTTCCAAACTTGGATCATGTGTATTAAAATGCTTGAAAATGTTAGTTAACACATTTTTTTAAGCTTACAACTAATCTTCGACTCTGTAAAGTAAGAATAATTTATACTCACATAAATTTTAATTGTTATTTGAGCTCAGCTATTCTTAACAAAAAATTTCATTGGTTATACTCTGTGCTATGAACCAGGAAAGAGTGTTTTTTTGATCTTAATTCTTTGCATAGAGCTGAAAACAGATATGACTACAGTGGCTTGGATTCGCTATCTTGAGAATATCATTTAATGTGGACTATAGATGCATGGAAAAAGTTTTACACTAACATTTATGTGTAATTAAAATGATGGATTCTTTTACTCATAGTATTTGAAATGAACTTTTTATGTAAAGCCGCTAACTACTATGAAAGCAGTATCACACCCATTTAAACAGTGTTTCTAGTGTATTTTATTTCTTCTGACATATTCATATAGTACTTTAAGTATCTTATTTCAAGAACTTTGTTTTGGTAACTCTTTGTAAGACAGATAATGTTTTTTTCCAAGCATTTCTCTTTAGGCAGTCTTAACTAGATTTATTAACTGCACGTTACTAGAAATGTCCATAGAGTCATCAGTCTTTGTTTGATTTAAATATTTTCTAGAGTAGTGCTTCCTCTGTGTCACCTCACATCATAAATGCATCTACTAATGGTACTATATAAAAGTGACATCTTTTCTATGACTTTGCCTTGCTGTTCTCAAATTTTCACATAGGCTGTTAAATTGAATGATTCTGCAATTACACATGGAACTTGGCTTTAGCTATGAAATTGAACTTAATGTAATACTGTTGAATCTGATTTCACAAGAGAATTTTGTTTCTTATTTTGAACTTGCACATGCTTTAAGAAGTTCAAAGCTTTTTCTCTTTGAGATATAAATTTTGTGGGGTGGAGCTGGCCTGATTTGCTAGGCACTATTGTTTCACTTGATAACTTTTCCAAGACAAAAAAAAAAAAAATTAGCCTAATTAGGGTGAGGAAGAGAAAAATTAGTGAACTTAAATGCCAAACCAAGATTATCCTCATTATTCTGCTTGAAAGTGACTTAAGCTTCCTGATCTCTTGGCTTTCTTGGTTGACCATTTCTGCAATATTATTTTGAAATTCTTCTCTCTGGCCAAGTGCGGTGGCTCATGCCTGTAATCCCAGCACTTTGGGAGGCTGAGGTGGGCGGATCATGAGGTGTGGAGTTTGAGACCATCCTGGCCAACATGGTGAAACCCAATCTCCACTAAAAATACAAAAAACGAGCCAGGCGTGGTGGCATGTGCCTGTAGTCCCAGCTACTCGGGAGGCTGAGGCAGGAGAATCGCTTGAACCTGGGAGGCGGAGGTTGCAGTGAACCCAGATCGCGCCACTGCACTCCAGCCTGGCAACAGAGCGAGACTCCGTCTCAAAAAAAAAAAAAAAAAAAAAAAAGAAATTCATCTCTCAAGCTGAGCCTAGAAACTGTTCCTCCAGCCCTTGCAACCACACTACATGTTAAATTCCCTGCTAGTTAGAATTGATTTTGTTTTCTGCAACAGAATGATATAATACTTCGAACCAGAGTGGTTTTTGACCTTAGAAGATCAAAGATAGAAATCCAGGACTGGTCATTTGACCTGCTTGAATTTGAAAACAGTAAGAATCTGCTTAATTTGAGAGAATGTCTTTAAAAATTGGAAGTCATCTGTGGTTTTCTGGAAAGAAGTACCCATTGGACACATTTTTGGCTTTTTTTAAGAGACAGGGTCTCACTCTGTCACTCAGGCTGGAATGCAGTGACGTGATTGTAGCTCAGTGCAGCCTCCAACTCCTCAGCTCAAGGCATCCTCCCACCTCAGCTTCCCAAGTAGCTGGGACCACAGGCATGTGCCACCACAGCTGGCTAACTTTTTTGTAGAGATTGGGTCTGGTTTTGTTGCCCAGGACATATTGGACACAATTTTGACAGACCCAGTGGCTACTGCCATAGCACAATGTGGTAAACAGAAGAACTACAAGGGACATGGGATGGGCAGATTACTTCTGGTATACCTGTTAGATCTGAGACAAAAAAAGATAGGTTTAGAGATTTAAATGCCTAGTAGAAGCCATGGCTACAGGACAAGAGAGTTTCTATGACTGTCACACACTGATTATCTTACCTCTCATATCCACAGTCTGGACCTCTGGATTTCTGGTTTACAATGTGTGCTGAATGCATGGCTTCACCAGGCTTCTGAAACGGCCTAGAAGCAATGATTGACCCAGCAGCAATGAGCAACCTAGTGTCTAGATTATGGTCTCTAAATGCCATTTTCCAGTATAATGAACCTAGGTTCTTTGGATTCCAGTTTGGGGACATAAAATATGTAAGATGAGCTGGAAACGTGTTTCATACTAAACAACAGGGAAGCTATAAAAGGCTACTGGAGTCATATCAAAAGGACACTGAAAATTAAAGGGGCTCTCAGGCTGGGTGCAGTTGTTCACACCTGTAATCCCAATACTCTGGGAGGCAGAGGCAGGAAAATTGCTTGAGGTCAGAAGTTTGAGACCAGCCTGGGAAACATGGTGAGACCTTGTTTTCACAATTTTTTTTTTTAATTAGCTGTGTGCCTATAATCCTAGCTACTAAGGAGGCTGAGGTGGGAGAATCACTTGAGCCCAGGAATTTGAGGTTGCAGTGAGTTATGATCGCACTGCTATATTCCAGCTTGGATGACGGAGCCAGACCTTGTCTCTAAAACAAACAAACAAATAAACGAAAATTTTAAAAAAGGGCTCCCACTGACCAATATAGGACAATTTATCAAAAATAATAGTGACTATGATTGATTTTAATATATCTGTTAGAAACCCATGTGTTTATATTGCTAATAAACAAAGAACCAAAACTCATTAATTACCTTTGGAAGTTCTAGGTAACAATGCATTACCCCCCAAAAACTGGTAAAAACAACGAAAGAATAGAACATTTATCCTGCCTTTCCTATATGAACTGTATTTCCTGTTAATCAGATAGTTGATGAGAAAAGATCTTAGAACTATAACTAATAAATTCAGAAGTAATGGAGGACATAGAAGATCAACATTCTGCAAACATCTAATGAAATCATGGACCCAGAAAATTATGCTCAATGGCTACTCAAACTAATAGATAAAAAAAGAAAGCTGAATGGAATGTTATAGAGGAGATATCAGGCTAATAACACCTGAACCCACTCATTAAGTCATCAAACGGGAGATATCCAGAAATTTTATGTTTTCTGATGTGACACAATAGGAAATATATAGCATCGCCTGTGATGGGTTACTGTCAAAAATTGCTCCTGAATGTATCACTCTCTGGATATAAACACCCATTTATAGAATAAAACAGCCTACAGACCACCATGTTAAATCACATTACGGAAAACAATCACGAACAAAAGGACAAATAAGTTACCTGGTTTCTTTAATGAATAGATAGCAAGATTTAACAAAGAGCAGGCTGAAATTGCTGTATGTTTTTTACAACAAAGTTTTAAATTTAGAATAGTTTTAGATTTACAGAAAATTGTAAATATAGTATGGAGAGTCTCCATATGCGCCTCACCCAGTTCCCACTGTTGTTTGCATTTTATATTACCATGACACGTTTGCGACAACAAAAGAACCAACATTGCAACATGACTGTTAACTAAACTCCATAGTTTGTTCAGATTTTACTAGTTTCCCCCTAATGTCTTTTTTCTGCTTTTCAAAATGTTTCTTAATTTGGGTTTTTCTGATGTTTTTCCATGGTTAGACTGGGGTCATGGGTTTCGGAAGGAAGCATGCAAAGGTGAAGTGCTGTTCTCATCACATCTTTGTTTCTTTATTATTATTACTATTTATTATTGAGACAGGGTCTTGATCTGTCATCCAGGCTAGAGTCCAGCAGCACAATCACAGCTTACTGCAGCTTCAACCTCCTGGGCTCAAGTGATCCACCCACCTCAGACTCCCTAGTAGCAGGGACTACAGGTGCATGCCACCGCTCTTGGCTAACTTTTTGTCTT
This sequence comes from Homo sapiens, assembly GCF_000001405.40. Taxonomy (NCBI): domain Eukaryota; kingdom Metazoa; phylum Chordata; class Mammalia; order Primates; family Hominidae; genus Homo; species Homo sapiens. The sequence goes on from NC_000010.11 coordinate 22,919,106, forward strand.
TAGTAGAGATGGAGTCTCACTATGTTGCCCAGACTGGTCTTGAAGTCCTGAACTCAAGCGATCCTCCCACCTTGGCCTCCCAAAGTGCTGGGATTATAGGCATGAGCCACCATGCCCAGCCACCATAAAATTTTACCAAACTACGTTCTGCAAACATGACTTATCATGGAATAATGTTAACCTTGACCACCTGGATGAGGCAGTGTTTCCCAGGTTCTCCACTCTAAAGTTAGTGTCCCTCTCTCCTTTCCATAATCTACTCTCTGGAAGCAAGTCACAAAGAGCAGCTTACACTCAAGAGTGGGGATATGGAAAGAGTTAAGCTATACCTCTGAGAAGGAGGATTATCTACATAAAACATTTGGAAGTCTTCTATTTGTTTCCTCATCCCCATCTATTTTTTCAATTATTTATTTAAATCAATATGGACTGATGGGTATTTATTTAATACTTTGTGTTACAGTCAGTACTATGCTATTTATTTGGGTGCTCAAATGCTTCTAGCTTTGACCTCTAAAAGCTCCTTCAGGTTGACTCCTTTGTCCTTCTAACATACCCTCATTTTTTGTTTTCTGAGCACTTCCTTACATTCTGGTAATACAAGATGCTCCAGATTAATCTTGTGTATATCCTGCCCAAGACTTAGAATAAATTATTTCTCCAAGGAGCCCCGGTTTCCTTTATTGGAGAATGGTATTAGAAACAAAGACCTGGGTGCTAGAGGTACTTATTACTGGAATGTCACTGCCTTTAGGTCCTCTTGGTAGACAGAGTTAGGGAATATATGAATGTATACTGACCCATAGAAACACATTTATGATTATTTCTGTATCTATTCATCTGTGCATATATTAGGCTAAATATGAGTTTGCACTGATTCTGATCCAATCCTAGTTTGTTCTAGTCCTCTGCCTTGTTTATCCATAACTTTTCTTTACAATAGTAGGAAACATGGCTCCCACCGCTTAACATTTATTTGCTCAACCTCCAAAATAAATGTACAATCACTGCAGAATTATTAACCTTCATAAACTCTATGAGAAACAACTTTTCCTGGTAGAATACACTATTTATTTACTGTTCCATTTGTTTTTAGTCTTAGAGTTTCCAGTCAAAACATGGTTTCCCAAAGTTAATTAGATCAGTTCATTTTCCCTGCCTGCTTCAGTGAGGTTATGTCACACATTTGTAACACAGTTAAGCTCTTTTATCACGGTCTGTTTTCCATCGTAGGCTCTTCCAATCCCCTGAATAAATTTTTTTAATTTGCATGCATTTAGGTTCACTTCTTATGCTGTAAAGTACTATGGGTTTTGACAAAAGTATAGCCTCATGTATCTACAACTATAAGATCATATTAGTTCCATCACCCTAAAAATTCCCTGTTTCCCTGTGCTTCCCCTAGTCAAATACTTTCCCTGCTATAAAACTCTAGCAACCACTAGTCTGTTTTCATCCCTACAACTTTGCCATTTTAAAAATTCCATTTCCCTGTGCTTCCCCTAGTCAAATACTCATCCTACTATAAAACTCTAGCAACCACTAGTCTGTTTTCATCAATTTTATTATGTAAATTAATAGCTCATTTCTTTTACTGAGGAATAGCATTCAATTGTAAGAATACACCAGTTTGTTTATTCAAACCCCCTTGGTTGCTTCTAGTTTTTAGTGATAATAAATAAAGCTGCTATAAACTTTCATTTGCAGGTTGTTATATGGATATATAATTTTGAATCTATTTTTTTAATTATACTTAAGTTCTAGGGTACACGTGCACAATGAGCAAGTTTGTTACATAGGTATACATGTGCCATGTTGGTTTGCTGCACCCATCAACTCGCCATTTACATTAGGTATTTCTCCTAATGCTATCCCTCCCCCAGCCCCTCAACCCCCCGACAGGCCCTGGTGTGTGATGTTCCCCTCCCTGTGTCCATGTGTTCTCACTGTTCAACTCCCACCTATGAATGAGAACACGCGGTGTTTGGTTTTCTGTCCTTGTGATAGTTTGCTGAGAATGATGGTTTCCAGCTTCATCCATGGCCCTGCAAAGGACATGAACTCATTCTTTTTTATGGCTGCATAGTGTTCCATGGTGTATATGTGCTACATTTTCTTAATCCAGTCTATCATTGATGAGCATTTGGGTTGGTTCCAAGTCTGCTATTGTGAATCGTGCTGCAATAAACATATGTGTGCATGTGACTTTATAGTAGCATGATTTATAATCCTTTGGGTATATACCCAGTAATGGGATGGCTGGGTCAAATGGTATTTCTAGTTCTAGATCCTTGAGGAATCACCACACTGTCTTCCACAATGGTTGAACTAATTTACACTCCCACCAACAGTGTAAAAGCATTCCTATTTCTCCACATCCTCTCCAGCACCTGTTGTTTCCTGACTTTTTAATGATCCCCATTCTAACTGGCGTGAGATGGTATCTCATTGTGGTTTTCATTTGCATTTCTCTGATGACCAGTGATGATGAGCATTTTTTCATGTGTCTGTTGGCTGCATAAATATCTTCTTTTGAGAAGTGATTGAATCCATTTACAAATTAGTAATATCACAAATGAAAGTGGGACATCACTATAGATAATACAGATATTAAAAGAATAACTCAGGGAAATACTATTAACAAATTCATACCAATAAATTTGACAACTTACCTACACTGGACAAATTCATCTAATTACATGCACTACCAAAGCTCACTGAAGAAGAAATAGATAATCTCAATAGCTGTGTATCTACTAAAAATAAAATTCATAATTAAAAACCTTCCCACAGAAAAAAAGAAGATAGCTTCACTGATATATTCTACCAAACATTAAAGGGAGAAAACTTACCAATTCTACATAAAGAATTCCAGAGAATTGAAGAAGAGGAAATACCTCCCAAATTATTTTCTGAGGCCAGCATTATCATGAAACCAAGATCAAAGACATTATGAGAAAAGAAAGCTACAAACCAAAGTCCCTCATGAGTATAGATGCAAAGATCTTTAACTGAATATTACCAAATCAAATCCAGTTTTGTGTAAAATGGTAATGCATAATATCCAAGTGGGACTTTATCCAGTAATGCAAGGTTGGTTCAACATTTGAAAATAATTCTGTGTAATATCAGCATGTTAACAGACCAGAGAGGAAAAACCATACAATTATTAAAGTAGATGTTAGCAAACACATTTGACAGATTTCGGCTTAATTCACTACAGTAATTCACCAGCAAACAAGGAGAGGAAGGAAACTTTCCTGACTTGATTAAGGGCACTTTTTAAAAGCTTATATTTCATGGTAAAGGCTGAATGCTTTCTCCCTAAGATTTGGCATGAGGCAAGATGTTCTTTTACCACTTTATTCAAAATTGTGTTAAAGATTTTACCTTGAGCAACAGGGCAAGACAACTTTTGTTTCAAAAAGAAAGATAGCCAGATTGGAAGCAAAAATGTCTTTACTGGTAGATAACATGATCGTCTACATAAAAAATCCTAATGAATCTACAAAAAATTTACTAGAATAAGTGAGCTCAACAAGATCACAGTAGAAAAGATCAATATAAAAATCAAATGTATTTGTTATACTAGAAATAACCATTCCAAAATTGAAATTTAAAAAATACTCTTTACAATAGCATAAGAACTTACAAAAATACTCAGATGCAAGCTTTTAAAAATGTAAGTGTGAGACCTGCACATGAAGAAATAAATTTTAAAATAAATAAGGAGCTATACTATGTTAATAATTTAGAAAACTCAGTATTAAGCTGTCAATTCTTCCTGAATTTATCTATAGATTAAATGTAATTCTTACCAAAATTCCAGCAGATTTTCTGATGAAAATTGACAAGCTAATTTTAAAATGTGTAGGAAAATGCAAAGGACATACAATGGCCAAAACAATTTGAAAAATAACAAATTTGATCTTTTTGATAACTCCTGTTAGTTGATTTAAAGGCTTACTGTAAGCTACAATAAGCAAAACGTGGTAATATTAGTGTGAGGACAGATGCATCGATCAAGGAAGCAGAATAGAGCCTAGTAATAGATCCACTTACAAAGGGTAAATTTATTTTCGACAAAGATGCCAAAGTAATTCAATACACAAATAGTGTTTTCTTCAAGTGGTACTAGAACATTTGGACATTCATATGCAAAATTGTGATTCTCAAACCATCTCATACCATATACAGCAACTAATGTGACATGGATCATAGACCCAAATATAAGAATCAAAACTGGAAGACTTCTAAAACAAAACATAAAAGGAAGTCTATTTTCTTCCCTTTGGACTAGGCAAAGATTTCTTAGGCAGGGCAAAAGCAAAATGAAATAAAACAAAACAAGGCTAACCTTTGAAACAATGAATGAATTGGACTTCATCAAAACTGAAAGCTTCCGGTGTACAAAATATATTTTTAAGAAACAAAATGATAAGCCACACACTGTCAGAAAATATGTCCAAAATGTATATCTGACAAATGACCTGTATCCAGGATATACAGGGAACTCTTACAACTCAAGAACACAAACAACCCAATTAAAAGTAGGAGAAATATTTGAACAGGCATTTCACAAAAGAAGGTACAGAAATGGCTAATGATCACATAGAATGGGATTATCATCACTATACAGGGAACTCTTACAACTCAAGAACACAAACAACCCAATTAAAAGTAGGAAAAATATTTTAACAGGCATTTCACAAAAGAAGGTACAGAAATGGCTAGTGATCACATAGAATGGGATCATCATCACTAGTCATGAAGGAAATGCAAATTAAACCCAGAGGGAGATACCATTATACTCCCACTAAAATGGCTAAAATTAAAAGGACTGACAACATCAAGTGCTGTAGAACACATGAAGCAATGGCATCTCTCATTTTTGCTGGTGGGAATGCAAATACAGTATAGTTCCTTTGGAAAGCAATTTGGCAGGTTGTTATAACATTATACATACACATGACATAAGACCCAGAAATTCCACTCCTGGGTATTTTCCCAAGAAGAGAGAAACACGTTCACACAACACCCTGTATATTTAACCATATTTATTTATAACAGTCCCAAACTGGAAAGTACCAGAATGTCCATCAATCAGTAAATGGATGTTGTACATCTATGCAGTGCAATACCACTCAGCCATAAAGTGAGATAAGCTATGGATAAATGCAACACCATGGACAAATCTCCTAAACTATGCTAAATTAAAGAAGCCAGACACAAAATACAGCATATTGCATGGTTCTGTTTATAAGACATTCTAGAAAAGCCAAAATGATAGGGAGAGAAAGCAGAGCAGTTGTTCCCAGGGAAGTGAGTTAGAGGGAGAGATTTGACTTCAAAGGGGCATGAGGGAAATTTGGGATGATGGAGATGGTCTCTGAAACTTCCCTGGGGTGATGGTTACACAACTGCAAACCCTTGTCCAAACCCATCCAACTGTATATGTTAAAATAAACATGATCTCCCGCCCAAATTTGACATACTCAGCAAAGACTAAGTCTATAAAACAAGAATTAAAGCAGTAGTTTTAATTATTTCATAAAAACACATCACAAGGGAACATCACACACTGGGGCCTGTCATGGGGTGGGGGGAGGGGAGAGGGATAGCATTAGGAGATATACGTAATGTAAATGACGAGTTAATGGGTGCAGCACACCAACATGGCACATGTATACAAATGTAACAAACCTGCACATTGTGCAGAACTTAAAGTATAATAAAATAAAATAAAATAAATCACAACTTGTTATAACACTATAATTTCAGGATGGGCTGGTATGATATATTGGTGCAGAACATGGATATAAAAGTCAAGCTGACCTTAGTTCAAGTCCTGTCTTTACCATTTACTAGTAGAGTGACCTTCTGCTAATCACCCTGTACTTCATTCAGACCTCACAGGATTACGGTGTGGATTTAATTGTGCACTTTAACCACTTCATAATTGCCAGTCTCATAGTGAGTATTAAAAAAGCTTTAGTTACTTGAAGAACATTTAGAAACAGCCTAGGTGGGGAGACATACATGTCAACAAATACATTACAGTATCATGTGAAAATAACAAATAGAGCAAGTGTAAGGTACAGCTATAGCAACGAATGAGAAATGCTTCCCTCTGTCTGAAGAAGCTAATAAAGACTTTTTGGAGGAAATGATGACTAAGTTAAAATTTGAAAGATGAATAAGTGGTTTTCAGGCTGATTAGGGGAGTGAAGGGCTCAAAATGTCATGGTGTACTTGGAGAATGCTGAGCAGTTTGCTATATTTTTGAACAATGACAGAAGCTATTGTAGTAGGAAGCAGTCAGTCAGAACAAGAAAGATCTTGAGTGTCAATTTAAGAATCTTGTTGCATTTCATCATTTGTGTGTTAGAGCTATTGGAGCCAGCAAGGACACAGACAAATTAAATTTGCATCTTAGAATGATTACTTTGATTGTCTTGGAGAAGATGAATTGAAGCTAGGATGAGTCTAGAGGATGGAAGACCTGCCAGAAGGCTTGTTAGATGAATTCAGGTAAAGGACAGTGACTTTCTGTACTTGGGCTATGGGAATTGGAAGGTGAGAATAAATTCAAGAAACTTTTAGGGGAATCCAATAATTAACTGCATGAAAAGGAGAATAAGTCTAGGATGCCTGTCAGACTTGGTGGTCTGTTTGGGTAGAACACCTGTTGGTACCCCTAGATAAATGGAAAAACATGTCTATACTGGGAAAATGATGAGTTTAGGTGGGTAGTGTTGATGACTGAAGTGCCTGTGGGTATCCAGGTGGAACTGTGTAGCAAGTAGGATATATGGGTCTAGAGTTCAGTACCGGAGTCTGATGAGGAGCTACATATGTGCAATAGTTGAAGTCACAAATATAAATAAGATCACCTAGAAAAGCATATAGTGTGAAAAGAGAACAAGGGACAGATCCCTGGGAAATTTCAACATTTAAGATTCTGTAAAAAAACCACAATAGGGCATATATCCCTATAAAATCCCAGCTACTCAGGAGGCTGAGTCAGGAGGATTCCTTGAGGCCAGGAATTCAAGACAAGCCTGGGCAACATAGATAGACCCTGTTGTATAGAAAAGATCTTAAATGATGGTCATAAAAGAAAGTAGGAGGAAGATCAAGAGCAAGTAGTACCAAGGAAACCAAGAAAAGAGTTTCAAGAATGAGGTGTCATTGAGTATTATATACAGCAGCAATGTCAAGCAAGATGAGGGCTAAGAAGCATCCAATGGATATGGATAGTTTTAGTGCTGGGATGAAAACAGGTCACTATAGTCTGAAGAGTGAATAGGAAGTTAAAAATATGTAAGTATCTAATGCTGGCTACTTTTTTTGAAAAGTCATGACCAAGAAGAGAAAGAAAACAATAGGATAATAGTTAGAAGGAACAACAACATCAAAGGGATTTTATTTGTTTTTGCTTTTTAGATGAGGCATGGGAGGGGCTTCAACATAATTATATACCAACAGGAAAAAACGTGGAAGACAGGGAGAGGCTGAAAATACAGGTGTATATTATTCAAGGTCCAATCATATAACACTTGATGACGCTTATATTCTTGAAACTCCCTCCTTAGTTTCCTTGATGCTACTTGGTCTTAATCCTTTTCCTACTTTCATGACCATTACTTAAGATCTTTTCTATACAGAAGTCACACCGGATATTTGACCATGGAAAACTGAATACAAATAATTGTTATAAAGCTGTTTATCAGGCAATTTAAATGGTGAGAAGAGAACATAAGATATATAAAAGTAGCAATTATAAGAAGCATCTATCATTCTTAGGACTGGGAGACCAACAGGGGCCGGTAGGAGACGGAATTTGCAAAGTCTAAGAGGAGAGGGAGAGACTTTTTGCTAAAGGCAATCAAAAAATATTTTATGAAGATGGCATTTGAGCTGGGCTTAATTAAGTGGAAATGAGAGAATATTTCAGGTATTGCACATGACCTGGGAAATAGAAGCTACTTTATAAATATTTGTTGAAAAATGAAGTGATGAACAGATAAGCAAGAAAATCTAGAGAAAAGTGTGGAAAATTTCGGGAACAGTAAGTTTGGCTGGAGCTTGGATGGTGGAGATCGGTTGAAAATGTGGTTGCACAGATGGAGTAGAGATGGAGCAGACGGTCTTAAATTCCAGGCCAATGTGTTGAAAATTTATCTTAGGAAGCCGCTGACATTTGAGTAGGGAAGTGACAAGACTGGAACGATGATTTCTGGATGGCCGATTTGCCTGTGATACGTAGAAAGAACTGTAAGCAGAGAGCAACTGAATTTCTCAGCCAGAAGGCCAAAAAATGACGAGCTGGATTGAAGTGACAATAAGGATATGAGAAAGGGAACAAGCAGGAAACAAAATGTAAGCCGCCAAGAAGTGGCTGAAGTGATGACTGTGGTTGGGGGGCATGGGAGGAAGAAGGGAAATTGAAGCTCCTTCTGAGTCTAGGCAATTGGAAGAATGGCAGGAAGAGGAAAGAAAGAGGAAGAGAACGGGGCTTTGAAGGGCCATGAGAAGTTCTGTGGAAACGGATTGGACATCCTAGTGCAAAGAGATGTGGCAGTGCAGGTCTGCAGCTTAACGGAGCCTGGGCAGGAGGTGGCTGATGTGGGTTTCATCTGCATAGAGATTCCGGCTGACGCCTCTATTTGGAAGAATGCAATAGTATTTGCGTATTTGAACCCACAGCCAGTCCTTGGGCCAGAAACTGAGGCTGAACTGCCTCTTGATTTACAGCTTCCACCCCCAGTTTCCATTCTCCCCTAAAGCACTGGATTCAGGTAATCGCGGACGCACTTGGCTCCTCCCGCACTGGCCGCTGCCCTCGGCGGGACAATGGGCGCCCTAGCAGCCCCGAGCGTTCCCAGGGCGCAGGCGCGGCGCGGCGTGGCGTCGCCTAGCAACGAGGCACAACAAGGGACTGGGGGTTCGTCTGCTGGGTTTGCGGAGCAGCTAGCTACTCGGCGGGATCTCCCGGCAGGTAAAGGTAACCCCGTGGGGTGGGGAGGCCCAAGGCAGAGGCCTGAGGAAAACCTGGGAAAGGAGAAGGTGCCACGTGGGCGCAGACTGCTTGGGTCAGTGAGGCAACACCTTGCTGGGCGTTGTTAGTTTCTGCCTCGCGCCCGCAGGGTTAGACGGGGCTTGGGGTGGGTTTCGTAAGCATCCCGCCACCTCCCATTCAACAGGTGACAAAACTGAGGCCCGAGAGGGGATCTGAGGTGAGATCAAGTCAGATTCCGTTACTTGACTGTGAGCAACTCAGAAGTGGCCTCGATTTCTTGAGCCCTCCTCCTCTTTAAATCTTCTCAAAGCAGAACTCATTAGAAAATATTTAAAATCATAGGCTGAACGTTCACGAAGAACAAATACAAAGGACCAATCAACTCGTGAAAAAAAAAATGGCTCCAGTAGTCAAGAAGATGCATTTTTAGAGCAGAGTTGTTTGCATATCCAATGCCCTGAAGTTTTCACCCAGTTAATTTACTGCTAGAGATTTATCCTAAAGAAATAGTTGGGGATAATGGATGAAAATTTTATGTCCAAGGACGTTCTTTCAGCCCTGTCCATATTTCCAGAAAATTAGAAACAAATTTCAACAATCAGAGACTGGCTAGATAGCTAAGGGATTTTAAAATATTTGTAATGGCATGTTATGCTAATCCACTGGAGATTATTAAAGCAATGAAGGGAAACTGAGACTTCATGAATTTATTTGTTAATATAAGAATTTAGTAGGAATATGAACCCAGGAAGGGAAGGTGAAAGTAGGGGATAGAAGTTGAGGCAGGATGTTAAAATCACTTTAGAAAAACACACAAAGCCAGGTACGGTGGCTCACGCCTACAACCCCAGCACTTTGGGAGGCTGAGGCGGGTGGATCGCCTGAAGTCAGGAGTTCGAGACCAACCTGGTCAATGTGGGGAAACCTGTCTCTACTGAAAATACAAAAATTAGCCGAGCGTGGTGGCGGGTACCTGTAATCCCAGCTACTCAGGAGGCTGAGGCAGGAGAATCTCTTAAACCTGGGAGGTGGAGGTTGCAATGAGCCAAGATCAGGCCACTCTCCAGCCTGGGCAACAGAGTGAGACTCTGTCTCAAAAAAGAAAAAGAAAAAGAAAAAAAGAGAAGAGAGAGAGAGAGGGAGAGAGAGAGAGAGAAAGAGAGAGAGAAAGAGAAAGAAAAAGAAAAAGAAAGGAAAGGAAAGGAAAGGAAAGGAAAAGAAAAGAAATAGTATTGATCTCTCTGAGCTTATCTTTGGGTGATTTTTATTTTATTCGTTGTGCCCTTGTTTTCCAAATTCTCCACAGTGAAATGTATTACCCTTGTAAGGATCATCTCCATAGCTCATTGCCACCGACCTATGTCAGCTGTTCAGTCTCTCCTCCATTAACTATCATACCCAATATGGTGATAAAACACATAGGCTTTTTTTGGGGGAGGAGACAGAGTCTCGCTCTGTCACCCAGGCTGGAGTGCAATGGGGTGATCTCAGCTTATTGCAACCTCCGCCTCCCGGCCTCAAGCAATTCTCCTGCCTCAGCCTCCCCAGTAGCTGGGAATGCAGGCACATGCCACCGCCACTCCAGGCTAATTTTTGTATTTTTAGTAGAGACAGAGTTTTGCCATGTTGTCCAGGCTGGTCTTGAGCTCCTGACCTCAGGTGATCCACCCGCCTCAGCCTCCCAAAGTGCTGGGATTACAGGAGTGAGCCACCACGCCGGGCCATGATAAAACACATAGGCTTTTAACTTCATTCTTTAGCTTAGGAGACACTCTATCATTGCAATACTGTCTGTGTAAGCTCTTCTAACCTCTGCACTATGCAATTGCTCAAAAACACTATCCTGAAGTAGGAAAAATTAGTTCCTAAGTGAAAATCAGATGATTTAAAACAACTTTATGCAGGTGTAATTAAATTGCTTCCTGAATATTATTCATAAGCAATTATTTTATAAATCAAAGGCTGCTCTGTCTTGGAATTGGTTATAGAGTGCTATAAACTCTCTCTTTTTTTTTTCCTAGAGATTAATTGTAGGATAGATTCTCATTTGCCCAGAATAGTTTCTGCCTCTCTGCCTGAAATATTATAGGCACAAGGTCTAGGGCCTGTTCACTTTTCAAGCACCTAAGGAAGATGTTTGAGATTTGAAAAAAATGCTTATATTGGCTCTAAAATATGAAAAGAGAACTGAAAAATTAGTGTTAATTAAATGTTTTATTAATATAAATTTTTATTACATTTGAAAACAATTTTCTCATTTTACAAGAATTTCCAGGTGTATGTACTGATTGCTGAGTAATTTCAAATACAAATTTCAAAAGTTTTTATGATGCAAATGACATTTAATGGGCGATGCAGGCACATTTTAACATTTTAATATATTGGCTATTGTGTGAATAAGCTTGCCCAGGCCCTCCAAAGTCTTAAAAGTAGTGTGGTCTGAAGTTAGAGACCTAGAATAAATGCCTTTCAGAAGTATCTAGGAGTTTCTATGAAGACGTGGCTTTTTAATGTATGTGATAAATTCTGGTCAGTGTCTCTAATGCTAGGAGTTGCTTTTGACCCTTGACATGCAATTTGAGCTAACCCTGACACTGTAGATTCTCCCCAAGGATTTTCTACTTCCTAGGATTTCTACTGAGACTATGGTAATTTCCTTAAGGCTATGATATACCGTTTAAGATTGCTCCTACGATATACCGTTTAAGATGGCCCTGATGTCAAACATAATTCCACAAACTCTCACTGAAGAAAACTAGATAGATTTCCTGGGTTATTCTAATAGACATTAACATCTTGAAAAGTTTCTTTTTTTTTTTTGAGACAGTCTCACTCTGTTGCCCAGGCTGGAATGCAGTGGTGCGATCTCGGCTCACTGCAGCCTCCGCCTCCCGGGTTCAAGTGATTCTTGTGCCTCAGCCTCCTGAGTAGCTGGGACTACAAGGCACGTGCCACCACACCCGGCTAATTTTTGTATTTTTAGTAGAGACAGGATTTCACTGTGTTGGCCAGGATGGTCTTGAACTCCTGACCTCGTGATTCGCCCACCTCGGCCTCCCAAAGAGCTGGGATTACAGGCGTGAGCCACCTGCCCGGCCTGAAAAGTTCTTTGAACCCAGGCTGGTTACTCCTCTGTGGTATGTTAACTATGTATAAATTCCATTCCTTTCACTTTTTCCACACAGACATGGACATATGAGGACAAGTGGAAAGGAAGTAACCTCAGTTTCCCCAGAATATATCTCTTCAGATTTTTTAATTGCTTTTTTACTAAGCTGTGGATTATGAAAGAAAACTTTTTGTTATCCGGGCAAAGGACACAAATGTTGATTCAAGACCTGGTAGATTTTGTATACCATTTATGAGATCATTACTCCTAGGAAAAATGGAGTTAATGAGGTTTATAAATATCAAATGCCAATTATGTACCAGACACTGTTGTAGGTATTTAGGATAGATCAGTGCAAGAAAATAGACAAAAACCTCTGCCTTTGTGGCACAAACATTCTTGCAGGTCTCAAAAGTAACTTGGTGGGCTTAGTCTCTTAAGCCCATCATAAGCAAGCTATAAAAATGGTAAATGATTTCTTGTTATTTAAGTTATGCCACTAATATATTCACCTCCTTTCTAAACTGAAAGCCAGGACTAACACTCAATGATCTTATCAATAAGTTCCTTAAAATTGCAGAGTTTGAAATTGGGATGTAGGTGACATATTTGTACATATGTGATAATTTTTACATGTATTGCATTGTGTTTTAGGAGGTAAAAATTTAAAGGAGAAAATAAACCTCCTCTCAAGGGCACAGGTAATTGAGAAATGTATGTGCAAATGTCACTTTAACCATATATTGCATCTTTTTCCAGGATGGGTAAAAAGATAAAGAAGGAAGTAGAGCCTCCTCCTAAGGATGTGGTAAGTTTCTGATTTGAATACTAGTAGCACTTTAACAACCAGTTATAAAAATAAATTGTTCACACAGTTTGGCATGTACCAGTATATACATGAATACGCGGTGGCAGAAGTCCAAAGTCTGACTAATGATAAGATTAGTCAGAGAAATCTAACATTACATAAACAAACATTTACAACATTGTCATTATATAATTAGCACAATTAGAGAGTAATTATTAGCTTTTCCAGTATGTAGATGGCATGTTTATAGCATAGTTAATGAATAAATAGTTTGGGTTGTTCTTTTAAATACTTACCATTTACATTTGCCAGCCTCTCATTTATGTTAATTAATCAAGTGAATTTTCAAAAATAACTGGAAGTTCTGCTATAGCTATTAGATATGTATATAAGGTTGTCTGGTGATGACCACTGCACGTGAGAAGTCCCTATCCTTTCCAGTTCTATCGAGAGACTAGTCTGGCATCATCATTTTTATTCCAAATGCTAAGTAATTCATTCCCCACTGAAAGCTCTTCTCTGTCTTTAAAAACAGGATTTTATCTTCTCTCTTTAAACTTTATCAATTATTGAAAGGTTGTGTTAAAAGTGAAAAATGACCTTGGACAATTTGCAGTTTAGAAACTTATTTTGAAACAGACATTTGGTGTGATTTCCTTCAGATAAATCAGGAATAGAAAAGAAATAAGTGGAGTCCACAGACTCACAGCAATTTCAAATTTGAAGGAAACTGGGCTAATGGCAGAAATCTGCCCCCTTGGGAGCTTTGTGGTTAAGACACTGGGGGCCTTGAGCCAGCTCTGCCTCTTACCAACTGTGTCATTGTGGCCAATTTGCCAAATTTGGCCAAGTTATTTCGGTTTTTCTTTAGCTCCTAAATGGGAATCATAATATCAAACTCGTTCCCGTTGTTGTATGAATTAAAACAAAATAAGTTACATAAAGGTCTTAGTGCTTGGCACGTAGCACTTGGAAAATAAGATCTATTATCATGAGAATCCTCTGGACTCTGCTTCTGAGACACACAAACACACACTTGCACCCCTGTGCAATCCACTGGGTATGATACTTCAATACAGTTGGGAACAAAATCTACAGAAGTGCCTGTCTTCCCGGGTCCAGGAAGGCTTTGCAGGGGTAGACATTGTGATCTCATGATGTTTCATCATTCTGGCTGCTTCTCTTAGGACATATTCCTAAAATGTTGCAGATTCTCTTATTTTTTTTTTCATTGCATCCAAGGTTTGTATCACTCCCCTTTTTGCTACCAAATAGCATTAATGGCATCTGATTAGCAAAAACATATTCTAATAAAAATTAGAATTACGGGGCTAATAAACAATAGATGTATATGGCTAATACACTTTCTATAACTTCATAATGTCTTGCTGATATTGTCCTCTGGACTCCAATCCTTGGGGACACAATGGAGAACTTGAGAAACACAGTCCTAGCATTAACAAAATAGAACTCCTGCTTCCTCAGCTCCCAACAGCCTTGGAGGTAGCCAATGGCGGGTGTAACATTGACCAATGGTCCTTACTTTTCCCTGCCTTTCCCAGGGGACTTCTACTCTGACTATAAAACTGACAGAGTGTTGGGAGGCTGAGGCGGGCGGATCACGAGGTCAGGAGATTGAGACCATCCTGGCTAACATGGTGAAACCCCGTCTCTACTAAAAATACAAAAAATTAGCCGGGGGTGGTGGCAGGCGCTGGTAGTCCCAGCTACTCGGGAGGCTGAAGTAGGAGAATGGTGTGAACCTGGGAGGCGGAGTTTGCAGTGAGCTGAGATCCCACCACTGCACTTCAGTCTAGGCAACAGAGCGAGACTGCATCTCAAAAAACAAACCAACCAACCAACAAACAAACAAAAACTGACAGAGTGGTATTAAAATAATATCTAAGCCCTTTTCTACAGTATTTGTTTTCATACTTCAAAGCAGTATGCCACAATTTACAGTATCTTAACCTGGAACTTGTTCCAGAATATACCTCTAAAGTCAATAAAGGTTTGTTGTACACATTGTAAATGAAAACCACATTTAAAGAGAAATATAACTACTTAAGAAAATAAACTTTTCTCTGTCAGCCAATAGTAATTTGCTTCTTATATGTTTCCTAGAAATATTGTTTCCAAAGACCTTAATTTTTATCAGGCTTTCCTCTATAGTTTAAAATGAGTAATAAAGACAGTAAGAAAAGTGTTGGTATTAGGATTAGAACAAAAAGCTCCCTTTGCTTTTCTGAATATTCTCATTTGTCATAACATTAATATATGCAGATATAGTACTGATTACATTTCCTTCTCATAAAAGAGACACTAGCTAAGAAGATGCCTACATATGGAAAAGACACGGCTTGATCTACCAATACAACTATATTCTTCCTTTCCAAATCATTTCCATATCTGGCCAAAAGGTTGTTTGTGGTGCTTTAACAAAAGGAAAATTTACTGTGGAATATTGCATAAAAGAATTCCTAATAGAAATGACTCTACTAGGCATGATTTAGTATAAGGCGAGATATTCAGTGTCTAAGAGTACCGGTTCTGGGGCTATCTTGCCTGAGTTTGGGTCCTTACTCCATTATCCACTTATGCCCATCTATGAACTTGGGTGAACTTTCTAACCTCTGTGCACCACAGTGAGGATGTGATACTGCTTAATTCATAGGAATACCCACTCACATCAGTGAAGGAAGGTTAGATCAATGTAAAATGCTTAGAACAGTGCCTGGCATTAGGTAAGAGCTTGGTAGATGTTATTATTATTAATGATATAGTTGAGGGTGCTGTTCATCATTCTACAGAACTGAGTAAGTTTGTATGAACTGTCAAAGGAGACAGGGAAGTCAGGGATGAGGCATGGACGACCAGCTGGCCACTGAAGTCCCCTGAGGCCTGGTGTGTGGCCATCATGATTTACGGTCAGATCTTTGAGTTTGCAAGCATGGAAATTGTAGTCTTTTAATATTTCAGAGGTGATTGAGCTTCAGTGGATAAAGCCACAAGCTCTAAATTCCCAAGAGACTATGACCTGGCCCTGGAATCGTAATGATTAAGTATCAAGTTAACTGAACATTTATGTTAATGAGTCAGGACTTTCTTTCCTTAGTTAAATGCACACAGGAAGCTAAGCAGGGTGAGTATAGAATCAGAGCAATGGAAAGTAGTGCAACATGCCCCCTCAGCTGCACAACCAAATCTAATTCCTGGGAAGAGGGTGAGGTCTCCTGAGTTTTCCTGGACCTCCTTCATCAATCTCAGAACTCAACCTTTCATTCTTTGTCATAGACTGACAACACTACTATGGACTTTAAAAAATAAATAAATAAATGGCCTGTGCTTGCCCTATTGGACAGCACAGAATCAGAACATTTTTATCATTGAAGATCTATTGGACAACACTATTCTAGACAGTATTATTCCTTAACAGAGACATAAAAATATTCTAGAAGCCTATGGCCACTCGAATTGACTGGGCTTAGAATTCAAAGCTTAGCCAAAATGCCTCCATTTACTTTCATTCTTTTTGTAAATAATTTTGTTTTATCATTTATTTTGCTATGTAAAGAAGTTATAAGGACTTCTTTTCCCATCTTTCTCCCTCCTGACAGCTAAACACTATGAATTAATAAAAAATATAAATTCATAAACAATATACATATATAAAACAATATGGATAATTTTCAGCTTGCTCACCTTACTCCAAAAGTTTGCTACTTTGATCAGGTTATAAAGTAAACTAAAAGGTATTTTAGCTACTTTCATTTTAATCTTTAGACATTTTAGCAAATTTTTCCGGATGTCTAGATATTCTCTATTGAAAGTTCCTATTAGATGAATGCTGTCTACCTCCTCCTGTTTATCTATCTCTGTCTTTTCCTACACAATTAGCACCTCATGATCTGGGACCACTGATGTAGTAAACATATTGAAATAGAAATTGTGAAAGCTTTTTATTTGTACTTATCGGCACCATAAAAATCACTCAACTGTGATGATTTATTTTCACTGAGGTCATCTTCATAATTTTGTATTTTTTTTAGACCTGTGCTAATACTCCAGCCACTAGGCACATGTGGTTATTAAAATTTGAATTTATAACGATTAAAATTATTAGTTTTAAAGGCCAGGGGCAGTGGGTCACATCTGTAATCCCAGCAGTTTGGGAGGCTGAGGCGGGAGGATCGCTTGAAGCCAGGAGTTCAAGACCAGCCTGGGAAAAATAGCAAGACTTTGTCGCTATTTTTTAAAAAAGAAGTTAAAAATTCAGATTCTCAGTCCCATCAGTTACATTTCAAGTGCTAAAGAACTGCTTGTGGCCTGTGACTACCATATTGGATAGCACAAAATCAGAACGTTTTCATTGCTGAAGTTCTGTTGGAAAACGCTATTCTAGACAGTATTATTCCTTAACAGAGACATAAAAATATCTCTAGAAGCCTATGGCCACTCTAATTGACTGGGCTTAAAATTCAAAACTTAGCCAAAATGCTTCCATTTTCTTTCATTCTTTTTGTAAATAATTTTATCATTTATTTTGCACAGAGCATGAAATTATAATTTCTCAATGAGCTTGTTGGTGACTGACTTTCTCATGGGAAAGCAGATGGGATATGTAATGACAGCACAGTATTATTTATTTAGTCATGTGGCACTCTGTTATAGCTATCATTTATTCTCAGTGCCCTTTTTAATAAAAAAATTACTATAATGGTGCAGGCTCTGTAGGAGAAACAAATGTCATGCCAAGTTTCTCTATTCTCTGCCAAACATTTGTATTTCTCCTTTGTCAGCCTATTGGATTGCAACTCTTACAGTCTCAAGCTTCCCTTTAAGCTTCTCATACCCCATATTATCTTTTTTTCTTTTTTGAGATAGGGTCTTGCTCTGTCTCCCAGGCTGGAGTGCAGTGGCACAATCATGGCTCACTGCAGCCTCCACCTCCCAGCTCAACTGATCCTCCCTACTCAGCCTCTTGAGTAGCCGGGACTAAAGGCATACACCGCCATACCCGGCTAATTTTTGTATGTTTTGTGGAGACAGGGTCACACTATGTTGCCCAGGCTGGTCTCGAACTCCTGGGCTCAAGAGATCTTCCCCCCTCGGCCTCCCAAAGTGCTGTGATTACAAGCATGACTCACTGCACCTGGTCTTTAAAATTAATTTTAATTATTATAGATTCACACTTAAATAACCACATGACTATTAAATGATATTTACTAAAGCTTATGTTTAAATGTATTTTCGTATACTCTACCTACTCCTCTGAGACTTGTTCTTCTGTGGTGATCATGACATACCCATCCTTAACCATAGTATCCTTATTCACACACTTATATAATCAGCTTTAAAAATATAGAAACATGTGAGGTCTCTGGGGTGAAAGTTCCAAGAGGGAAGGGAAATCTGTTTTAGATGTGGGTTGGTGGAGAAGATGGCCAGCTGGGACATGAGGGGAAGTGCCCTAAGTGGTGAAGATGATCTAAGGCTGTGGTTCTTAGGAGTTTGCGGGGCAATCAAGGAACCTTATGAAGGTAGGTTGGGATCTGTGGAAACTCCTCCTTCTGAAATGTACTCCAAGTATTTTGCATATGATTTCACATAGAGAATGTACCTTCAAAGCCTACTGATAGCTCCATGGACCTCAGATTTAGAGCCCTCTCTCCTGACATCAGCAAACAGTACACAGTTAAGGCACTTTAAGGCCACAAGCATAGAAAAAGTTTCCAGGGGCACTTTAATACATTCCTTTACAGACATTTTCCAAGTACTACCATCACCCCAGTATTGTTCATAGGTGATGGAGACAGAGAAACAGCATGGTCCTTTGCCTAAAGAAATGTATTTATTTGCTGGACAAATATAGAGTGCCTACCATATGCAAGCATTCCTCCACATCCTGGGCATAAAGATGGGGAGAAAGGAAAGTTCAGGCCCCAAGGCAGCTTATATTATAGTGGGAGAAACAGTCAATTAATAATAATATAATTCAGGTAGTGATACGATCAATGAAGAAAAATAAAGTATGATATGGTAAGGAGTGTGATGGGGCCTCTTTAAATAGAATCTTGGGCAGGCCTTCTTGTGGGATCTCAACCAAAACACACTTAAATGAAATGAGGGGGTAATCTGTGCAAATATCTGGGAGGGGACCCCAGCCAGACCACAGTAACTAAAGCCTCATGCAGTGTGTTTGAGGAATGCCAGGAAGGTTGGTGTGACAGGAGATTAGTGAGCGAGGTGTAGGATGGGGTCACAAAGATGGAGAGATGGTGGTGACCACGTAGGACGTTAGGTTATGTTAAGCAAGTTGGATTTTTCCCTAAGGTGCAAAAAGGAGAATTCGTTGGAAGGTGACAAAGAGAGTAGTAGTGACATCTGATTTATATTTAAAATAAAAAATAAGATCGTTCTAGCTACAATGTGGGAGAAACATGAAAATTGGAAGACCAGCTTGGAGGTTGTCACAGTAGTGCAGTTAAGATACAATGGCAGCTTGGACCCAGGAAGTCACCGTGAAGAAGATGAGATGTGGCCAGAGTGAGGATGAGCTCTGAAGGTCGAGCTGGCAGGATGTGCTGATGGGTAGGACGTGGAGTGTGAGAAGGGGACAAGTTGAGAGATCAAGCCTGAGCAATGGAGTGAATGGAAGTACAACATACTGAAATAGACATGTAAATCAAAGACATAATGCAGTGTGTTAAATTCAGAAAAATAACAGCTGTGGAAGAAGAGAAAGAAAAGCAAGCAAGCAAGCCTAGTCGCCCAAGGAATTTCAACCCCCAAACCACCATGAATAAAAACAATAAAAAGTGTATCCAGAGAGATGGAGGCCTGACAATTAAATACACCATAACTCTCTATAGTTTCAAGTATTATTGTATTATTTTCTTTAGAAATGAAATAAAACTCTCAAGAAGTCCTGGGTGACATGTGACATGGTGCTCCCAGATGGTGGCTTTAGTGAGAACTATTTTGGTAAGTCACTGAGGGTGAAAGTAAGATTGGATATGTGCAGCAAGGAGCTAGAGTAAGAAAAGTAAGTATTTGTAAGGTTTTTGATTGTGAAAGACAAGGAAGGGTAATGTGTACAGAGGATGATTACTATCTAAGGACAGTTGGTTTTTATTTTAAAATAAAAGAGCTTCAAGAAATCAGAGTTCAAGGAGGATTAGGTGGCTGCAGTTTGCAGGGTAGAGTACCAAAAAGAAGAGACCAACATACAGCAATAGCTCCAGAAATCCAGTTAATGGTCCTCTGGATTCTCTGAAGTCTAATCTGTATGGGGTGGAACTCCACCTGGCAAAGGACATGCATGAACAACTCTCAGGGTGCCGTTAAGTCAAACCCTCTCTAGAGCTCACACCGGTCTGGGAAGCATTGTAATTTGCTTGGAAGGCATGGAGGGTCTTATTGAATACCTGGGGCATTAATAAGAGTCCCCAGAAAAGTCATGCGTTAATAGTCGTGTGGCTAAACTATCCAGCCCTATAGAAAAGGTTTCTCTAGTCCTGCCCTACCTAATAAAGCTTAAAAACGGGCTTTAAATAGATTAACCTGATCCATAAGTAAGATAACTGCCTGCCAGAACAAAATTCAATATCCTTTAAGGAACACTTCTCCTCCCCCAGCCCCCAAAAGAATCTAGATGCTCAGCTACATAATTTTCACAATGCCCAGTATCCAATACAAAATTGTTAGGTGTGCAAAAAAGGAAAATGTGACCTATAACCAGGAGAAAATCAGTTAATAAGCTAATAGAGGAGGTAAAATGGGATACTAAAAAAACCCAATCAACTGAAAAAAGGCAGAATAAAAGGAACAGGGAGCAAATGTGACAAAGTGAAAACAAATAGCAAGATGATCAATTAAGACCCAACCATATCAACAACCACATTGGATATAAATAACCTAATATTCCAACAAAAAGTGATTGTCCAACTGAGTAAAAAAGCAAGACTCAACTCTCACCTGTCTATAAGAATCCTCCTTTACATATAAAGGTACACATAAAAGTAAAAACATGAAAAAAGATATATACCATGCAAACACTAATCATAAGAAATCTGCAGCACCTATGTTAATACCAAATGAAATACATTACAATTGCAGGACAAAGAATATTGCCTGAGAAAAAGATGGACATTTTATGATACAAAGGTTTATTTTTTAATGGTCCTAAGTGTTATGCACCTAATAACACAAGTTTAAGATACATGATGGCAAAAAAGGCTATGCGATAGCATAAGAAACAATGAAATACTTAGACACTAGTTTAACAAAATAAAATCAATACCTATATGCTGAAAACTATAAAACATTTCTGAGACAAATTAACTAAGACCTAAATAACTGAAGAGATAAAAGTACTATGTTGGATACAGATACATTGCTGGCAGGAATGCCAATGGTAGAACTACTTTGGAAAAATAAATTGTATTTTTTTCTTTTTTTGAGACAGGGTCTCACTCTTTTGCCCAGGCTGGAATGCAGTGGTATGACTGTAGCTCACTGCAGCCTTGAACTCCCTGGTCAAGCGATCCTCCCACCTCAGCCTCCCAAGTAGCTAGGACTACAGGTGCATGCCACCACACCTGGCTAATTTTTTCACTTTTTGTAGAGACAGGGTCTCACTATGTTGCCCAGGCTGGTCTTGAATTCTCGGCCTCAAGTGATTCTCCTGCCTCAGCCTCCCAAAGTGCTGGGATTACAGGCATGAGCTACAGTGACCCAAAATTATATTTTCTTATAAAGTTAAACATGCACTTGCCAGACAAGCCAGAAATTTTACTTCTGGGCATTTGCTCAAGAGAAATGAAAACATTTGTCCATAACAAGACTTGTATAAAATGTGCATGGCAACTTTCATACATAATGGTTCCAACTTGAAACAACCCAGAGGTCTATCAACAGTTGAATGGATAAACAAATCGTGATATACAATGGGATACTACTCAGCAGTAAAAAGAAAGGTAAAAACAAATGAGATCCATGAAACATGGATCTCAAAAATATTCTGCCACATGAAAGAAGCGTACACAAAGGGTCCCTATGTAGTAATTTCATTACTACTAAATTATAGGACAGGCGAAACTGATCTGCAGTGGAAGAAAGGAGATCAGTGGTTGTCTGGGACCAGTCATAGGAGGGGAATCAACTGCAATGAGGCAGGAGAGAATGTTGTGGGGCATGGAAACTTTCACATATTGCTTGGAATGGTTGGTTATACAGATGTGTATGTTTCTTAAAATTCTATACAGATGTATACATTCCTCAAAACTCATCAAACTTACACTGAAAATTACTGCATTGTATTACATCTAAATTGGCCCTCTGTAAGCTGGATTCAAAAGAAGTAAAGGAAGAATTTAGTTGACAGGGAGGAGTTGACTACTCATGAGACAGAAGAGATTATTAATAATATAAAGTAAGATGAGAATGTGTCCATTCTGTGAGAATAGGAGATTGAGTTATCTAATGTGCTATTCTTAGCGTCTGGCACTTAATAGGGATTCAATAAATGTTTATTAAATAAATGAATTAATGAAGGTGAATGAGTTAAAAAGCCAAAGCACCTATTAGGGATTGGCCTTGGATATTTTCTCTGATGTAATAGAACATGTGCAGATATAGGTAGATTTGAATCTGCAAGTTGGAAGTTGATGGAGTTTCCATCTGGTAACTTTATTTTTTCTGAAAATTTTGCTGGGTGAGGAGGAAAGAAAGGGGGAAGTAAGAGTGTTAAATGTTCAAGGATAGTAGAAATGTTTGAAATAATTTTGTTCTTTTGAGAAGGAAAAATCAAGTTTACAAAAGAAATGTAGAAACCTGGTTTGCAGTGAGGCCCTCTCAATTGCTGGTCATGAATTTATAATGATACTAATTTTCTTCTAGTTTAACATTCTTTGAGAATGGTTGGACACTTGGGTATAAATGCAAAGAAGAAAATACTAGTGTTCACTTGTGGTTTGGGTTTGAGAAGATTCATCTGATGAAAAGACAGAGAGACAAGGAGGTTTATGCTTTAGCAGAAGTGTTATTCAGATAATAGAACATGCAATCTAAGCAACTTAAGAGGGGAATAAGGGAGAAAGCTGATAAAGGGAGAGAAAACAGAGGGAGTAAATGGACTGGGGATCCAAATGCAATTGAAGAATCTCTGTAGTGGGAGTAGTTGAAAAAGTCAAGTTGTATCTTTCACCACTTGCTGGTTGGCTACCAAGAACCCCTCAGAGCCTGAACACTGTGGGTGCGGCAGGAAACCCATCTATGGGCAGATAGAGAAAAATTAATGTATTCTCAAGCATAATAGCAGAAGACAAAGCTGAATGATAGATGGATGCTACTGAGTCAGAATTAGTAAAAGAGACAGGAGAGAACTTTCAAAAGTAATGAGAACACTTCTCTTCTGCCTAGGATATAGTGGTAGCAGGCAGCAGCAGGCATTTCTCCAGCTACAATAACTATGAAAAGCAGATGGATTTAAAACTATGATTGAAGAGCTTTGGAAAGGCAAATTAAAAAGACTGATAATACCAAGTGTTGGTGAGGATGTAGAGCAAGTGGAACTCTCATTCATAACTGGTGGGAATGTAAATTGATAAAAACCACTTTGGAAAACTGTTCGACAGTACCTACAAAAGGGAAATATATGTCTACCCCATGACTCATCAATGCCATTCCTAGATAAATACCCAAGAGAAATGTATGTATCCACAAAAAGACATGTAAAAGAATATTCATTGTGACCTATGATTTCCTTAAACTGGAAAGAAAAGAACCCAAACTGGTATATTTATATACTGGAATACATTATATAGCCATAAGAAATATGACTTAGCTATATAAGCAAAAATGTGAAAGAACTGCAACAGGTATTGCACTGAGCTAAAGAAACCAAATATGAAAGAGTGAATGTTGTATGATTCCTTATATGAAGTTCAAAAATGGAAAATTAAGTGATTATTTTAAAAGTCAGAATAATGGTTATCTCTCATGGGGGCAGGGTGGCTTAGGAAAGGAGTGTGAGGAAACCTTCAAAGATACTAGAAATGTTCTATACCTTAGTTGGAGAGCTCTGAATTAATATTCTGGAAGATCAAGTGGAAGAAATACCTAATAACACAAACAGAGTCAATTTTGCTTTTTAATCCAATCTAACAGCCTTAGTTGGATTTATTTACCCTAGTGATGTTTATTTTGATCATTGACTTATTTGATTTTATTCCTATCATTTTATTTGAAGTTGTGGTTTTTCTTTGCTATGTTTTCATCTTGTAATTTCTTTTGTATTTTCTGTCCCTTTTCTGAGTTGAGCAATTTTCCTTTGTTTTCCCTTCTTTCTGGCAGTGTGGAACTTTGGTTACTTATTGGTAGCGTATCTATTAAATACACATTTTAACCTGCATTTTTTTCTATTAATTTACATTAATATGTAAAAATAAATAATAGCTGGGCAACATTCCTCTTTTTTTAAAACCAAAAATTTTCTTTACCTGTTTTGTTGAAAAAAAAAATCTGTTTTAATTCCAAGCCATTATTAGTTTTTTTTCCCTTATAAATCATCATCACTTCAGGAATCCTTTCTTAAGAATTGCATTGGCCAGGTGAGTTGGCTCATGCCTGTAATCCCAGCACTTTGGGAGGCTGAGGCAGGTGGATTCCCTGAGGTCAGGAGTTGAAGACCAGCCTGGACAAAATGGCAAAACCCCATCTCTACTAAAAATACAAAAATTAGCCAGGCATGGTGGTGGGCACCTGTAATCCCAGCTACTCAGGAGGCTGAGGCAGAGAGAATAGCTTGAACCCAGGAGGTGGAGGTTGCAGTGAGCCAAGATCGCGCCATTGCACTCCAGCCTGGGCGACAGAGTGAGACTCCATCTCAAAAAAAAAAAAAAAATTGTATTATGATTCACATCATCTGCAGCATTTAGTAAGCTAAACAGCAAAATACATTTTACTGTATTTTTTGATCCACCACAGTTGTTTTTATATTTTGGTCCTCCCAAGTTGTGGCTGGAGGTTTTGCCTGAGCAATTTGTTTAAGAGTGTATGGTTGATATACTTTTTGAGTTTGTGAACGCCTGAACATCTGAATGACAACCTAGCCAGACATAAAATTCCAGAGTCACAATCCTTTTCCCTTGGACCTTTGTTGATTATCTTCAATAAGCAGTCAGGAGAAGGAAAGGTATAGGTCATTTGCTGAGGTCTTTCTTCTTATTATTCAATATTATTTCTGCTTCCTGTTGTATATTTTCTATTTGGTCAAGCTAATATTTTATCCACCATAAACAAATACTCCCATTTTAAACCATCTTGTGTTATTTTCCCCATTTGCATATCCTCCCTTCTCATTGCCATCCATCCCATTTTATCTGTTCTTCAAATCATATCTGAAGTTCTACCACATCCATGGAGCTTTCTCTATTTACCCCAGTTTCAAATTAATTTCCCCACTCTCATCATAGTATTTATTGTTTCTGCCATATGTTTTGCACTTCATAAAATCCTAGAATTTTATATCTGGAAGAGATCATACTCCAGCTTCCTAACTTTTCAGATTAAAAAAAACCATGGTCAGTGAGCCACATGTGTCACTTGGGTGATGTGAGGTCCTCGGGCATTCTGGGGCTACCCTTTAATACCTAAAGAGGATGGTTCTCAAGCCCCAAACCCTAACTACATTCAGAAGTCCTCCCTTAAGATTTCTGTGGATTTCCAGGGCCTTCTGCTCTCATGATTAGTGTTGCAGCCAGCATCCCAGCCATTCCTCTTTGCTCAGCTAGAGGCCACCTTTTCTCATTGGATCATGTCTAGAATCACAAGTGCCACCAACCTGTTGTACACAACTGATTTTTTACTGAAGATTTGTCTTCTCTAAAAGGGTCTACGAGCTTTAAGAACAAACAAGACTTTTGTAACTTTTATAGCTTCTAGTATAGTGGGAGCCATAGAAAAACAGCAGCTTTACTTTGGGTGCTAGACAATGCCGTTCTAAAATTCAGCAGCCATTTCTCCTCCAAAAGGGAAATTTTATCCTGGCTGTGTCCTTTCAGGTCATTGTTTCTTGCTATCTTCTTTCTTCTTTACTCTTCCAAACTCACACAATCATGTTTCCTTGGAGTAATCAGAGTAATATATTTCTCCATTCTCTACCTAAAATGAAACAATCTTAAAAATATTCCATGACATAGTAAGATGTCTATATAGGAATGCCAACACAAAGAACCAGCTAAAGCTTTGAAATACAGTTTTTTTCCTTTATCCCAAGCAGAACTCCATCCTTCATTAGTCTCTGGAAATGGAAGAAAAATAGTGTAATAATTTGTTTTCTCCTTGACCACAGAAAGCCTCTATGTGCTATGAACAATAGTTCGTTTCAATTATGCATTTCAATAACACATGAATTCTCAGGAAACAGGTCTTCTTAGAGTCCTATACTTTTCTTTAGACTATATTATCATTTCCCCTGTTCCAGGTTTTATTCAATTTTACATTTTGTTATATGCTCTTTTCTACTGCTTTTTTTATTGTTTTACATATGTACTTCCTGCTTTTCTAGAGTCTAGTGGTTGGAAAGCAAGTATTGATTATTGAGATGGTCATGGAATAAAATATATACAGGTATTCAAGGATTGTGTATATTGAGTAAGCATTTATATCATTTGATAAACATCTGTCATGTGCCAGATGACGTGCTAAGTGCTTTACATACATGACCTCTACTCCTTTCCTTGTTTCTTTGAGATAGTACCTTTGAGATAGGTACTATTATCCTCATCAAACAGAAAAAGAAATTGACATTCTAGTAGCATAATTCATTTGATTCCACATGGCTAAATTGAGAAACTAGACCTGTCAGATTCCAAAACATTTGGCTCTTCCCACCATACCCCAGGCATTCCAATGCTGACAATTGTTTCTCTAGCGGTTGATGTATTTTTAATGAAAAACTTTGCAGTGCACTTATTGGGCAGTGACCACATCCTTTTTGCAAGATTACATTTTCTTTAAGTTTTAAGACCCATTCATTTTTAATGTGATTTTTAAAGCTCATATGTGAAACTGATAGTTTTCTTTCTGCCTTTCAGTTTGACCCATTAATGATTGAAAGCAAAAAAGCAGCAACTGTGGTGTTAATGCTTAATTCTCCAGAAGAGGAAATTTTGGCTAAAGCATGTGAAGCCATTTATAAATTTGCTTTAAAAGGTTTGGATTTTTTTCAGTTTATCTTTCTGTTTCATTAATTTCTTAAAATATTTACTACCTCTTGGGCACTTTTCTTCCTAGTCTTTAACTTACTTGCTGTCGGATGAATTATTTCAGACAACCAGGATATTATTTAATGCATTACCTAAGAGCAATCTCTCTTCCTGAGTTCCTAGCTTAATCTTAAGGAGTAATTTAGTCACTGGGTAGAACAGTCATTCTGAAAGTTTCATTGTAGTTTTAGAAATTGTAAATGTCACAGAAGCTAAAAGAACTCCCAATAGTCAAGGCTGGAACAATTAGAACAACAAAGTAAAGCAGTATTGGCTTATCATCCAAGTGGAAAATAAGTATCCATGAGTCCATACTGATATAAATAAAATGGGTGAATAAATGGAAGAGAAGAGACAAATCTCCTATGCAGAAGAATTCCTAATAGTTTATGTAGACACTCTTGACTTCAAGGAGGTGAAATGTAACTTCCGACTCTTTGAGTGGGAGAGGTACAGAGTGACTTATTTCCAAAGAGTACAATGTAGAAATGGGGAAAATAAGCTTACAATGGATAAACCTGACAAACACTACCGCAGCTAGGTGATCAAAATCAACACCACACATCTGGGCATGGTGGCTAATGCCTGTAATCTCAGCACTTCGGGAGGCCAAGGTGGGTGGATCACTTGAGCCCAGGAGTTTGAGACCAGCCTTGGCAATGTGGCAAAGCCCCATCTCTATATATAAAAATATATATATACAAAAACTAGCCATGTGTAGTGGTGCATGCTTTTAGTCCCAGCTACTCGGGAGGCTGAGGTGGGAGGATCACTTGAGCCCAGGAGTTCAAGACCAGCCTTGGCAACATGGCAAAACCCCACCCCTACAAAAAATAGAAACATTAGCCAGGTATGATGGCACATGTCTGTAGTCCCAGCTATTTGGGAGGCTGAGGTGGGAGGACTGCTTGACCCTGGGAGGCAGAGGTTGCAGTGAGCTGAGACTGTGCCACTGCACTCCAGCCTGGGCAGCAGAGAGAGACCCTGTCTCAAAAAACAAACCAACCAACCAAAAAAAAAAAACAGAAAACAAACCACCAACTGTGATAAGTCCTATCAATATTAGGTGCTCTTGATATGATGTGATGAAAATGACACTTTATTTCTGTGTTATTTTTCTTAAAAATCTATAACCCCAGTTTAATAATGATTTTTAAAATCAGACAAATCCCGGTTCAGGTACAAAATACCTAGCCAATGCTCCTCAAAACTGTCATGGCTATCTACAACAAGCAAGTTTGAGAAATTCACATAATGGAGGCATAATGAGTAATGACATAGGATCCTGGGACAGAAAGAAGATATTAGGTTAAAACTAAGGAAATCCGAATAACTAAGTACTTTTGTTAATAACAGTGTCTTCATATTAGTTCATTAACTGTAAAAAATGTACCATACTAATATCAAATGTTAATAATAGGGGAAACTGGGTCTGAGGTATGTGCAAAGTCTTTGTACTGTCTTTGTAACTTTTCTGTAAAACTAACATTGTTGTAAAACATAAAACATTTAAAAATTATAAATATTACACATCAGGTTCTACTGAAAGGTTTATTCATAGAGGATTTAAAAACATACAAGATGCCTATATTTTAGTCTTCATATTATTACAAATGATTAGACTTTTATTATGTTGCATGACATTTTAATTGAGAATATTAATTTAATTGAGAGTTTAGTGTAACTAAACTGGTTTTTTTTAATAAACCATTTCAAACTAAGATAGGGACAATTTTGTTTTAAATAAATGATACTTGACATATTGTGTTGGAAACTGAATGAGAGAACAACAAATCATTCAATTAGCAAAGGGTATAATACTCACCTTGCTTTGTCACTCAGGTCATCATTGGGAATCCAGATGTAAACCAGAGTGTTTCTGGAAGTTACTATATCTTTTTGAGTGGATGGTGTAGAATCCTGGGTCAAATTTCAGGGAGATATTGGATTGTGCATCTATGGCAGCATGAATCCCATTCAGTCTTACGGAGTCATTATACATCATCTGGCTGTCACGTGTATCTAATTATGTGTTATCTCTTTTTGCATGACATGAAGAAATAGGCATGTATTTCATATGAAATCAATACAGAAATAATTTTAAGTCTGATGTTTTATACTAGTAGTATTTTCTAAAATTAAAAAAAAAATGATAGGACTTTGGTTTCTGGCCATGACGGACCACTCTACTGCCTGTAACAATGAATGAAACAGACCCAATATGTGAAAGTAGAGTAGACTTACTCTATTGGTGGAAACAATGAAGAAAATAAACGAGATATATGAAATAACAGTTGACAAGACCATCAACATCAGACAATAAAGGGCAGTGACCACTGAGAGACGGGAAACAAGGGAAGTAAACCCTATGATTGCCTCAGATTTTTGACTTTAGAGAGCTTTTTGGCCATAGCACTGGAAAAGGTAACCTGGTGGATTCTCTGAGTTAAGAAGACAAACCTGAAAGTCCAGAGAAATAAAGGTATTCAGAGTTTTCAGGACAGAGCAAAGGAGAGGAATGAGTTTCACAGAAGGAGAACTCAGGAGCTCTGTAAAGGGTCTCATTCTTGTATTTAGAAGAGTAGTGAACAGCATGTACATGTGAGGGTAATAGTTGGAACAAGAGGCACCCAAAGGATTGGGGTAACAGTGCCTGGTGCTCACATACGGCTAGGAGTAATGCCTGTTTCCATCAGCCAGGCAGAAACTTCAGAATTCATGGAGCATTGTGTAGAATACACAGAGGAGTCTTGCCTCAGTATGAGAAATAATTAGTCCTAGATTGTGCACTGTTCTAGTACCACCTAGTAAATATTAAAAGCAAGACTTGAAAGGATCAAGTTGTTTCCAAGTAACTTAATTTGTCCCTGAAAAAAATCTTAAGAATACAGAAATATCCATTGCCCAAGAAGGTAAAATTCACAATATCTTGCATCCAATAAAAAAATTACCAGGCATGAAAAAAAGCAGAAAAAACGCATAATAAGATATATATCAATGAGTAAATCAAATTGACCTAGATGTTAGAATTAGCAGGAAAAGACATTAAAAGATTAATTACAACTGTATTCTATATGTTTAGAAAGTGAAAACATGGAAGCTATAAGACAGATCCAAATACAACTTCTAGAGATGAAAACTTCAATGTCTGAAATGAAAAACACATAGGCTTTGATTAATGCAGTTTGGACATTGCAGAAGAAAAGATTAATGAACTTAAATACATAGTAACACAACCTGTCCAAAATGAAGGACAGTGAAAAGAGATTTTAAAAAGATGAACAGAGATTCAATGAGGTATGAGAAAAATTCAAGTGTCCAATATATGTGTAATTGGAGTCTCTGAAAAAGGGAGACAGGGACAGAAAAAGCGTTTGAAGAAATAATGGCCAAACTTTCCCTAAATCTGATGAAAACTCTAAGTCCATGGATCCAAAAAAGTTTGTCAAAACCCAAGTGCAAAGAATATGAAATAAACCATGCCATAGTACATTATAATCAAATTGCTTAAAATCAGTGATAAAGAGAAAATCTTAAAAGAAGCCAGAATCAGTAAAAACATGTTACATTCAAATAAAGATAAGGATGACAGTAGATAATAACAAATTATAAATAAGGATGATTTATCATCAGAAGTTATGCAAGTGAGAAGTCTGTAGAGCAACAATCTTAAAAGAATAAAAGAAAAATAAAAACTTTCAACACAGAATTACATATCCAGAAAAAAGGTCTTTCAAAAACGTAGGTGAAATAATGTTTTTTTTCCAAATATAAAAAGCTAAAATAATTTATTTCCAGCAGATCTACACTATTACTTATAATAAAAAGAGGCCTTTTAGGCAGAAGGAAACTAACACTAGATGGAAACATGGATCTACAAAAAAGAATACAGAGTGCTAGAAATGGCAACATATATGTTTTGTTATTTGAATCACTTCAAAAGCAAATTTATTAAACAAAAATAATCATATATTGTGCAACTTGAAACATATGTATAAATAAAATATATGGCAACAACAGCCCCAACATAGAAAGGGAAAAAATGGAAGTATACTATTGTTAGGATCTCATATGTGAAGTGGCATAATACCACTTCAAAGTAGACTGTGTTAAGTTAAAGATGTATACTGCAACCCTAATGCAACCACTAAAATAACAAAATAAAGGATAATATTAAATAAGCCAATGAAAGAAATAAAATGGAATCAGTAATATTCACAGAATACATAGAAAAGAAGGCTGAATATGAAGAAAAAAGAAAACATGGAATAATGGGGCATGTAAAAAACGAGATGGTGGATTTAAATCTAACCATATCAAAAATCAAATTAAATATAAATGTCCTAAATACCTTGATTATCAGGGAGAAATTGGTATATTGGATAAAAAGCAAGAGTAAACCACATGCCACCTTCAAGAAGTGCATTTAGAATAGAAAGACAAAAATAACGCAAAAGGATGACAACAGATATGTCATGCTAGCATGAATCAAAAGAAAGCCCAAGCATTAGTAACAGAAATATTAATATTATAAAAGTAAACAGAGAAAAGAGTAGTACCAGAGATAAAGAAGGTCATTTTATAATGATAAAGGGATCAGTTAATCAAAAGACTGTGAAAAATCTTTTTTTTTTTTTTTTTGAGACAGAGTCTTGCTCTGTCACCCAGGCTGGAGTGCAGTGGCGCAATCTCGGCTCACTGCAAGCTCCGCCTCCCGGCTTCACGCCATTCTCCTGCCTCAGCCTCCCAAGTAGCTGGGACTACAGGCGCCCGCCACTACACCCAGCTAATTGTTTGTATTTTTAGTAGAGACAGGGTTTCACTGTGTTAGCCAGGATGGTCTCAATCTCCTGACCTCGTGATCCACCTGTCTCGGCCTCCCAAAGTGCTGGGATTACAGGCATGAGCCAGTGCGCCTGGCCGAAAAATCTTAAACAGTTATGTACCAAATATGAGATCTTCAAAATACACGAAGCTAATAATGCAAGGAGAAATAGATATCCACAATTAAAGCTGGAGATTTAAATACTCCTCTCAATAAATAAAAGAACAAGTGACAGAAAATATAAAAGGATATAAAGGATTTGACAATATCAATGAATTTAACCTAATTAATATTTATAGAACACTTTAAGAGCAGTAGAGTATACATTTTTTTTTCAAGTGGATACAGAACATTTATCCAAATAGATCATATTCTAGGCCATAAAATAAGCCTCAATAAATTTTAAGTGATTCCAATAACACAAAATGTATTTTCATACCACCATGGAATTAAATTAGAAATCAATAACGCAGAAAACTCTGGGTAATTGTTAAGTAGTTAGAAAATAAATAACATACTTTTAAATGACTCATGAATCAAAGAAGAAATCAAAACAAAAATCAGAATTGAAAATTAAAACACAGCAAAAGTGCCACTCAAAGTATTTAGAGAGAAGTTTATTGCACTAAATGCCTATACTGGAAAACAAGGAAAGTCTCAAACCAGTAATCTCAGCTTCTATCTTAAGAAACTAGAAAAAGAAGAACAAGGCTGGGCACAGTGGCTCACACCTGTAATCTCGGAACTTTGAGAGGCTGAGGTGGGCAGATCATGAGGTCAGGAGACTGAGACCATACTAGCCAACATGGTGAAACCCTGTCTCTACCAAAATACAGAAAATTAGGTGTGGTGGCATGCGTCTGTAGTCCCAGCTGCTTGGGAAGCTGAGGCAGGGGAATCTCTTGAACCAGGGAGGTGGAGGTTGCAGTGAACTGAGATCATGCCACTGCACTCCAGCCTGGCGACAGAGTGAGACTCCATCTCAAAACAAAAACAAAAAACAAACAAAAAACAAATTAAACCAAAAGTTAGTAATAATAAGGATATAATAGATATCTCAGTATAAATCAATGAAATAGAAAACAAAAAAATTGATGAGCCATAAAAATGAAAAGCTGCTTTTTGAGATCAATAAAAATGATAAACCTCGAGATGGATTGATAGACAAAATAAGAGAGAAGACAAATTATCCATATCAGGAGTGGGAGAAGGGACATCACTAGAGATCCTACAGATATTAACAGGATAAGAGGAATATTATGAATAAATTAATACCAATAAATTCTACAACTTAGATTAAGTGGACAATTTTATTTCAAGACATAAATTTCCAAGCTCACTAAAAAAAGACAGCTTGAATAGCTCTATATTACAAAAACTGAAATTTGTAGTTAAAAACTTTCTCACAAACAAAACTCCAGGTCCAGATGGTTTTACTGGTGAATTCTACCAAACCTTTAAGGAAGAAATAATACCAATTACACACAAATACTTTCAGAAAATTGAAAAGGATGGCATACTTCCCTATTCATTCTGTGAAGCCACCACTACTGTATAAAGGCCCAAACAGCAAAAGGCAAGAAAGAAAGAAATCTGCAAGTCAGTATGCCTTATTAACATAGATGTAAAAATTCTAAACAAAAGTTAGCAAATTAAATTCAACAATGTATAAAAAAAGCAAACACATCATGACTAAATGACTTATTCCCAGATTGCAAGGTTGATTTAATAACTGCAAATTAATCAAGGTATTTTACCGTGTGGGGTAGGTAGAAAAATAACCCCAAAATATCTACATCAGAATCCCTGGAAGCTATGAAAATAGTATGTTACATGACAAGGGATAAATAAGAATGCTGATAGAATTAAGGTTGCTAACCAACTGACTTTGAGATGAGGAGATTACCTTGGATTATCTAGGTTGGGCCAACACAATCACAAAGGCCCTTATTGGTGAAAAAAGAAGGCAAGAGAGTCAGAATTGGAGAAGACATGATGGTGGACACAGAGGTCAGAAGGGCGTGATTTCTGGCTTTGAAGACGAAAGGGGCTCACTAGCCAAGGAATGCTACCTGGAAAAGAAAAGGAAATGGATTCTGCCATTGGGTTTAGCTCCCAAGGAGCACAGATAGCCCTGCCAACATTTTGAATTTCACCTACTGAGATATATATCAGACTTCTGACTTCCAAACCATAAGATAATAAATTTGTGTTGTTAAACCACTAGATTTGTTATTACAGCAGCAATAAGAAAAAAATATATTTTTTTAAAAGAAAAAAGAAAAACCATATGATCATCTTAATACATGCAAAACAACCTTTTTGGCAAAATCTGACATCCACTCCTGATAAAATATGTCTGCAAAGTAGGAATAGATATAAACTTTCTCTCCCTAATAAAAGATATCTACAAAAAAAACCTATGGCTTACAACACACTTAATGGTAAAAAACTGAATGCTTTTCCCCTAAGATCAGGAGCAAGAGAAGGATGTCTGCTATCATCACCTTTATTCAACATTGTATGGGAGATTCTAGCCAATGCAATCAGGCAAGGAAAAGAAATAGAAGGCATCCAGAAAATTTGTAGTTAAAAACTTTCTCACAGATTAGAAAAAGGGATAGAACTATCTCTATTTGATTTATAGAAGATGACATAATCTGGCTCTGTTCACTCACCCTAATTATTTTGAGATTAATTCATATTGTAGCATTTCTTTTTATTGCTACCATTATATGGATTTACCACAGTTTGCCTGGGTCATATGGTAGGTGTACATCAACATTTTAAGAAACTGCCAAACCATTTTCCAAAGTGATTTGTACTGTTTTATATTCTCACCAGCAATTTATGAGGGTTCCAGTTTCTCTCTACACTAGCTGGCACTTGATGCTGTCCATCTTTTTGATTACAGCAATCCTTGTGGGTGTGAAGTGGTATCTCATTGCGGTTTTAATTTGCATTTCCCTAATGACTAATGATGGAGAGAAAAATGTACTTTATTGTCATTGTATATCCTCTTTGGTGATGTATCTGTTCAAATCATTTGTTCACATATATTTTAAAATTTGGTTGTTTTCTTATTCAGTTTTAGAAATTATATATTCTGGATATACATCCCTTACTTCTGTATCAGACATATATTTGCAGAATTTTTCTCACAATTTGTAGAATATCTTTTAAAAAAATTTTCTAGACTTTTTTTCTGTAAGCAATGTTATGTTTATAGAAAAATGAGGCCAGGCACAGTGTCTTGTGGAGCCTGTAATTCCAGCACTTTGGGAGGCTGAGGCAGGAGGATCACTTGAGCCCAGGAGTTTGAGACCAGCCTGGGAAACATAGTGAGACCCCATCTCTACAAAAAAATTCGAAAAAAAAAAAAATTAGCTAGGCATGTTGGTGGTTGCCTATAGTCCCAGCTACTCAGAAGACTGAGGTGAGAGAATCGCTTGAGCCGAGGAGGTCGAGACTGCAGAGAGCCATGATCACACCACTGCACCCCAGCCTGAGTGACAGAGCAAGACCCTGTCTCAAGAAAAAAAAAAAAAAGAAAAAAGAAAAGAAAAATGGGAAGTAGAGTTCCCATAAACACCCCTCCTCAATTTGTTTTCTCTATTATTACAGTTATCTTTTGCATTGTATTAGTCAGGATTCTCTAGAGAAAGAGAACCAATAGGACATATGTAGATATATATGAAAAGATTTGTAATGGGAATTGACTCACATGATTGTGGAGGCTGAGAAGTCCCACGACAATACCATGTGCAAGCTGGAGAATAAGGAGAGCCAGGGGTGTAATTCAGTCTGCGTCCTAAGGCCAGAGAACCAAAGCTGATGTAAAGTCCTAGAGTTCCAAGGCCTGAGAATAGGAGCTCTGATGTCCCAGGGCAAGAGAAGATGGAAGTCCCAGCTCAAAAAGAGAGAGGATTTTTCCTTTTTACACCCTCTGTTACTCAAGCCCTCAACAGATTGGATATTGCCCACTCACATTGGTGAGCTCACATCTTTACTCAGTTTAGAGATTCAAATGCTAATCTCTTCCAGGAACACCCTTGCAGACACACCCAGAAACGTTTTAGTAGCTATTTGTGCATCCCTTAGCTCAGTCGCTTTGGCACATAAAATTAATGTGATGACATCTATAGACAATTCTAACAAATCCACAAAAAAGGGCTAGAACTAATTAATTATGCAAGGAAGTATTTGTTGAGTGTCTGTTACATGACCGGCACTGTCCTAGGCACCCAAAGGTATGAGAAAATAGGGCAGAAAGGGCATCTGTCCTTATGGAGAGTTATCGTGGAGTAGGCAAGCAAAACACAGAGGTTGTTAAGTGATATGACAAAAATACAGCAGGATAAAGAGGGGTAAGACAGACTTGGATGTGGTGACAGAATTAGATAGGGTGATTGCGGGGGACTGCTCCAAGGAGGTGCAATGTGAGCTCAGAACTGAAGACAAGATGAAGCCAGCTTTGTAAACAGGGGAAGGGAGAGGAGGAAATGTCCGGGATGTGTGTCCTTGAAGTTTATTCTGAGGGAAATACGAACGGAAGCCAAGAGTAATGTGAAAGGCAAATGGCAAATAAGAAATTGGAATGGCACAAGGCAGAATGCTGATGAGATCGATAATATCCATGTGTGGTTTTGTTTTACGTGTGATGTCAGGTGAGGAAAATAAAACAACCCTCCTTGAACTTGGAGCTGTGGAACCTTTAACTAAGCTACTCACCCATGAAGACAAAATTGTAAGAAGAAATGCTACTATGATATTTGGAATCCTGGCTTCTAATAGTAAGTATCAACTTTTAAAAATAATCAAATAATCCCATGTTAATGCATTATCATTCTTTTAAATTTAACATTAAGGAATTTGTTTCAATTTTATTTAAACTGACTTTCATGTTCACAAAAACATTTTATCAGTATAATGCAGCAAATGTGTGATTTCACATTTTAAGGGATAATTTTAAAATAAGAAAACATGTGCAAGCACATCCATGCAAAAACTCCTCTCAGAATTGGTGATGTAGTCCTACAAGCTGAGAGAGCAATCATTTTCTCTTAAAATTATTTTTCTTGAGTTAGTGTAATGTAATTTGCCTGCCTATATGTATCTTACATTTCATGTATATTTCATAGTGAACAAAGCCTAAAGAGTTTTGATAAACTCTTTTTTTGAAACTGCAAACTATATTTTGCAAAAGATAAATTTAAATGTGCGTTTACCAAGGTAGGTGGATCACTTGAGGTCAGGAGTTCAAGACTAGCCTGGCCAAAATGGTGAAACCCCGTCTCTACTAAAAATACAAAAAGTAGCCAGGAATAGTGGCAGGTGCCTGTAATCCCACCTACTTGGGAGGCTGAGGCAGGAGAATCGCTTGAACTCGGGAGGTGGAGGTTGCAGTGAGCTGAGATTGCGCCACTGCACTCCAGCCTGGGTGACAGAGTGAGACTGTCTCAAAAGAATAAATTTTAGAAAGTGCACTTACTCCTTAAATCAGACCTATTACTTGCTTGGAATCATATATGTCATATTATTATATTAATATATAATATATATTGAATAATATTAATCATGTGTACATAATTAACATTAATATGTGATTAATATCAATATACAATTAATATCAATATATTAATATATTAGTATGATATATTAATATGTAATTATATATTATATATTAAATAACGTATTAGTATCATATAATATGATGGTATAATATTAGTTAAAAGATGCTATTATGTCCATTAGAATATCAGTTTGAACACCATGCCAATAAACGCAGTCTCTGACTTATGAACAGGATATATTTTCCTTGTCATTTTCTAATAGTAGTTTTTGAGTCAGCCACCAAAAACCCTGTAACTCATAATAAATTTTAAATGACACTCTTAGTGGAGACTGAATTCTAACATGAAACTTAGGCTGCTCTGACTAAACACATGCCTATCGTGGTACATGGCTAAAATCATTATACTTTCCCCGTCTTATGATAATCTCAGCAAAACACAAGCACGGATTCTTTCCTAGTCTTCCTGCCCATCCACCGCCCGCCATTTTCCCTGGACCCCGTGTGATGACAGTGAGGCCTCCTTATTCCTTGTCCAGCAGGGATTGTGGTATGAGTGTGTTCAGGGACAGTTATGAGTGGAAGTTGGGGAGAGACGTGGAAGGGCGGTTTTGTGTGGCGTCTGTGCCATTACAGCCTCAGCTACAGAGACTGCACTTGCGGGCAGCTGCAGTGCTGGAAGCAGATGGGGCCCTGTGCGAGGGGTCAGTGGAAGGCAGTGACTTTGAGAGCTCTGATGGTAGTTGTGCTGTAAGGCAGGGGCCTGGGAGTGTTTCCGGAGATGGCAACAGGATGAGGACAGTCATGGCGGAGTGCATGACCCACCAACTTAGACTATGGTAATACTAGTTAACACTTAACATACACTGACAAGGGGCCAGGCACTGTGCTAAGTGCTATTGATATATTAAATCATTTAATCCTATCTAACAGCCCTGTGAGGTAGGTACTATTATTATTCCCTTTACATCTGAGGTAACAGAGGCATACAGAAGTTAAATAAGGCAGTACTCAATTGAATTATGGGCCTTCCTAAATTTATCACAAGGATTATCTGTGTAACAATTCTATGTTAGTATCATAATGAATGTTTAACCAAAAACAAAAAAAGGAAAATTATAATCAAAAAAGGGAAGATTTTTTTATTTCTTATGTTTTATTCTACTTACATACCATTGAATTTGAGAAACAAAAATATTTTGTGGCCAGGCATGGTGGCTCACGCCTATAATCCCAGCACTTTGGGAGGCTGAGGTGGGAGGATTGCTTGAGCTCAGGAGATTGAGGCTGCAGTGAGCCATGACCACACCACTGCACCCCAGCCTGGGTGACAGAGCGAAACCCTGTCTCAAAACAAAAACACACACACAAACCTTTGTAATATGTCTTATGCAATTCTTTATTTTAAAAGTAGGATATATATCTCAAAGCATTAGTTTATTTGCCCCAAATCATGCAGGTGGTTAGTAGTGGAACTGAGGTTAGAGCCCTGCACACAGGCATACCTGTCTAACTTTAATTAGGCTGACAAAAATAGTATAAAAATGTACTTTAAAACAGTCAATATACTTATTTTTAAGCATTTTTGGCATTTCTAATAATCAAATTGAATGTAAGCAATCAAGATGTATTAATTAAAATAGGCTGGGTAATCTTACTTGCATTCTGTACAAGATTTATTAAAATCAGAATTTAAAAATACCTTCCCAGCAACACACACACAGATTACTATTACACAATAAATAAACGTAGGGCACAGTGACTCAACTCTTCTGATATGTGTTCTAGGCACACTTTGCACTTTTATGGTTGTTTCTAGTGTCTTAGAAGGAAGTACAGCTCATGATCGAGGAATATAGGCAGGCTAGAGAATGTGTGGGGTTGGCCCTACCTAGGCTTGAAACCTGCCCCACCACTTGCTTTGTGGTTTTGAGCCTCAATTTCCTTATCTGTAAAATGAGATAATAATATTACCTGTCTCATAAGGGACTGTTCAGTAGATACTACCATTATCATTATTATTATTTCGAGACAGGGTCTCACTCTGTTGCCCAGGCTAGAGTACAGTGGCGTGATCTCAGCTCACTGCAACCTCTGCCTCCCAGGTTCAAGCGATTCTCCTGCCTCAGCCTCCCAAGTAGCTGGGATTACAGATACAAGCCACCATACCTGGCTAATTTTTGTTATTTTTAGTAGGGTAGGGGTTTCACCATGTTGGCTAGGCTGGTCTCGAACTCCTGACCTCAAGTGATTCACCCGCCTCAGCCTTTCAAAGTGCTGGGATTACAGGCATGAGCCACCACACCCGGCCTATTATTATTATTAATAAACATCAATACTCTGTTTCTTCCTTTGTAGATGATGTTAAAAAATTGTTAAGGGAGTTAGATGTCATGAATTCTGTCATTGCCCAGCTCGCTCCAGAAGGTAACTTTGCATTCTATATCTGTTTTAAAAAATGGAACTGGTTTTTTACACTTGATTAAACTATATATTGAAAATCATTCATGAAATATTGTAAAGTGTTATTAAAATCTCTCAAACCACAGCTCAATTTTGAGTTTATAAAAGAGGTGAGCTTTAAGCAAGATACAATTTGTGGAGCTTTGGTTTCCAAAGCATATTTTAAAGTAGTGGCTGAATAATAAGCAGTTGGCATACTTGTGTTATTTATTTTTGATACACAGAAGAAGTAGTTATCCATGAGTTTGCTAGTCTTTGTCTAGCAAACATGTCTGCAGAGTACACCAGTAAAGTGCAAATATTTGAACATGGGGG
The DNA here is from genome assembly GCF_000001405.40 of Homo sapiens. Lineage (NCBI taxonomy): Eukaryota > Metazoa > Chordata > Mammalia > Primates > Hominidae > Homo > Homo sapiens. The sequence goes on from NC_000010.11 coordinate 22,959,490, forward strand.
ATTAGAGCCACTCATCAGACTACTGAGTAGCCCTGACCCGGATGTAAAGAAGAACTCTATGGAATGCATTTACAACTTGGTGCAGGTAAGATTAATTTCTAAAAAGCGTTCTGATGAAAGCTCATTTTAGAATTTATTTTCCCATTAAAAATAGAAAAAAGCTTTTAAAAATGCACCAGTTTTGCATCATCAGATCTTCTTGTTACTGGTATTTATCATTCAGAGAAAAAAATAATGGAAGCTTAATGTAGATAATCTTTCAATTTTCACATTTTGTAAGTCATTGTCTCCTGTGAAAAAGTATTTTGGAAATGTATTTGTTTTTAAAGAATAGAATGGCATTCAAATAAAATGTACTTCTTTTGAAACAGGAAATCTAATATGTGGAAACTGCGCAGCTACTATTGACTGAACCCTGGTGGTCTAAGCACATTGGATGTAATATATACCCTATTCAATGTACTGAGATTTTGGTTTAGGCTTATTTGTTGCTAAAAATCTAGTGATTTTTCATTTTTGAGTATGCAGGACAGAATTCATTGTCCACAATAGCAAGATGCTACCTCACTGTGCTGTTTTCCTTTGTCACGGAAAGAAACTGCCAACCTTCCCCTCCCCTGCAGTCCTGTCCTTTGCACCCCAACCCCCAGAATACACACACATACACACACACACACACCCTCACGCCCACAGCAGGTCAGCTTCCTGACACTTTGAACAGCCTTCTCTGCTGCTTAGATTCCTTAACAATTAGCATGCACATTTGATGAGCTTTAGATCACCTGAAATTGGAAAGACACAAATTTTAAATGGCCATTAATAGAGTAGGGAATGAGGAGATACCAAAACGAGAGTGAAGAAGAGGATTAATGCAGAGGCAATGTATTCAGGCAAAGAGGGACAAATAGGCTCATGTCAAAATGCAGCAAAAGCAAAATTCCTGGCCCAGTATGCCATTGCTACTCGACAGGACTGGTTTCACCCTCACCCCTCCCTCCCTAAAAAAGAGACCCTGAGAAAGAAGCTCAGCCCCTCTTTTCCCTTCTCCGGTCACTTTGGCTTTACCTCATTTGATTAAATATTCCTGTGTGTTTGTGTTTTAAATCCCAAGACTCCTTAGAGCAGTATTTCTCTATTGTCTTAAGAAGAAATCAAAATGATTACCTCACAATTCTTAACAGCAGTACTGGCTAAAAACTGTGTATTAGTTTCCTAGGGCTGTTGTAACAAAGTACTACAAACTAGGTGGCTTAAAACTACAGACAGTCACAGTTCTGGAGGCCAGAAGTCCAAAATCAAGGTGTCAGTAGGACCGCGTCCCCACTGAGACCAGATAGGACCCTTCCTCTCCTCTTCCCAGCTTCATGTAGTGGCCATCCATTGGTGGCATCCCTTGGCTTGTGGCTGCATCCCAGCAAGCTCTCCCTCTGTTGTCTCTCTCTCCTAAGGACACTAATTGCACAAGGACACCACTAAGGGCCCACCTTACTCCAGGATGACCTCATCTTAACTAACTGCATCTGCAATGACCCTGTTTTCAGTAAGGTCACATTATGAGGTACTGGGGTTAGGACTTCAGCATATATTTTGGGGGAACACAATTCAACCCATGACAAAAAGCAATCTACAATTGTGTCTAAAGGAAGCTGAATATTAGCAATCAATTGAAGGATGGACAGGGGAAAGCTAAGCTATAATTGGAGCCTTTTCCACCTTTAGTACTATTTTATATTTACCATGTTTTGATCAAAGGTGTCATGTCTTAAAAGAGTTTGGGAGCTTTTCATGGCTTCTTGGCTTGTTTTCTTAAACTCCCCCAACCACCCACTTCTTCACTCACACAGAATCATAGACATAGAGGCACAACAATTGTCTAGATTACAATGACCCCTTGATTGTGTAAATGTCTTAAATAAAGGTCACGTATCTGAATAAACCCGCTGTAAATTTGCATGCAGAGGGCCTGTCAACAGTACTGCATGCTAATAGGTATTTCATAAACAATCCATTTGAATGAGAGAATAAGGAATCAATGCCATTTCATTGCATTAATTACTATTTGAAGCAGTATATCCAAGTGTGAGAAGAATTTCATTATGCATAGATTTTATTATACTGCTGTTTAATCAGGATTTGCTGTATAATAAACAATAGATAAAAGTCATAGATCATGTATATTTTCTGTTGTAGACAATGTCTACATATTACAGTTAAAATAAATTTTGATGTTGTCAATTGAAAGATTTCTTATTTTTTGAGTTATTTTGGAAGGGAATCTGGAATAAAAGATGGGCAAATTATAACTTATGTTCTTGTGTTAGAAAACAGAATTTCTCCATTCTTGAGGATGTATTTTGCTTAAAAAAATTATTGATCATCTGTATTTTGTGGCAGGATTTTCAGTGTCGAGCTAAACTTCAAGAACTAAATGCAATACCTCCTATCTTAGATCTCTTGAAGTCAGAATATCCAGTGATTCAGTTGTTGGCTCTCAAAACCTTAGGTGTTATTGCAAATGATAAGGAGTCTCGAACAATGCTAAGAGACAATCAAGGATTGGACCATCTTATTAAGATCCTAGAAACTAAGGTATTTAGTTTCATTCATTCCACCCTCTATGAGGAAATGTATCTCTCCCAAATGTTTAAAAATGAAATTTTATTATACTTAACGTGTATTAAGTGTAATAGATTAATTTGCTTATTGCTACATAAAGTTTATTGGCCTGCTTAAATCAGGCTAATTGTAGACACTATTATAAACTAATTTTAAAAATCTTCTAGTTTAGCAGACTTAAGGTTTTTAAATTCTTGTCTATGATCTTCCTCTTGATTTCCTGAAACACCTAGGGTGAGTCTTTTAACCTTCATTATGGTTTTCTCTGGGATAAAGCAGAAGCGTAATTTACCTTCTAGATACCTTTTAATAATATTGGAGCTAAATGTCCATAGTTGCTAATAAGCTCCTTAAGAATCAAACTTTAAGAATGTCTGTGCCTTCTGGGATCTCCTGGTTAGAAAAACTCATCTAGCAGTTTATTGAAAACCGTTTAATTGACTTGAGTGGTTCAGATCTCTTCTGAATGTGTCCTGTGTCTTTCGCCACTAATTCCTTAGTGAAACAGTAATAAACAGATTTCAGATCCAGTATCCCTACTTTAATATTTAGTAAATTCAATTAATTCTAATAACAGAAATCTACTTGAAGTACCTCTTAGAAATTCCAGAGATAGGAACATATTGAAGGAGAAAAACGGAGTGGTAACTTTGTATTCTGTTTCAAACTATCCAATTGTTAAATTTTTTTCTAAAAAAACCAGAACTCAGTTTGATGATACAACACTGGGAAAATGAAGTACAATATAAAAGAGCAGTGATGGCACAAGCATGTTCCCAGCCATGTGGACCTACCCGCCTTTGATTTGTGGATCCCATATGTGATCCCCTATAATTACACTTGTGATGCAAAATCCTAGTAACACTATATAGTACACATTTTATCCTGTTTTTTAAAAGGGGAACTGAAACCAGAAATGTTACTTAATTTGCCTTATGTCACACAGGTAGAAAGTGACTAACCACAGGGTTTATCTGATATGCCATAGTATTCTCACCTATCTGATATTTTACCTGTCTTCTTTTAATTAGGAAAGGGGATGGAAGCACCTACTAGGTGGCAGGCATTGTGATTTTATTAAATTTGTAATTCATTGAGGAATGTGATGGTATTTTTATCTATAAAATGAAAGTATTGATAATAATTCTATCATTACATATATAATCATATATACCTATTATAGTGTTAATCCTATTATACAAATAAGAAAAATGCCTCTCAAAGAGGTTGAATAACTTGCCTACGGTTAGAGCTAGGAAATATGTGAGAAGGGTTTTTTAAGAACTGGTATGTATATATGTATATATTCTAGTGGGAAAAATTCAAAGAACACAAAAATATAGAGAGTGAAACATCAAAATTCTTCTCCACATCCTCACCTAAGAGTAGGTAGAAGGCACAGGTGTCTGCTCCCATAATTTTTATTCAGCATTGTCCTGGAAGTTGGAACCGGGGCAATAAGCCCAAATAAATAAATAAATGACACAAAAGACTAACAAACTGGGGCCAGGCACGGTGGCTCACACCTGTAATCCCAGCACTTTGGGAGGCTGAGGTGGGTGGATCACAAGGTCAGGAGATCGAGACCGTCTTGCCCAACATGGTGAAACCCCGTCTCTACTAAAAATACAAAAATTAGCTGGGCATGGTGGCACGTGCCTGTAATCCCAGCTACTAGGGAGGCTGAGGCAGAAGAATCACTTGAACCCGTGAGTCGGAGGTTGCAGTGAGCTGAGATCGCACCACTGCACTCCAGCCTGGCAACAGGGCGAGACTCTGTCTCACACACACACACACACACACACACACACACACACAAAAAAAAAAAAAAAAAAAAAAAAAAAAGACTAACAAACTGGAAAGGAAGCCGTAAAACTGTATTTATTCAGATTGCATGACCATTTATACAGAAAATCTTAAGAAGACTACAGAAACTTACTAGAACTAATAAATAGATCTATCGAGGTCAAAGGATGAAAGTTCAATACATAAAAATTTATCATATTTCTATATGTGAGCAATGAACAAAACAGCAAAAGTACAATTGAACTTATAATACCTTCCTAAAATATGAACTACATGGGGATAAATTTACCAAACTTTTTGCAAAATCTATACACTGAAAAATATAAAACACTTTTTAAAAGGAACTAAAGAGATAATATATGTATATGGACTGAACACATATTAATATGTCAGTTTCCACTTAATTACCTTTTGATTAGTTTTCAATTATCATATGATTATTGATTTGGTTATAGTTAAGCTTCCCATTTATATTTGTCTGATCTGTTTTATTCCACAGTTCCTCTCTTCCTGCCTTTTGTAGTGTTAATTTTTTTTTTTTTTTTTGAGATGGAGCCTTGCTCTGTCACCCAGGCTGGAGAGCAGTGGCACGATCTCTGCTCACTGCAATTTCTGCCTCCTGGGTTCAAGTGATTTTCCTACTCAGCCTCCCAACTAGCTGGGATTACAGGCACGTGCCACCACATCCAGCTAATTTTTGTATTTTTGGTTGGGGGGAGGGGTTTCACCATGTTGGCCAGGCTAGTCTCGAACTCCTGACCTCAGGTGATCCTCCTGCCTTGGCTTCCCAAAGTGCTGGGACTACAGGCATGAGCCACTGCACCCGGCCCCCCGTAGTGTTTTTTTTTTTTCTTTAGTGTTACATTTTAATTCGTCTCTTGGCTTTTTTGCCGTATTTCTTTGTTCTATTTTTAGTGGTTGCTGTAGTGATTACAATACGCAACTTAACTTTAACTTATAATAGTCTAGAGTTAATATTGAACTACTTCAAGTAAAATACTAGAACCTTTTAACAATGTATCTCTACTTTTCCTACTCTTAATATTGTTACATATTTTATATCTGTGTCCATTACAAACCCAACAATACAATGTAATAATTTTTTGTTTTGAAGAGTCCTATATCATGTGTTAAGATATTAAGAATTATATGTTCATATGTGTTTGTGTAGTACCTATCCATATATTCATCTATCAATATTTAGTATTTTATATTTACTCACATATGTATGATTTCTGATGCTTTTCATTTTTTCCTGTAGATCCATGTTGTCATCAGGGTCATTTCCCTTCAACCTGAAGAACCTCATTTAGCATTTCTTACAGTGTAAATATAATGGCATAAATTCTGTCTTTTAAATTTATCTGGAAGTTGCTTCCTTTTGCCTTTAATTTTGAAAAGACATTTTTGCTTGATACAAAATTCTTGGCTGCTAGTTTTGTTTTCAGCATTTTTAAATTTCTTCTGAATGCCAGTATTTCTGATGAAAATTCAGCCATTGAGCTGAACTATTTTCCTGTACGTGATGTGTCACTTTTCTTTGGCTGCTTTCAACACTTTGCTCTTTATCTTTGGCTTTCTGCATTTCTCTTCTGCATGGAAGTGATATAATTATATATCCTGCTTGGGGTGCTTGACCTTCTTAGATCTGTAAATTAGTGTTTTCTGCCAATCATGGAATTTTTCAGTCATTATTTATGCAAATATTTTTTTCCATTCCTTCTCTCCCTCCGGAACCCAATTACATATATGTTATCTTGCTTGATATTTTACAGGACTCTAAGGCTCTGCTCATTTTTCTTCAATTTTTTAGATTAAATAACGTCTTTTGATCTCTGTTCAATTTATGCAATTTTGGCATCTCTAATCTGCCGTTTGGTCCACCTAGTAAATTTTTCTTTCTAGTTTTTGTACTTTTCAAGTCTTAAATTTCCATGTTTGAAGTTTCATTTCTCTATTGAGCTTTCCTCTGTGAACATATTTATCATAGCTGCTTTAGAGTCTCTAATTACTTAATTCACCAACACCTGTCCCTAACAGAGTAGATTTCTATTGACTGACTTTTTTCTGACTTTGAATCACACTTTCCTGTTTCTTCTTTGCATGGTTAAGAATGAGCATTGTAGATAATACTTTCTAGTGATTCCAGATTCTGTTGTGTCCTTCTGAGGATTGTGGCTATTTTGCTGTACTAGGCAGTGAGCTACACACTTTGTCTCTCTAGTGGTGCAGCTGGTATCTCTGCTCAGTTCTTACAGTTTCTGGTTGCTGCTGTTTTTAGCCTGACTCCATGGAGTTCTCCCCAGAGCTTCTGCAGTTTGCTGGTCACCTGTGGCTCCTCTGTCAGTCTCAGGCTCTGACCTCTGACACCTCAGACCAGTAAGGCTTCAGCATTCTGCCAAATGAGCTGCACATGGATTGAGGAATGCACTGTATTTAAAAGCAGTAAATTAATCAATCTCACCTAGCACAGCTCCCTCTTCAAGGAGAAGATATGCTTTCTAGTCCTTGCCTGTTTATTTTCACCAGGGTCCCTGGGGTCTTCTCCACGCATGTATAGTTTAGTAGTCAGCCAGAGGTCTGGGCATAGTTTATACTCAGATTTTGGGTTATACCCTATATTAGAGTTCTCTAGAGAAATAGAACCAACAGGATGCATGTATATTGTACATGTGCATGTGTATATGGGTGTATTAGTCCATTTTTACACTGCTATAAAGAACTGCCCGAGACTGGGTCATTTATAAAGAAAAGAGGTTTAAATGACTCACAGATCCTAGTGGATGAGGAGGCCTCAGGAAACTTACAATCATAGCAGAAGGGGAAACAGGTTCATCTTACATGGCAGCAGATGACCATGTGAAGGAGGAACTGTCAAACACTTATAAAACCATCAGATCTCATAAGAACTCACTCACTGTCATGAGAACAGCACGGGGGAACTGCCCCCATGATCCAATCACCTCCCATCAGGTCCCTCCCTTGACACGTGGGGATTATGTTACTTAATTTGCCTAGAGATCACAATTTGAGATATTTGGGTTAGGACACAGAGCCAAACCATATCAATGGGTGTGTGTTTGGGGGCGGGGGTGGGTAGTGGCTTTAAGGAATTGGCTCATGTGATTTTGGAGGCTTGGCAAGTCCAAAATCCACAGGTTAGACCAGTAGGCTGAAGACCCAGAGAAGTGTTGTAATTCGAGTCCAGGGGTGCTGTACTGGCAGGATTCCCTCTGTGGCCAGGTAGATCAGCCTTGTTCTATTAAGGCCTTCAACTCATTAGATGAGGTCCACCCATATCATGGAGGGTAATCTGCTTTACTCAAAGTCTGTTTTAAACATTAATCTCATATAAAAAGTACTTTCACAGGAACATCTAGAATAATATTTGGCCAAATATCTGGGTACTGTGGCCCAGATAAAAATTCATCACAGGTTTTCTCCTTGTCAATTTGGTACCCATATACCTCTTAAATCATAATCTTCAGACAATAATGAGATCATACTTTTAGCTAACGTGATACAACTATCCTATAAACAACCAAATATTTCCCAATGCTTACCCCAGAAGAGGATGCAAAATCCTTGGGTGATGTTTACCCTTCCTGGACCCACAAATCCTGGCTATGGGAGAAACGGCACCATATGGTAGACACTGATTCAGAGCATATACAGCATTCTGGACAACCTTGCCAAAGCCCTGCAAGGTATTGCCACCTAGTTGGTGCTGTAACTGAGTCTTCAAAAGGCCATTCTATCAAGCCAGCTGCTTCAGGATGGTGGGAAACATGGTAAAACCAGTGAATTCCATGAACATTGGCCACAATGTATTTGCTGTGAAAGTGAGTTCCTTCCCTTCATGATGGTGGATTATCCTTTCTGAGCATTTCTCACTTTTGGGATTTCCCGTTTACATTTCTAGCTATTTAGGTAAAACCGCAGTTTTCCATGCCTGTGGGGATTCAGTAGATTTCCTCAGGCAAGACGGCCACACACTCGCAATACTTCTGTTATAGTCACAAATTATTTTAAAGTATATATTTTCATCAGCTTCTGTCTTGCTTTTTCAAAAAATGTTTTCTCCAGATTTCAAAATTGTTTTTTGCAGAAGACTGTATGAGCAACTTCATTGACTACCATTTCTGGAAGTTTCCTCCCTAGCATTACTTTTTATCCATAAAACATTTTGGAGTAAGGGAAAGGAGAAAAGACAGGGCACATGGCCAAGAAGAGTGATGTTACTTTGATAAGCAGAACTCCTATTCCCTGGGGCCTCTGTCACAACAAAAATCATGACATTGTGTTCTGACTGACTTTATTTCCTCTTGTAGTCAAATTTGGGAAGTGTACATTTTAGTACAACTTTCTAAAGTTGTATTTGCTTTTATTATTAGGAATTGAATGACCTTCATATAGAAGCACTTGCAGTGATAGCCAATTGCCTTGAAGACATGGATACTATGGTGCAGATTCAGCAGACAGGGGGTCTTAAAAAGCTCCTGTCATTTGCAGAAAACTCTACAATTCCTGATATTCAGAAGAATGCAGCAAAAGCCATTACTAAAGCAGCTTATGATCGTATGTCTCATTTTATTTTATTTATTTTGAGATAGGATCTTGCTCTGTTTCTCAGGCTGGAGTGCTGTGGCGTGATCACAGCTCACTGCAGCCTCAACCTCCCCAGGTTACAAGTGATTCTCCCACCTCAGCCTTCCTAGTAGCTGGGACTACAGGCATGCACCACCATGCCTGGCTAATTTTTGTATTTTTTGTAGAGACAGGGTTTTGCTGTGTTGCCCAGGCTAGTCTAGAACTCCTGGGCTCAAGCGATCTGCCCACTTTGACTGAGTTACAGGCATGAGCCACTGCACCCTGCCATGTCTTATTTTATATAAACAAAACATATATAATTCCTCTTGTCTCAATTTTGATTAGTACTAATCAACACTAGAGCATTTGTCTGCTTTTAAAAAACCATTTGAGAATAGTGCTATATTTACTACTTAAGTCCAAACTCATCTCACTTCCAATGAGTTAGAGATTTGTCAGGGATATGAAGAACTCAATATGATTTCATTATCCTATTTTTCAAAATACAATTCATTTCTACATTAAGTTTTAAGCCTTTGTTTCACTTGAATTTGGAATTATATAGAAGGTATGCATTGTTTGTGAACCTGAGAGCATTGAAGAAATCCACATTCACAATGATATCTATAAAGTAATTTTCAAGTTTCAGCTGGAGTCTAGTAGCACCATGTTACATAGCTGTGAAAAATATGCTCATACTATATACATAATACAATTTGCATTTCAGTGACAAGTTATGTTGATATAAATCTGTAAAATATGAGAGATTAATTACAGCACAAGCACAGATGAAATTATAGTTTTAATTTATGTATATTTGGAGTCTTTTATCTAATAAAAGATGTGATCTTATTTTTCCCCTTCTGCACCACTTTTAGAAATGATGACAGCATTGACTATTTTAAGTGATTTATATTCTAAACATATATACTCACATCTGTATATTGATATGTATACTATGGGAAACACTCCATTTTCAGCACACACTGGATTTCTTCAGGACAAAGCTTTAATGCAGTAAGCAAGATTTCACCATCCAGTATGTAGTGTGCATAGAGGGGCCTCATGAGTTACATTATAAATGCCTATTTGAGAGACTGGTTGTGAAATCAAGGTTTCTTCATATTGGCAAAAGTTGGTTTACCCAGTATTCTATCAAATGGAACTTAGACATTATTCTAGCTGGTCAGTTCTCTCTTCCTTCTATCCTAGTTCTTCTTAGCTAAGTGAGACCCGAAGAGAAGTAAAATGGGGAGACACGGACAATGCCAAACCTGAAATGTTTGCGTATCTCAGCATCTCTTTGGAGAGTATTTATATGTATCAAATGTGGCTGGGTCATTCTAAGACTGTTCTCACTCATTTTGAGGTGGTGAGTTTGATGATGCCTACCCATCATGTGCCACAGTACTGGAAAGTATGCTGCAGAGTTCCTGGTACTAGAGTTCTAGTACTAGTTCCACTACTGGCATTGTAACGACCTACTTAAGTGATTTTGAGTGAACTATAACTTCTCCAGAACAATGTATATATTCGTTTACTCATGATTTCTTACTGAGTTCTCACCCAGAACAGGAAAGTAAACAGGCACTTACAATGCAGTGTTCAAAGTGATTAATGATGGAAACACAGGATCACCCAGGAAGGCTCCCAGCACAGACCTGGATCAGAAAAATATTTCTGAAATCAGTGATTAACAAGCTAGGACCTAGAGTAAATAAGATAAATTGTCTGGTCAAAGAAGGTTCAGATGGGATGGAGGAGGAGAAGTGGTTCTGAGAAGGAACAGGGTGTATAAAAGCCAGAGGAGGGATAACATGGTAAGTTCCAGAACCGAAAGTTTTCAGAATGGCCAATGACCAGAAAGCCACAGAACACTGAGCGCTCAGGCTATGGACGTGGTGAGGAGCCCAGTGCTCATGGACATTATAAGCCCAGTTAAGGATTTTGGACTTTATTTTAATGGCAACAAAGAGCCATTGAAGTTACTCAGAAGGGAGGGAACATCATGGATTTTCACTTGTTAAAGAAAGAGAACTCGTGTTGCAAAGTGGAGAAGAGATTGGAAATGTTTAGGACCAGACACAGAAGACCAAAAGGGGGTTGCTGTAGTAATCTAGGTGAGATGTGAAGGTGCCCTGAAACAGAGATGCGGTGTTCAGGACTGGCTCAAGGCACTTTGCAAGGAGAACCACCAGCACATGTGTGAGTATTTTTGAATGACTATGTTGGTTGAAAGAGGAAGAAGGCGATACCAAGGATGAGGCCAGGTTTCTGGCTTAGACAGCTAGAAGTAAAATGGTGCCACTCACAGAACTGAAGAACTCAAGAAGGGGAGCGGTTTTGCTTGAAGAAAAGGAATCAATCCTATTCTTGCTTTTTAAATTGTGGTGAAATACAAATACTATGAAATTTACCGTCTTCATCATTTTTAAGTGTACATTTCAGTGGCATTAAATGTATTCACATTTTTGTGGTGCTGTCCATCCACAGAAATCTTTTCATTTAGCAAAACTAAAAGTATACCAATTAAACAATCATTCCCACTCCTTCCTCATACAAACTCCTGGCAACCACTATTCTTTGTCTCTATGAATTTGATGACTCTAGATCCCTCATATATATGGAATCATACAGCATTTGTCCTTTTGCAAATGCATAGCACTTGGCACGATGTCCTTAAGTTTCATTCATGTTGTAGCATGTGTCACAATTTCCTCCCTTCTTAGGGCCAAAGAATATCCATTGCCTGTATAGACCACATTTTGTTTATCCTTTCAACCATGGATGGACAGTTGGTTACATCTGCCTTTTGGTTAATGTGAATAATGTTGCTAAGAATGTGGGTATACAGATATCTCTTTGAGTCCCTGATTTCAATTATTTTGGATATATACCTAGAAGTGGAGTTACTGAATCATATGGTAATTATATTTTTAGTTTTTTTTTTTTTTTTTTTGAGACAGTCTCGCTCCATCACCCAGGCTGGAGTGCAGTGGTGTGATCTCAGCTCACTGCAACCTCCACCTCCTGGCTTCCAGCGATTCTCCTGCCTCAGCCTCCTGAGTAGCTGGGACTACAGGCACGCACCACCACACCCAGCTAATTTTTGTATTTGTAGTAGAGACATGATTTCACCATGTTAGCCAAGCTGGTCTTGAACTCCTGACCTCAGGCAATCTTCCCAACTCAGCCTCTCAAAGTGCTGGGATTACAGGTGTGAGCCACCATGCCCGTCCTCTATTTTTAATTTTTTTGAGAAACTGCCATATTGTTTTCTGTAGCAGCTGTACCATTTTACATTCCCATAACCAATGCACAAGAGTTCCAATTTCTCCACATCCTGGCCCACACTTGCTATTTTCTGTTTGTTGATAGTAGCCATCCTAATGGGCGTGAGGTGCTATCTCATTGTACTTTTTATTTGCATGCCCTAATGATTAGCAACTTCAAGCATCTTTATCGTGTACTTACTGGCCACTTGCATATCTTCTTTGGAGACATCTATTCAAGTCCTTCTCCCATTTTTTGATTGGGTTGTTTTCTTGATGCTAAGTTACAGAAGTTCTTTATATATTCTGGATATTAACCCCTTATCAGATATTATTTGAAAACAGTTTCTCCCATTCTGTGGTTTGCCTTTTTACTCTGTTGATTGTGTGCTTTGATGCAAAAAGTTTTAAATTGTGGTGCATTCCAATTTATCTATTTTGTTGGCTATGCTGTTTGCTGTTGGTGTCATATCCAATAACTCATTACCAAATATCAAAGCTTTTGCCCTATGTTTTCTTCTAGGAGTTTTGTAGCTGTAGCTCTTATATTTAGGTCTTGATCCATTTTGAGTTTATTTTTATATAGGGTATAAAATTATGGTCCCAGTTCGTTCTTTTTCATGTAGACATAAATTTTTCCTAGCATCATTTGTTGAAATTGGTTATTTGTAATAGAAAGGAATTCAAGCAGATAGTCTTTAAATCCTTTCTGGCACTTAATGTTTTCTGATTCTACTTCCTTTTGTTAGTTCTAAAATAACTACATTCCAGTTTCAAGTTGTGTCTCCTGTCTTTATGTTAGAATCTAATGACTAACTGTATTTACTTCATATATGTCATCTGTGATTGTATTATGTTCCCTTCAAACATCACTTTTTCAGACCGAAGAATTCAGATCTTGTTTAGTCTCTCTCCACGCATGTCCCCAGGCCATCCTGGGATCATTTTCTTACCTCTTCAGGACTTCCTCTTGTTTATTATACCCTCCTTGAAATGTGTTGATAAGTATTACGAAAGCTATTTTAAAAGTATGCACCATCATTTTATATTATCTATAGATAGGTTGATTTATCATTATTTTCCATTTCAGTCTTATGCAGCAAGTATTTTAGTCTCTTAACTACATTAGCATATTGGGCCAACCCTTTGAGGGAAGGACCTGCAGGGAGCCCCCAGATCATCTTTCTCAGTCAGTACCCAGAGCTCAAAGTTCCTCATTTTAATTTGTAACATTTTGGGGCTGGGCACAGTGGCTCACACCTGTAATCCTAGCACTTTGGGAGGTTGAGGTGGGAAGATCACTTGACACCAGGAGTTCAAGACCAGCCTGGTCAACAGAGCAAGACCCCCCATCTCTACATAAAATTTTTTTTAAATGAGCCATGCGTGATGTTGTGCACCTGTAGTCCCAGCTACTTGGGAGGCTGAGGAAGGAAGATCACTTGAGCCCAGGAGTTTGAGGCTGCAGTGAGATGTGATCATCCCAGTGCACTCCAGCCTGGGTAACTGAGCAAGACCCTTAATAATAATAATAATAATAATAATAATAATAATAATAATAAATCCTAACATCTTTGATTTATAGTTAAAAATGCAAACTTTGCTTTGGACTAGTATTGCATATTCTTTGAGGCCTGGTATAGGATCTATTTGTACAAGTGTTCTATTAAATCTTGGAAAGGCATACTCTGCTTACTATTTAAATAAACACTTATCATATGCAATTCATTTCTATATTAAGGATATTAAGATAAGGATAAACAATGGATGGAATGAATAAATATTTTCTGAATAGACAAAAAGATATATTTCCTGTAGAATGCAGAGTTTATCTTTTAGTTCAATTTTATAAATTATATTGTACAGTTTTATCCTTATTCTTTTTTTAGCTATATGATCTGTCACAGATGAAGAGTAGTATGTTAGAAGTTTCCCACTATATTATTTTTATTTTCTCTTGTAATTTTTTCTTTGTCTTTCTTTTTTTTTTTTTTTTTTTTTTTGAGACAGAATCTCGCTCTGTCACCCAGGCTGGAGTGCAGTGGCGCGATCTTGGCTCACTCCAAGCTCCACCTCCCAGATTCTCACCATTCTGCTGCCTCAGCCTCCCTAGTAGCTGGGTCTACAGGTGCCTGCCACCAGGCCCAGCTAATTTTTTGTATTTTTAGTAAAGACGGGGTTTCACCATGTTAGCCAGGATGGTCTTGATCTCCTGACCTCATGATCCACCCACCTCGGCCTCCCAGAGTGCTGGGATTACAGGCGTGAGCCACCGCGGTCGGCCTTTCTCTTGTAATTTTATATTAAATGACTTCACTTTATGTTTTTTATCCACTACTGATTTTTTTAAATCTCACTTTTATTGCTCTTTAGCTTTTGATTCTAATTTGATATTAAGATTACCATGTATTATCAAACATGGTCTTGGCAGAAAAAAAATTCTGGAGACTCCTGATGGTTTTAAAAGAGACAAATGAAGGAACTACTTTCAGAAGTATAATTAGGGTTAAGGGAATAAGCAAGAGATGATGAGGTCCCCAGAGATTAGCAATATTGGGAAATCTTCACTACCACTAGGTCCAAAAGGCAAGGCAAATAAATATTGTTAGATTTATTTTTATAGCTACTATATTCACCCTTATTTCTGACATCATGTTTTATGTTTTATGCTTTCTGTTTATTTTTCTATGCTGTTCATTTCTTTGTATAGATTTTAAAAACTTTTATAAACAGTTATTTTAAAGATAAAGTTACTATAGTTATTTTAGATATTTAGCAATTTTGCTTCCACAATTCTTTCCCTTTCTGATGTTTCTAAGATCAATAAGAGGTTATAGATTCCCCTCTCTAAAATCTGTTTTTTTTTGTTTGTTTGTTTGTTTGTTTTGAGACTGAGTCTCGCTCTGTTGCCCAGGCTGGAGTGCAGTGGAGTGATCTCAGGTCACTGCAACCTCCGGCTCCTGGGTCCAAGTGATTCTCTTGCCCCAGCCTCCCAAGTAGCTGGGATTATAGGTGCGTGCCATCATGCTCATCTAATTTTTTATTTTTAGTAGAGACAGGGTTTCACCATGTTGAACAGGCTGGTCTTGAATCCCTGACCTCAAGTGATCCACCTGCCTTGGCCTCCCGAAGTGCTGGGATTATAGGCATGAGCCCCACCCTGGCCAAGACTCTCTTTTTTAAGAATCACTGTCATTACATTCAATTTTAACCACATTTGTCATTTAGAGTTATATACATATTGAATCTGTTTCAGTGTGTGCTGTCAATTTCTCATAATAAAGCTTACCTGTCCTTAAGATTTTATTTGATTCATTTCTCAAATTAACCAGAGTATATTTTTCAGTTAAAATTTTTTTAAGGTATATCCAATAGTGATATGCTTTGAGACCTTACCTTACCTGTGCATAGGTTTGTTGCCTTCAAACATATATGACAATTTAACTGGGTTTGGAATTGTTGCATCATAACATTTCTCCTTAAATATCTATGGAAGTGATGACAGGCACGGTGGCTCACGCCTGTACTCCCAGCGGTTTGGGAGGCCGAGGCGGGTGGATCACCTGAGGTCAGGAGTTCAAGGCCAGCCTGGCCAACATGGTGAAACCGTGAAACCCCATCTCTACTAAAAATACAAAAAAATTAGCCAGGTGTAGTGATACATGCTTGTAATCCCAGCTACTCGGGAGGCTGAGGTAGGACAATCACTTGAACCTAGGAGGTGGAGGTTGCAGTGAGCCAAGATCGCACCATCGCACTCCAGCCTGGGCAACAACAGAGAAAGTCCATCTCAAAAAAACAAAAATGAAAAGCTTATCTATGAAGATTGCTTTTGTATTGTTCAAGCCTGATTTGCATTATTTTGCATATATGATTTTTTTGCTGTATTAAGGTAGAATTTTTTATCCTGAGTTTGAAAATTTTGCCGAAATATGTCTAAGTCCCCCTCTCCACTGTCTCCACTACACAGGCAAGCCTTTTGATCTCCAGAGTCATGATTTTTTCCCCTAATTCAGGAAGCTAGTTTTTTCCACTATACTTTGGATTCTTGTTTTTGTTTCACTTAATCTTTTTTCCTCATGAATACTTATTTTTAGACCATCTCTGTTCTCCTTTCTATGCAGTGTTTCATAATTTTGGTTTTTAATGCTCATCATGGAATGCAGAGGACTCTACCTGGGCCTAGTTTTAATGAATAGATGAAGCCTACAGGGTGCCCTTTGCCTGTTTTCCCATCAATTGAAAGGGCAGTGGACTCCTTTAGCCCAATTGTGGATGAGGAGGAGACTTTCCCATAATGCAGTATTGCAACGCCAGAGTTCGATTCTCCTGATCCCACTGGTTTATATAAGAGGAAGGTGATATAAGTTCAGAGCTTTCTAAGAGGCCCTTCATTGTCTGTGGCCTGGGTGACTTGTGGAAATTTGTTTCTTCCTCTCTTCCCCTTGCCCCAGGGTCCTCTTTTTCTCCTTTTCTTATCAACCTCTTTGACAGATCAGTCCATTTTAAATAGCCACATCTCCTCAGCTCATCTCCATCATTTCACCTGCTGCACCTGACTTCTGTTTCTGCCATTCTGCCAAAATAGTCCTTGTACAATTTGACGTTGACCTCTCAACTCCGAAATCCTGCAGAGGCATTTTCAGTCCTTTTTAACGTGACCTCTGGGTGGGAATCCACACTGCTGATTGCCCTCTCCTCCTGTAAACTCTTTTATTCCATCGTTTTCAAAACACCCCTCTCTCCTGATTGTTCTTCAAATTACCAGACCAGCCTTCACCTTTACCACTTTCCTCAGCTTATTTCAACCTAAACTTGCCTTCTGTTTTATGTCTTGTTCTCTTGAAAATCTCCCTGAGCACTCTTACTTATGACTAATGTTTCAGCTGCCTCCTTATTTGCTTATGAATCCCAAATCTGTTTCTAATTCTGACCTGTCTTCTGAATTCCTGCCTGTATTTCTGACAGCTTCCAAGCACATCCAACTATACTGCCCACACTCCACTTTGGGGAGTGTTAAGTTTCTTTGACAATCTGAACAAAGAGTAACCTTCTGAAAATGCACAAATACACTACATTCTGCATATAATTGCAGGGAGTTCACGGACTGCCTGAAGCCCACCTGTCTTCTGAATAACTCTTGAGCTAGAATAAGCAGGATCAAATCCAGATAGCCCCACTTGGCATCAGAGATTCTTCTATTTTACACAAGCACATGGCCATTGGTTATCAATTTGTTCTTCCTCAGAAACTCTCCCTTGTGGTCTGGATTGTATAACTTTGTTCGACCATAATTTTATACTCATTTGCTCTGGTTTGGGCCTTTTGTCTGGATTCTGGTTTGGGAAATGCTGTTTTGATCTATTGGTATCCATGTTCTTCAAATGGCTAGATTTAGAGGAAATCTCAAATTTTCTAATTCTGTTAATTTTCAAGGTGTCAATAAAATAACTGGTTTCTCTTTCTGTCCTTAAGAAATTAAAAAACCTGCTTCCTCGTGCTGTAACCTAGTATAGCCCACTCTGCTCTACATCTGCTACCAGTTTTCTCACACCAGACCTTCACCTGTTCCCACTATGGTAGATTAAAGCAACAACCTGTGCATGAACTAAAGTAACCCGGCCCTCATTGGAATACCAAGCAAGCACAGCACAAAAGTTAACTTCCATTGCTGAGCAGAACCTCCATTTCCCAGATCTACCTTAACATCATTCAACCAACTGCCCATCTGTATTAAAGTCGGGCTCCTTCACCATGGTCTTGCAGGTTTCCTCTATTACTGTGCAAACTTCCATTTTATAATTCAACTTATTCAACTGGTAATCTTCCTCCATCCCTTCTGACATAGCCTCCTTCCTTCTTAAATTGTTTTCATCTTTGGCAACTCTACAAAAACTGAAAAAGTATGCCAGGTAGGTCTTCAAATTCAGTGAATGCAGAGGTGGTTTAATTTTCTTATAGCCTAGGAGATATCTGGTCTGAAAGCTTGATTCTTGGAACCTCTAGAAAGATAGATGATTCCACGAAGATTCAAACTTTCTCTCTGTTCACATATCCCAATAAATTATTATGAATGAATGCTCTTCTCATTGGAAGTGCAGAGCTTTGAGAAAATCTCTCCATTCCAGAAGCAGGATTTCCCCTAAGGACTCTGATCTGCCTTAGCCATGACATTTTTGGGCAGTACTGCCCACTTCTGACCAGAACACAATATTAGGGCAGAACCAACATCTTTGAGGCCAGTGCTAGAAGATAGGTTAAATCTTTGTCATTGCCTAATTATTCTCCTCTATTTTGGTTATTTACCTCTTAACTCTTATTATCTGGCCAGATCTACCATATCCACCTCTTCCTCCTGCCTGGATTCTAGATTCTGCCTTCTTTTCAGGTCCTACCTGTATTTCTTGTTGTATTAGTCTGTTCTCAAACTGCTATGAAGAAATACTTGAGACTGGGTAATTTATAAAGGAAAAATGTTTAATTGACTCACAGTTCTGCCGGGCTGGGGAAGGCCTCAGGAAACTTATAATCATGGCAGTAAGCACCTCTTTGCAGGGTGGCAGGAGAGAGTGAATACCCAGCAAAGGGGAGAAGCCCCTGATAAAACCATAAGATCTCGTGAGAACTAACTCACTATCAGGAGAACAGGATCAGGGAAACTGGCCTTGTGATTCAATTATCACCACCTGTTCCCTCCCACAACATGTGGGAATTACGAGAACTGCAATTCAAGATGAGATTTGTTTGGGGACACAGCCAAACCATATCATTTGTCTACTTTGTATATAAACTCCTGCCTGCTTTGACCTCTATCTGCCAGACACAGCCAGCTTCATCAGACATGTCTTATTTTATATTAGTTACAGTGGCAAACTCTTAAAAACTTAACAATGAATAAGAAAGCTATATCCTAATATTCCTGTATTGAAAGCATATAATCATGAAGAAGTTTAAAAAATTTCCCACAGTTAGAAAACTCCATTTATAAGTAGATTTTGACAAATATTGCTCCTTATACTGTTATTATACAATGTAACTATCAATAGCAATTTATACACTTATTTTTACTTTCCATCATCATAAGAATATTTTTTTAGACAAGGTCATGCATTGTCATTGTATGTCAGAAACACAGTCGAAACGTCCAAACTCATAAACACACTTTCTTTAAGTGTTGTTTGTTGAGTAAACTTTTAACATGCATCTCAACTGTGGAAAGCCCAAATCAATATGCCTTTGACCTGGTACCAGTAGGAGGAAGGTGTTAATTACCATGTTGCCATGAGGTTTATGAACTGGCATTAACATCTCAGCAGGAGCAAAAGTGGCACAATAGCAACTTCTGAGAATGGATGAAGGAAAGCATCATTACATACAGATTTGTTTCCAGTAAGAAAACGTCATGCTTTTTATTTTAGGGGTACTGAACAAATGTTATTTTTAAAGGACATTATGCTATTAGTAGCATAACTATCTTGCCATCTTTATGATCTGTGTAATTAAAACACAAATACTCCTTGGTGTAGCAATTCAAGGAAAGTATTTGGTTAATATGTTAATTCATCTTTTAAATCTATTATAGCCATGCTGCAGTCAGCACTTTTAAGGTTTAGTGAACACAGCTGCATTTTGAGAACAGTCCCAGCAAGGTTGAGAAACTAATTGCCCTCAGTATCTATTTAAATTATTTTTAAAAATCTTTTCAAGAATTGTAAATGTACTGTTTTCTGAATGCAACATCTACATACTCCAAAGTTCGTTTTTTCAAATTAATCATTTTGGCCAATTTTCCTGATAGAATCCATGCTAAGAGGGTTCTGTTTAGAAAATTTGGTTTAGAGCCATCAGGGAAATCTTAATGAGAAATCTAAGCATTTTAGGTCAGAGACTCTGGAAAAGTTTTGGATATTACTTATTCAGTGAAAAATAATAAGAACCGTGTATATTTAAAACATTTTCGGAGCCACATACTTTAGAGTTAAGTATTAACTGAAGCTTTTTTATGAAAAAAAGTTATGGCCTGCCTGAATTCTAATGGTAAATGAAAGGAACAAGAGATTAAAATGATAGGATTACAGGACATGGTTCATGATTGGTTTAAAATGAATGAGCAGGAGCGTTAATAACTTAGCCTGTGCCAGTTGTGGCCAGATTATTTAATATATATCTGTGTATCAGGTGAACAAAGGCCAAAAGTATTTGCAAATATGGTGCCATCTAAACGTGATACTGCTTCTGCGAAAAAGGACGATTTTTTTTGAGTCATCGTTGAAGGAAGGGAGAAATCATAACTTTACAACGGAAACCTAGCTGATGTTAATTTCTGAAAATATTTCTGAAAAAAACAAGTTAATT
This sequence comes from Homo sapiens, assembly GCF_000001405.40. Taxonomy (NCBI): domain Eukaryota; kingdom Metazoa; phylum Chordata; class Mammalia; order Primates; family Hominidae; genus Homo; species Homo sapiens. The sequence goes on from NC_000010.11 coordinate 22,980,129, forward strand.
AACATGTGTATAAGTAATGAATGAGTTCCACATGTAAATATTGTAACCTAAATTATTATCAGCATTTTTTTGCAAAAATTCTTATTCTAATAGAATATTCTTCTCTTATATATCTTGAGTGCATATCACACATTCTTCCATTTTAATCACAAAAATAGAATTTATAAAGGCTAATTTTATAAACTTTACAAAGGGTGTTAATAAATAATCTATGACAATTTTTTGAAGGAACCAAATTATTTAGTAAGGAATTATTTGTAGGTTGTTTCATTTTATACCAGTCCCTGGTACATCTTTATTTCATCAAAACAGTTTAATTTAATATATTTTTTCTAGAACATACTTTAATAAAGAGGAACTTCTTTAGAATTAGCTAGAACATAAAAAATAGAATTAATAGAACACAAAACAAAAAATTATTTTAATGTTCTCATTTAGCTTAATGCAGTATTTACGTTAGTATAGTAATGAGATTGTCATTTATAAAAAAATCAAATGAAGCCAAGAGAAAACAATGTTTAGGGAACAAAAGAACATTAAAAATACTTTGGTTTCAAAGTTAGTGTTTTAAATGGGATGAATATAATGGTATGTACTTAGACATAACTTTATTTAATTAAATAATTATTTTAATTTTTGCTACTTAAGTATGTATTGTCATTTGAGAAAAAAATGATTATATTTTGATATAAGACTATAAATTTCTTAAGACTCAGGATCATACTTTACAACTCATTTTTACTTTCTCCTCTCCTCTGCTCTTCTCCTGAAGGTCGTAAGCATCTAGCTCACCAGTTTGCACATCTTAGGCATTCTTCCAATATTGGGTTTTATATTTAAAAGAACCATCAGATAAACTGGATTTTGTCCTTAGTGAACAAATAGCCTGTGAACACTGAATACCAGGTCAGGTGCATGACAGGTGTTAAATCAGTGCTTGCTAAATCCAAAAACTTGCCTTTTTCCTAGTACAGACTTTCCTTGGCCGTAGTATTGATCTCATACAAGGGAATAGGAAAAAACATCCATGATTCATTTTGCATAATTACTGTATTCTAAAGTTAAATAGTTGTAGATTTTGTCTAGTTTAGACTCTGGTACTAAAACTACCAAATTGTTTGAATTCCTATTAGACTTTGGATGGGAAAGTAGTAATACTTCGCAGTTTTTGCATTAAAATTCTGAATTTTTTTCCCTTTGGTGTATGAAAGCTGAAAATAGAAAACTTTTTCATGAACAAGAGGTTGAAAAGTGCCTTGTAGCCCTTTTGGGTTCTGAAAATGATGGAACTAAAATTGCTGCTTCCCAAGCTATTTCAGCAATGTGTGAGAATTCAGGCAGCAAAGATTTTTTCAATAATCAGGGTAAGTCAACTGGAAACAATTCTTTTGAGCATTTTTAGGTTACCGTATTTTAGTGCACATGGGCATTTTAAAAGTCACATTTTTACCTTTCTCTTTCTGTAGGGATTCCACAGTTAATTCAGTTGCTAAAAAGTGACAATGAAGAGGTACGGGAAGCAGCAGCTCTAGCCCTGGCAAACCTAACCACTTGCAACCCTGCTAATGCAAAGTAAGTTCAGAGATCCTCACCCAGCACTGACTTGTGGGACAATTCACAGTCCAAGATGTTCTCCTGTTAGTATATTGACTTTCACGATAGTCTATGAATTTCTTCAGATGGTCTATCTTGGGGTTATTCTTCAGAATCCCTTATGAAACAGAATCATCAGATGGGTCTGTTTTCCAAAAATATTACAAAATCTTTACTGTTTCTGAGTTTGTTGGGAAAATGTGCAGGCCATTTGATTTCAGGGACCAAGAGGACTCTTGTAGAAGCTTCTGCAAATAAGACTGAATAATGCTGGAAATGTTAAAGACAAGATCGGATGAGCATTTGATAAATCTGGAAAAATGCTTAAAGATCCATCTTAAAAGGGTATAAACATTAGATAATATAGAAACATTTAAAAGGTCAGTGGCTCCCACCTGTAATCTCAGCACTTTGGGAGGCTAAGGTGGGTGGATCATTTGAGGTCAGGAGTTCGAGACTAGCCTTACCAACATGGTGAAGCCCCATCTATACTAAAAATACAAAAAAATAGCTGGGCGTGGTGGCATGCGCCTGTAATCCCAGCTAGTCAGGAGGCTGAGGCAGCTGAATCGCTTGAACCCCGGAGGTGGAGGTTGCAGTGAGCCGAGCTCGTGCCATTGCACTCCAGCCTGGGTGCAACAGAGCGAGGCTCCGCTTCAAACAAACAAACAAACAAACCAAAGCATATTATGGGCAAATACTGTGAAGAAAAGTTAAGGAATAGGAATGCCTTCTATATCCCAAGCACTCTGGTGTGTAATTTATACTCATTTTAAAAATTATCAAAATAATCTGCCAGCAGTTGAGGAAACTGAGACTTTTCAAGCTTACTTAATTTTCCCAGGTACACATTTTTATCGAAATAGCTGAGCTGGAAATCGATGCAGGTCTGTCAGACTCCAAAGTCTGTGTTCTTTCCTCTACAGGAGATTAAGACTGCCTTATAAGACAGTAAGAATTTATTGAAGGCAGCTTCCATAAATAAAATAATTATTTGCCCTGCCTCCATCTCATTTGGTATGTTAGTTAGCTTTCATTTATTATTGCTTTGTGATATCATGGCTAAAATTACCCTTTTTCTAACTTGAACTAAATCTCCCTCTGCCTCCATCACATACTTAATAGTTCTTAGCCTTTCTTTCCCTTTCTATTCTCCCACACAAATTATAAGATCCTAATGCAATGACTACAAATCTAACTGCCTGATAAAAACATAAGAGGAATGCATTAAGTGTCAAAACAAAACTGTGTTCCTTTAATAGCTACAATCTTTGACACAGTAATTTCCTAAATTAAGGGTCATCATTATCTCTATGAAAGCATGCAAATTTCTGGAATATTGAGTCCTTCTAAGTAGCAGTTTGAAAATAGCATATTCAGTGGTTTTTCCAGTATGGTCACATGGTGCAAAAAAAAATCTTATCAGAGACACTAAACCATTTCTCGCTCCAGTCCATTTACATTTGTATATGATCTAGAATACTTTTAACAGGCCTCCAGAGTGTATAGGTGTCTTGATTTGATGTGAATTTGCCTGGCCTACATTTTTTGCTTTATTTTACATAAAATCATAGAAAATTAGGATGGTAAGTAGTTCTAAAAGGGACTTCCTTCAGATTATCTTTCTCAGTTTAATTATCTATTTTACAGATTTTTGTCATCTGACTCCTAGTTCCATTTTGTTACCATAGAAAGGTCAGTCAGGACTAAATGATGCCCGACTTCTCTACTACAGTCAACTTTAGTTACATAATATAATTTTATTCTTGTAAGTTTTTAATTGCAGTTATTTCTTTAACCTATTATATACTGTCCATTCTGTTTTTTTTAAATTTTGTATTTTGTAAGGGAAATGGAACATGAATGAAAGTGGCTTTCTGAATATTCCTTGAGGTCTATATAATTTTTACTTGGGATTTTCTGAGCTAAAAAATATTGAAGATGAATGCTTTTGAGGAGGATATGGAATCAAATTTGACAGATTTATGCCAAATGCTGAAGACTGAGGTTGCAAAAGATTCTGGAGTCAATCAAAAGGAATGAACACGAATAAACCACATAGTCCTTCTAGAAGCCTCCTTGAGTTTAATTAGTAATGCCAAATATAACAGAAGTGACTACAAATGTGATTGGTTATTGTTAATAACATAATTTTCTACTCAGATCGTCTTTTAAAAATTGTTAGCTTAAACTCAGCATTGGTGAGTATTTCTGGCATCACTTTTAGTAGCGGTCCATTCAATCATTTCCCCAGGAAGCATCGTGGCTTTGCTGCTGGGGTGGTTGGAATCAAGGTTTTCTAATTATTTTTCTGTCATACATAAGTAGCATAGGAGACAAAAGCCCAGAGTTAACTTCCTCCAGGTGCATTTGATAGATGTTTGAATATCTGATCATTGCTATCCTAATTTTTAAAAATGCACATAAGTGTTGCAAATACTAATTTCGTGTAGTTAAAACGTAACCCTTCTCCTACACGCATATCTTAATGTGCCTAAAGTGAATTTTTAAACTCTAATTATTAAACTCAGGGCATCTTCTGGAATTGGAGGCTCATTTCATGCATTGAGTAATCGCTGGTGTTGTCATGGTAACATATAATGTTGGTGCAATTTCCTTTATGTAATAGGTTTTTGCTTGGAAAATTGTGGGTAGATCAAAATTTTCTAAATTAAATAATCAACACAGGGAAGGAGAAATGTACTTGTGGTAACGCTTTTTGTAAAACTAACAAATGCTTTTTTTAATTAAAATCTTTTTGTAATCTAAAAATAGAATTTTATAATCTTTATGTAAATTAATTTATAGTCTAATGTATCTGATTTCAGATTTTCACACATCTTGCTTTCTCATAACAAAAAAACACACTCAAATATAATAAAATAGTATGATGATGAGCAATTTTAGTAGCAATCATAAATAAATAATCAGACCATTCATAGCCCTATGTAGAAGATTTTCAACTTTATTGAAGTAATCTGATCATCACCTTAATTGATGCCAAAAGATCTTACCCATTTGGTATTCATGAATGAGGTTTCTTAGATACTCAAGTTTAGTGGATTTTTAAAAATTTACTTTTTTAATCCAAAAAAACTTTTAAAAATTTGCGATAAATTTGAATTAAAATCTTCTAAAATCTTTCCTTCTCAACCTTCTGTTTTTTTTTTAGACAGGGTGTCACTTTATTGCCCAGGCTGAAGTGCAATGGTACAATCGTAGCTCACTGCAGCCTAAACCTCCTGAGCTCAAGCGATCCTCCTGCCTCAGCCTTTCAGGTAGCTGAGATTACAGGCATGCACCATCCCACCCAGTTAATTTTTCATTTTTTTTTTTTTTTTTTTTTTTTTTTTAGAGATGGGGTCTTACCATGTTGCCCAGGCTGGTCTCTCAAACTCCTGAGCTCAAGCAATCCTCCTACCTTGGCCTCCCAAAGTGCTGGGATTACAGGTTTGAGCCTCTGCAGTGAGCTCCCTCTCAGCCTTTTGAACTGATTATGCTGTTATTAAACTTTGGTGGGGAAAGTTATGGTTGCCATTTTGACTAAATGACTGCCATGTGACCCTCGGAGGTGTTCTCAGTGCCCCTTGGGGAAGGGGGGCTACTTGTCCCACTCACTGGGTATAAATTCAGGGGGGCAGCTCCTTTGACCTTCGATGCATTTTGTTGATTCCTTATCAAGCTTCTGAGAGCTGTCAGTTTTTCATTTTCACTGCTATCAGTGGATCTGATTGGCAGAGCTCTAACTTCCTCCCTGTCAGAGTTCCTTTCAAATCCTTCCTTTCTGTCCATGAAAAGCTTGGATTCCAGGTAACCCAGCTTTATCAAATTGTACACAAAAGCCATACAGGAGGGCCTGATGCCTCTTTGGTATGTACATAATTTTTGCTTCTCAGAGGCCATTCCCTACCCCCACAGATAATTCTCGTGTATGTTGTGGTTATGTGAAATTTCCAGGTATTTGAGTTATGGATACGTGGATATGGATGGTAGTTAAAAATTATTAACAAACATGAATCCTTTTACTTACAAATGGGCTAATGTTGTAGAGTAAAATAGACATAAAATATATCCTGGAAGTAAATTCCGCTTCCGGGAGTATTTTGCCTTAGGTCATTGTAGTGACACCCTCTTGCCTGGAAAACCTCTTCCCATGCAGGCTGTGGTTCTCTCCCTCACCCCGTTTACATCTCTGTTACAATGTCACCTTGGCGAAGCTACTTAGCATTACCACACGGCTTAAGATTGCACTCCACACATGCATATTTTCAACGCTCCTTCCCTGCTGCCCTTTTCACATACCCTTATCATTTTCTAACATAGCATGTAACTCACCTGGTACACTTATCATCATTTATTTTCTGCACCCCCACACCCCTGCACTGCACGCCCCCCCCCCGCGCCACACACCAACCACTAGCATCCATGAAGGGAGCAGCCTTCATCTATTTAATTCACTGATGCATCCCAAGCATCTAGAACACTGTCCATCCCATAGTAGGCATTCGAAGGAAAATAGGCTTACATCAAAAATACAACCAAAAAATGGCCGGGCAAAGGTGGTTCACATCTGTAATCCCAGCACTTTGGGAGGCCAAGGCGGGTGGATTACTTGAGGTCAGGGGTTCGAGACCAGCATGGCCAACATGGCAAAACCCCATCTCTACTAAAAATACAAAAATTAGCCAGGAATGGTGGTGCATATCTGTAATCCCAGCTACATGGGAGGCTGAGGCATGAGAATTGCTTGAACCCTGTAGGCAGAGGTTGCAGTGAGCCAAGATCGCGCCACTTCACTCCAGCTTGGGCAACAGAGTGAGACTCCATCTCAAAAAAAAAAACAAAAAAAAAAAAAACAAACCCAAAACAAAACAAAACAAAACAAAAAACCCAAAAGTAAAAGAAAAGTGATGAAAACAAAGTCTATTTGACAAACAAAGTCTGTTGTCAAACAATCAATAATGGCCATTACTTAAAACAGAAAGCAATCATCAGTGTTGTTTTCTTTGTTTTTATATAACTTGGAAAACAGAAGCAACAGTGGAGGCTTCCCTATAAGAGCCTCCTATTGATACTTCTAATTATTATCTACAGAATAAAGATAACTTAAAGTGGGTACAAATATGAAAAGGCAATGAATAAGAATAAAAATAACTATTTTTATAAAGGCATAGTAAAAGGGGACAAGAACAGCCAGATTCACTTATTAGCAGTGAAAGAAGGAGAAAGCAAAGTAAAACTATTTTTAAGTGAATAAATAAAAGGTGTGAAGGCTAAAACAATGCCTGTAGAAAGGAACAAATAAAAATGGAAACCAAGAAGCAATAATGAATTTTATAGAAAAATGTAGTTGTTTGGACACATATCTTTTCTTGGTATACTGCTAATCTCTTTTACAGTTAACAATTTGTAATGCCTTTTGAAAACGAGAAAACCGTTTATTTTTGACATAGGAAATATTGTTTTCAGCTAAATTTCATGTTACATTTATCCTGTATGCTTCTATCCAATTAATCATATCAAAGTTCCATATTATTTATGCAAGTACTGAGAGACTTATTCTCTGAGGAGCAGACCCTACACATTAAAAGAATGTTTTAAACTATTACTTTATAACATCACTGCCATCTGTTGGATCTGATCAGAATTAGAGTTTAAGTTGTTCCAAGAAGAAAAAGGGTTCAGTGTTTTTCACTTCCCTTTGGCAATGCTAACTAAATTTGGCCACTGGTAAACTATGAAAAGATTAGAATAAATGTTCAGAACTAATAAAGATTAGTATAAATGTTGGCTAGACAGTTTTCAAAAGATGCAATTATCTTAGGAAATAAAATGCAATGAACAAAATAAAAATATACACAGTAATAACTACAATTATTTTAATAACTATAGAGAAGTGAGAACTGAAGTTTTGTTACAGTAAATGCATGATCATAAGTCCCTTGTTTACACATAGATCACACTAACTCTGATTCTTCATAATTATTCCATGTCATCCCCATGAAGAACTGAGTGATTTACCTAAATCTTAGAGACCCTTTTATTACCATTTCTTTGCTTTTTATTTTTTATTTTTTGTACCCCTTTTGACTTTCCATGACAGCAGTGACCCAAGAAAGTTCTAAATGTTAGCACATATAGTGGTGACTGAAAAATTAATTGATTGATTACTGGCCCATTGCCAGCTTCTACAATACCAGAGACAAAAAGCTCTTCCCCAGAAACTGTCTTGCTGTTGTGTTCCCTATGGTCAGGACCGCACAAGGGAATGATGAAATTGTAAGCAGTACACTCCAAAGGGACTCCACAAACAGATAGAATGCCCCCAAATTATATGGATGTGCATTTGAGTGCTTTGGGAAGCTTAGAATGTCCTCGTTATATATGGATAACTTGTCATTTTGTATTATCAGTATTAAACATTCTTTTCGCTAATATAGAAATAAAGCATTGACTAATTTTAATACTTATTAGAATTATTCATGGAGTATCATGCCTGAGAATGCCATGCAATTTGTAGAGAAAACTTTAGAACGTATGCCACATACAGAACTTCACACAGTGTTTCAAGAAAAGTCAATACTTCATCTAGTGCTTCAACAAAAATCAGTGCTGCATTTACTCACAGTGACCAAAGTCCTTTATCAATCATTTCAGTATTGTCAGGGAGGGGCATGATCTTAATGATTTCCTGGAATGTTAAGTTTCTCCAGCAGAAATAGAAAGCACTTTTCAAACCTTTTGAAAAATTTCTCTCCCATTCAGTAAAGTTGGTGGGAAGATAATGTATTGTGTATTTATTGTTACCATTTCTTTTATTCTATTGATTTTAGGCTAATGGTTTCTCCTTAGAATTGCCTATATTTCATAGTGGAATGAAGGCTGAGTGCAGTGAATGATGATGGTCATTTTGAAGGGGGGAAAAATCTCTTAAAGTTAGCAAAATACAAACCACAAGTTCCACTTTTCCTTCTCCATCCCTGTACAGGAAGAGATGAAATGGCTAGACATGTGTCCCATCACCCTTTGAAAAATAAATGTTAACACCCTATTCTTAGAACACACTTCTTGGCCAGTTACACAGACCCACTTACATAAGTAATCCTGTCATTGAGAATACTTTTTACTAAAGAAGCATTGACCATAGAGATAATCCACAGTGATTTACAAAATTAAAACGTAGTCCCATGAAAAATGCAAGTTCGTGTTGTAGACTTGATGTATAGGTTGCATTTAATATTGCTAAGGTTGTACAGCTATTGTCTTTGTTGCATAGGGTTTTTCATTTTCGGAGAGTTCCATTTTCTAACAATGCAAGGAACTGCGTCTTCATACTGACCCCTAGTGGCCGATTAGGAGGACGTTGGGGGAGGGGCAAAAAAGGTAATGGAAGGATGGTTCTGTAGTTTAATGAAACGTACGTTAATTTAATTTGGAACACTCTCCAGTGTATCTAAGATAATATTTCCAAAACATTTTTAAAAGATTCCGATCTGAAAATCATTTCAACATGCTGCTTTTAGAGATAATATTCTACTGCTAAACGTGTGTTTAACAGATGCTTGTGTTTGACTTTGTCCCCTATTAAGGTGTAGTCATTTACAAATGTTTTGACGCATTCATTGTACCGGTAGCTGGACATCTTCTGTGCTATATAACCAGATAGGATAAATGTAATACTCTTGAACAACATAATCTAAGAAATCTCATTGCTATTATGGTTTCTCTAGAGTCGATTTTTTGCTCTTGACTTTGTATAATAGATTTTGTTTTACATTCTTATTTATATCACTTTGTTGTAAAATTCTAGATCCTTTGAATTAGAATACTCACAAGATGAGTATCTTGCAAGATAGCTAATTTCATAAGTTTTTAGGAGGTTTTGTTTTGTATTAAGGATGAGCTCTGGAAGAATGTATTTAACATGTTAATTAATGCCTTAAAAGTCCTCTGGAATTAATAGATAAAATAAATGGGAAAAGTCCTCATGGTAAACCTGAGAATTATTCTTGCATTATTTCTGTCCAAGTTTACTGAGTGGATGCTTTTCTTTCTGCCCCTTAGAGCCTAGATTCCTCCCTGTCTGATGGAATCTTATTCTAAACATTGGTTATACTGGATTGGAAAAATCATACTGAATTTGGAAAACAGAGAATGAAAAGCTGAATTTTGCAATAGAACAAGTGGATTCCCTATCCCCATTTCATGTCAGTGGATGCCCACCTGACCTTGACTAACAGTTTGAATTTGATTAGCTACTGATTTTGTGAGGCCAAGTGAATCCCATAAAATGTTCAATTAGAAAATTATCCATGCTACTTTTATTACCTACAGTGCAGAGACTGATATTTGCATAACCTCGTTTTAAAGTTGCTAGTACTCTCTTTCAGGTTTAATTTCCAACATTACTGATTTTCAGAGGAAATCTTTATATTGTGTGATTTCCCCCCCCCACTTCCAATTTGAAGCATACTTAAACCTATATAAGGTTATTTTTACCAACCCTTGACTTTTTATGTTAATCATTTCTCTTGATTTTTCTTCACACTGGAAATGGTCCTTACCACTCATTGATTACACTTGAGTGAAAGGCTTGAGTAGGATTTCTGAGGAAACTGCCCCAGCTCTAGCTCTGCAGGTGTAGGAGATTTTGCTGTTTAGCTAAAAATTGTCTGAAAATGAAATTTTCATGCACACACACAAGTTTTACAATATGATCTTACGTTTCCATGATCTGAAACTCTCTACCCTTGTGGCTCACTGAATGTTAAGAGGATGATGATGTTGTTGAAAGCTAGCAGTTATCGGCCAGGTATTAAGCTAAGTCCTTGAGTGGAATATATCATTAAATCCCAGAGCAGTCCTATGGGGGAAGGAATATTATTGTCATGCCCATTTTGCAGATGAGGAAACCAAGGCCCGGTGCTTACTCACAGTCACAGAGGTGGTCTGTTCTGTAGGTCCCCAGGGAGCTGGTAGGAGCTGAACCTCTTACTCTCCACCCCGGCAACTTTTCTCTCATTCTTTCCTCATCAGTGCCTCCAGGACCCTTAACTTCTCCACATTTTCCCCACCAGAAATTTCCCTTGTGCTGAAATTCATGATCTCTTTGAATTCCTCCAGCACTCCTTGTACTCACTCCAGTAGGCACCTTGAAATCATCTTTCATCCCTTCCTTTCCCTTTCTCTTTGCTTCTGACCCTCCCTCCACCTTTTTCCCCGGGTTCCTTTCCCTAGTCTCCCTTCTCCCCCTCTCTGCTTCCTCTGCCTCCTCCTCTCTGCTTCCTCTGCCTCCTCCTCCTTCTCATTTTCCATTCCCTAAGGAATGATGTCCTAAAGCAAGTAAATTCTTTTGGTTTTTGTTTTCCTGAAAATACTATACTTTTTAAAGCTTAAGAGGTTGAAAAATGTAAAAACTAATAAATTAAAGGTCAGAAAACCATGTGTTTGTTTTTCCGGTCTCTGTTGATTAACTTACCTTTGAGCAAGTTTTAGTCTCTCTGCATCCTGTCTTTTTTGACTATGAAACAAACAAGTAAAAATGAATCTATATAATCTACTGTATTTTGTGCATGTAAGAGATTACCCCCTAGCCAGTATCACAGGGAGTCTGGAATCCAGCTTCTTCCACTGGGGGCCGGATGTGATCCGTCGGTACAGCTGTTATCATTTCACCCCAAAATACAGGGAACTTACCACCTTGACTGTAGGTTTTTTTTTGTTTTTTCTTTTTTGTTTTGTTTTAGGTTTTTTTTTTGGTAATGATTCTACCATTATCTGGGTATCCTTTACCTGCTGGGCACTGTGCTAGGCTCTTGGGGTACCACAGGAAAGGAACACATCAGGCCTACATTTCAGTCAGGGAGGCCAGCAGTACACAAGTAATTTTAAAATGGTAATTGCAGAATTGTTACAGTATAGGTAAACTTCAAACAGCACAATGTGGAAAGAGGGCCATGGCCCCGGGGTTAGGAAGGGGCCTAGAGAATGATACAGGGCTTGTTAAGGAAGGGCTCTCTGAAAAAGTGACATCTGAGCTGCTGAGAATAAACCAGTCCTGGCAAGCGCAGGGATTTTTTTTTGTTTGCTGTGGCACTAGAGCATTCAGCATCCTTATTATTTAGTTAAGAAAATCAACAACATGGTATCTCTAATTACTTTGGGATTGTATCCCTTGTCATTGACAGATATGTAAATACGCTGATTTCCAGGCTAAACAGAAACATTTGGTAGCTGCAAAAGTCATTTATTATGAATATCCTAACTCCTTGACCATCATTTCTATTTTATTAGGAGACAAGTCAGCCATGCAAAAGAGAGTTGTTTTTTGCTGATGGCAGGTAGTTAATTATGAGTAGGGCATTCTAGCATTTGAAACAAGGTAGCATGTATGGAAGTGAAGTATTGTGATTGAACAGATAGGTCAATAAAGGCTCTGTGTCACTTGGGAGGAAATTACATTTGATTTCCCCAGACTTTGATTGACTGCCTCAAAATCGGTAGCAAAAACATGCATGCTCTTTGTGGAAGTGCTGGGGTAGCACTCACTATTCTCTTTGCAGTCATGCTGTTCTCTTTGAGAGAGCATAATGTCACCGCGGCTGCAACATCAAAGAGAATTCTGAAAGTCTCAAAATGAAACCTGCTAAGGTGCATCAATATGATGTAATCAATTCGGTTTCACATATTTCCTAGCATTTTGCGGGGGGCATTTTTCTTATTTTGCTATAGATGCAAACACATTTTTTTCCCTGTGGCTAGGCTTTACTTTAATTATGTTAATTTTAAAACCTTCATTTTAAGCATAAGCCTACAATTAATTGGTTGTCTCCCTTAATTGTGAAAAACTTCTTAAATAATATTTCTTTAAAAGAAGAACATTCTCTTGGCTAGTTTTGTCAACCTGGAGTTCAGCCAGAGTTTAGGGGCACATATACTAGCGTCCTGTAGCTGTGGGGCTGTGGCGGGATGATCCTTGTTCTGGACTCAGAAATTGACCAATTTAGCAAACACACTCCACTTCTTGGATCATTACCTTTGTTGAGAAACTGGCTGGAACAAGAGTCAGGAATTCTGTTTACAGCATTCCAAATCTGGCTGTGATAACCAGGAGACCTGTTTATCATAACGGCCAGTGTTCCACCTGTTCAGACTTCCTGCAGCCGGCAAGGCTTAAAAATGCCAGCTCTGAGTTGCTGCTGCGTACACACCGCCCCTGACCACTTGCAGAGTGTCTGCCGCCAATATGTCTTCCTTGGTGTGACAAAACTCACGGAGACATGAAAAGTCATGCTGGTGGGAATGGTTGTAATCACTGTTAACAAACAAGGTTCTTATTGCCAATATCACCATCTGTTCCATCGGGTTCCACATATTACCCTGTATGTGGGCTCTGTTAAACAGATTTCTGTTCTGCCCAAGGTCACCCTTGATTCATGTTACTAGACTTTGCAGTTGGGTTGAATGTGAACCTCAAATTGAAGCAAGGATTCAACTCTGAAAGGTACCAAATGGTGTCAACTGGTGCACACTAAAATAAACAGAGTCAACAATGTCTGCAAAGACAAAATAGAGACATCCCTTGATAAAAGAGAAGAATATATTCCCAAGAAGTTGTCTAAAGTGTAAAATTTTATTTCTTGAATACCATCTAAAAATTACCTCACTGTATAATTGGAGAAGCATGAGGGCAGGGAGGAAATGAACCAATTTCAAGAGCAGCTGTAAGTGATAAAACTGGAAATCGCAGTGTTGCTGGATCCTATCCCTTCTTGCAAACTTAAAGCTGAGCTAAGCACTTTCCCCCTCCCTTCTTCTTGATACCTGCAGCGAATTTCTGCTCACTCACCTTGAGTTGATTCGAGTCAATTAAAATACATTGATCTTCTCAGCACCGGAAATATAAATAAGACTCAAATATTACCTCTAAGAGGTAAGTACCAGGTACAGACATAGCACAGCAGAGGGAGTGATTAACAAGGAGGGCCGTGATGGTCACAGATGACTTTGCAGAGGAAGGGACAGGTAAGCAGAGAGTGAAGAATGAGCTAGTGTTCTCCAGCCACAAGTGCCAGAGGGATAGGGAAGGGTGTTTGGGACAAAGGGACCACAAGTGCAAAGACACAGACATGAAATCGCACAATATTTTTAGTGAGCCATAGACGCTATTTGTGTTTGAATTTTTCCTCAGTGATGTTCTTAGCATCCTTTCTGTAAGTGCTCTTTTATTGTGGGGCTTGGGCATTTGAATGAAAAATCTGCTGAATTCCATTCATGAGTGCTGCAAAATAACATTTTTAAATTGTTACTTTTTTCTGATGTAAACATTTATGCCAGAACATCATATTTTTAAACAAAAAGAAATGTGTATATTTAGCACACAAATGCTCTGAGCTCATGTTAAAAAGAAATCTCCTTTGGGGATCCAGAAGTGCCTCCTTGAGGAAAAGACATTTGTGCTGAGCTGTGAAAGAGGGCTGGGCATTGTCCTGGGGGAAGAGGATGTCAGGAAATGGGAAGAGCGCAGGGGAGCCCTGATGTGGGAAAGAGCCTGGCATATTGAAGGCTGCAAGAGAAGCTTAGAGCACGGAGCAACAGGAAGAGGCGGCGAGGGGCTGGGGGTGCATGGGGCTGGCGTGAGAAGTGGGGGCCGCTTGTGTAAGGCCTTGGAGGCCATGTCAGAAATTTGGGGGTAGGCCAGGCATGGCGGCTCACTCCTGTAATTCCAGCACTTTGGGAGGCCGAGGTGGCAGGATTGCTTGAGGCCAGAAGTTTGGGACTAGCCTGGGCAACGTAGCAAGACTCCATCTCTAGAAAAATAATTTAAAAATATAACAAAAAAGAAAAAGAAAAAATTGGGAACTTTATCCTAAGCAATGGGAAACCGTGAAAGTTTTAAGTAGGGGAGCAATATGATTATAATTTTAAAACATCACTTTAGCTGTAAGACGGAGGAAGGACTGGAGGGGGTGAGGAGAGACCTCTTAGGAGATTATTTATATCAACCCACAAGAGAGGATGCTGAATTGGATTCTGTGGGAGGATGGAGAGAAGGGAGAGATTTGAGAAATATGGAGGAGGAAAATAGTCAGGACTTGCTAATAGATTGACGTCACATGACATGTCAAGCTTCACCTCTGTTTACATATATCAAATGATATAAACAGATGTTTTCATACATTCCCATATTTGTTTTTTAGTTTGTTTTTTTCCCAATTTACATTTTAAACTCTTACTTGATTAAACTCCAACTGGATGGAGACTAATGATAGTAAATATCAGAAAATATTTTCAAATTATTGTGATGACATATGGCCCTATAATTCTGGATTTTAAAACAAAGCAGTTTGACTTCCATCCCATTCATTTGGATAATGCTATACTATTTGGGAAACCAAAATAATGGCTTTAAAAATATGACAGGCTTCAGCTTGTGTACAGGGAAAAATACAACAGAATGTCTGAGGTTTGAAATAAACAGAATTAATTCAATTCTTTTTTGTTTTTTAAACAAACAATTTTGTTTCAAAAAAGAATTTTGTTCAATTCTTTTTTGTTTTTTAAAGTACAAGTTCTGGGCTCTACTTCTGTATATAAAATTAGTTTTTTTAAGGTAAGAATAATAGTTTAATTTACCACCATAATAAGTTAATCTCAATTATTCTTTTTAGACTTAGTGCTGCATATAGCAAATTACGGGCAAATATGTACATATAATGCAGGTTGTGCCAGCTGTGCCTGCACGACTCATCTTTCTGTGCTGGCATTTATGTTCAATTTAGTAAAAGCTATATTCCACTGTGTACTAGAATCTTTGGTTTTTTAAACACCTAGTTTTTTATGCATTTCCCTTTACTGTCTCCATCAAGAGCAAAGAAAAGAGCAGAAGGTAGAGATATAAATGAACCAAGTCAAAATATGCCTTTGTAGAGGAGAAAGAAAGAAACAAAATCAAAGCAGAAAGGCTGACTGTTCGGATATACCTGATGTAAATTCCTGTATTTCCATGATCCAATTTTTCTTCGTTTCTTAGTTTTCAAGATGAAAGAAAAAGATGATGTATGACCCTGCGAACTCCTTTAGTTTTCCAAAAACTCCCTGGTACACACAAAAGACAAAGTATTTGAGAATTTATTGTTTGCATTTACTTAAAATACTTCTGTTTCTATCCTGGATGCCATTGAAGTACCCTGCGATTGTATGCTCTTTCTTAACTCTACAGGATGTTTTAAAAAGTGAACATTCTCGAGGGAAAACCACCAAGTGACAAAGGAATCATGCATTTTGGCCAAGCATATTTATAATGATTAACAAATACAAGGTATTTGGTTTAAGGGGCTGATTGCATTAAATACCTCAAAAATAAGTCAAAGGAAAAAACTAATTTTTAAGGAGGTTAAGTATATATTATTAATTAGAAAATATGTATAATTTAACATTTTTGCTGGCAGTTGTAAAAGGTATTCAGTATTTCCATTGCAAAAATATGAGATGTTTCTGATAAACTAATATATTAGAACCTCCAACTTCTCCCTCTTTCATAAAACCTAATGAACGCCATGCCAATTAATAATAGGAGAGAAGATGAAAAGTGAAATTATCTTAAGAATGCTTATTTTATCCCCTAGGAAAGGAAATTAAATGCTGACCCTCGGGCTATTATAGTGAGTGATATAGGGCCTTTGGATATTTTTGTAGAGGTCAATTTTGGTTACATGTCATCTAACCAAATTTTAATTTTAAGGGACGTCATCCTAGAGAAAGAATGGGAGATACCACAGAAGGGTTAAATGTACAAGGACTGGAGAATGAGTAGAAACGAAGCAAGGCTCTGCCTTTGTGGGATGTGGTGTGTTTGATGGACTGGTTTATATAAGCCAGGGTGGGAGGTGGTCCTGCGAGGGTGACACCAACTGAGCCCTTCATTCTCCAGAGCTGCTGTCCCTCTTCATTACGTTCCTGCCCAGTCACTGTGGTTCAGTTTCTTTCAGAGCTGGTGCCCCAGTCACAGCCTGCTTACACCTATGGCTACCAGTCTCTTTATGGAGATTTCATTTACCTCCTCTCTGATGGATAATTGTCATAACTTCTTTTCTTGAGGTTGTGAGTCCTCCTTCACAATAAGCAAATTGAAGTGACAGTACCAAATTAAATTTAATTCATCACCATACAGGATGATGGGCTGAATCATATAGCTTCAGTTGTTTTTTTTTTTAATTTTGGTTATTATTATATAGTCCTAAATGAAAAAATGTGTCAAAAACTTAGATGTTCATATTATTGACATCTCAAGTATTTTTCTTGTCTTGACTTCTATTACTATGATGATTTAAATGGATTTTGAAAACAGAATTTTGGGTCTCCCTTTAAAATCAGGATGCTCTCTTTATCTTATTGCTTGGAACATCTCCTATTTATAGCAATTCCAAACATTGAAGAACATAACTAAAGTATCTTCCACTCATTAAAATGCTCTAATTTTTATTTTTACTACCTATGAGCTTTAAACTGATTTAAAAATAAGGACAGCTGGTGTCTGGAGCCCTTCCACCCTGGCTTCATCTTGGAAGCTAAGCAGGGTGGGGACTGGCTAGAACTTGGATGGGAGACTGCCCGGGAAAACCGGGTGCTCAAAAACAAGGACTATTCTGTGCTCTTAAAAGAAGATTTAGGCTATCTAATTGTGAAAAAATGTTAGTATATTAATGGTAACTGTAGTCTTTTACTAGAGACAGGAAATTTAATAACTGAATATGCCTACATTACTAAAATTATCTATTTATATACATATCATGACTTTGATCTTTAATGTTTAATTTGTAAAAGCAGTATTCACATGCAGAATGATTTGCTGCTTTCAAACCTGTTCATCTTTGCCTACAATTAACAACCTAATTTGAAGAAGAGGAAGACAGGCTAATGAATTTTAACTTAAATCAGGAGTTCCCATGCTCACTCATTCCTACTATTTAAGGCTTTTGTTTTCTTAATAGCTAGGAATATTTTATCTTCAAGAAAACTTTCTAAGAATTTTATGGTTCATGTATGAAATCACACAAGAGTTTCTTTAAATAGAATTTCCTGGTCTTACAAGTAAATAAAAATAATAATAATAATGGTTGTACCTTTTTTTTAAGAAGTAGTAGTCGTCTATTTCTGAGGTTTCTAAAAAGTAGTAATGATATATTTTTCTATAACCAAAAGCTGTACAAGTAGAAAAAGAATTATTTAAATTCATTCATAGCTCAAAATTTCCCAGACTCCATTTAAATCACTAGCACTCAATTCTGGGTTCATTGCATGGCAAATTAATTTATTTCTAAAATCGTATTTCTGTACTCATTTGTTTTAGCAGCTTAGTTGCATGCTCCAAAGATAATTTTTTGAATTCAGATGAATCACATTCATTTCTCTTTCATTTACTCAGCGCTGCTGCTGAAGCTGATGGTATTGATCCATTAATAAACCTCCTGTCTAGTAAACGAGATGGAGCCATTGCCAACGCTGCTACAGTATTAACAAACATGGCCATGCAGGAGCCCCTGCGCCTGAACATACAGAATCACGACATCATGCATGCCATCATCAGCCCACTGCGTTCTGCAAACACAGTCGTGCAGAGCAAAGCTGCTCTCGCTGTCACCGCAACTGCGTGTGACGTTGAAGCCCGGACTGAGGTGAGAATTTTAATAACATGTGTTCTCTCATTTTTCTGGTTAGTACCTACTGGTGGATTCATTGGAAACATTTTTAAGTGATTGAACCTACCTGTCATTTAAGTCCTTCAAAACCGGTAAAACAGTGGAAAACGAATTGGCATTGTCTTGTCTTGTTTGTTTAATTAGCAAAGAAGGTGAGCATGCCCTATAAACCCAGCAATTCTGTTTCTAAGTATATACCTAAGAGAATCTGTTGCCTCTGTGTACCAGGAAGCATTGTTTATAATATCTAAACAAATAATATCTAAAACAAACAAATTGTCCAATTGTTAAGAAAATAGATAATGCATCGTGCTGTAGCCATAAAATAGAATCTCATGTCAGTGAAAATGAATGAGCTACAGCCCCACATGTCAACAGCGATGAGTTCACAAGCATTATGCCAAGCAAAAACACGTTGTAGAAAAATACATACTTATGATTCCATTTATGTAACGTTCAAAAGTATGCAAAGCTAAGCACTATGCTGTTTTGGCATGCATACATATAAGTTAAAACTATAAAGAAAATTGAGGGAATGCTGAATCCGAAATTCAAGAAAGCGGTTGCTTCTGTAGGGAGAAAGGGGGGCATGTAATTGGGTGGAACACCTAGGGGTTCGGTGTCATTGAAATGGTCATCTCTTAAGCTGGATAGTAGACAAACAGGTGTGCTTTTTACTAGGACTCTTTAAATTATACATGTGGGTTATTATATGTACTCTTGTGTTTCTCTTATATTTCTTATTTTTAAAACATACAATTGCATTTATCTGAAAATCTATTATATAAAAATGTCCTTGATAATTTATGGTGATCCTATTAAATCTTCAGAAAAACTTTATTTAGGCCAGGTGCAGTGGCTCACACTTGTTATCCCTGCACTTTGCGAGGTGGAGGCAGGCGGATTGCTTGAGGCCAGGAGTTCGAGGCCAGCCTGGGCAACATAGGGAGATCCGCATCTCTACAAAAAGACTCTGCCTCCTAAAAGAATAAAAATACAACTGGACTTAAATCAACAAACATCCTTTTATTTTTCTCAGTTTTCTCACATTTTCATGTCACCATGGCACTCATTTGAACAGCCTGGGACTTTGTTCTTCTCTGTCCCATAAAAATAACAAAACCAACGTTTATTTGGCACCTACTATGTGCCAGTGCTAAGCACTTTACATGCATTTAAGCCTCATTTGAGATAGGTATGTTTGTAATCCACATATTACAGATGAGGAAAATGAGGCTTAAAGAAATATGCTCAAAGCAGACTTGGTAAGTGGCGAGTCAGGGATATGAGAACACATCTGGGTCCAGAGCCCAAGTTTCACATGCTTGGGCCCATGCTGTCTGCCCAAACAACTGCCTAATCTTTTTCTTCTGTCTCCTTGATCTCTATTCTGTCTCCCTTGTTTGTTCCCATTGACTCACTTCATTTGTGCTCACCCACTCAGGTAGCGGTAGGCACCAGATATGTATTTACCAAGTACTGCGTGCCAGGTGCTCTGCTGGGTATCAGGAGCACAGTGACAAACAAGGGTCCTGTTTGTACCTCCATGCAGCCTGCAGGGAAGCCCACCTAGTTCCTGGAATATGCAGGAGACCCTTTACTTTTTTCCCTCCCCTCCTATTCCCCTTACTGGCTCCAGGCTTGTCTTTCTAACGTGTGGCCCTGGTCACATCATTGCACATCCTCAATGGGAACGTTAAGCTGCTCAGCAACATCTGCAGGGGCCCTCCTGACCTGCACCTGCCTACCTAAAGCTGTAAGCTCCAACTCTGTCCAGGTGGAACTCTACACTCCAGAAATGCCACACTGCTTGTAATTATGTCAGAATGCTCTGCTCTCACAGCTATACCTGCTTGATTTCTCTGCTTTCTCCCTTTTCCCCCACCTGATAAATTCCTATTAGTTCTTCAAAATCCAGCTCTACCCTCCTGTCCCCCAGAAGGCCTTTACTTTAGTTTTCAAACTAGGGTACATCTTTCTCTATGCTCCCATTGCACCCCTTGTCTTCCTTTTTTGAATTTTTTGGTTCTGTGTAAAAGACTACAAGCTCCTTGAGACTTTAGGGAAGGGAACTGAGATTTTTCATCCCTGTGTCCATGTCATTAATATATACCTGGCACATAATATATGCTGAATGAACATTTGTTAAATGAATGAGTGAACAAATAAATGGAGGAATTAATGAATAAATTAAATCTTTGCCTAAAGGACATGTGGTGTTAGATTACTATCTCATATTATACCTTATGCTTGCTAAGCATAAGGATGCTTCAAGTGAACTTTCTAAGCTGTCCAAGTAATGTGTGATAACAGGTAAGCCCCACCAGGGCCCCTGTGTTTGTGATGAGAGTGACTGAAAGTGGAAGAGATTCCACAGGGATCCTGTCTTAGGATACTACACATTCAAGCTGGTAGAATAAGAACATTCTTTTTATCCTCCAGTTGCATAGATAATGCAGCATTACATTTCAGACATGAGACAAGAACTCTGCCCAATCTTTTTTTTTTCTGATTGGAATAATTTTATACACGAGTGATGTCTTTTAATAATGTAATTAATGAAGTTCTATCCAATTCTTTTCTTTTTCTTCTCCTCTTCAGTCCTTTGAGAAATGAAGAGAAGACACTGTGTATAGATAGCAAAGATGGGTCTTTCTCTGGAGAATTGCTTGAGTGTTGCTTTGGCTGCAGTGCTGACTTGGTGGCCGTGCACAGTGACATGGGGGGGTCCTTGCTGGCATCGGTTCATCCAGCCTCAATCTTAGGGACTGTGTTAACTTCCTATTGCCACTGTAACAAATGACCATCACTTGGCTTAAAGCCATGTAAATCGAATATCATATGGTTGGGGAGGTCAGAAGTCTGAAGCTGTGTCTTATGTCCTTGCCCTTTCAGCTTCCAGGGGCTTCCCACATTGCTTGGCTTGTGACCCTCCTTGGATCTTCAAAGTGCATCACTGCAACCTCTGCTTCCATCACGTGTCTTTTTTCTGCTTCCAGCACCTTCTGTCCCCCTCTTATAAAGATCCTTGTGATTACACTGAACCCTCCTGGCTAATCCAGGATAACCTCCCCATCTCAAGACCCTTAATCATCTCTGCAGAGTCCCTTCCAGGGATGAGGATATCTTTGGGGGCCCCTTACTCTGTCTATCACTGAGCTGAATGAATAGTCAGTGTTCAGGAGCAGAGTGAATAAGCATCGGGCATCCCACGGGTGGGCAGTGAGAA
Source organism: Homo sapiens (assembly GCF_000001405.40). Lineage (NCBI taxonomy): Eukaryota > Metazoa > Chordata > Mammalia > Primates > Hominidae > Homo > Homo sapiens. The sequence goes on from NC_000010.11 coordinate 23,001,651, forward strand.
GACAGACTCCTGCTGCAGTCCCCGTCCCACGTAAAATCAGGATGACCTCCCTGGGATACTTTCCCAGGGCCCGAAAACCGGGCTTCTCTGTGTAAGGGTTTGCAATAGATTTTTCACCCCTGAATTTAATAAACCTAAAGATAGACACATTCTGAAGCATTTTTACATAGTTAAAACCTTTTAGCAATCAAATAATGAGATTTTTTTAAAAGCACAAATAGTTACATTCTACACTCTTAATGTGTAACATTTTGGTTTCTGCTTTTAGTTAAGAAATTCTGGTGGATTGGAGCCCCTGGTAGAGCTGCTACGCTCCAAGAATGATGAAGTGAGGAAGCACGCCAGTTGGGCAGTGATGGTCTGTGCTGGTGACGAGCTGACGGCCAATGAATTATGCAGGCTCGGGTGAGTGGATGCCATCTCAAGTTTCTGGCTCAGATGAAGAGCAGAAGACGGAGAGGCACACTCTTTAGGCCCAAGGAATTTCAAGCCAAGTCTCCGCTGCTCTCTCAGTCCGCTGAAGCGCTGCATGTCCCCAGGGCGGGCCTTGGCTTGGAAGGAACCACCTGGAGGCAAGGGGGTCCCGATTCACCGCTCCCTCACTGCCCTTGAAAAAATCACCTTCAGTATTTTCTTCTAACCCCTTTATCTTGATAAATGCTTCTCTTTTACTTTCTTCTGCTACTGCCAAACAAATTCTATTTGTCTCTCAACTTTCAAGGCTAAAATTAAATGGGCGAGCTGTGTCTATCACCTCTATTTCTTTCCCACCCATCTAAAACTTTCACCAGAATTCCGCATTTCACCACCCTCACCAATCAGTTCTGTTGACCAAAAGCAGATGAGTTTGTTGCCTTTAACACATCAGCTAATAGGGTTTTAAGTTTCATTTCTTTTCTCTTTCTTTCTTTCTTTCTTTCTTTCTTTCTTTCTTTTTCTTTCTTTTCTTTTTTTCTTTCTTTTTTTTTTTGGCAGAGTCTCGCTCTGTTGCCCAGGCTAAAGTGCAGTGGTGCAATCTCAGCTCACTGCAACCTCTGCCCCCTGGGTTCGCAATTCTCCTGTCTCAGCCTTCTGAGTAGCTGGGATTACTTTTTTGTATTTTTAATACAAACAAGGTTTTGCCGTGTTGGCCAGGCTGGTCTCGAACTCCTGACCTCAAGTGATCTGCCCGCCTCAGCCTCCCAAAGTGCTAGAATTACAGGCATAAGCCATCACATCTAGCCCCAGGTTTTAAGTTTCTATAGACAGGTTTCATTTATTAATTTCTAAACATTTGGCTTCTTTGCATATATTGTCTAGTTAGATGAAAAAGTTGAGGTCCAATACTAATTTTGTTTTTAGATGAACAAAGAACTTTTTCCCCCAAAAGCATCCTTTTCCCCTGTTTGAACATGAGTTACTACTTGGCATATGTATCCTTAAGAAGGGCAGATTTGTCTTCATAATTCTATCAGTATTACTTTATCTAAGAGGGTGGGGGAGGCTTTAAGCTCCATCTCCATTCTTCCTTCAGGATCTGAAGTCGGTATATAAGTGGAGACTCAGTATTGGATGGCTTGTATAAAGCAAATAATGCTTTTTGCTTTTATTGACAGGGCTTTAGATATCCTTGAAGAAGTTAACGTATCAGGAACTCGGAAAAATAAATTCAGTGAGGCAGCTTATAATAAGTTGCTCAATAACAATCTTTCCCTGAAATACAGCCAGACTGGCTATTTGTCATCAAGTAACATAATTAACGATGGATTCTATGATTATGGTCGGGTAAGTGACAGCATTTATTTGTAGTTTAGTATGTACAATAATAATTTTTCTTTAATCCTGATGCCATTACATTGCCATTTCATCATCACCTAATGTAATTTATATTTTTACAGGCAGAAACTTGAAAATCAGCACTTCATTCTTAACTTTAGTTATAAGATTTTGCATTTTTTGTTCAGTTTTAACTAGAATCTGCTTACTTGTAATTAAATCAGCTTGCTAGAGGCAGTCTTAAGTTTCAGATAAGATACAAAAGAAGAGCTGGGTGGGCCTGGTGATGCATATCTGTAGTCCCAGCTATTCAGGAGGCTGAAGCAGGAGGATTGCTTGAGACCAAGAGCCCAGGAGTTTGAGGCTAGAGTGCACTATGGTTGTGCCTGTGAATAGACATTGCACTCCACCCCAGGCAGCATAGCAAGACCCTGTCAAAAAAAAAAAGGTATAAAAGAAGGAGCAGGTGACACAGCTCATGCCTGTAATCCCAGAACTTTGGGAGTCTGAGGTAGGAGAATCACTTGAGGCAGGAGTTCAAGATCAGCCTGGGGAACATAGTGAGACCCTGTCTCTATAAAAGAACTTTAAAAAATTAGCTGGGTATGGTGGCATGCATCTGTAGTCTGATCTACTCAGGAGGCTGAGTTAGGAGGATGGCTTGAGCCCAGAGTTCGAGGATGTAGTGAGCTATGATCACACCACTGCCCTCCAACCTGTCTTTTAAAAAAAAAAAGTAGCATTTAAAATTTGGGGGCTCTATTATCTGTATTACATGAATGTTGAGAGAAGTGAAAAGCTAGAAATTAAAATATTAAGGACACTTTTTACATGACTGATTTAGTCAGTATTTTCTACTTCTTCTGGAAACCAAAAGCAATGAGGAGAATGGGGAAAATGTTAAAAACCCACAAATCCCATTTTAAGCAAAACTAGGAAGCAGATATGATCTGCAGACTTCAAACAATTTTAAGGGTTGCCAAAAGCTGCCAAGATCAGGCAGAAGCTGTGCAGGAAGAAAAAGGAAAAGGAAAAAAAAAATCACAGACAGGAGCAAGAGGGCTAAAGATGGCAGAGCTCAGAAAGCAAGCACCACTAACACTGTATCCTTCCTGAGGTCATGGGAAAACTCAGAAGTGCAAAACTTGTAGATGTGGTTTGCTAGGCAGGTGCAAGAACTCAGGACACGGGGAGTGAGGCTGACAGCAGAAGCCTTCTTGGACCAATTTGGTTCCAAGAAGCAGAGGAGACAGGGCCATAAGTCACATCACTGAGCCCCGGTTGCAGGAAGCACTCCATCGTGGTAGTGGAGAACTAGAGAAAATTTGAATAATTCAAAACAGCTTGCCTAAAACTTGACTCTTACTCTCCCTTCTGCCTCCCCCACCTCCTGCCACCACTGCCGTACTCCATAACACACACAAACCACTGAGAAATTGCTCCCAGGAAGCCCATCTCCTTCAATTATGATAATTTAAAGAGAATGTTGCAGCATCAGGACAAAGCTGTTTTAAGAAAACCAAGAGGGGGGCCGGGCGTGGTGGCTCACGCCTGTAATCCCAGCACTTTGGGAGGCCGAGGTGGGCGGATCACGAGGTCAGATCGAGACCATCCTGGCTAACACGGTGGAACCCCATCTCTACTAAATATACAAAAAATTAGCCGGGCGTGGTGGCGGGTGCCTGTAGTCCCAGCTACTCCGGAGGCTGAGGCAGGAGAATGGCGTGAACCCGGAAGGCAGAGCTTGTGGTGAGCCGAGATCATACCACTGCACTCCAGCCTGGGCGACAGAGCTAGACTCGTCTCAAAAAAAAAAAAAAAAAAAAAACCAAACCAAGGGGGGAAAACAAACAAGAAAACTGACGGGAAAAGCCGAAAAACGATCGCAGAACACTTACCAGGAAAACCTTGCCATAGATCAGATAAAATTGTGACAAAACGTGTTTGGTCATGAAGTTTTAAAACATTTAACGAGACAATTTCTTTTTTAAAGGGGGATGCTCTGATTCATTCAGTAAATATTGTTATAAGTTTCGGATATTGGAGGCTGTGAATACGTCAGTGAACAAAGGAGACCAAGGTCTCCGCTTCCATGGTACCAGTGCTGGAGGACAGAGAATAAACACCAAACATGATACTGAAATAAATGATATCCCAGGGTAAAAATGAGAGGCACTGGCTTGGTGCGGTGGCACACGCCTGTAATCCCAGCACTTTGGGAGGCCGAGGCGGGTGGATCACCTGAGGTTAGGAGTTGGAGACCAGCTGACCAACATGGCGAAACCCTGTCTCTACTAAAAATACAAGAATTAGCTGGGCATGGTGGCACGCACCTGTAATCCCAACTACTCGAGAGGCTGAGGCAGGAGAATCACTTGAACCTGGGAGGCAGAGGTTGTAGTGAGCCGAGATGGCACCATTGTACTCCAGCCTGGGCAACAGAGCTAGACTCCATCTCAAAAAAGGGGGAAAAAAAAAAGAAATGAGAGGTGCCATGGAGGGAGAAGAGAGCTGGGCAGAGGGAGGGTGAGGGGCTCTGAAATGCTGGGGAGCCCTGAGGTGGGCGGTTGCAATTTTAGAAGTTGCAGTCAGGTGGGTATCACTGAGAGGGTGATCATTTCCAAGCCAAAACTTGCAGCAGGTGAGGACCTTAGTCCCGGGCAAATCTGGGGCTGGGGGAAGTCCTGGGCAAATCTGGGGTTGTTTTCTAGGCAGAAGAATCAAGCAGTGCAAGAGCCGTGTGGTGAATATATGTTTGGCATGTGCTAGGCACAGCAGGAAGGCCGGTGCAGCTAGAGCTGGGCTAGCAAAGTGCGAGGAGAGCAGACCCTAGACCAGAGAGCTAACGAAGGCCAGGTTAAAGGCCTTTACTCTGAATGGAACAGGAACCGTGGCAGTGTCCTGGGCAGAAGAATGACAGGATTGGTCTTATTTTAAAAGGCTCTCTTTTGCCTTCTTCCCAAAGGACCATGAAATGTATCTTGGATGAGAAAGGGATTCAACTATAACTTAATTGGAAAAAGATCTCAAAAGTGATCTAGTCTAGCCCTCTTCCTCCAGGCTTGTGAAACTGCCTGCACAGGGCTTTGTCTAGCCTACTTTTAGATACACTCACAACACTTTTAGTCATCTGTTCCAGTATTCAGTTACTTTTGCAGGCAGTCAGCTCTCCCTTAGGTATATAGATGGATTTGCCAATCCAAATACTTCCAGGGGCCAAGATGATAATGATGGGATGAAACAGCCGAGTGTAAAGCAATCGAGATGATAAGGAACTGGATCTGTCCTGCCCAAAGGCAAGAACATCCACAAGCTTCAGGTTCCTATTTCTAATTTTATATATGTATATTGTACATGTGTGTGTTTGTGTGTGTGAAATGAGACACCGCAAACAGCTGAGAATATATTCTATCTGTATTCATTTTCGAAAATATGACCCCTGCAGATACTACTTTTTGGTCCTTAAATTATCTCACAGATAAATCCCGGCACCAAACTGTTGCCTTTGAAGGAGCTCTGCTTACAAGAACCAAGTGACCTACGGGCTGTACTCTTAATCAACAGTAAATCTTACGTGTGAGTCTCTGCAGGGAGAGGGGATGAAGGGAAGCACATACTGCTTGTTGTTGTTGTTTCTCCACCAACGTGTGAATATGCAAAGATTCCCAGACCCTTTTCTCCTGTATCTAGCACCTCCATGAAAATAAACACTGGCTCATAAACTCATAGCCCGACATGGAATAACCATGAAATAGCCACCACTGCAAATCAATGCACTCTCTGCTCTCTTTCTTTGACTCTATACTGCCAGTCAATTTCAAGTGTATTCTGAAGTCAAGGCCTCTTACCATGGAGTCATTGAAGAAAGTGTAAATAGCAGCAAACCGAGATGAATCATGTTTACAATTCTCCAGGACTATGTGCTGGAGTACAGTTACCACCCAACATTTTTCTTTGAAATAAGAAGTAAATGATAGAGCTAAAAATTAAAGCTTCCATGGTCTTCTTTAAAATGACCATGGCCGGGCACGGTGGCTGACACCTGTAATCCCAACACTTTGGGAGCCGAGGCGGGCAGATCACGAGGTCAAGAGATCGAGGCCAACATGGTGAAACCCTGTCTCTACTAAAAAATACAAAAATTAGTTGGGTGTGGTGGCGCACGCCTGTAATCCCAGCTACTCAGGAGGCTGAGGCAGGAGAATCACTTGAACCCGGGAGGCGGATGTTGCAGTGAGCTGAGATTGCACTGCCACTGCACTCTAGCCTGGCAACAGAGCAAGACTCCGTCTCAAAAAAAAAAAAAAAAAAAGAGAGAGAGCGAGAGATCGTGTATATCTATATATCCATATAGTAGTTATGTGATACATTTTATACAAATAATTTCTGTTCTAGCTTATGAAAGGCTTTATAATAGTCTTCTTGCAGTGGCTCATGCCTATAATCCCAACCCTTTGTGAGGTTGATGCAGGAGGATCCTTTGAGCTCAGGAGTTTGAGAGCAGCTTGGGCAACACGGTGAAACCCCATCTATACAAAAAATACAAAAATTAGCTGGGTATGGTAGCACATGCCTGTAGTCCCAGCTACTTGGGGGACTGAGGTGGGAGGATCGCTTGAGCCCCGGAGGTCAAGGCTGCAGTGAGCCATCATCGCACCACTGCACTCCAGCCTGGGCGATAGAGTGAGATCCTGTCTCAAAAAACAAACAAAGAAAAAATGACTTCTCCTTTATACTTTAAAAACAGTATGTCACTGTTAAAAGTCAGCTTCAGTTATGACTTTCAGAAAAAAATCTGTTTCGTGGAATAAAACCATCTGTTGACAAATAATTTTAATCTATATATAATTTTAAATGTGTAAAATTTTAGTTCTCCACCTTCATCTATGGAAGATAAATCAGATGTTGGTTATGGACGAAGTATTTCTTCTTCATCTTCCTTAAGAAGATCAAGTAAAGAAAAGAACAAGTAAGAAAATGATGTTTTATCTGTATGCAAACAGCTTCCCCTTTAATTTGAGTGTGAAAAAATGTTTTAGATTTTAGATTGGGGCAACTTGATTTTTATTCTTCTTATGGTAATACAATTGCATAATTGCCTTTTACATTGCTATGGGAAAGATCTCTGGAATAGGAGCCAGGAAATCTGGTTTCACCTTCTATTTCGCCCTGTGGACCTGCAGTGATTTGGGCCACATGACTTAGTGTCTGTGTGGGTTTCGTTTCCTTAGCTGTGGACGAAATAACACCGGGTCCCTGGCTTCATCATGGGGAAAGGAATCAAGTTATATAATGAAGTAAAAATTGTATAATGAAGTAAAAATGCCTTGTAAGCTCTAAATGCAAATGTAATGTATTGTTGTTTTCCATATGATTGAAATTGGTTGTGGTTTTTTTTCAAATGACAAGAAAAAATAGTTATCATTTTAGTGCTGGATTTGGATCTCCCATAGAAGACAAATCAGAGCCAGCTTCTGGACGAAATACTGTTCTCAGCAAAAGCGCCACCAAAGAAAAAGGATGGAGGTAAGAAAGTGTCCTGAGTTCCTCATTACCCAGCCAGGCTGGTGGAAGGGAGGGGTGGCTCTTCAGTAGGAAGCTTTCTTCTGACATCAGGGTGTTGAACCAGGCAAGACTCATGAGATGAAATTTAAAAGAAACTTGATTTTTGTCTCTTACCATCTCTTTAAAACTTACCCGGAGAGAATTGTCTTCTGGCTCTGGCCAAAAACTCTGGTCACTTGGATCACTTGTAGGAACAACAGGGTCCTACAGTCGCTTTAATTAAAACTTGGCAACAGGGACAGCAGTCTCTAATCAGTCCTTTGAAAGCCCAACCCTGGGTAACCAACTTGGTGTGAGGGTTTCTGCCTCCCACTGCTGACTTTTGCAGGTGGGGAACCCCACACCCAGATGTGTGGTCCCACGCTCTCTCCTCCCGCCCCACTTTTGCTTCCACGGCCCTCCCCACCTCCCTCACCATCTCTGACCCTCCATGGGAGAAGGAATGAGGAGGAGGAGAGGCAAATAGAGCAACGCTCTTACTTGGTTGGGACAATTATAATGTCGTTTTGAGGTCTGTGTTTTGTTTTGTTTTGTTTTCTGAGGCAGAGTCTCGCTCTGTCGCCCAGGCTGGAGTGCAGTGGCACCATCTCCCATCTTGGCTCACTGCAACCTCTGCCTCCCTGGTTCAAGCAATTCTCCTGCTTCAACCTCCTAAGTAGCTAGGATTACAGGTGTGCACCACCATGCTCGGCTAATTTTTGTATTTTTATTAGAGATGGGGTTTCACCCTGTTGGCCAGGCTGGTCTCAAACTCCTGACCTCGTGATCTGCCTGCCTTGGCCTCCCAAAGTGCTGGGATTACAAGCATGAGCCACCCTGCTCGGCCCCACATGTTTACATATTTTTAAAACATACTTCTTCTATGAGAACTTTCCTGGATTCTTTGAAAAACTGTATTGAGTTATGGTAGACTTAAGCCTGTAAGGGCCACGGTGGCATTGGAGGCTGTGGGGAACAGATACCAGACCCCTGCTTTCCAAGGAGGCTGGGCCCCAAGTCTCCCAAGGCGTACGCAGTGGTTTGCCCTCATCCTCAGACTGCTTTATTTTCTGCTCTGGCTTTCTTCTCTGTTGTTAGAGTCTCTGTTGCTCAATATTCTCATCACTGCTACTCATCCATCCCTGTGGTTCCAGTCCCATAGCTTCTGCTTGCTCTCTCCTCCCCTTCCCTGTCCTTCCCTTCCCTCCCTCCCCTTCTCTTCCCTTCTCTCCAGCTTCCCTCTCCTTCCCTTCCCTCCGCTTCTTTGTCCTTCCCTTCCCTCCTCTCTCCCTTCCCATCCCTGTTCTTCTCTTCCTTTCCCTTCCCTTCCCTCTCTTTCCCCTTCCCTTCCCTTCTCTCTCCCCTTCCTTCCCATTCCCTGACCTACCCTCTTATCTCTCCTTCCCTTTCCCTCCCCTTTCCTTCCCTTCCTTCCCCTCTCTTTCCCTTCCCTCTCCTCCCCTTTCCCTCCCACCCCTTCCCTTCCCTCCCCTCTCCTTCCTTTCCCTCCTCCCTCCTTCCTTTCCCTCCTCCCTCCTTCCTTTCCCTCCCCTCTCCTTCCCTTCCCATCTCTCCTGTCTCCCTTCCCTTCCCTGTTCTCTTCTTTTCCCTTCCCTTCTCTCCCCTCTCTTTCCCTTCCCTTCCCTTCTCTCTCCCTTCCTTCCCATTCCCTGACCTACCATCTTCTCTCTCCTTCCCTTTCCTCTCCTCTCCTCTCCTTCCTTTCCCTCCCCCTTCCTTCCTTTCCCTTCCCCCTCCTTCCTTTCCCTCCCCTTTCCTTCCCTTTCCCTCCCCCTCCCCACTCCTTCTCTTCTCTCCCCTCTCTTTCCCTTCCCTCTCCTCTCCTTTGCTCTCTCTCCCTGCTCCTTCCCTTGCCTCTCCTCTCCTTCCCTTGCCTCTCCTCTCCTTCCCTTGCCTCTCCTCTCCTTCCCTTTCCCTCCCACTCCTTCCCTTCCTTCCCCTCTTCTTCCCTTCCCTCCCCCTTCCTTCCTTTCCCTTCCCTTCCCTGTTCTTCCCTTCCCTCTTCTCTCCTTCCCTTTTCTCCTCTCTCCTTCCCTTCCCTCCTCTCTCCTTCCCTTCCCTCCTCTCTCCTTCCCTTTCCTTTCCATTCCTTGTCCTTTTCTTTGTTTTGCTCTGCCCTACCCTTTGGCCTCTCTGAGCCTCTCCCCACTGGACTAAAAGCTCCTCAAGAACAAGGAATGTTCTAATTTGAATAGTTTATTTTCATCTCCTGTATTTAGCGCAGTGCCTGGCTGGCACTCATAGGCATTCACATTTATTCAAAAGAACAGAAATCCAAACTTTGGCAGGAAAAGGTTATTTCTGACAAGTTCCACACTTATAAATGATGCATCTGGAGCAAATGGGTTACCTTCTCTTTGTCTCTGTTTCCTCATCTGTAAAACTGAAATAAAAATAGAACCATTTTCATAGTGCTGTTGTAAGCCTCAAGTAAGTCACTACGTGTGAAATGCTTAGCGCGGTGCCTGGCACATGGTAAACACTCAACCAGTGTCAGTTTCTGTTGCTATTATTATTGTTGTACTAAAAAGTTTCGAGGAGCCAAAACCCACTCCAACCATACAAGGATATAAAGGAATTCAGTGCAGGGATGCAGAGGGTCCTCAATGGGACAGGTGACAACTGCAGGGCCTGCCCATCTCTCTTCCCCTCTCTCTTACTCCCTCCACCTGCATGGTAACTTACTTGCACTTGCTTCCTTGCTTGCTTTTTTTTTACAGCCTCTCCTCTAACTGTAGCTTGCATGTGACCTTGGTTTGCTAAGGGACCAAATCTGGCCCCAATTCCAAAACAGCCTTCCAGTTCAAAAGCCTGGCAGCAATCAAATACAATCTCTCTCTGTCTCTTCGTGCATTTTCAGGAGATGCAATCTTATTTTCACAGGCCATCCAGAATGTCAGCTGCCTCTGAGACAAGTGTTCCCCTTTAGTCCACCCAGCTATGGCCCTGGGAAAGACTCAGCCTTCTGCTCCCTTGCTAGGGACAGGCCACTTGACTGATGAGCAGCCACAGGACCTTATTGTACATATAGTCCCTCAATCAAAGTGCACCTTTCCCTCTGGTCCTCACCCAGACGAATGAACACATCAGCTTTCATCTTTGGTTCTTCTGCTCTTCTTGGATTTTTACAATTGTCTTATTTTTCTTACAGCTCAATCTGGTTCTTAATCCTAAATTTTTTGGGCAATCCTTCTGGGTGGGAACTCATTTTGTGTACTTGTGAATATCAAGCTGCTGATCTTCACACAGCTATAGTTTGCTTTATTGTGATATTTGACACTGATATTTTCCATAACTGTGAAACACTCACATCTTGATCTCATTAGATCCATGTCGCTTTGTTCTATAGATAAATCCCTTCTTTTTTGGCCCTTGGTGCTATCTTCTCATCCTTTGCAATACCGTAAATATCAATGTTCTCCAGGAGTAGTACTCCTGTTCCTACTCTCCATAGTTTTAGCTCCCACTCCAAAGCTGAGACCCTTCTCTTGAGTCCAGACCTGTGTGTCCAGTTGCCTGGTGGAGTATTCTGCCCTATCACTCTGAAGGCACCTTAAGTTCAATATGTTCCAACCTGAACTCATTGTTCACCGCAGCTCCCAAGCTCCCTCCCCCTCTCTTCCCTGTGCTTGTTCATGTTAATCATATTCCCATACAATCACCCATGCCTAGGAACCATCTTGAAGTCCTTCTCATTTATCCCCAATATGGAATGACCAAGACAGTCCTATCCACTCTATGTCTTAACTCTCCTACATCTATTTCTTCCCTTCATTTTCACTTTTACTTCCCTAGTTCAGGCCTTTATGTTATTCAATCACATCAACCTCCTTATCGTACTGTAAATCCTCCCACTTTCGCATAGCCCTCCATAAACCCGTCCTCCATGCATGTGCCCCCAGAGGTGCTAGCCCCCACCTTTTTTTTTTTTTTTTTTGAGACAGAGTCTCACTCTATCACCAGGCTGGAGTGCAATGGTGTGATCCTGGCTCATTGCAACTTCCGCCTCCCAGGTTCACGCAATTCTCGGGCCTCAGCCTCCCGAGTAGCTGGGATTACAGATGCGTGCCATCATGCCCAGCTAATTTTTATTTTTATTTTTATTTTTATTAGAGACGGGGTTTTGCCATGCTGGCCAGAGTGGTCTCAAACTCCTGGCCTCACGTGATCTGCCTGCCTCGGCCTCCCAAAATGCTGGGATTACAGGCGTGAAACACCATGGCCAGCCACTACACACCTTTTTAAATGAAAGTCAGATCATATGACTCTGCCTAAAACAAAGTTCCCTCTCATCTTATAGCTGAAGCCCATACTCCAAGCATGGCCCACCCTGGAATAGCCTTGCTTGTTTTGTGGCAAGTTCCTATTCATTCTTTATTTTCTTTACAGCTTTGTTTTTGTGAAGCCTTCTCTGATCACACCAGGATAAACATTTATTTTGTGCCCATTTTTTTGTGAATTTGGGTTTTTAATTATTTAGCTATAGTTTTTTCTCACTTTATCGAGGCTTAATTGACAAATGAATTATTATGTACATTTAAACATGATGTTTTGATATCTGTGTACACTGTGAAATGTTTACCACGATTAAGTTAATTAACACTTCTGTCACCTCAGAGTTCTCTTTCATTTTTTGTAGTTTCATGGTGAGAACATTGAAGATCTACTCTCTTAGCAAATGTCATGTGTACAATACAGTGTTATTAAATATAATATAATGTCTCCATGCTGTACATTAGATCTCCAGAACACAGCCCTTAGTCATCCCATGAAACTGAAACTCCTTTGTGAATGGATTCTATCTCTTCCATAGCCTGCACTGATTTGTGTTGATTTATTTGTCTTTCTTACTGAACAATGAGCTGTTTGAGATCTGGGACCACGCTTTTTTTTTTATCTTTATATCCGTAGAGCCTAGAATAGTATCAGGCTCATCAGGGGCAGTAAAAAATTATTTATTGATTAATAATATTAAAAATTACTTTAATTATTGAATGCTGTTTGTTGAAAGGAACAGATGTTTGACTCCTTTACAGTATGTCCAGGGAGAACAAATATAAACAAATGAGAATAATTATTCCTTCTTTGTACTGTCTTCACTCTCCCTCTTCCTCTGCACATTCTGGCAGCTCACTCCCCACTTCAAGATAAACCCTGAAGCACTCCTAGGATTTAAGAGGATTGTTGGCATGAGGAGAACACAGAGACTTTGGATTCAGACACAACTGGGCCTTGGTCTTCTGAATTGTAAATGAAAATGATGATCCCTGCCTCAAAGAGCTGCTGTAAGAGGAGAGATGGTGTCAGGAAAGTGCCTGACCATCACCTAGCACACTTAGGGGCTCAATGTGCGTCCCTTCTCTCTTCCCTTCTTAGCCTTTGGTCCATTGAGGGGTAGATTAGCCATAGCCCTGTTGTCCTGTTGCCTGTCTTTTGGTCAACCCTTCTTGTCTTATGACTATTAAAACTTTGGACTCCTGGAAATAGAATAAAATATTTTAACTGCATTCGTCTGAAAAGCCATTGGGAATATTTTATGTTAAAAAGAGTGAGACAATAGCAAAGACATGGGATCAACCTAAATGCCCATCAATGATCGACTGGATAAAGAAAATGTGGTACATATACACCACGGAATATTATGCAGCCACAAAAAAGAGTGAGATCATGTTCTTTGCAGAGACATGGATGGAGCTGGAAGTCATTATCCTTAGCAAACTGATGTAGGAACAGAAAACCAAATACTGTATGTTCTCACTTATAAGTGGGAGCTAAATGATGAGAGCACATGGACCCATAGAGGGGAACAACAACACACACTGGGGCCTACTGGAGGGTGGAGGGTGGAGGAGGGAGAGGATTAGGAAAAATAATGAATGGGTACTAGGCTCAATACCTGAGTGATGAGATAATCTGTACAAAAAAAAAAAAAAAAAAAACCCCATGACACAAATTGCCTATGTAACAAACCTGCACATATACCCCTGAACTTAAAATAAAAGTTAAAAAAAAATTTAAAAGAAGATCATAAAGGAAAAAAATAAATTAAAAAAGTGAGAGATACTGACAGAATAATGAGACATCGAGAACCATGGAGTGCTACATTTTTGAAAGGGAGAGGAGAGAAGAGATGGGAAAGAAGTAAGATCAATTACATGTGAAGTGTTCTAATATGGAGAAGAGAAAGGGGAAGTACGGATTTCTTTTTCCTGATGAATCTCATTACCATGCAGCATGTAAATTTGAAACTCTGTCTCCTGGGTGACCAGGCACCATATTACTTTTGGTTTCGAAGGCTTTAGTTGTACTCCCCTTAATGGCAAAACACTCATAGGAGACGTGATTAATTCGTTCCCTGGTTATCCACTCTCCTCCTTCCTTAGTCTTCACCGAAACCAACATATCTAACATTTCTTCTAAAGCTTTTCCTTATAGAGAACATTTGAATGTAAACATTTAAAAATAGCATTCACTAGATCTGTTTGTGAAATGTGTGATAAGTTCTGTCTACACTGTTCTTTTGTATTCAGACCAGTTTTCATGAACGTTCACTTGACTGAACATGAGTTTATTACACACATTTAAAAGTTAGTTGTTTTTCTGTCTCCTTTTTCATATCCTCTTTCCATGCTGATCATGTCTAGAGCCTTTTAGATATTTACAGCAAATGCTTTATTTAATACTTCTGTCACTCACACAATCTTGATCTACAGGATAATGATTTCCTAAAACATTTTTGTTTTTAAAATAATTTCCCACTACCCTCTTTTTACCCATAACTTAAACTGTTGTTGCTTCCTCCCCCAAATCTTGACTACTAAAGTCTTTCAGAAACAGATATTGTCTCTTAGTCACATGTAAACACCTTCTTACCTTCTTTTCTACAATTCATTCATTCAACAAATACTTATTGAGCGCCTTCTATGTGCCTGGAATTGTTCCAGTGCTGGAGATACAGCAGTAAACAAAAACCTTTGCCTTCATAGAACTTACATCCTAGTGAGAAGACAGACAACAAAGAAATACACACACTCACACACACTCACACAATCAGACACTACCCAGAACAAATCCTATCTCTACTTTGAACAACGCCTTGTTCCCATCCTTTTGGAATAAATTGGGTGGAATAGGACACCCAATTTGAATACATTTCTTTCAACATTGAACTCCTGGAGACTTTCACATCTTTATCACTCATGTGGAATTTATTGAATGCTGCCTGGTATTGTGATTATTTTCCACATAACAAAATCTTCTTGCTTAAATTGAAACCCCAAGAGGGCTGGGTTCATGACCTGTATTTCTCCCACCAGCCTTGTCCTAAAATTATGTATTTCAATAGTTGATGGTATCAAAAAGGAGCAAGGGATTAAACTTTGAAAATGTCAATAAGCGATTTAGAGCCAGCCAAATATTCTATATGTTTACCTGCTCTCCTTTTCATCCACCTATGAATGTAGAAAAATAACCTTAGAGCTTTGGATCCCACAGTAAATCCCTGTTTCCTGAGGTAGTTTTGCTAAAGTTTCTGCAGGAGAGGTAAAAGTTCTGCTGTCTTTAACCAAAAACTGATGCTCTGAGAATTAATTTTACCGGAGTTAATTTTATAATTTCCAAGTGTTTATTTCCATATGCATGAAATGAAATTTATTTAAGTACTGAAGCCCTTATTAATATAACCTGGCAGACTTCATGGGAAAGAAGTCCAAAAGAAATGCTTCTATTTATAGCAATAAGAAACTACAGTTCAGGAGTTCCCGGAAATTCTCTCTTTTTAATCATTCATAAGATTGCATTTCCTGGAGGTGTATCAGATATTTTCTCCTTCATGCCAAATGACTCCTTGTTCTTACATCAGGCAGCACGCTCTGTGAGACACACTCCTGCCTCTGTTTTGTAGGTAACTCTGAATAGTCACTCTATTCAGTGACGAAGTATTGGACTGACTGTTGGAACTGAGCTCTCCAATCTTACACCACCACCTTGCAATTTTAGAAAACAGGTGAACCTATCTGTGCTTCCTGCACTTCTAATTGACCTTCCTAGTATTGGTTTCTAATTTACTAAAATCTTAACTATGTATGTGACAATGTCCAATTTATTATTTTTTTTTTTACAAATAAGAGAAAGGGGTTAAGATGATCTCTCTGGGAAATACTAACTTTTGCTTAGAGATTTTATTAGAATGCATGGTGGGTGCATTCAATGATACATGATTAACCTCTCTCTTTTACTTAGCTGCAGCAAATATAATATTTAATTAGAAAGTATAAAACTTTTTGTACTTGTTAAAACGAATATAGAGCTTTGTAATTCTCAAATAGCAGTTGACAGGATTATTTTTCTATTCTTTTCTTCAAAATAAAAAGAAAATTCATCTGGACCTCAGTCAATTCTTCCCTCCCACCTTGTGCTTCAAGTAATACTTAAAGTTAAATAATTCCCAAACCCCCTAATTTACTGCTAGTGTAACAGATGCTCAATATGCATGAGTATATAACAAGTGATTGACCGGGCATGGTGGCTCACACCTGTAATCCCAACACTTTGGGAGGCCGAGATGGGCGGATCACTTGAGGTCAGGAGTTTGAGACCAGTCTGACCAACATGCTAAAACCCTGTCTCTACTAAAAATACAAAAATTAGCTGGGTATGGTGGGGAATGCTGGTAATCCCAGCTACCTGGGAGGCTGAAGCAGGAGAATCAGCTTGAGGCTGGGAGACAGAGGTTGCAGTGAGCCAAGATCGCACTACTGCATTCCAGCCTGGGCAACAGAGCGAGACTTCGTCTCAAAAAACAAAACAAAACAAAACAAAACAGGTAATTCACCTGCCTGGTCTGGCCTAGCCCCATTTTCTTGATTTCTTGACCCTCTGACACATTTGTTGTTTTAAGTTCCTTGTTCTCAAGAAGGTAACAAAATAAAAGCTGCAATCAAAGCTACTGTTTAATCTTAATATTGTCAGATCCTATTATAATGAACAAGGTGTGTAAGAAAATCTGCCCTCAGAAAGCAGGCTAATGTCACGGAGAGCAGTGTGGTAGATATTTAGATAAGGCAACAATTCTTTTTAATAATAAACAGAAGCATTTATTTGCATATCACTGGTTAATTGACAAAATTCTACTGGTAAAATGGAAAGGAACTAGCAGCAGTGTTGACTGCAAGTCAGGTATTAGAAACAGCATTGTGCTCCTTGGAACTCCACCTACTCAAAGTCCCACCCAGGCCTGTTCTGGAGACTTCTCTCATCATGCAAAAGAGCTAAAGTCCTTGGGCAGGGAAGCAGGTCTGTGGTCACAGCTGGGGTTGTAGAACAGCCTCCCAGCCCACACTGGAGTAACCAAACTGTCTGGAGTCCTGGAAACTTAGGTTCTCATTTCGTTCATTTTTAGACCTTCTGCCCAAAGTCATGTTTGGCCATAGATGGTGCCTCTTGATCTGTCTCTGCGTGACTGTGGCTCAGCTGAGAGCCTGTGTGCTTCAAAACCAAAAAGGCATCTATAATGGTATCATTTATTAGACTTGCACCTTAGTAATTTTTTTTTTTTTTTTTTTTGAGACGGAGTCTCGCACTGTCACCCAGGCTGGAGTCCTGTGGCTCAATCTCTGCTCACTGCAAGCTCTGCCTCCCAGGTTCAAGCCATTCTCCTGCCTTAGCCTCCCGAGTAGCTGGGACTACAGGTGCCTGCCACCACACCTGGCTAATTTTTTGTATTTTTAGTAGAGACAGGGTTTCACCACATTAGCCAGGATGGTCTCGATCTTCTGACCTCGTGATCCACCCGCCTTGGCCTCCCAAAGTGCTAGGATTACAGGCGTGAGCCACCATGCCTGGCCGCACCTTGGTAATTTTTAAGGAAAAACAGCTAAAGCCAAAAACTGGAAGAGGATAGGCTGCATCCTGGCACAGCTGTGAAGTGAGGAGGCTGTGACTCCCCTGACCCCTGCATCTCCCCTTTTAGATTTCCGTGAGTTCCTTGCAAAGCTGCTCTAGTGAGTGGCTGTGGACATCCTCCCCACTGCCTCCCAGAGGGCTGTCCAGCCTCACTGCTGGTTCTCCCAATGTGGGCTCTCAGCTAGCAGTGGAAAGTAGAGAAAGTAAGCCTTGCCAAGGCACAAATGACAGATAAGCCATT
Organism: Homo sapiens; assembly: GCF_000001405.40. Taxonomy (NCBI): domain Eukaryota; kingdom Metazoa; phylum Chordata; class Mammalia; order Primates; family Hominidae; genus Homo; species Homo sapiens. The sequence goes on from NC_000010.11 coordinate 23,019,115, forward strand.
ATTTACCAGCTCAGAAGTATTTTAACGAAACGATGATTGTCTCCTTTGCTACTGAAAATGTTCAAGTTTGTGTCAAGCTGTTTAGGGGTGTTTGGTGCAGAGTAAAAAGTGGGGTGCAGGTCATCAAGTCACACCAGCATCCCCTAGGGTGAGATGCAGAAAGTGAGTAAAGACAGACATTCCATCTATGGTGTTAGAATACAATTTGTGTAGAAGTAAAATCATAACTCTCATGTAAATATAAAGTGAATACACAGCAAGATTTATTTTAAAATTGATTTCTGTATACAATTCTATGAATTTTAACAAAAGTGGAGATTTGTATAACCATCATCACAATCAGGATACAAAACAGTTCCATCACCCCAGATAATCCTAACCCCTGGTATTTTCTATTTGTTCTCTGTTACTGTTGTTTTTCTGTTTTGCTTTGTTTTGTTTTTTTTAGAGACAGGGTCTCACTTTATAGTCTAGGCTGGAGTGCAGTGGTGTGATCTTGGTTCACTGCAACCTCCACTCACTGCAACTTCAACCTCCTGGACTCAAGTGATCCTCCCACCTCAGCCTCCCGAGTAGCTGGGACTACAGGAATGCACCACCACACCCAGCTAATTTTTGTAAGGTTTCGCCATGTTGCCCAGGCTGGTCTGGAGCTCCTGAGCTCAAGCAATTCGCCTGCCTCTGCCTCCCAAAGTGCTGGGATGACATGCGCAAGCCATCACCATGCAGCCACGCCTGTTAGTCTTTTTGAGAATGCCACATGAATAGGATCATACAGTGTGTAACGTTTGAGACTGGCCTTTCCACTCAGTGTAATGCCTTTGAGATTCTTCTGAATTGTTTTGTGTATCAGCAGTTTATTTTGGAGTATTATTTCACTGTGTGGATATACCACAGTATATGTCCACTCACCTGTTAAAGGACATTTGAGTTGTTTCCAGTTTTTGTTGATTATGAATAGAGCTGTTATAAACATTCATGTGTGTGTGTGAATGTAAGTTTTTGTTTTGTTTTGTTTTGTTTTGTTTTTTTGAGGCAGAGTCTCGCTCTGTTGCCCAGGCTGGAGTGCAGTAGCATGATCTTGGCTCACTGCAACCTCCGCCTCCCAGTTCAGGCAATTCTCCTGCTTTAGCCTCCCGAGTAGCTGGGATTACAGGCATGTGCCACCACACCCAGCTAATTTTGTATTTTTAGTAGAGATGGATGATGGTTTCTACTAAATGATGGCCAGGCTGGTCTCGAACTCCTGACCTCAAGTGATCCACTCGCCTTGGACTCCCAAAGTGCTGGGATTACAGGTGTGAACCACCATACACAGCCAGTTTTAATTTCTCTAGGGTAAATACCTGGGAGTGGGATTTCTGGGTCATATGGTAACTGTATGTTTAACTTTATAAGATACTAGCAAACTTTTCCAGAATAGCAATAGCATTTTGCTTTCTCACTGGCAATGTATGAGAGCTCCAGGTGCTCCACATCCTTGCTGGCACTTGGGATTGTTAGTATTTATTTATCCATTCTAATATGTAAATAGTGGTATCTCATCATGATCTTAATTTGCATTTCCCTAACAGCTAATGCTGTTAGCATTTTTTCATGTGCTTATTTGCCATCTTTATATCCTCTTTGGTGAAGTATCTGTTCAAGTATTTTGTCCATTTTTTAAATTGGGCTTTTGTTTTTGCTTTTTCTCAACTTTAATTTTAGGTTCAGAGGGTACAGGTGCAGGTTTGCTACGTGGGTAAATTGTGTGTTGCTGAGATTTAGTATATGAATGATCCTGTCACCCAGGTAGTGAGCCCAATACCAACAGGTAGGTTTTCAACCCTTCCCCACCTCTCAACCTCCCCCACCTGGTAGCCCCCAGTGCCCTAGTGTCTGTTATTCTCATCTTTATGTCCATGTGTATGCAATGTTTAGCTTCCACTTATAACTGAGAACATGTGGTATTTGGTTTTCTGTTCCTGCATTAATTCACTTAGGATAATGACCTCCAGCTGCATCCACGCTGCTGGAAAGGACATGATTTTATTCTTTTTTATGGCTGTATCGTATTCTATGGTGTATACATACGACATTTTTAAAAATCAAGTCCACTGTTGATGGACATCTAGGTAGATGCCGTGTATTTGCTATCGTGAATAGTGCTGCAATGAACATAGGAGTACATGTGTCTTTTTGGTACAATGATTTATTTTCCTTTGGGTGTACACCCAGTAATGGGATGGCTGGGTCAAATGGTAGTTCTGTTTTAAGTTCTTTGAAATCTCCAAACTTGTTTCCACAGTGGCTGAACTAATTTACAATCCCACCAACAGTGAATGAACGTTCCCTTTTCTCCACAACCTTGCCAACATCTGTTAATTTTTATTTTTTAGTTTTTTAGTAATAGCCATTCTAACTGGTGTGAGACGGTATTCTCATTATGGTTTTGATTTGTATTTCTGAAATGATTAGTGATGTTGCAGATTTTTTCATATATTTGTTGGCTGCATGTATGTCTTCTTTTAAGAAGTGTCTGTTCATGTCCTTTGCCCATTTTTAATGGGGTCATTCATTTTTTGCTTGTTGAATTGTTTAAGTTCTGTATATATTCTGGATATTTGTAGACCTTTGTTGGATACATAGTTTGTGAATACTTTTCCCCATTCTGTAGGTTGCCTGTTTACTCTGTTGATAGTTTCTTTTGCTGTGCAGAAGCTGTTTGTTTTTTTACTGTTCAGTCATGAGCATTCTTTGTCTTATATATGAGTCTTCTGTTGACCATGTGGCTTGCAAATATTTTCTTCCACTCTGTACCTTGTCTTTTTATTCCCTTAGCAGTATCTTTCTCAGAGCAAAAGTTTTTAATTTTGATGAAGTCAAATTTGTCAAAATTTTCTTTTATAGATTGTGCTTTTGGTGTCATGTCTAAAAACTCCCTGCTTCTTGGTGAATGCCTTGAAAAAATATGTATATTTACATTTATATCTATAGAGTGTTTACATACATAATAGGCTAACCCTAGATCAAGAAGATTTCCTCCTTTGTTTTCTTCAAAATATTGAATGCTTTTAGGTTTTCTATTTAGGGCTAGCATTAATTTTGAGTTAATTTTTACATACAATGTGAGGCTTATGTGGAAATTTACTTTGCATATGAATGCCTAATTTTTCCAGGAACATTTGATGAAAAGCAACATTTTTCTCTCTTGAATTATCTTTGTACCTTTGTCAAAAATCACTTGATGACTTCCTGCAGATCAAGTTGGCACAGACTAGTTTTTCTTTGCTCCTCCCTGCTAAATAGAACTATTAACCCTGGAAATAATGCAAGAGGCAAACAAAGGAGAACTCCAAAGGAGGCAAGAAGAAGGTGAACTGGCTGGGGACCCTATGACTTGGGGGAAAACACAGCAGCAGGGCATCTTATGTTCCCTCATCTAACAGAAGGCCCCCCAGCCTAGCAACAGAAAGCAACCAGTAGTCATTTGACAACACTAGGCAAACTCAGTGCCAATGACAAGGGGGTTGACTGGAGCCCCACTAACACTAGGAATCTAGGGTAAGCAAATGCCTCTTCTGACAGCCAGAGACAACTTCCCTTTTCCCCCTTCTACCCCTAGACCTGCCAAGAGATATCAAGGCAGCTGGGCAGGAGTAGCAAGAGGGACCTAGACACAGCAAGTATACCTGAGGGGCTGAGACTTGCTTCTCCCACCCAGAGATACTGGAGTGGCCAGAAGGGACCTGCTCAGACCAGGATGTGGCCAGCCTGGGAATCTGCTTTGTCCCAATAAGCCTGAGTCTCCCTCTCCCACTGAGAAACACTGGGCAGGTGGGTGGAACCTGCAAGAGGGACCTAAGCACAATAAGTACCCTGGTACAGGGCACTCCTTTGTCCCCATGGCATTGAGGCTACCTTCTCTCACCAAGAGACATGGACTGGGGGATGATAGTAGGGAGACATCTTGCCACAAGGGTCCTATCCATCTTACACAGGCTGGGGGAAACCAGCCACAACAAGCCCCTGCCTAGGGAAGCCTCTGGGTCCTTGCAGCCCTGAAATACCTATCCTTCACAGAGAGTCCCAGAACGGGGAAACCCCTCGTATTCCTTCAGATAACACCAGGAGGGACCAGTGGGAGTCCCAGCAGCCTAGTTAAACCAAGCAGAAAAACACGTACACTCACTGAAAGTCTCTGAAAATTAACGTGTCATTGGAATCACTGCCTACAAAAGTAGTCCAGGACCTCTCTGCAGAACTCCAGGGAGACTGCTTGCTAAAATACATAAAGAGAGCCAGAGTTTCCCAATATAATAGACAACATAGCCAGATTATGACCCACAAAAGACCTGTCATATCAGGAACCAAGAAAATCACAATACCAATGAGAAATGACAATCAATTAATGCCCACATGAAGATAAATCAGTTGTTGGAATTATCTGACCTGGATTTTAAAGCAGTCATCATGAATGTGCTTCAACAATCCATTACAAATTTTCTTGAAATAACTGAAAAAATAGAAAATTTCAACAACAAAAATAGCAGTTATAAAAAAGGAACCAAATAGAAATTATAGAACTGAAAAGTATAATAACAGAAATAAAAAGTCTCACTGGAAGGATACAATAATAAAATGGAGATGATAGATGATAGAATCAGTGAACTTGAGGACAGAGCAGTAGAATTCACTCAATCTATATAACCAAGAGAAAAATTAACTGGAAAAAAAAATGAACAAAGCCTCAAGGACTTACGGGACAATAATAAAAGATCCAACATTCATATCATTGCAGTTCCAGAAGGAGAGGAGAGAGGGTAGGGCTGAAAGAGTATTCAAACAGGTAATGATTGAAAACTCCCCACATTTGCTGAAAGATATAAACCTTTTGATTAAAGAAGAGGAGAAGATTCCAAATAGGATAAACCCAAAGAAAACAACACTAAGTTAATTATAATTAAACTTCTGAAATCGAGCAGCCAAAGAAAAACTATGCATTTCTTGTAGGAAAACATCGACTCAAGTGACAGTGTCTTTCTTATTTGAAACTATAGAAGCCAGGTGGAAGTGGCATGTTTTTCAAGTGCTGAAAGAAAAGAACTGTCAACCACAAGTATCTGGTGAAACCATTCTTCAGCAATGAAGAAGACAAATAAAGCCCTTCTCAGGTAAAGGAAAACTAAACAACTTACAGTTAGCAGGCCTATCCTAACAGATTGGCTAAAGAATGTTCTTCAAACAGAAAGAAAATGGTGAAAGAATCTGGAAGGATTAGGAAGAAAGAGGAATGCCACATAGATAGATAGATAGATAGATAGATAGACAGATAGATAGATACCTCCATGCAGTAGACTATCCATTTCCTCATGAGTATTTTAAGTCACATTTGATGATTGAAACAAAATGTATAACATCTTATACTCAAGACAATGATATTTTAAAGTAAAGGAAGTAAAGACACCTGAAAGGAGGTGAGGCTTCCATACTTTACTTGAAGCAGTAAAATGTGGATACCAGTACACTGTGATAAGCCATATTTGTACATTGTAATATCTACTGTAACCACTAAAAAACCTATACAAAAAGCTATGCTCAAAAAGCCATAAATAAGTCAAGATGGAATCCTAAAAACAATGTTCAAGTAACACACAAGAAGGCAAGAAAAGAAGAGCAGAGGAATAAAAACCAATTGAAAGACAGATTGGCAGAGTGGATAAGAAGTTATGATCCGACTGTATGCTGTTTAAATAAACTAACTTCAAATTCATTTGACATAGGTAGGCTGAAAGTAAAAGGATGGACAAAAATACCATGTAAACATTAACTTTTTATGGAGCAGGAGTGGGTTTTAAAATATCTTATAAATTAGACTACAGAGCAAAGAAAATTACTAGAAATAAAGAGGGACATTACATTAGTGATCAAATGAATTAACTTATGAGGAAGACATAATGATCTAATGTGTGTGAACCAAACAACAAAGCCTCAAAATAAATGAAGCAAAAAAAACCTGATAGCACTGAAAGGAGAATTTGACAACTTCACAATTATAATTGGGACTTCAACACTGCCCCCAACCCCCAGCAACTGGTAGAACTTCTAGGTGGAAAATTTGCAGGGATACAGAAGATTTCAGCAACAGCAGCAACCAACAAGATCTCATTGACATATGTAGAACACTCCAACAATAACAGCAGAATACACGTTTCATTAAAAGTGCATGTGAAAATTCACGAATACCCTGAGCCATAAAAAAAACCTCAGGAAATTTAAAATACTTGAAATTATACATAATATGTACAATAATCATGATAAATCAGATTATAAATTAATAACAGAAATACAACAAGAAAATCTCTAAACAAGTGAAAATTGAATGATGCACTTCTCAATAATCCATGGGACATAAAAGGACATCTCAAAAAAAATTAAGAACGTAGGACTGAAAGAAATTTAAAATAAAGCATATCAAAATTTGTGGGGCACACTTCAGGGAGTGTTGAGAGGAAAATCTATTGTACTAAATGCTTACATTAGAAACAAAAAGAGGTCTCAAATCAACAATCTGAGCTTCTACCTCAAGAAACTAGAAAAAGGAGAGCAAAACACTCCCAACACAAACAGAAAGAAGGAAATAATAAAGGTAAGAAATCAATGAAATTTAAAACAGAAACAATAGAGAAAATCAATGAAATAAAAATCTGTTTCTTTAAAAAGTTCAATAACTTGGGTAAACCTCTGCAAAGATGACAATTAATCAAAGACAGAGGACACAAATTGCCAAGACCAGGAATGAAAGAAGGAATTATTACTATAACCCCTCAACACACAATAAAGGATAATAGAGAAATGCTACAAGCAACTTAGTTCAGCAACTTAGATGCAATGAATGGACCAATTATTTATCAAAAACTACAAACTACCCGATCTCACCAAAGATGAAATAGACAACAGCCCTGTAACTATTAAATAAATTTAATTCATTAAAATTTTTTTCCAAAAAGAAATCTCTTGATCCAGATAGTTTCATTGGCAAATTTCACCAAACACTTAAAGAATTAACATCAATTGTACACAATTTTTTTCAGAAAATAGGAAAATAGAGGATACTTCTCAACTCACGATGATCTAATGCCAATCTATTTGCATTAGGTTACTCTAGTGCCAATACCAGACAAGGACATTACAAGAAAATTACAGATCAGTATTCCTCATGAACATAGATCCCTAAATCCTGTATGAAATACCAGCAAATCAAATTCAGCAGTATATACAAAGAATAATTTATCTGAGCAACTTGAGGGCTTTATCCTAGGAATGCAAGCCTGTGTCATGCTTGTCAATCAATGTAATCCATCATATTAGCAGTATAAAGAAGAAAAACCAACTTATATTAACTGACACAGAAAAAGCATTTGGCAAAATTCAACATCTACTTATGATGTTGATAGGATAAAAATAAAAATAAAACTGTTGAAAAAAGGCATAAAAGGTAATTGCCTCAACTTGATAAAAGCCATCTACAAAATAATCTACAGATCACATCATACTTAATGGTAAAAGACTGCAAACAATATCATAACTAGGATATTGACATTGATACAATCCAATCATTTTATTCAAGTTTATTTTTCTTCTACATGTGTATTTAGTTTTATACAATTTTATCACGTGTAGGTTTATGCCTCTACTAGCACAGTTAAGATAATGAATAGTTTCATCACCACGTGGACCCTCAAGTCGAATTGCCCCAGTACCATTTGTTAAAAAGACCATCCTTCTTCCATTGAATTGCTTTTGCACCTTTGTCAAAAATCAGTGGAGCATATTTTTTTGGTTTCTATTTCTTGGTCCTCAGTTCTGTTACATCCATCCATATGTCTATCCCTCTACTAGTATCACTCTGTCAGAATTACTGTAGCTATATAGTAAGCCTTACTATCAAATACAGTGATTCTTCCCACTTTATTTTTCTTTGTCAAGATTGATGTAGCTATCCTAAAATCCGTGCCTTTTCATATAAATTCTAGAATAAGATTTTCTATTATATGTCTAGAAAAAACCGCTGGGATATTGATAGGAATTGCATTAAAACCAGAGATCATTTTGGGGGAGAACTGACATCTTTAATAGTTACATCTTCAAATCCATGAACACAATACGTCTCATCATTTATCTAAGTCTTCTTTGATTGCTTTCCTTAGCATTTTTAATATTCAGCACATAGATCATGTAGGAATTCAACATGTTTTGCAAAGTTTATCTGTAAGTATTTTATTTGGAGCAATTGTAAATGCTTCAAACAGTTTTTTGGTTTTAATTTTGATTTGCACATGTTCCTTGTTACTTACTATATGAAACACAATTGGTTTTTGTGTGTTGATCTTATATCCTGACCCTTCGATGAACTCATTTATAGTAGTTTTTTTGGAGAATTCCTTGGGAGTTTCTACATAGACAGTCATGTCATCTGCTTTGTGTTTAGTTTTCAAGAGTTTGATTTTGATGTATCTGAGAGTAGATTTCTTTGGGTTTACCTTATTGGCATTCACTGAAATTCCTGACTGTGTAGATTTATGTTTTCAACCAAATTGAGGGAGCCATCTCAGCCTTTCCTTCTTTATTCAATGTGTTTTTTTCTATACTGTACCCTTTCTCTTCTCTGTCTGGGACTTTGATGACATCAATCTTAGACCTTTTTAATTGTACCACAGGTCCCTGAGTGTCTGTCAACTGTTTTTTTCAATCTTTTGTTTTCTATCCAGGCACGGTGGCTCAAACCTGTAATCGCAGCATTTTGGGAGGCCAAGGCAGGAGTTTCGCTTGAGCTCAGGAGTTGGAGACAAGCTTTGGCAACATAGTGAGACCTTGTCTTTACAAAAAAATAAAAAAATTAGCTAAGCATGGTGGCACACACCTGTGCTCCCAGCTACTCAGGAGGCTGAGGTGGGAGGATCACTTGAGCACTGGAAGTTTGAGGCTACAGTGAGAAGTGGTGGCAGCCAGTGCACCCCAGCCTGGGCAACAAGTGAAACCCTGTCTCAAAAACAAACAAAGAACAACAACAACAACAATTTTGTTCTGGGTGTTGTTCAGATTGGATGATTTTTATTGTTCTATCTTCAACATTGGCTAGTTCCTCTTTTATCTTCATTATGCTATTAAACCCATTTAGGTAGTTATGTTCTTTTAAACTTTTAATTACGTATTTCTCAGTTCCAAAATTATATTTTTATGTCTTCTATTTATTTCTAAGATTTTTATACTTCATTTCAAGAGTATTTGATCTTACTTCTTGAAGCATTTTTAAAGTCTTTGTGTAATCAACATCTGGGTCATCTAGGCAGTGGTGTCTATTGATTGTCTTATCCTATATGAGTTGAGATTTTCTTGGTTCTTCACATAATGAGTAATTTTAGATTATAATAAGTTATAAGTCCTAAGAGTCTTATTTATGGGTTTTATTTACATTCTAAGAATATTCCTTTTGGGTGTGTTTTAGCAGACAATTGACTAAGTTGAGTTCAGGCTTCCAATTCCAACCAGGCTTCTGTGGATTGTCATTCCCATGTCAGTTGAATTTTCAAAGTCTTTGCAGTGCTATTTGGATTGGTTCTGCATGTATGCCAACCAGTATCCACTTTGGGACTTGGATAGCAGTCTATCCAGTAGTTCAGTTTTCAAAGTCTATGTATGTGCTGTTGAGGGTCAAGCCATGTATGCACAACTCAGGATAAGCCTAGGAATTTATAAATAAATAACTTATGGGGTTGCTTTTCTGAGCTCCTTCTTTTCCATAATCTTCCTTGCTTTTTCTGATTCTTTGGGGACTTCCCTTTAGGTCCTCCAGCCAGAAAACTTTATTTACCTTGATCTACTGCACTCTTGACATGACTGCACCCATATCTACAGCCAAATAGCAGAAGGTCTGAGGTAGTATAAAGCAATTTTAGGCTCTTATAGGATCCTAGTGCCACCAGTGCCACCACTGTCACAGGATTCCTTATGGGCTTAGAATGCACAAGAATGAAGAAAAATTAGAAAGAACAAAAATTAAAACTGGGGCTTTCCTTTATTCTTTTTCTTTCTCTCAAGAGGGCATCTTCTTGAGCTTTCTCTGTGCTGATGTTCACTTCCAGTTACTGGGCTAAGTTTATTTCAGCATGGGGAATTATGGAATTCAATAGAAGGATAAACTCATCATCAGTAGAGTATTAATTCAAATTTTGTTCTTCTCTGCTCTTCCTGCTGCTATTTACTTTTCAGAGTCCTCAAACAGCTGTTGCATGCATCCTGTCCAGCTTTTGTGACTGTATTCAATGGGACAGACAGGGTGAAGTATGCTTACTCCACATTACCTGGAATAAGAACCCATGCTATTGTTTTTGTTTGACTCATTAATTAGGGAGGGAACCAGTAAGATGTTCATACTGGTTCAAAGAACCATTGAGGTGGAAGGTATTTCTATCCAATTTAACTAAGGAATATTCAAAAAAGATTGCTGAATTACATGCCAAATTGATTAACATCCTATAGGACAATAAACTGTAACCTTTGAGAGTATCTTTTCCATTGGACAGGAATTATTTGCATCTCTACATGTTAAAATATACATGCTAACTAGTAATTCTCTAAGACCAGAACTTTTAATTAAAATTTCATCTTTATTAAGTACTAAACTAAGTACATTTCTCTAGATAAACCTTGGATGAGTCTTTGTTCTTGTACGTCATGGAGATTACATGCCATTCTCATTTTGTAGGTTTTTTTTGCTTTATTTCCTTGTTTTGAATAATTTTTCTTAAAAATAGCAATCCAAATTATTTCTGCAGAAGGTCTTAACTGAAGTAACAGATGATGTAGCTGGCTTAGGCTCTCTGAGAAGGCAACCTAATTGTTTCCAATTCAATAAATATGTATTACATACCTACTACTATGTGCCAGACACCTTGCTAGGCAATTGTGCAGAAGACCAATATATGATTTTCATAATATATATCAATCACACAATGTTCTCTTGAAAATTAGTTTGTCCTGCCTAATATAGACTCTATAAAATTCTCCAATTGTCATTGAAAATGAAAATTTGAAAACTTTACATATGTATAAAATACAGTCATTCCTCAGTATCCATGAGGAATTGGTTTCATGAAGCCCTATAGATACCAAAATCCATGCATACTCTAGACCCACAGTCAGCTCTGTGGAACCCACATATATGAAAAGTCAGCTCTCTGTTTCTGTGGGTTTTACATAGCACAAATACTGTATTTTCAGTCACATTTGGTTGTGGAATGCGGAACCCATGGATAAGAAGGGCCAACTGTATTTACTGAAAAAAAATCCACATATAAGTGGATCCACACAGTTCAATCTCATGTTGCTCAAGGGTTCACTGTACCTTTTTTCTGTGATGCTCTTTTCAGAAATGCAAGAGCAATTGTTTGTTTGTTTAGCAGAAGATGTGATTTTGATTGCCCTTGTTTACTTTCAAAGGAAAAGCAAAGGAAAAAAAGAAGAGGAAAAAGTGAAAGAGGAGGAAGAGGTTATGGTGGTACCAAAATTTGTTGGTGAAGGAAGCTCTGACAAAGAATGGTGTCCTCCCTCTGACCCTGATTTCTCTATGTATGTGTATGAGGTGACCAAATCAATACTGCCAATAACCAATATTAAGGAACAGATTGAGGATCTGGCAAAGTAAGTTGTCTATGTATATATGTGTTTTTAATTTCTGAAAAAATTTTAGTGTCATATACATTTTAGCCATGTTTTAGACAAATACACCATAAATAAAATTGAAGTTTACAGCACTCTGACTCTGACACAGAAACACAATGAATTGGAAAAGTCCTCAACTTCTATTTAGGTCATACGTTCACTAAGAATCAGAGATAGCAGCTGGAAATTGCTTCAAGAAAAATGCCTGTCATTTTCTTCAGCTAGACCATGAAAAGCATCTTTCAATGTGATCCTGCAGAAGTTATGAATGAATCAAAAGTTTGAAGATTAAATCATCCCTTAGGTGGATGGGGTGTTCATAAGTTAAAGGAATCCTACTGTGAATTATTTGTAAACTGATAAATTTTCTAATACAAATGTCCAATGTCTCTTTTTCTGATCTGTTTCTGATATTTCGTGTTTCATGTTACTCTAAGTGGGGTGTGAGCATTCTAAACAATGGCTGCTTAGGCAGGCTCAGGGCTCTGTATAAGCCAGTGAAGTCGTCTTCTTCATTAGAGTGTTTAATTACACCAGGTAAAGGCTGGAATTGGACTTGGTAGCTGTAAGGGGTTAGGAATCACCAGAAGTGAGGACAGGCTTCGTGACTGACACCACTCAGTAGGTAAGCTGCTGGCTTGTGCAACAGCTGCAGCCTCCATGGGAGCTTGCATCTCCTCCAAATAGCAGTGAGTTGCTATCATGAAACCTGGATGTGACAACTGCAAGTAACACAGCTGCCAGATCATTGACTCTTTGTCAGCCAGAACTGGAAGAGAACATTTTTGGCTACTGAAGTGTTCCTGATGTCCTTGAGAAGTGATGGCTCAAGCGGAACTCTGTCTTGGCTTATGTGAACATCTGTCAAATCTCTTCATGCTTTGTTCCTATCAGTAACACTTTTCATCATTCTCAAACAATTGTCTTTTTTTAACTTGAGGCCACACCAAGATACAAAGAGAGGCAGAGATATGTCCCCATGGCTCTGGTTCCCTGCCATTCACTAAAGTACCCCTGGCTTGGTGGAACTGCAGTCAGTTCAACAGCTTTCTCTCCAACTCTTTCTCTCTCTTTTTTCTTTTTTTAAATCATTGTTCTTCTTTGCTTGGTTTTTCATGCAGCAAGAGGAATTTCTTTAAAATTCGCAATTTGGGCCAGGCACGCTAGCTCATGCTTGTAATCCCAGTGCTTTGGGAGGCCAAGATGGGAAGATGTATTGAAGCCAGGAGTTTGAGACCAGCCTGGGCAATATAGTGAGACTCTCATCTCTCTTTATAAATACAAATTAAAAAATAAAATTGCAATTCTGCCTTTACTCCAAGAAGGTAGTGGTCTTCAGAGACAAAGGGTATTGCAGGTGTGTTTACTGACTTCTTCAGTGACAGCCTAATATTAGGAGAAATCCACAAGCAAAGTATACCACATTTATCCTGCCTTGCCCACAGATCTGTGACTTTATTTTTCTTTTTGCCTCTTCCTCTTCTTCCTTGCTCCTGACTTCAGTGTTAAGTCACACCATGTCTTTCTCTAAATTAAAATAAATTTTTAAAGAAAAAATAAAAATATAAAACTTGAAAATGTTCTTAAATCTAATGGGAAAATGTTCTGTGTGTTTGTCTTGTCTCTGAGTTTAAATTCCTTGAAAGAATAACGGTATGTTACTTCAACTCCTTCCTTGGATTTCAGATTAAAATATTTAAAAATACTTTTCAAGAGTAAGAAAAAATTTTAAAACTGCATTGATATTTAGAGTTATATTGATTTTATCTTATTATAAGTATTGGGAAAAATCAGCACTCATTTTCTCCTTCAAATTGAATGAAATTGCTAGAATTTCAGTTTATATATGATGGTTTGCATACAGTAAGCATGCTATGCTACAGTAAGCATAACTATTTATGGTTAGTACTTTCTCAAAAATAAAGCACAACAAAAATCACAGCAAATGTCATTTTTACATGTATATTTACATGTAATTACACTCAAAGCATCCTAAGCGAGTTATTAAAATTGACCGATTTGATCTCAATGTAATTGACACAGGTATGTAGCAGAAAAAATGGGTGGTAAGATTCCAAAAGAGAAACTACCTGATTTCAGCTGGGAACTTCACATAAGTGAACTGAAATTTCAACTTAAATCCAATGTTATACCGATTGGACATGTCAAAAAAGGAATCTTCTACCATCGAGCTTTGCTTTTCAAGGTGTGTAAGGTATTTTGCCTCATTTGCCATTAAGTAAAAATGCTTTGTCTTTATCATACTGGAGTAGGCCAGTTGCTAACATTTAACTGGATATTATTAATTCTACCATTTAGATTTATTTATATCTACATATAAGTGTATATATACTTATATACAAGCATACACATATATATATATGAATATAAACATGCATATACACACATACCTGCCTATATAGTCAACAGACTACTAGAAGCATATTTATTCAATAGTGACCATACACCTACTATGGCGAGGGCCTCTGCTAGGGCCTGAGAGTACAGAGATACTAAAATGACAGTCCCTACACTCAAGGGGTACCTAAACCAGACTTGCAGCTTCCAAAGTGAAGTCAGGGAAAATTCCAGAGAAAGAGCTGATATATAACCCAGGTATGAGAGGCTGCACAGGGTTTATCAAGTAAAGAAGGAAAACAAGCGTATACTAAACAGAGAAAACATCTTATGCAAAATAATACAGGTATGAGAATCAGTGATCTATCTGAGGAAGGGTAGAATAGTTTGTGTGCATGAGGAAAAGAGGAGGGGCGAATGCTAGATCATAACGCATCATGTAAGTTTGGGCATTATTTTATTACCCTAAAATATAACAGTAGCCATTGAAAGTTTTCAAGAGGGTAACATCATTTTGAACCACTGTTCAGGCAACAGATGGGGAATGAATTAGAGCAGGGGCAAGACTAGAGACAGGAAAACCAGTTAGAAGGTGACTGAGCAAGAAGTGTGGTTGATCCATGCTAAATCCTAGGTGTGGTGCGAGAGAGTACATGAGAAGAACAAAACGATTTCTGGGCTTTGAGTGGGGCAGCTGGTAATGATGGCATTATTCCCTGAAATGGGGACATCACAGAAGGATCAGGTTGAAGAGAGGGGGTGATCTTTTGCTCCATCATATCCAGTGTCTGGCATATAACAGAAGCTGGGAAAATGTGAACTATAGACTAAATGCATAAATTCCCTACCCTTTCCCAAACACTTATAAACATCATTGCATTCACATGCAGCTTACCTCCAGTTCCAAGCGAATTCTATTATCTTTCCTATTCCCTTTCCTATTCCCTTGGATTTCCTATTCCCTTTCCTATTCCCTTGGATTTCCTATTCCCTTTCCTATTCCCTTGGATTGCCTGCTCTATCAATTCTTCCTTCTCTCCTGTCTTAACTCTCTTCTCTCTCTTAGCTATTTTCCCCTTTAAAATCTAAACATGCTTAACTCTGCAGTATATAAAGAGAAAATATAAAGCTTTTATCATAATAGCTACAATTACTACCTTAAATCCTATTACCATGACTAACATCATTTTGAACTATATGCCAGGGACTTGATAACTATAATTGTGAAGAGTTTCAAAAATGCCAAATATAGAAATGACTACCCTTGATTTAAAGGTGAGCAAACTGATACCTGGAGAAATAATTTTACCCAAGGTCAACCATAGATGGAGCTGAAATTTGAGCCCACGCCTACCTGAATAAAAGACCTACCACACTGCTTCTACCCATATAGATAATTCCCATTCCTGGTCAAAATTCTGAGTCATCTTAGCTCCTTGTCATTCTTTGGCACACCTCTCATTTTTGTCCTAACTCACGGCCATCTGGCTTTCGCTCCCACTCTCTCAATAAGGACGTTAGTGATCTCCCTATTGTCTGCCTTTCTTAACAGGTCAAAGAATTGGAGAACACCTCCAGGTCTCTCTTAAATATTGGGGTTCCTCAAGGTTCTGACCCAGACACTCTTCTGTTCTCCCTTTATGTACTTTGCAGGGTGAGGTTTTCCTTCATATGGCCTTAAATAGTACCTAAATACCTAAAATCTACAGATTATTTCCTTCATCCTTCAAACCTCCCCTGATTCCAGATCTATGTATGTGATTAGTAGCCAGCTAGCTCTATATGAGTGTCTCATAGGCACTGTATTTGTCAAGTTGAGCTGCTATAACAAAATACCATAGACTGGAAGATTAAACAGCATTTATTTATTTCTCATAGTTCTGGAGGCTGGGAAGTCCAAGATCAGAGTGCCAGCAGATTCAGTGTCTACTGAGGGCTCCCTTCCTGGTTTGCAGACAGCCACCTTCTTGCTGTATCCTCAAATGGCAGAGAAAAGGCTCCAATTGTATCCTCACATGGTGGAGAGCAAGCATGCTCTCCTGTCTCTTATTATAGGGACACTAATCCCATCGTGGGGTCTACCCTCATGACCTCATCTAAACCTAATCTCCTTCCAAAGACCCCCACCTCCAAATGCCATCACATTAGGGATTAGGGCTTCAACATATGAATTTGGGGGAGTACACAAACATTCAGTTCATAGCAGGCATCTTAAGCTCATTATGCCAAACAGAATTACCCTCACATCTCAACTGAGTCATGCAATTAATTACCCAGAAATCTCCCACCACTGAAATTCTGAACACCAATACTCACTGGTAAAATATCTTATCCTTCCCCTCCTCCTATATCCTTCAGCCCTTCTATATATACTCTTTATCTCCCTTATTTTCTTCCAGTTTTTTGGCCTGTTTGGCTTTACTTTCTTCCCTAGGCAGGATAGACAAATATACCACAGCCCTAATAATTCACTCACTCACTAATTTCCCCCATTCCCTCTCCTCCCATCCTTCCCCCTCTGCCTTGTCAACCAGGCCTTGTTCTGATTGCCTGTCTTTTCACTCATACACACCACCTACAGGCCACTCCTCTATAGGCCACCCTTTCCCAGCTCCTAGTGGCAGGCTTTTTCCTATTTCCTTCAGCTACTGGGCCCCACATCTGCCCTTTGCCAAGCCCTTCCATCTGCACTGCTCCCCTCTAAGCAGGTGACCTTGTGTCCCACTTCACAAAGAAAACAGGGAGTTTCAGATGGGAATTCCTTCACCTCAGTCAGCAGCAGTTATTACCCTGACATTAAAAACTCAGACTCCAGAGACAGATGCCCTCGCTCTCACTTTCCGTCACCACATACCATGACCTTAGGAAAATTATGCGACCTCAGTTTTACCCTCTATAAAACGGGGAAAACAATAGCATCTATTCCACAGGGTTGGTTGTTTTGATGATTTACAAGGCTTTGACACGGAGTGTTACTTTTGGAAACATCTTATAATTATATATTTATTTTTGTCTCTCTACCCCACTGAACTATGAGTGCCATACATTCAGATACTATTTGTGTTATAGTTGATTCTTTACCAGTAGGTCTATGTAGAATGTAAGGCTCTAAAAATGATAACCATGTCTTAATCATCATGGTCCACCCAAGACACAGTGACCTGGTGCAGTCATTATATTGTCAGTAATAAATAAATTAATATATACATATACAGGGTTCTAAAACAACACAATTCCTGCCTTCTGGTGCTATGTAGTATTAACTGAGTATGTAGCCTTGCTGGTGTTCGCTGCTTTAAGCACTGGACAGATAATTGACTTCATCTTCCTAATACCTTATGAAGAAAGTACTGTTGCTCCCCTCATTTCTCAGATGAAGCCATGGAAGCCCAGAGATGCCAAGTCCCTTGCTGGGGTGCGCGGCTAGTCGGTCTCAGATCTGGGCTATAATCCAGACCCAGGCAGGCTAAGCCAGCTCTCCTGTTCACTATAAAGTGGCTGAGTAGTCTCCAGATTAGAGATACTTTGTTTTAATAACCTCAAAATCAGGAATCATCAGAGGGCAAATTCAAGAGACAGTTTCCAAGGAACCAACGTAGTCTCTGGTGAGGTGGCAGCAAGGAGCCCTAGGACCAGGCACCCACAGTTCTGCCTCTCCTGCCCCATGGCACGCAGAATAGTTTAGCTGGAAAGAGCCCCCGCCCCAGGGTGATGCCTCCATTCAGTCCCACTGCATTTCACAGCCAGGGAGAGCCCAGAAGTTTGGAAAGATGGATAGATGCACTAGTGCAAAGAGTGCACAGAATAGCTTTTTTCCAATCACCCTCGCCATCTGATACAATAGTGTTACTACCTGAAAAAGGTGACTTCCCAGCAGGACCTACACAGAGATTTTGCATCTACAGAATCTTGAGTGAATTTATCACATTTGATTGGCCCCTATACCAATAGTCCACATCTTTCAGCCTCCTATCTAAACATTTC
This sequence comes from Homo sapiens, assembly GCF_000001405.40. NCBI lineage: Eukaryota > Metazoa > Chordata > Mammalia > Primates > Hominidae > Homo > Homo sapiens. The sequence continues at coordinate 23,037,160 of NC_000010.11, forward strand.
TTTGCAAGACTTGTGTATTTCACCTTCAATCAAGGTGTGCAATTACAAATAGGATATTCCCCACCCCTCTCCCGCACCACCCTTGGTTGATCTCTTGTTTTCTCCTGCAGGCTCTGGCTGATAGAATTGGCATTGGTTGCTCCCTAGTTCGCGGAGAGTACGGTAGAGCGTGGAATGAAGTCATGCTGCAGAATGACTCTCGGAAGGGAGTGATTGGGGGCCTCCCCGCTCCTGAGATGTACGTGATTGACCTCATGTTCCATCCAGGTGGACTGATGAAGTTGAGAAGTCGAGAGGCTGATCTTTACAGATTCATTTAAGCCATCAGACGAACACAAGAGAGGCTCAAACAAGAAATTCACTGTGTACACTCTCTAAGACATTCTCCAAATTGATTTTATCTCTTTAAATAAAAACTTTAAATAAAAGTATTAGAAATGTTTTCTCTGCGTAGAAATTAGGAAGCTTGGAGTGAACTTTGCTGTGCTTCTGATTTCAGGCTTTTGGCAAGAGTTCTGTCTTATTAGGTCATTTTCCGCTCACTGACCCTCACATAAAGCTGATTGTTGTCGAAATTCATCCAGCCCACTGTGTCCTGAGGAGCGTCTCTGTCATTTAGGAATCACATGTAGCACTCAGCTGCTGCACCCAGGACAACACTGTGGCCTCATGACTGTCATCTTTCATGCCCAGAATGCTTCAGGCATGCTCAGTTAAGCAAACTAAGTGAATTTTTAGTATTTGCAATCACCTTGTCTCAGTTTCATTTAAGATTTTGATAGTTTAGATAGAATAAACACAGATCTGAGTGTTACAAATTCCTTTCTAAAAATTTTTGTTTCTATTTTTAAAAATTCATCATTAAAAACACTTTAATATAGTGAATTAAAAATATTTCTAAAGTATATTTCCATAAAATGGTTTTGGTTTCATCTTGTCTGTGTTAGCTTGGAAACATACCTTCAGCTAAAAACAATTCTGATTTGCTCTTCCACATTTTAATGCTGGGCCATTAATATATTATTTTCAATTTATAGAACTAAAAAATTTTTATTTTTTGGAAAACTTTGAAGCATAAAGGTAGAGCAAATCTTTGCTGAGGAATTGTGTTTTAGTATTGAGCACAAAATGGGGAGTAAATTCACATTTCAAATGATAAGACAAAAACTACTAATGTGGTTAATCTCGTGAAGTACATATTGCCTAGTCACGCTTAAAGTCCAGTGTTGACCTGTATAGTCATTTTCCTAGAAGACGTTTTAAAGTGAATTTGATTTTAGAAATTAAAGCTAAGATTATTTTGTATTAATTTGTAATTTCAAATAATATAATTCTTTATTTCAGAATAAATTTATTTCAAATGGCGTGGTAATTATATTTATCATAGAATTTTATGAAATTAGAGCGTGGCTTATGGGATACAAACCTATTTGTAGGTTTTTCCTCTGCATTTTAAAGTCTGTTTTGATCCAGAAAGTATTTAAAGTGGATTACAAAGATCCATGGGATATAAGAAGGAAAAAGAAAATAAATGAAATGCAGGCGTAAGTGTAGAAAAGTCCAACAAAGCAGGAATAAGATTTGGATCCAAAGATTAGAATTCAATAAAATGCAGTGCATTTGTTAGAGATGAATGGAAATTTGACTCTATACTCACTGGCAGCCAGTGTGAGGGGAAATGTTATTTATCCATTATGGGATTTACACTAGGATCTGCTAGATAAAAGCACAGACCAGTTTCTCAGGTGGAACAAATATCAGGGGAATTTCTCTTTGGTAGATTCATAGAGATGGCAAAATGTAACCTAGAAAATAACATCGTCAAAAACCAACCTCCTGGTAAGTTCTGAAAAGAAGTTTCACAGGCCAAGGCCCCAACATCAAAGTGGAATTAGGCAAATGTTCTATGCAGAGCTACTAGGATAGGGCCCGGGTATACACCACTTTTTAAAATCTGGTGCATGCCAAAGATTTTTTTTTTTAATCTTTGAGACAATTCTGTACAATGTCTCTTTCAACTAGTTTCTAGATAATTACTGAACAGAGATAGTTTAAATTTAATTCTCATACAGGTTTTCAAAGTTCATTTCTTCTGATTTACTTGGTTTAAATGTAGAGCCATAAAATTTAATAATCAGCCAATTATACAAAGACAATACATTTGCAATGGCAACAAAAGTTATAAAATACATAGAAATAAATTTAACAAGAACTATGCAAGAAAAACTACAGAATTTTAATGAGACTTGAATAAATGGAGATGTCCTTTCCAGGAACAGCACGCTCTTTGATGGGAAATTCAGTAGTAAAAAGATTTCAGTCCCCCATATTAAAATCTAAAATTAGTATAATTTCTATTAGAATCCCAACACATTTCTTTTTTTTCTGAAATTGACAAACAGCAAAATGTATTTAGAAGAATAAATGTGTATAAAAACTAAGAATATTTTGAAATAGAAAAATACAGAGGAATTGTCTCACTTATTAGAACATGTATTAAAAAGCAATAAAAAGCAAATTTAGGATGGTACAGGCATAAAAATTAAAAAAAATTAAGACTCCAGACACAAATCCATACATATAGGTAGGATTTAGCATTGTTAAAAGTAGCTTTTTTGCCCAGTGGAAAAATGATAGCCTATTCGGTAACTGGTTTGGGGAAAATTATAATCTTGAGAAGGGAGATTCTATTTATGCCAGAAAAACTAGAAGTCATAAAAGAACATATATGACAAGTTTGGCTACATAAAACTCTTAAATTCCTGTCAGCAAAATACACTGTAAGCAAAATTATTGACAGGGAGAAAAAAAAACAGCATATTTAACAAGCAAAATGTTAACATTCTCAATAAGCAAAGATCTTCTAAAAATCAATAAGAAAAAGACAATACACTTGGAAAATAAACAGAGTTGGCAACACTTTTCTATAGGGGTAATAATCCTCAGATCTCAGTGGCTTAGGTCTTTTATCACATTACATATCAAACATAGGTCAATAGTGGGAGCTCGGTTCCACACAGTCATTCAAGAACCCAGGCTGACAGAAGTTCCTCCATTTTGTACCTGCAGCATCTGGAATACAAGATCTCCTCAGTTGCTACAGCGAGAGGGAAAAGTGCTAAGGATATCCTTCAGGAATTATATGCTTTGGCCTGGAATAATGTGCAATTTGGTCAGAACTAGACCCAAACCATATGGGGTAATATCTGAAACTATAGAGATTTTAGTCAGAATCCTGGGTGTCCCTTAAAACCCTGGCAACTGTTGTGGTTGTGACATTTCAAGACAATTTATATAAAGTAACTTGTAGTTGTTCTGTCAGATCCAAAATCCAGAGTTTTACTTCTGGAGATCAAAACATTTCATTAAAATTAATAACTAACTTTTAAAAATAGCTGTTAATTAAATGGAAAATGGACAGTTAAATAAAATCCGTTTCACAAGCTTTGATCTTTAAGCAAGCATCATAAATGAGAATTGAAGTTTGCACTGTGCTTTTCGTAAGTACACATCAAATGTGTTTAATACTTTTAATAAGTACACATCAAATGTATTATTTCCTTGCCAAAGAAGCAGAACTTCATCCATGAAAAATACTTTTCCAGAAGCTCAAAATAACATGTAAAATCGAATGGATTATTATTTTTTGAGGCAGGGTCACTCTGTCACGCAGGCTGGAATGCAGTGGCACAGTCATAACTCACTGCAGCCTCGACCTCCCAGGGCTCAGGTGATCCTCCCATCTCATAAGTAATTATGGTTTTTGTCATTACTTTTAATGGCAAGTAACTTGTTTCTCAGCAAGATATCTCTTACAGTATTCCCCTGCCAGAGCTGGCAATCTGGAGATGAGGAATGGGGTTTCAAGAGATGGTGCATTTTTCCTTAGAACTATCTAGAGAGAGGCTGTATTTACATGCTCTTTTTTTGTTTGTTTGTTTGTTTTTTGAGACAGAGTCTCACTCTGTTGCCCAGGCTGGAGTGCAGTGGTGCCATCTCGGTTCACTGCAACCTCCATCTCCCGGGTTCAAGCTATTCTCCTGCCTCAGCCTCTCGAGTAGCTGGGATTACAGGCGTCTGCCACCACACCCAGCTAATTTTTATATTTTTAGTAGAGATGGGGTTTTGCCATGTTGGCCAGGCTGGTCTCAAACTCCTGACCTCAGGTGATCCACCCACCCCGGCCTCCCAAAGCGCTGGGATTACAGGCGTGAGCCACCACACCCTGCCACTGTTTGTTTTTAAACTCAACTGAATACGGGGGTAGGATGAACTTACTAAACACTATATGGAAAAATATCACTGTTCTTGGTATATTCTAGGAACAATACATAGTGTCAAGTCACTTATTTAGGGATTAATATTTAAAAGTCCTATTCTTTATTTAAAATTACCTGAGTAGTATTATATAGATCACTAGCAAAAGCTTTGCTTAGGTTTATCATTTTAAAGCCATGAATATAATTAGTTTAATAATAAAAGTGGACTTCATTTCCAAGGACAATCATCAAGGTGTCAGGTGGGACTATATTAATATAGTGAATTCAAATAAAGTTCTTGTGGAACTCACACAGTACAAGAGACCTGTAGGATCTACCAATAAATAAACCACAAATCACAATTTAAAAAATAAAAAGCATTGTTGGAAAAGGTAAAGAAATTTTCTTGTGGTGATTTTACTTATAAATTCAATAAGCCTTTATTATTGAGAATTAAAATAATAGCAGGGATTAAAAAATTCAATGTCTTTATTATTGAGAAGCAATATAATAGCACCTCTTTAGAATCAGAGCTGAGATCAAGTTCTGTCTCTCACTTTTTCTAGCCGTGTGACCTTGAGAGAATTACTTAACCTCTATCTCCCTCAGTTAGTCTTCTGGAAAGTAAGGAAAAATAATAGCAAATATTTATATATTGTTTACGATGTGCCAGAGGCTGTTCTTTGTAGTTTCAACTCTTGGAGTAATCCTGTGATGCATAGGTAGGACTACCCACAGTTAACAAGTGAGAAAACCCAGGCACAGAGAGGTTAAGTAATTTGCCCAAGATTGTCCAGCTAGTAAGCGGCAAAGCTTTCAATTTAAACACAGTTTGGCTTCAGAGGCCATGCTTCCAACCTATATGTCTCATAAAGCTGTTGTGAGGGTGAAATAAGACCATGCATATAAATGACAGGTGGGGGATGGCATATGCATTTGTATATGTGAGTGCGTGTGTGTGTGTGTGTGTGTGTGTGTGTGTGTGTAGCTCTCTATTCTATGCACACATGATGTTCTGTTTGCCTTTAGCATGTTTTAAGGGAATTCCTCATTCTTCAAGCATTTGTCTCTCTCTTGAGATCCCTCTGTAGGGCCAGAGAGTAAATATTTCAGGTTTTGCAGGCTATTCCATCTCTACTGCAGCCACTCAACTCTGCTATTGCAGCACAAAAGCAGCATAGATAATACCTAACCAATGAAACTGTATCTACTAAAACAGGTGGGGGGCCAGATTGGCTCACGGACCATAGTTGGTCAACCCTTGCTTTAGATGATGAGCACTTTGAGGATAAGGACATGGAAAGGCTTCAGTTTACTTAGTATAATCCCTGGGCACCTTAGCTAAGTATTCAGGGGAGACTCCCACCCTGGCATTTGCCTTTCCTGGTTTCTCTGGGCTCTAAGATGGATCTGCTTGATGTTATTCCAATGGATGCCAACACAGATGCCTTATTTTTCAATAGGATGAGGACAGATTTGACCAATCTACATAAGAAAATAAACCTCCTATCTTCTATACTTTTGTTAAGAACTGTGAAGGGTCTGAGATTTTATCCTACTTGCAAGCTAACTGCCAATTTTATTGTTGCTGGAATAAGACATGAGATATCTGGATCAGAGACAAAGGATTTTATTACTCACAGCAAAGCAAGCAGCATGAGCCAGGCTATTTGTGTCAAATCTCCTTGCTCCCAAGTCTCATGGGGAAAACATGGATAGACCCAGATGGATGCCTATCAATGCAGTGGTTTGTGTTACAGAAGAACTCTGAGCTTAGAGAACCCAAATCCTTTATAGTGAGCAGCAAGGGCCAGGCGCAGTGGCTCACACCTATAATCCCAGCACTTTGGGAGGCTGAGATGGGTGGATCATCTGAGGTTGAAAGTTCGAGATCAGCCTGACCAACATGAAGAAACCCCATCTCTACTAAAAATACAAAATTAGCTGGCCATGGTGGCGCATGCCTGTAACCCCAGCTACTCAGGAGGCTGAGGCAGGAGAATTGCTTGAACCTGGGAGGTGGAGGTTGCAGTGAGCTGAGATGGCGCCATTGCACTCCAGCCTGGGCAACAAGAGTGAAACTGTCTCAAAAAAAAAAAAATGAGTATAATGAGCAGCAAGAGAGACACTATATTATTTGCCAAGGCTATTCACCAACACCCTTGAAAAGATAGTCTGGAACAAAAGTCAATCAGGAAGATGTGCAGAACGAGGGAGACCCATGGAGCATTATCTCCCAATAGCTTCATCAATTCTTAACAGTCTTTATGGAATCTCTCATCTGTAAAATAGAGACGATTCATACAAGGATATGTGAACTTACCCTAGCCAGTATCCCTATAATATGTATAAATATAGATATTCACATGTTTTATACAGATATATAAAAGCTTATTATATATGTATATTATTTATAATTACATTAAAAAGGTCACAATAGATGGGCCTCATAAGTCATCAAGGCCAACTTTCTTTTCTGGCAACCCCAAAGGAATATTTGTAAAGAAGTATGGTGGTTATCAGCTATATCATACTACATTGCCCTACTAATCTTTTGTCTACAGGTTCAAGTCCAAATTCAGATCAAGCCTCACTTTCCTCCCTAAGCTTCCCCTGATGCCTTATGCTCTACTGGTGACCTTCTCTCATAGCATCTTTGGCACTCATTTTGCATTTTTTCATATGCTTACTGCCTGGGGTTGCTGTTTTCTTAATGCACATGTATGTGATATCATGGTTAGAAGCATGCAGATCCTTGGAGTCAGAGAGGCTCGGGTTGGAGTGTCCTACTTAAACCATTCTTAGCTGTGGGATCTTTAGCAAATGTCTTGGTTTCTACATCTCTAAAATGGGGATGTAATAATAGTAACCACTTCATAAGGTTGCTCTCAGAAGTAAATAAGTCCATGTACAGTACTGAACATAACGTCAAAAATAAAATCAGATCCAGTTAGAATGTTAAGAGTTTATCCTGCACACAAAAGAATAGTTCACAAACTGGGAGACCTCAATGTCTCAATTTTACAGCAGTAACAGTGCAGTTCATAGAGCACAAAGGAGGAAGGATTTTGGTCTTTTTCATAATTGGCTGTCATATAGTCTTTATTAAGGCAAACCAAACTGTTTAAGCTGATTTATTGATAGGTTATTGGTTTAATTTCACTGAATCAGTCTGATAAAGACAAAAAGCTTACATTTGTGTTATGTTTACCTTTATGGTGAAAGGTTTGGGAAAATCAGGATGACTTAAGTTTTGTTTACACAGCTACGGGCAGCTGGGCTTTGGGTATACCTAAACTGTGGCCTCCATTTTTATTTTGCTTTAACAATTGTAAGCATTTGACAACTATTAGCTATTATGCTTTGATCTCTCCTGAAGAGATGGAAAGGAATTCTATGTTGGGCATACACCTTACTCTCAAGAGCTCCTTGCAAACGGATAACTTGAATAATATTTGTTGACTATCTGAATGCCTTAAACTAACTGATCTTAAAGACTAAAATGGAATTGGAATTCATTTTTATTTTCTTTTGGATATTTTTGAAAGTAGTTGGGTGGTAAAGAAAATCACTCCCATTTCTGATTAGGTACTGATTTCCTTTGGCCTTTCAGTGTAACAAATATGATGACCACACGGTTACTTTTTTTTTTTTTTTTTGAGACAGGATCTCACCCTGTTGCCCAGACTGGAATGCACTGGCGCCGTCTTGGCCCACTGCTACCTCCAACTCCCAGGCTCAAGCAATTCTCCTGCCTCAGCCTCCCGAGTAGCTGGAATTACAGGCGTACACCACCACCACCCAGCTAATTTTTGTATTCTTAGTAGAGACGGGGTTTCACCATATTGCCAGGCTGGTCTTGAACTCCTGACCGCAAGTGATCCACCCGCCTCAGCCTCCCAAAGTGCTGGGATTACAGGCGTGTGTCACAGTGCCCAGCATCACACCTTTACTTTTGAATTTGTAGAATAGAATGTCAAAATGCAGAAATTCTGTCTTTGGAGCTAATGTCTGAAATCACTCCCCATCACCAACACCTTTGCTACCTGTGTGTGAGTGTTTCATTAAGAGAGGATACAGCATTACTTCCTATGGTTATATGACTCAGTATTGCTGCTTGGCGGACAGAGCTTGCCTGTGACTTTGAATGCCTCCCCTTGCATACTGGCATACTTATTACCTTTTCTTGTTTCGTTTTTGAGACAGAATCTCGCTCTGTCACCCAGCATGGAGTGCAGTGGCACAATCCTGGCTCACTGCAACCTCTGCCTCCCGGGCTCAAGTGATCCTCCTGCCTCAGCCTTCCAAGTAGCTGGGACTACAGGCATCCACCACCATGCTGGGCTAATTTTTGTATATTTAGTAGAGACGGGGTTTCGCCATGTTGGCCAGGCTGGTCTCGAACTCCTGACCTCAGGTGATCCACTCGCCTTAGCCTCCCAAAGTGCTGGGATTACAGGTGTGAGCCATCCCACCTCGCCTTATCACCTTTTAAAGTATGGTTGTTTGTGTAGTTAAGATGACTTGGGCTCTTGTTAACCTGCTAACAATGTATAAGGCTCCATATAGGGTAAGATCTTTCTTTCCACCAGAACTTGGAAAGGAGCAGGCTCCCATTTTGACAAGTCCCCAGTGAGCAGCATCTGCTTTAGGTATATTTCAGTCACAAACGTCTGGGTCTGACCTCAGAGTGATGAGCTAAGAGTCATTAATTTCCTTTTCCAGCTCAAAGGTATCAGCCCCCAAATGCTGCAGACAGTCAGGCTCTGAATCTTGAGAAAGTCCCAGTTTGTTTTACACAAGAACAGCTGGCATACAAATGGAATCAAGCACTTTTAAGTAGTCGTTAATAATACTGATGAGAACAGCTGAAGCAAACAGCGGCCTCTGTAAGTACTCAGATATCTGACATACAAATCGAGTGATAGTCCAATTAGTTTATTTATAGGTTCCTTTCTTTGAAAAATATGAGTTTGTGTCTAGCTGTCCTTTTGATTCTACAGTCTTTACTTTTAGAAAAACTTTGAAAAGCCTAGATGAATGCATTTATATCTGTATTATCAAGTCATTTATCTGCTAACTCATTGATAGTCATTATCTGCATACACAATTTTCTAGCTCTGTGATTTCATTTATTTAGCTTTCCAGAAAATTGTTTTATTAAAAGTCTCATTTTATTAATACAAATAAGAGAGAGCGATAAATACGCTAGTTGCATAGACTCTTACAGGATAGAAAGCTTAGCTTATTTTTCTTGTATGCAATTATTTGCTCCTTTGAGGATTAGAATGAAAAGAAAAATTAACTGTTGAATGAGGAGATTTTCTTTATGCAGTTATTATTTTCCTTAACTAAATAAGATAATAATAGAATAAATAATAAAAAGAGAGCAATGAATCGCCAGCAACAGACTTCAGAGTCCCACTCAGAAGTAACAATATGAAACCTATACTAGCCGGCTTTAAAGAGCATCACAAAACTTAACAACAGTAAAACTCTCACCATGCCTGAGAGCCATGATTACTAGCTATGTAAACATTACTGCTGAGTTAAAAACACTTACAGGATAATTAAAATGCCCCTTTTCAAACATGTTTCTTACAAAATAAATGTCCTGAGACTCAAGTTTACTGTGTCTGATGCTGCTAAACCATTACATTCAGAGAATGTACTCACTAATATGAAATCCCCAGAAAGGAAATCAAGAAATGAGAAAAGTCTTGGTAAATCTCTTAATATCAACCATCTGATTTCTTTTAGCCTTAGCTTTAGTCTCACCATCAAGTTTTTGGCATAGTTGTAAACTGCTAAGTTTCCACTCTTCAAAGGCCCCAAAATGCAGGCGGGGTGAGAGCAGGGGAATGGCTTCCCCCCGGGAATCACAGTCCACAGCTTTAAAGTAAATCATTGCAGGAGAGAAGCCAGTTCTTGCCCTCAGCCTGTCACTGGTTGAGTTTCAGAGCCCTCAGAGTCAGAAACATGGGAGAGAATGCATAGAGAGTAGGTCCACCACAGGCATGTTCTGTTAGTTTTCATGTGCAGTTGACGTCTCTCAAAGACACCATGCAGAAGGGATACAAAAGCCTGTAGAGCTCAGATAAGAGCTAGGAACTGCCAGAGAGAAGGTCAGAATGGATCATAGCAGGTGTTCTGACAGAGAGGAAACGTTTCCTCTAACCTTTTAGATTCTGTAGTTGGGGGCCTGTGAATTAAACTAACAGAAAACAGATTAGCAAAAGACAGACTTAATCACGTACTTATGGGAGTTCGCAGAAAAGTGTCACTCAAAGAGATGGTTAGAATTCGTGGCTTCTATACTGTCTTAACTGGGGAAGAGGAGGGAGAAAAGGGCACTTAGGGAAAACAAATGACTTTTTGGAAAGATATATAGGCCCTTAGGAGATATGATCGTTTGGTCACAACGGCTGTGTAGGTGTGGTGCTGACTTCCAGCCTCTGGTGATGAGTCAGTCTTCTCTGTTTGCTTCCAGGAAGAGAATTTAAGATAATTGAATTCTTTTGAGTTATCTTGGGAGGCTCTACTTTTAGACAGATTTCAGGAACTCAAATGCCTCTGCTCAAAATAATTTATATGCCACAATAGCATATTCTGGGCCCTTTCAGCTCCAAATTATTCCCCCAGGTCAAGTGTACTTGGAAATCTCTGCTCAGATTAAGTTCTCAATATCTACACTTAACCTTAAATATGGGATTGTTCTTTAAAACAAAATTGGAGCCATTGTTAATGGGTGTACATATATATATATATATATATATATATATATATATATATATATATGACAATTAGCCAGGTGCAGTGGCTTATGCCTATAATCCCAGCACTTTGGGAGCAGAGGTGGGAGGATATCTTGAGTCCAGGAATTTGAGACCAGTATGGGCAAAACAGTGAGACACCTTCTCTACAAATGATTTTTTTAAAAATATTAGCCAGGTGTGATGGTGCATGCCTGTAAGTCCCAGCTACTCGGAGCCTGAGGCAGGGGAATTGCTTGAGCCCAGGAAGTCAGGGCTGCAGTGAGCCATGAGCATGCCACAGCACTCAGCCTGAGTACCAGAATAAGGCCCTATCTCGCAAAAAAGACAATTAAAAATACATGAAATAAATTGTCTAGAAAATTTGAGACCCGGTCAGGCACAGTGGCTCACGCCTGTAATCCCAGCACTTTGGGAGGCCGAGGCAGGCGGATCATCTGAGGTCAGGAGTTCAAGACCAGCCTGACCAACATGGTGGAACCCAACTCTACTAAAAAGACAAAAAATTAGCTGGGCGTGGTGGCGCATGCCTGTAGTCCCAGCTACTTGGGAGGCTGAGACAGGAGAATCACTTGAACCCGGGAGGCGGAGATTGCAGTGAGCTGAGATCATGCCACCGTACTCCAGCCTGGGCTACAAGGGCAAAGCTCCATCTCAAAAAAAAAGAAAGAAAGAAAAGAAAATTTGAGACCCATGTTGTACTAAATGACTTGGCTGCAAGATGCCATCAGCTTGAAGGTTTTGTCACTCCAGTTTTGCTGTTTGTGAAACAATGAAATGAAAAGTTTTGGGGACACACTTGAGTTGGTTGTCCCACCTTCTTGCCTTTATGTTCTTATGCCACTGGAATAAGCACTAAAATCCTTGGGCCTTGAAGATATTAAATGATGGTGGGCACCAGTACCCGGTGGTACGCTATAGCTATTCTTGGGACTTGGCAATAGCTATTAGACTATAGCTATTCCTTGGTTTTCACAAGGAATAATAACTGAATCGTCTCTTTCCAAGCTACAGAATCACTCACTCCCTAGACTCGTACATAATTACAGATGTAAATTGTTAGTACATTATAATTAGCATGACACCCGGAAAGATACTTAAAATAAACTTTAAAAAAACCTGCTACACATAGATGTGAGCAAAATCAGAAAAGACCCTCCACAAGCACCATGGTTGGGGGCAGGCTGTGCAGTGGTTTTCAGCTGACACGCCAGCCGAGAACAACCCAGTTCAGATCCTAGCTCTGCTACTAAATGAGTGGCCTCGGACAAGTCACTCCCTGGCCCTCAGTTTCTTTGCCTGGAAAACGGCAATGACGACAGCTCCCTCCTCATATGGTTGTTTGAGAAGTAAGTGGATGAATGAACATAAAGCAGTGGAAACGGTTCCTGACACAGAGGTTGCCCCCAATGAGTATCATCCATTCTCAGCCCATCCATGCCATTCCCCACTTGGATAGAGCAGGGAAGGAACGTGGCACCAACCCCACTAATGCATTTCTTTCATATATACCTGCTGACAACGAGGCCTTGCAAACTATGTGAGAAAACTAAGATAAGCAGCATTCTACCATACAACTTACCCAAGAGAGGTAACCTCAATCACCTGCATGCACGCAGGACCAGGAGAATAAGTGATCCTGACTCTTTGCCTTGTTATACTACTAAAATCCCCACCTCAGGAGGGGCTGATGTGCCATTTTTTGATCAGGCAATGTATGTACTAACATGATTTCTCCCTGCACCTGCACCCCCTTGCTCTATCTTGCACATGTAATGATGCTCACATACCTCATGATCTTCATATCACCCTCCTTAAAACACTGCAAAGACCTACCCTCCAGGAGCCAGCTGGAGAATTCTTGCTCCTACACTGTCTGCCTTGTGCTTGAACATAAGCCCCAATAAAGCTTGTATGGGAAAGTTTCTCAGCCTCCTGTCAATTTCCACTGCATGAGAGCCTAAGAATCTGTGATCGGTAACACTGGGACCCAGATTTTCAGACATAAAAATAAAGGAGTACAAATATATAATTTGATAGAAGAAATAAGAGCTAGTGTTTGATACATCAGTAGGGTATGATTTACAATAATCTGTTGTGCATTTCAAAGTAGCTACGAGAGAATAATTCAAAGGTTTCAGCATAAAGAAAAGACAAATATTTAAGGTGATGGATATCCCAAGTACACTGATTTGATCTTTACAAATTATATGACTATATTAAATTACCACATGCACCCTGAATGTATACACAGCTTATAGTTATTAATTAGAAAATAAAATTAATTTTTAAAAGCTAAAAGAATTATTTGGTAACTTGTGGAAAAAAATAGAAACAATTCATAGCCTCCCTCCTTTTAGCTAGGGCTCCACTGGAAGTAAAGAGAACAGTCGATCAAACCGCTTTTGAGAGGGAGCAAGGAGCCCTCTTAGGGGCATGCTGGGAAGCAAGCAGGAAATAAACGAAAAGCTTGAGTTCCTTCAAGGGAAAATTCCAGGTCCCTAAGTGACCCCTGAGAAGTAAATGAGCAACTTGATAAACAAGAAGATAATAGTAACTTAAAAGAATAACCAAGGAAGTGAGAGTCACAAAATGCTGGGTTCCCTATAGAAACTAAAGATCTTAACATATGTCCCTGAGCTGTTTTTCAGAGACCCAGATCCTACTAAATGAAAAATACCCTTCATTAGGCCTGGTGCAGTGGCTCACGCTTGTAATCCCAGCACTTTGGGAGGCCGAGGTGGGCAGATCACCTGAGGCTAGGAGTTTGAGAGCAGCCTGGCCAACATGGTGAAACCCCGTCTCTACTAAAAATACAAAAATTAGCCACGTGTGGTGGCGCATGCCTGCAATCCCAGCGACTTCGGAGGCTGAGTCATGAGAATCACTTGAACCTGGGAGGCAGAGGTTGCACTGAGCCGAGATGGCGCCACCGAACTCCAGCCTGGGTGAACTCCAGCCTGGGTGACAGAGCGAGACTCTGTCTCAAAAAACAAACAAACAAACAAATAAATAAAACTCTCCACTGGCATGTAGACCTTAGATAAGGGGGGAATTAAGGACTGCATTCTGACTATAGTTCTTTGTTCTAAATTTCTTCCTGAGGGGCCGGGAGGAGGTCACTTCCACAAGCCAGAGCTAACATTCTTTTCTGTTGATCCCAAATGTTTAGACAAAACATCACCTCTTTAACCAGTTGCAAATCAGAAAAATCTTTGAATCCACCTATGGCCTGTGTCCCCTCTGCTCAGGTGTCCTGCCTTTTAGGTCAAACCAATGTATAGCCTCCATGTATGAATTTATGACTTTGCCTGTAACCTCTGCCTTTCTGCCTTTGAAAACCCTTACCTGTAGACCATCTGAGAGTTTGGGTCTTAAGTATGAGCTGCCAACTCTCCTTGCTTGGTGCCCTGCAATAAATGCCTCACTTTCTCTTGCTGCAAATCCCGATGTCAGTGTTTGACTTTGCTGCGCTGGGTAGGTGAACCCAAGTTTGGTTTGGTGACATTTTCCTGAGCAAATTGAAAATTCTCCTCTCTTGTTCTTGCTGTGCTTTGTAAGAGTGAGCCAAGATGAGGACAGGTATGTCCTCTGATGGGGTTCAGAAAGTGCTACTCCAAAACATGGCACCTTAGAATATTGAATATTTTAAGCCAAAGGAATTTGAGAAAGTGGCAGAAGCAGACAGGTCTCTCTCGCCTTCCCTTGAAGCAGGTCATGAGACCTTCATGTGCTCTCCCTCTGTTAGAGACATTTGAACCAGAGCGACTCCTCTTGAATAGGGGCTGGGTAATATGAGGCTGAGACCTACTGGGCTGCATTCCCAGGAGTTTAGGTATTCTTAGTCACAGGAGGAGACAGGAGGTCAACACAAGATACAGGTCACAAAGTCCCTGCTGATAAAATAGGATGTGGTTAAGAAGCCGGCCAAACCCAACATAAACAAGATGGCGACAAAATAAACCCCTGGTCACTTTCACTGCTCATTATATACTACTTATAATATATTAGCATGCTAAAAGACACTCCCACCAGTGCCTTGAGTGTTTACAAATGCCATGGCAATGTCCAGAAGTTACGCTATATGGTCCAAAAAGAAGAGGAATTCTCAGTTACAGGAACTCCCCACCTCTTTCCCAGAAAACTCATGAATAATCCACCCCTTGTTTAACATCAAATGAGGAAATAATCATAAAAATAACCAACTAGCAGCCCTCAGGGCTGGTCTTCTAAGGAGTAGCCATTTGTTTTCTTTACTTTCTTAATTAAGTCGCTTTCACTTTACTGTGTGGACTTGCCCCGAATTCTTTCTTGCGTGAGATCCAAGAAACCTCTTTTGGGGTCTGGATCAGGATCCCTTTCTGGTAACACCTCTATCCAGAGGAAAGCAGAATCCTTATTTCTGAAGACAGAGGGATGCTGAGAAGAATTTGAATGAACAGGTCTTGCCAAGTTTCCTCCAGTTGGCTACTTTTGTTCATACACCTTTGCCCTATCCCATTTTTCCACGACTTTCCACTCTTCACCAAATCAAGCATAAAAACACTCAGGTTTAACCATTTCTTTGAGTCTTCATTTTCTCATGAAGCTTCCCGTGTCTTATAAAACTCAGATTAAGTAAATTAATATGACTTCCTCTTGTTAATCTATCTTTTGACAGCCTAATGTTCAGGGCCTCATCCAATGAACATAAAATGGTTAGAAGAGAAAGATTTTTTTCCCCTCCCATCCACCTCCCATTTTTGCATGTAAAAACAAGAGTAGGAAAATCTGCCCAAATGGTTTCTGACAGCCCTAGGAGTATGATAAAAGGCTTCTTTTTTCTTAAAAGAAAAATCATATTTAATCACTCAGTGGCAGGAGTGGGACTTTCTGTTGTGAAACATCCAGAGACTCCCGCTTCCCTTTCTCCCAGAGAGAAAGAGCAGAGCTCAAGACTAGAGCCCTGGAAATTCAAGGGTGAGGGAGGGGCTCAGAAGAGCCATTGTTTCCTGATCTTGAGTGCTCCAGGCAACAGCTGGGCTTTCTAGGAATTCCAGTATTGCTGAGTGGGGAGGGTGTGTAGAAGGAAGGCTGCTCTTCAAGTTTGAACTTAAGATTCAAAATGTGCTGAGTCACAAGGTTCCACCCCTGGCAAACCCTGTGATGGGCAAAGCTGATTTTCCAACTCACCTTCCAGCCTTTTCTCCCAGTCCCCTGCATCCTCCTGCCACACACCTCCTCAGGCTTATCAGAGCCTGCTCTCTGGGGTCCCTCAATTCCAAAACCTTCATTCTAGAAGGATGAACTCCACCACATGACTGTAAAAGACCTTCTAGGAGAATCTGCATCATGAAAGCATAAAAAACTTGAAGCCAAATGACTGACTCTTTCATTGTGGAATTCATGTATGGGTGAACAAATAGAATGTATATTTTGTTTAATAGATACTTGCTTATTATGGACAATATGGAAGATACAGCAAGAAAGAAAAATATTTTTCTATCAACCACAGAGTACGTGTTTTGATCTATTTGTTTCCAGTCTATTCATCAGGACCTTTTTTTTTTTTTTTAAACTTAATGGCCTACTGAATATGCAGATTGTGTTCCTGTCTGGAGTATAGAACACAGGCATTTATTGAGGAAAGGCATGATGGGAGAGGGGCTGGGGACACCCCTGTGCTCAGAAGTCACACTATCCTCAGCAGCTACCATTCCCAGGTCCCTAGTGTTGTCATTTGTTCAAAGGAAAGCTGAGCAGTAAGAACCAAACTGGGGAGTTGCATTTTGGACCTTCTTCTTTCTCCTGTGCTTTGAGTCACTGGTGCTTTCTCAAAGGCCTGAGCTTTGTGGAATAGCAGCCACAAACCATGAAAAGTTGGGTGATAGGATATTGATGAGAAATCACCTGACACCAAATAGTTTCATAAATCAAGGTTCTGGAAGCTGGTCCCACAGTCAAGAGCAGCTGTAAGGAATGCACTGCAGCCCTGCCAGGTGAACATGGGGAGCAGAGGCAGCTCTTCTGACACCTTGCGGAGAATGGAAGTTTCCTTTGTGGGGAGGAGACACCCCCAGATGCACCATGCTCTGGCCAGTACAACTCTGCAGAAGGCAGGTGGCTGCCCGTACAGGGTTGGGCAGCTCAGGATGAGGTTCCAGCTAAAATGGGGCTCACTCCTGCTGACAACCAGCTAGCTCCATGCCTGATACCTCTCGACCTTCTTCAGAATGGAGAGCTTTAACAATAATTGACACTTTAGGACTATCGCAGTAATACAGCCTCATTGTAGAGTCAAATGTAGACAAGTATTTAAAGAAGCAACTAACGATCACTCATAGTCCCATGACCAGAGGTAACGAAATACTGTTAACATTTTGTCCCCTTATAGGCTTAAAAAAAACAAAAAGAAAAGAGATGTACCCATAGTTCTGTTACAGGAAGGGGGTCCAGATCCAGACCCCAAGAGAGGGTTCTTGGATCTCAAGCAAGAAAGAATTCAGGGTGAGTCCACAGAGTAACGTGAAAGCAAGTTTATTAGGAAAGTAAAGGAACAAAAGAATGGCTACTCCATAGACAGAGCAGCCCCAAGGGCTGCTGGTTGCCCACTTGTATGGTTGTTTATTGATTATATGCTAAACGAGGGGTGGATTATTTATACCTCCCCTTTTTAGACCATGTAGGGTAACTTCCTGACATTGCCATGGCAATTGTAAACCGTCATGGCGCTGGTGGGAGTGTAGCAGTGAGGACTGCTAGAGGTCACTCTCGTAACCATCTTGGTTTTGGTGGGTTTTAGCCGGTTTCTTTACTGCAACCTGTTTTATCAGTAAGGTCTTTATGGCCTGTATCTTGTGCCAACCTCCTGTCTCACCCTGTGACTTAGAATGCCTTAACCATCTCGGAATGCAGCTCAGTAGGTCTCAGCCTCATTTTACCCAGCTCCTATTCAAGAAGGAGTTGCTCTGGTTCACAGGCCTCTGACAGTTCTGGATGCTAAGAAGGGGTGCATTTTCATCCTCAAAGCTCCCCTCCCTACCTCCTCCATCCCATGGGTCAATTGAGCTCTCCTTGTTGAAAAGGCAGAGAGCTCAAATTTCAGGCAACCACCTTCTTGCCAAAAGATGGCTCCAAAAGCTTCTAGCTCCCCTGACAACTGAGCTGCAGAATCCCCCCTGCCCAGTCTCATTCAGATACAACAAAAAGTGTCATCCCAGCCATGAAATATCAACACGGACAGGAACAATATTTTCCCATCAAAAAACCACATTTTAAAAACTCATCTGAAAGCCAGGGAAATCTGGTCTTAAGGATACATATTTTAGGCACTCCAAGCAGAACTGTTTACCAAAGAAAATGGCAAGCCCAGTGTCATTTCCAAATGTCACCAGAGTAAACCTTTACTAACCTCTCTCCAGTAAAAGAGAAAAAGAGGAAGGAACAAAGGCTCTATTCTCTCATTTTTAAGGGAGTCACATTTAGATATAATACATTGAGTTTGTATGATCTAATAAACTTCTAATACAGCCATTTTGCAGGTAATCTGAAACTTTTTAAAATAAATTTCTTTACAACAGTATTTTAAATACATGAAAGAAAGAATTGCTCAAAATTAATATTCCTTGAGATATCCTCGTTTTTCAGCCAGCACCTAACAGACCAATAGAGAGCACAGGTTTTTGTTTTTTTTTTTTTTTTTTTTTTTTTGCTATGGCAATATATCTCATTTCACGTATGGTTCCTTATCAATTACTGCCTAGATGGAATTTACCCTTTGTGTTCACAGCCACACAAGCATGTCTAAATGAAAAACACACCTTCTGCAGCCCTCTAACAAAATCAATCCCTCAGCAGGAGAGTTGAAGGCTTGTCGATGATTGCGCATTGAAATGCGCATTTGCATGCTAATTACCCAGAAAGCTCCTCCAGTTCACGGGGTGTTATGGAAACGCTAGGTCAGAATTCTAGGAGGGGAGAGAGCAGGAATAGAAAATGCAGAGGAACAGGAAATGAGGGTGGTTTAGATGGAAGCAATTGGGATGCAGTCTACTTTTAAAGTCATTTTTTAAAATCCACTTTAGTTGAATTAGTCATGTCAGATTAACCGGAGAACTTGCTCTTGGAGTTGCTCTGACTGGATTTCTGTGTCAAAAGCAAACAACTTATTTTATACTGTGTCATTTACAGCTTAAGGGGAGGCCTTTTCACTCAGGTTCTGAAGTCTCTGTGCCTGAGTACAATAAAATACTGTAGGGAAAAAAAACAGCTTTCTTTCCCATGGCTGGAGTCATGGCGGAGGCCCCTATAACAAAGAACAGATTAACAAGAGAAACGTGTACAACTTTATTTAATGTTAGTTTTAAGTAGCATGGGAGCCTTCATAAGGAAATGAAAACCTGAAGACACAGCGAAGCCTGTTATTTTTATGCTAAATCTGATGAAAAACTCAGTAGATAGTTGTGAAGTATGATTGGAAAAAGGGGGAATGATCTAACTATCATAAACTGTGGGGAAAGTTGTGATCAAGAAAATGGGCTCGCTGTCCAATGTGCACAGAAGTCAATAACTATGGCACCAGCTTTGTAGAAAAGAAAGGCTTTTTTACAAAATCAGCCAGACTGGCTCAAATCTGTCTCTGAGATGTGGGATCTGGGGGCAAGTTTTAAGGGATCAGAGAGAATGGGAAAGGATTTAGGAATGTTGGCTTGGCAGGGTCTGATTGGAGGGCTTCAAGTTTGACCATTTATGAAAAGGTATTGTATTAGTCAGGGCTCTCTAGAGGGACAGAGCTAACAGGATACATGTATATATGAAGGGGCATTTATTAAGGAGTATTGACTCACATGGTTATAAGGTGAAGTCCCACAATAGGCCATCTGCAAGCTGAGGAGCAAGGAAGCCAGCCTGAGTTCCAAAACCTCAAAAGTAGGGATGCCAACAGTGCAGCCTTCAGTCTGTGGCCAAAGGCCCGAGGGCTGCTGGCAAACTACTGGTGTGAGTCGAGAGTCCAAAAGTTGAAGAACTTGGAGTCTGATCTTCGAGGGCAGGAAGCACTGAGCACAGGAGAAAGCTGAAGGCTGGAAGACTCAGCAACTCAAGTCCTTCCACGCTCCTCTGCCTGCTTTTATCCTAGCCACGCTGGCAGCTGATTAGATGGTGCCCTCTAAGATTGAGAGTGGGTCTGCCTTTCCCAGTTCACTGACTCAAATGTTAATCTTTGGCAACACCCTCACAGACATACTCAGGAACAATACTTTGCATCCTTCAATCCAATCAAGTTGACACTCTATGTTAACCATCACAGGGATGTCGAGACAGATTTTTGCCCCAGATCTTCTGAAAGAGTTACAGCATTCAGGTTTGGGTCATGCCCTGGTCTTTTTGGTTCTAAGGGAAGGAATCATTGGTTCCAGGTGTTGTTAGAGGTCAAAGCTTTGTCTATTGTGCACGCCTGCAATTTTTGGCCCTGTTTTACCTAAAAAGTACATGGCTTGCCATTTTCGGCCCTGCTTTACCTACAAAGTAACTTGACATTTTGTTATCAACAGACTAGGCACAATTTGGGCTGGTCCTGTGGTTACAAAGTTAGCAAGACCTGTTTGTTCAGAGTGTTCTCTGTGTCCCTGTGTCTGCAGAGATAAAGACAGGTATAGAGTGGGAACTTCTCAGATGAAGGTCTTATTACCTGTTTCAGGGGAGAAGGGTGAGAAGGAGGTGAAAGAGACCTTCCTGCTTCTGCTGTTTCCTCAAATGTCAGCGTATCGTATATGGAGCAGTGTGTTCTGAACTCCATCCACACAAACACCCAAACTCATGGACTGCTCCAAAAACTACTTGGTCACAGCTCCAAAAGTTCTGTTTAATGGCTAAAAATATACTGTTTTCAAATAGTTATAATAGAAAAGAATTCTTTTCTGATGAAATCTAAAGAAGCTACATCTATTCCAAAAAATCAATCCGTGAATACAATTTGAAAATGTCTTTCTTCCACTAAAAGCAACAAGATAAAACTAAGGTTTTACTCATGCATATAAATGAAAAGTAAAAAGCCCTTTGGTTTTCTTAATTTTCTCCATTCTCTAGATATGACAATGAGTGGCCAACAGTTTTTTCCTTTTTCCCTTTTAAAGAAAATGCTGTTTCTTTTGTTTTGTCATTTTTTTTTCTGTATTGCTTCTGAAAAGTTCCAAAACCCTGAGAATATGCCAAACAAAAGTGGAAATTTTGCTCCCAGTTTCCTAGACTTTGAAAGATGGTGTTTAAGGCTCTGATTCCTTTGTCTATGTTTGCCAACCTTTCTTCTATTCTGAATGTTCTCTGACACACCTGTCCCAGTGATTCTGTGCACCTCAGGACTGCGTTTCTGTATTAACCAGAAACTCTTGGACAACAGGTCCAATGCAACTGCGAGGCATATCCAAACCAGCCCCACCCCAGCCCATAGTGCAAAATTCCTGAGGCCACAGAGCAAGTAATAACAGACACCTGATTTGCTCTCCTCTAAGTTCAAAACCTTTTTAAAAACCGTTTGAACTCTCAAATCTTTAATTAAAAATAGAAATAAAACTTATGTTAATCTTTAAATTAAAAATAGAAGAAAAGTTGTTCTCCTGTTTGAACTGCTCTAGACGGTATCACTGAGCTTCTGGAACAGAATCCTAAGTGTGCATGCAGTTGGAGCAGAAACAGGGCAGGTATGGAAGCTTGCAGCATAGACAATGTGATCTGTAGTGTTTCCTGAGCATGTGTTGAACACAAGTGAACAGTACGCGGGGTTATGAAGACATTTTTCTTATGCTAAGTGCCAGAACAGTGAGCAAGGGAAGAAAATTCTAGCACTTATCTTTACATGTTAAACATTATGTGATGGAGGCTGTTTTTATAAAGGTTAGCCTAGTCTAGGTGGTTGACTCTGATGTAGTTTCATCCTGTATCATGTAATCTCAGATTTCTGAACAAGCTCTCCTGCAAATATGGGTGAGAGACCAATCTGAGGATTGTGTCTCATCAACCAGTGGAACTTACCCTCTCACTACACCCCCTCCCCTCTTTCATCATTTATTTGCAAAACAACTCTGAAGAACTTATCATCTGATAATCACACTAAGAATTCACTTAAAAGGGATTATAGTATCCTAGAAAATAGATTCTTCTCTCTGCTTCAAATAGTCTACTTACAGCTTATTCAGAGTTCACTTATATGAGTGACCCATTTACTTTTTATTTTTTATTTTTCCAGAAAGAATTTTTATTATCTTCCCTATTGCATAGATACCATCACTAAAGGTAGAAATAACAAGTCATAATATTCTTACAGCAACCAAAGGATTCCTAGAGCAAATGAGGGTTTCAAATCTACAGTTAATGAAACAAAGGCTTGTGCTACAATTAGGTTCAATAATACTATAATAGAGTTTTAGGGCTTGACGGATTCCTAGAGTCCATTTTGTTCAACCTTATTTTACAGCGAGGGAAAAACTGAGGCCCAGTGGAGCAAAGTGATTTGCCCCAGGTCTTTTTTATAAACTCCCGGCAATGCTGATTCAGAATACAGGTCTCAGCACTCCCAAGGAAGTTATTTTCCTACTGAAACCACCGTTGCAAAAGTTATGACAGTGAGGAAAATTTGACATAGGAAAATCATGACAGTAAAATAAATCTGACCTAACCAACTCTATCTTGCTTCTAATCTCTGAGCTGCCCTTGTTTGTTCCTGGGCATAGGCAGAACTAACTTTGGGAGGAATTTAGTTTTTAGTTTAACTTTGCAACAAAGATGATAACAGCCCCTCCCCAAACAAACCCCCTCCTTACTTGGTAACCAGACCACCTTTGTAAAACCAACAAATTAGCCACAAGATTAGAAGTTATGGCCCAGAAGTCATGCAGCCTGTGTTAAGCCATTCTTGCATTGCTATAAAGAAATACTGGAGGCTGGGTAATTTATAAAGAAAAGAGGTGTAATTGGCTCATGGTTCTGCAGGCTGTAGCAGCACAGCTCCAGCATCTGCTTCTGGTGAGGGCTCAGGAAACTTAGAATCATGGCGGAAGGTAAAAGGGGAGCAGGTATATCATATGGCAGGAGCAGGGGAGACGGGGGGGGGTAGCACCACGAACTTTCAAACAACCAGATTTTGAGTGAACTCAGAGCGAGAACTCACTTATCACCAAAGGGATCCCATTCATGAGTGATCCACCCCCATGATCCAATCACCTCCCATCAGGCCCCACCTCCAACATTGGGAATCACATTTCAACATGAGATTCAGAGGGGACAAATATCCAAACCACATCACAGCTGGAAGTCACAAGATTACAAATCTCTCCAATTATTTCTATGGATACCATTACTATTGTAATGGTAAGATTGGTGTTTGAGGTATTCTTCAGAACCTGAATTCCAATGGATCAGCGGGTGCCAACTAGCCCAGTAAACTGGCTCATCTGGTCTTGGGGTCCAAACCCAGGGGAACTGACTCAGTGCAAGGGGACAGCTTCAGCTCCTTATGATTTCATCCCCAAACCAACCCATCAGTGTTCCCCATTCCCTGGCACCCTGCCCACCAAAGTGTCTTCAAAAGACCCTGGCTTCCAAAGTTTTGGGGAGGCTGATTTCAGTAATAATAAGAGACTCTGGTCTCTTGTTCAGCTGGCTCTATGTGTATTAAATTCTTTCTCTATTGCAATTCCTCTGTCTTGATCAATTCGCTCTATCTTGGCAGTGGGCAAGATGAACCTGGCAAGCAGTTCAATTACTCCTGAGGGAGGAGTGAAGAGGACCAACCTGCTTCTCAACAGCAGAGAAAGTGTCTTCTTGTTCTGTGGCTTACACCAGAGCTTGTGCCCTCCCCACCCCACACCTCTCCTCCACTCTCCTCCAGCAGCCAGTACAGTCCTGGATCCCAAGAGTGTGTCTAACACCTCCTGGGTCGCTGTGACTGCAGGGGTTAAATGCAAGGGCCAGGATCTCATCTTAGCCCTGCAGGATCTTAGCCATGAGACCAAGCCAGGTGCCTCTCTGGGCCTTGTTTTCTCACCTATGAACTGAAAGGTTGGGTCAGGGAGGGAGGACAGGTGCTGCTCGATCCCACCCACACCTAAGATAATTGAGGCTCAGGGAGGGTGTCACCTGCTCTGTTTTTACATAACCACAGAGTGGCAAAGCACAACAGAAATCTAGAGGCAGCCCTGACTCCAAATCACTCTTTCCTCTGCACCATGCTGCTGCTGCTACAGTGATTGATAAGGTCTTCTGCAGTTAGAGACAGAAGGCATAGGAGGAAAGCTAGGAGAAAGGGAGGAGGAGGAGAGGAAGAAAAGAAAGTTCACATCTATGACTTTGCATGTGCACAGACCTTTGTACATCCCCTTACTAAGATAATTCATGATAAACCATTGTAGGAGAGAAACATATCTTTTTCCTCTACCATACTAAGTATGTGGCTGAGGTCCCTGTAACAAAACACAGATTTGCAAGAGAAAACATATAAATCTATTTAAGTTTTACATGACAAGGGAGTCTTCAAAAGGAAATGCAGACCCCATCAGAAACAGCTAAAGCTGTGTGTTTTTATGGCAGATTTGATGAAGTGTGGACACTTGTGGAAAAATGGGATCGGGCAAAAAGAGAATGATCTAATAGTAATAAACTGGGGGAAACCTAGCCAGCCTGTTCAGATTCTTCCCTGTGATGCTGTGTCTTCAGAGATAAGGATGTCCCTTTCCTCCGGGTATAGGAAGGGCAGCTGTCACATGAGGATCTTATGCCCTGCTTCAGGCAAGAAGGGGAGGGAAAGGCCAGGGGGACCTTCCTGCTTCTGCTGTTTACTCAAGTTCCTTCAGCTTAAAATATTCAGTATGCCAGCCAGGTGTGGTGGCTCACGCTTGTAATCCCAGCACTTTGGGAGGCCAAGGCGGGTGGATCACCTGAGGTCAGGAGTTCAAGACCAGCCTGGGCAACGTGGTGAAACCCCGTCTCTACTAAAATACAAAAATTACCTGGGCACGGTGGCACTTGCCTGTAATCCCAGCTACTCGGGAGGCTGAGGCAGGAAGACTCGCTTGAGCCCAGGAGGTGGAGGTTACAGTGAGCCAAGATTGCGCCATTGCACTCCAGCCTGCGCAACAGAGCAAGACTCTATCTCAGAAAAAAAAAAAAGAAAGAAAGAAAGAAAAGAAAGAAAAAATAAATATTCAGTATGCCAAGGTGCCGCTTTTTGGGGTAGGATGTCCTGAACACCGTCATTCTTATCATTTCATCACTGGCACAATTGAAGAGAAAATAACTGTTATTTCATTTTTTTTAGAGACAGAGTCTCACTGTGTCGCTCAGGCTGGAGAGCAGTGGTGCCATCATAGCTCACTGCAACTTCCAATTCCTGGGCTCAAGTGATCCTCTCACTCTCACCTCCCACCTCAGTCTCTGGAATAACTGGGATTACAGGCACGTGCCATCATGCCTGGCTAAATTTTTTTTTTTTTTTTTTTTTTTTTTTTTTTGAGATGGAGCCTCACTCTGTCACCCAGGCTGGAGTGCAGTGGCACGATCTCAGCTCACTGCAACCTCTGCCTCCCGGGTTCATGCAATTCCCCTGCCTGAGCCTCCCAAGTGGCTGGGATTACAGGCACCCGCCACAACACCCAGCTAGTTTTTTTTTGTGTGTGTATTTTTATTAGAGATAGGGTTTCACCATGTTGGTCAGACTGGTCTCAAACTCCTGACCTCAAGTGACCTGCCCACTTTGGCCTCCCAAAGTGCTGAGTTTACAGGTGTGAGCCGCCGTGCCTGGCCGATGCCTGGCTAATTAAAAAAAAATTTTGTGGAGATGGGGTCTTCCTATGTTACCCAGGCTGTTTTTGAACTCCTGGCCCCACATAATCCCCACCCCTCGGCCTCTCAAAGCACTGGGATTACAGGTGTGAGTCACCGTGCCTGGCTAAAAAAGAAAATAACTTGTATTATAGTTAGACTCATGGTACTGTGTCCACATTACATATTTTGCCAAGAAGTTGAAATAATCTAGAGATCAAGGCAGATTATTGGCCTTGAGTTGTAACTACAGTGACCGCCTCTTTTGTCAGAAGCAGAGTAGGGTGTGTCCCATTCTCAGGACCAGCTCCTTGCCCTTTGTGACTTTTTATAATAATTCTCCCACAGTCAGGGCAAATCAGAAACTGGCCAAGAAGAGGGGACTCTCTCAACACAGGGAGCAAGCAGTTTCTCTCTGACTGGAGTGTGTAAAACACGCTCCACGTAACACAGAGCAGCTCTTAAATCACTTAGATTTTCCTCTTTATGATGCCATTGCAAATTAGCTATTTTTTGCATTTGTAATTAGAACAGATGGAGAGGCCGTAGTTGGGGAGATAAATTTGCAGCAGTAACCAGGGCTGCGGCGGCCAGCGGCTGCTCCGTACTCCCTGCTGTGAGTCATCCAAGCGCCTCCCAGGAAGCAAAGGCTGCAGGACCCCCTCCTGTCTTACTTCTTTCTCATTTGGGGAGACTCCTCCTTCCCACCTACTGCGGAAAAACATCAAAAGTAGAACCTACAATTCTCGCAAATCCCCTCAGCTCCCATCTTTATCTGGCACGAATCACACGATCTCTGTCCATCAGAAATAAACACTGGGCATCGGTTTAAGAGTCACTAAAATGAAGCATTTTCCTACAAGACCCAATCGTAAGTCAAGAAACGCTTCGGAGAGAGCTAAGGCTTATAGCTAATCCATCAACACCTCCTTTTGCCTGGAAAACAAGTTCCGAGGAAACAATTGGCAAGTGTGTCCAAGCACAATGTCTGCCGCATGGTAGGTGTTTAATAAATACTCATGAGAGGATGCTTGGCTGGGAGGATAAAATATATAGAAGTCGAAAGGTCATTTTGTTGGATGAAAGGTCGTTTTCTTGGATGAAGCTATTTCTGGAGAAGCTAATCAGTCCAGGGATCCTGCCATCCTCAGCCGAGCCCCGGGGCCAGGCGAGACAGGTGGGCTGTCCCTGGAAGGTTCTGCTGTCGCTACCCCGATCCGGGCTGGACAATGGGGTACCCCTTTTCTTTCCCAGAGTGTCTGATCTGCTCTGAGAGCATGTCCAGCTGCAACCAAGAAATTGGAAGGCTTCAGCACATGAAAGGTGAACTTTCCAAAAGCCTTGGCTTCTTTCTCAACCGCGCAGGAAGAGGTTTATGTTTGGGATATTGGATAGCAGTTCGGGCCCGGTTAACACAGCTCTCCCACCACAAATCACCCCACTGCATTCTCAGATGACACTGGCCATATAAGCGCCGCTGCGTTTGCAAGACAGTCTTTTGCTGAAATGTAAAACGAGGCTGGGGAACTGGATATAAGACATTGGCATGAGGATCTGGAACTGATCTGAGACCTACTTGGAATCCTGCTTTTGTTCTGCCTGCGTGAAAACATAATTTTGATTATATGGCATATGGATAATACCACACGGGCCCTAACTACCATTCCTGTCCAACTTCAACCAGTCTGCAAAAAGTTGCTGACAGCCAACAGCTGAAGGAAGATCTTTCCACTGGTTGCAGAGAGCAGGTGTTTGTATGGTGAGGTCTTAGATGGGGTAGGACACGTTATGCTGTCTTTGTAAACTAAAACCTTGCATTTGTCACCATGTAGAGAAAACAACATTAAAAGAAATGAGTTTCTAAGAAAGAACAAACCATTCTCTGGAATTGGGTGGAACTTTTTTTGGGGGGGTAGGATCTTGCTGTGTCACACAGGCTGGAGTGCAGTGGTGCAATCTTGCTCACTGCAACCTCTGCCTCCCAGGTTCAAGCAATTCTCCTACCTCAGCCTCCTGAGTAGCTGGGATTACAGGTGCACACCACCACATCTGGCTAATTTTTTGTTTTTGTTTTTGTTTGTTTGTTTTTTAGTAGAGACGGGGTTTCACCATGTTGCGTAGGCTGGTCTTGAACTCCTGACCTCAAGTGATCCACCTGCCTCAGCCTCCCAAAGTGCTGGGATTGCAAGTGTGAGCCACCATGCCCGGTCTGGTTGAAATTTCTTGAGTATTCACCACCATATCCAGCAAAGGAAAGGAAAAATTTCGGCTTGCTGCTTATCAGTTGCTATTTCTTTCTGGATAATCTCTTTCAGATAAATAACTGACGTGGCAGACTTCCTCCTTCCCTGCATGGCCTCCTACCCAATTTCTCCCCAAGATGGCATCTGGTGACTAGGGGTCTGTAGACTACCAGGCCCCACGAAGAGACCAGTGAGAGAGAACTGCTGGCATCTGGCCTTCCTTCAAGGAGGAAGGAAATACGATGTTGGTATCATAGTCCCAGCCATTTGCCTCTGTCCATAAATTCTGTGTGCTCTCCGGTTTCTCTGTTCTAACCCCAGGCTTCTGTCAGTCTGGTGACCCCCTCTCTAGGGGACACAGTAAGTTCTAGATTCCCTACAAACTCTACAAAGGATGTGAGAGCCAGGAGCAGTAACTGCCACAGGCCACTGGCCCAGACACTTCTCCCTGCCAAAGTTCTACGACAGCTCTCTGGCATGTGGAACTTGGCATGGAATGAAACGCAGGCATCACGTGGTGTCCTGGGAGGCTCAGAGCTGTTCTGCCGCAGGGAGATACAGAATGAGAAATGATTGGCCAGGAATTACCACCAGGCAGCTGATGACCCCTGAGTGGGCTTTCGCTCACCTTCCCTGAACCCCACCCCTCATACCCAGCTCTCTCTAACCCAAAGTTCAAGAGGAAATGGCCACACCCTCTCCTGGTATCAAACAGGCAGGTGCAAACTTGGAGCGCTGAGAAACACCAATTGCCCTCTGCAATTTAATGCACATTTAGCATAAAGCAGTGAAGGGCTTAGCTTTGGCTCCTGGGGCAGGAAACAAAATTTATGTAGCTAGATCATTTGCCTTTGGTGTATGCTTTATACTATTAATAAACTAGAATGGGCTCTGAGCTCTGTGCTCTCCAGTGATGTCTAGAAATATGTGGCCGAGGGTCACCGAGACCCTCTTCAGGTCCTGGTGCAGCCTTAAGATTTCCTACGATGATTTTACAGGCACTTTTAAATTGCCACAATTTAAGGTTACTATTTCAGTGTCTGGAAGGCACGATGTCTGGAATTCATAATCTTCCCAGGAAGCTGGGACAATATATAAAACAAAATTCACAGACGTTCCCTCTTAGGTGGTGGCATTTCAGGTGATTTTGTTTTTATCTTTGTGCCTTTCTATATTAAGTTTTCTGTATCAAATATTATTACACTGACATGTAGCAGAAAATGAAAACATTTTTTCTCTTGTTAATGTTTTCTTTATCTTTTTCTTTTTTTTTTTTTTTTTTGAGATAGAGTCTTGCTCTGTCGCCCAGGCTAGTGTGCGGTGGTGTGATCTCGGCTCACTGCAACCTCCGTCTCCCCGGTTCATGCGATTCTCCTGCCTCAGCCTGCCGAGTAGCTGGGATTACAGGCGCCCGCCACCATGCCCGGCTAAATTTTGTATTTTTAGTAGAGACAGGGTTTCACCGTGTTAGCCAGGCTGGTCTGGAACTCCTGACCTCGTGATCCACCCACCTAGGCCTCCCAAAATGCCGGGATTATAGGCGTGAGTCACTGTGCCTGGCCGACAATGTTTTCATAAAGATGTTGTTTATGTTTACATGGAGTGGGTTTATTATTATTGTTTCAAATGAATTAATAAATATTTAAATTACTTTGCTTTAATTTATAGTGCTGTAAATAGCAACACACAAAAACTGCAGAAATGATATTCTTTAGAATCTTCAATATTTAGAGAATAAAGGGGTCTGAGACCAAAAAATTTAAGAACAGTGATATAGAGGATTCAATAGGATTTGGAGACAGAGGATCTACATTCAAGTTCTAGTTCTGTCACTTAACTGACATTAATTTCTGTTAAGTAACTTAAGTGCAGTCTCTGAAGTCAGACTGTCTGGGTCCCTCATTTTAGCCTCGCTGTTTGCTGGCAGTGTGGCTTTGGGTGAACCATTTCGCTTCTGTCAATAGGGATGACAATAGCACCAGGTTGCTGCGTGCCTTAAATGACATTAGATTTCTAAATGCTGACACCTATTATTAGAACACAGTAAGAGCCCAGTAAATGTTAGCAATTATTATTAGTCTGAAACATTTTTAAGTGGGAAAAAGGTCCTTCCTTTTTTATTATCTCATGGTTCAAAATAATTAATAATAAAGTGTGATTCTTTTTTCTTTTCTTTAGAGTTGAGGTCTTGCTCTGTTGCCCAGGCTTTAGTGCAGCGGCACAACCACGGCTCACTGCAGCCTCGACCTCCCAGGCTCAAGCAATCTCCCTGCCTCAGCTTCCCTAGTACCTGGGAGTACAGGTGCGTGCCACCTCGCCTGGCTAGTTTTTTCGAAGTTTTTTTTGTAGAGATGGGGGTCTCACTATATCGTCCAGGCTGGTCTCAAACTCCTGGGCTCAAGCAATCCTCCCACCTCGGCCTCCCAAACTGTTGGAATTACAGGCGTGAGCCACTACGCCTGACCGGCAGTGTGATTCTAAAGGGCCGGAAGTGATGACCAAATCCACTTTCTCCACCCTCCCCTCCTGCTTCCACGGGGAGGTAGTGACATCAACACGTACCGTTTTTTTCTAGAAGGACGTGAGCAAGGCGAGTTGTGAATCGAAGGCAACAGGAAAAGTATGAAGTGGGCAAGTTGGCACAGGTGTGTGGGGAGACACTGGGGAGACCCAGATAGCCTCAGGCACACAGATGCCTAAGACCTCCTGGACCAGAGAGACTCCCAGCATCCCCCAGTTAAGCCCAAACCGGGCTCCTTCCCTGTCCCCCTATGTACCATAGGGTCCAAAAAGACACCGGTGTTCCACTGTCTCTGGAGCTGCCCAGTCCTGCAAAACGCAGCCTCCCCTTTCCCCGCCCTCCTCTTTTCCTCTTCTCCACGCCTCTGCTCTCTTCCTTTTCTCTCTTCCTGCCGCCCTCTCCAGTTTCCTTTTGCCCCTTCCGCCTTCTCAATTGCTTACCTTCTCCCCGACCGGCCTTCTCACTCCCATCTGGGGCTGGCAGTGCTCTTCTCTGTCCAACCAGTAATAACACATGAAGGCCTTCCAGGAACCTTAGGGAAGCCTGGAGTCAAGAGCCTCCAGGACCAGGCCTAGAGACTTAAAGGTGGACTATTCTGAGGCGTTGGGCGCCCCCTAGTGGTCCCTTCATGCCACCAATTCCCACAGGATCCATAACGATAACCTTTTTTACAGAGCGGAAGGTGTCTTTAGTTAGGCTAAGTGGAGACTGAAACAAGGACCTGGCCTAATAATGCACCAAAACTGTAGAAACCTTCTCTGATCCCTTACTTTCCAAAACATTTTTTATAAGAAGGTAGGTGGAATAAAAAGCAAGTTCAGCACGGAGCCAGTGCACTTCACAACAATGCTTAATTTGTCTAGAGCCCCCAGTAAGATGCACCAACTCAAAAGCAGGGTGAGACAGATGGCGGAGTCTATAGCAATGCAGAGATGATCCTGGGAAAAGCCATGGGCAGAAGAGATGTCGATCCAGCAATAGTGGAGGCTTGACAAGGCCCTGGCACTTGCACCTGCTGATTTTTATTTAAGGACACTCAAGAGGCCAGGTGGCTCATGCCTGTAATCCAAAAGCTGTGGTAGGCTGAGGCCAGAGGATTGCTTGAGCCCAGGAGTTCAAGAGCAGCCTGGGCAACATAGTCAGATCCCATTTCTACAAAAAAAAAAATAAAGAAAGAAAGAAAATTAGCCAGGCATGCTGGTGCATACCTGTAGTCTCAGCTACTCAGGAGTCTGAGGTGGAAGGATCACTTGAGCCCAGGAGTTTGAGGCTGCAGTGAGCCATGATTGCACCACTGTGTCCCAGTCTGGGTGACAGAGCAAGAACTTGTCTCTAAAAAAAATTAAAATGCTCAGGAATAAATTTCTCTATTCTACGCATGACACACATTCCTCTGAAAAACCGCACTGTGACAGGCCACACAGCTACCTACTCAGGATGCCCCAGAAAAAGTCCCAGCCACAGATTCTGTCTCCCTTAATGACTAGAGACCTCATTCTCTTTAAATGGCAGATTGTCCCAACCGCAAATCTCTTCTGCACAGTCAGCCTGGGATGCAAACAGATTGCTTTAACGTGTAACTTTGAAAGTCAGGTTGTCATAACCTAGAACTCTGGGAAGCCTCATCATGAAATCATAAAAGCTTGTGTTTGGCTAAAGCAATGTGTTCATGTATCAGTAATTCATGCAATCCTGTACAAATGCAATTTTAACAGATGTTAGCACATACCTGAACTGGTGGAACATTTCCATTAATAACTGTCTGCTTGTTCCGGGAGGCTGGGGAGCCTTATCCTCATCTGCCGGCTTAAGTTCAGGTTAGGCTGGGGATAGAATTTCCATGTAGACATTTTTAAAGTAACAGTAGTAGACGCTTGAAAGTTTCTAGCAAATGGCAGGACATAAATATGCGACCAGCGTGACTGTTTTTGCACAGGTTCACCCACGCAGTAATTACTCCTCAGTCTTATTTGATACATGCTAATTCCTATCTTGTTCTAATTGATTTGTTTTCAGGTCCCTGGGTCTCATAGTGACAACAGTGAAACAAAGAAGAATGATGGCATTTCCCAAAAAGGAACAACAGTTCCCACATGTGTCCAAGAGGAAGAACTGGCCATGGTTGGGGCAGGGTAGTAGTGGGTTAGGTGGTAGCAGTGTCTCCATGTATAGGGAGAAGCCCAGGGCAGGTAGGCTTTGGCTGCCATCCTCTGGCACCGAAGTTCTCCTTAGCAATTGCCCATCTCATTAAGACAGAAACGCATGAGAAAGGGAGAAGACTGTCCTGGTCAGGCTGGGTGCACACACACTCTTCTGGCTATTGCTGGAGTTAAGGCCCAGAAAGATCTTTTTTTTTGAGATGGAGTCTCGCTCTGTCACCCAGGCTAGAGTGCAATGGCACAATCTCGGCTCACTGCAACCTCTGCCTCCTGGGTTCAAGTGATTAGAAAGATCTATTCAGAGTGCTGATGGGCCAGGTGCGGTGGCTCATGCCTGTAATCCTAGCACTTTGGGAGGCTGAGGCGAGCGGATCACTTGAGGTCAGGAATTCCAAACCAGCCTGGCCAATGTGGCGAAAACCTGCCCCTACTAAAAATACAAAAAAATGCCAGGCGTGGTGAGGCATGCCTGTAATCCCAGCTACTAGGAAGGCTGAGGCAGGAGAATGGCTTGAACCCAGGAGGCAGAGGTTGCAGTGAGCCGAGACTGTACCACTGCACTCCAGCCTGGGTGGCAGAACAAGACTCCATCAAAAAAAAAAAAAAAAAAAAAAGTGCTGATGGCAGCACTTATCTTTTAATTGCACATTCCGATGGAACGTTCTTGTCACAATTTTATAGAAACCATTGTAAAATGCAGATGTGGACATGCACTTAAAACAGGGGTCACAGAGGCTGTTAAAGGACACAGAAAAACAGAGGGGAGACAGAGATTGGGTGACTCAAGTGCTAATATTCTTCTGTCTGGAGTAACAAGGTTGTTGCAGTTCAAGAAATAATGTGTTCTATAGTATCTGGTTATCTGTCTCCGATGTGCCCTTTGTCATGGTTGGGTACTCAGCCATGGGCTGTGCCCATGTTCAGGTGGCTCCTCAGAAGATTGGCTACTAACTACCCAATTTGCTGACACCATTATCTAATTGTAAGCAGTCAAGTAATTACTGACGCCATTAACTAAGGCTTAGGAGTGGTGTTCCCAAACCACAAGCCACTTTAAAAGAGAAGTGGTCCTCAGTGTCCCAGCTATTAACTATGACCCTGTATTTGCTAACCTGGCTAGACTGCAGTACAGGAAGCTGAAATGTGCTCTCTGTACTCATAGCATGATTCAATTCAAGGCACCTGTTCTCACACTAGACTGACGGAGCAGCAGTTCTCACACTTCAGCGGGCATCAGAATCAGCTGGACGCTGATGATTCCTGGGCCCCATTTTCAGAAATAGCCATTCTATTAGGCCTGGGATGAGGCCTCAGAATTTGCACTGTTAACAAGCTCCAGGTGAGCCTGCTTCTCTGGTCTGGGGCCACGCTTTGAGAACCACTTGCCTAGAATCTGAAAAAAATCTCCCACTTAGGCTAGCCTGAGTCTTTTTCTTTTTTTTTTTACATAGAGACAGGGTCTCGCTCTGTTGCCCAGGCTGGAGTGCAATGGTGTAATCATAGCTCACTGCAGCCTCAATCTCATGAGCTCAAGCAATTCCCCCACCTCAGCCTCCAAAGCAGCTGGGACTACAGGTGTATACCACCACATCTGGCTAATTTTTGTATTTTTTGGAGAGATGGGGTTTTGCCATGTTGCCCAGGCTGGTCTCGAACTCCTGAGCTCAAGTGATCCTCCTGTCTCAGCCTCCCAAAGTGCTGGGATTACAGGCATGAGCCACTGCACCTGGCTAGTTTCACTCTTTCTTTCCCAATGTCTGTGTAGCAAGAAATAGGACAGATGCTACTCAGTCCTGAAAAGTAAACTATCACCTTGGCTTACAACTGAAAGAGATGTGCAGTTTTGTGAATTTCTGAATCAAAGTCTCTTTATTAATAACCCACGCAATTCCCATTTTAGCCTTCTTTTTTTTTTTTTTGAGACGGAGTCTCGCTCTGTCGCCCAGGCCGGACTGCGGACTGCAGTGGCGCAATCTCGGCTCACTGCAAGCTCCGCTTCCCGGGTTCACGCCATTCTCCTGCCTCAGCCTCCCCAGTAGCTGGGACTACAGGCGCCCGCCACCGCGCCCGGCTAATTTTTTTTTGTATTTTTAGTAGAGACGGGGTTTCACCTTGTTAGCCAGGATGGTCTCGATCTCCTGACCTCATGATCCACCCGCCTCGGCCTCCCAAAGTGCTGGGATTACAGGCGTGAGCCACCGCGCCCGGCCTAGCCTTCTTAATGCCCTGGAGAGATTAGCACTAGAAACAAGAACACAAAATTGCAAAATGAATAACCTTCCGGTGCCCTGGAGAGATTAGCACTAGAAACAAGAACACAAAATTGCAAAATGAATAACCTTCCGGTGACAGCTGTGACCACACTGAGGGCATTGGAGCCAAATAAAAGTATACTCAACTGCTTGTTTATCTCATTTTGGACTCTGCATATATTCAGTCAGTCGAAGCTCTGAGATGCCTGAGACAAGGAATGAAAAGTAAGGAATTAATATCTCAATGCAACAATTCAAAACTGAGAAAAGAAGGTCGGGCACAGTGGCTCAGGCCTGTAATCCCAGCACTTTGGGAGGCTGAGGTGAGGGGATAACTTGAGGCCAGGAGTTCAAGACCAGCCTGGCCAACATGGCGAAACCCCGTCTCTACTAAAAGTACAAAAATTAACTGGGCGTGTTGGCGGGCACCTATAATTCCAGCTACTTGGGAGGCTGAGGCAGGAGAATCACTTGAACCCAGGAGGTGGAGGTTGCAGTGAGCCGAGATTGTACCATTGCACTCCAGCCTGGGCAACAAAAGCGAAACTCCATCTCAAAAAACAAAAACAAACAAAAAAATACTTGCTGATGCAGAGTGAACTCTCCACTGGACCTTCCTCTTTCAGAACGCTCCAGAACAAAAGTTGGCAGCAGGCCCTGTGTGCTTGTATTCCCCAAACTCCAGAGAATTCATGTCAAGTATTCTAAAAAATTCTCCCACCACTCTTTAGTCTGGCTTGTTAAGCCTCTGGCCAGGGGATCAGAGGCAAGTCTCCCTTCTTGCAGGCACTCCAATTTCCATAAATTCTATGTTGGAGAAAAGGAGAGAACTTAAAGAAAATAATAAGGAAGGCAGGGTTTCCCAGAACACTTTTTACCTGATCAGGAAGTGGAATAGAATAAAAGTCCTCAGGAAAAGAACTAGGATATCATTTCCCTTCTCTAAAGGATATTTTGTGGCTCATGGCTGTAATTCCAGCAATCTGGCAGGCTGAGGCAGAGGATCGCATGAGCCCAGGAGTTCAAAACCAGCCTGGGCAACACAGCAATACCCATTTCTACAAAAAAAAAAAAAAAAAGCCAGACATGGTGGCATGCATCTGTGGTCCCAGCTACTCAGGAGGCTGAGGCGGGAGGATCACTTAAGCCCAGGAGCTGAAGGCTGCAGTGTGCTATGATGGCACCACTGCACTCCAGCCGGGGTGACAAAGAGAGACCATGTCTCAAAATAAATGAAAAAATGAATGTTTGTGCCTCAAAATTCTTAGAATATTGACTCAAATTAGGATGAGATTCTGATTTCCTTCTTAGTGGAGCTCCCAGAAAGATTAGCTCCTAAAAATTTACTCTGAAGAGGAAAAAGAAACACATTGGTGTAAGTGACCTTCCAGACGCCTATTGTTCATCATGGTGTGAGTGCTGTGATATTCTCTTTCACTGTTTGGGAGCCACACTATCCCTTAGCCTTGCAAAAGGGAGCTCCTTCTGCGTTCTGTCTTACAACACAGGAAGATAGCACCTCATGGACCAAAGAGAGTCTTCAGCTGCCTTGACTTGTCAGGCATTCCTGTGTTAGGATTGACAGAGCATTCCTGGCTGGCACTTAATGAGTGTGCATGCCTGACTTAAGTTTTCCATTAGTGGCCTGTGTGTGCGCTGGGTTGTGGGGAGTGTTAAAATTTTTGACTTAACATAGTTTGGCAAATGACACAAGTCTTGTAAAAAACTAAATAACAGAGCCCAAGTGCAGTGTATCATGCCTGTAATTCCAGCACTTTGGGAGGCTAAGGTGGGAGGATCACTTGAGCCCAGGAGTTTGAGACCAGCCCGGGCAACATTGTGAAACCGCATCTCTACAAAAAATACAAAAATTGGTTGGGCATGATGGTATGTGCTTGCAGTCCCAGCTACTTGGGAGGCTGAGGTGGGAGGATTACTTGAGCCCAGGAGATAGAGACTGCAGCAGTGAGCCAAGATCACACCACTGTACTCCAGCCTGGGTGACAGAGCAAGACCCTGTCTAAAACAAAACAAACATACAAAAAGGAAAAAAATCAAAAACATACAGGGATCAGTAGAGTTCCTGGAATTCAAGGAATGTTAGATATTGGTTCTTATTTATAACCTAACATAGTTCTCATAAATAACCTGCTTGCTCTTTTCTCTATGTCTGTCTGTTTGCTCTGGTATTCTGTTTTTGTTTTTATTTTATTATATATTTTTTTGAGACAGGGTCTCACTCTGTTGCCCAGGCTGGAGTGCAGTGGAGCAATCATAGCTCACTGCAGCCTCCAACTTCCAGGCTCAAGCAATCCTCCTACCTCAGCCTCCTGAGTAGCTAGGACTACAGGTGTGCACCAGCACACCTGGTTAATTTTTGTATTTTTTTGTAGAGACGAGGTCTCACTTTGTTGCCCAGGCTGGTCTTGAACTCCTGGGCTCAAGTGGTCCTCCTGCCTCAGCCTCCTAAGTGTTGGGATTACAAGCTGCACTGCTACTCTTGCATCTTCCAGCTTCCCCAATTCTCTCTCTATCCATACCTCCTTCAAATCTCACTCCTTTTAGGAAACTATCCCGGATTTTCCCAGCTTATCCCCAGTTGTGTTTTCATTCACGTGAATCTACATATTAACTGCCAGAGTTGGTTAGAGGTGCATGAAGATGGAAATAATACCTTGTCCTTCATTTTATGACCTTCCACAAACACGTAATAAATACTTGTTAAGTCCTTAAACGAGGTAGCAGTCACAGTATGGTGAGTTTGCAGATGATGCCTCTTTAATTCATAATTTGAAAGTATAACGTTCTATAAAATTATAAATAATAACTAATCAAGAAGTAGATGATTTTTATTCAAGTGAAGATTATTTATTAACAAAAGCATGAAAATAGATGCTACCCTGTGTGGATAATTACTAGATCCACATGAACTTGGCTTTCAGAGAAGTGGAATGTGATGTTCTGCTTTTTCATTTGTAAGTCAATCATCCAAAAACCCAGACAGATCTAGGCAAGGAAAGAGAAGGGAGGTAAAATGTAATCAACATAGGCTGCAATGGCCTGCTTATTCAGCTGTTAAGACATGCAGTAAAATGGAAACTTTTAAATAAAGTGTATGCATTCATTATAACAAAAAAATGAATACATTTAATCAAAACATGGGCCTTTAGGATAATAAACGGAGAACAAAAAATAGAATGTGTTGAGATAATCAAGACAAAATAGCTATGATCGTTTTGATCATCTCGATTTCACTATGGCCCTCCTACAGGGTCCTGTAGTGCATAAAAGTTGTTGGAAAAACAGCTCCGCCTCTAAAAAACACAAGGGAACCAGAAGAGGTCAATCTTGCATTTGCATAGTGAAGCATAAAGAATCTGCATTAGAGGTCAGAAAATACAAGTTATTGATCTGTGTCTAATCCTTTAGGTGTGTGAAACTCGGTAAAGTATCAGCCTCTATGGATCTCATTTGGCTAAAATGCAAATAAAGAGTTTGAATCTGATGACCTCTAAGGCCCCTTCTGGTCTAAAATTCAGCACAATGCTTGCAAAGGCTTGGAAGAATCAACTCCTATTACTCTGTGTGTTCAGTTCTTAATTATGAATGGTAAGATGACTGCATCTTTAAAACATTGTCATTTCATGAACCTGTCATGGGTTGACTACTCTCTAGCTTTGCCATGATGTGGATAGGCATGAGGGTGGGGTTTCACTTTATCATGACGAAAGCCACAGTACAGACCGTACATTTTCTGCTATATACTTGGAAAGGAGACACTTTCTCAGACTAGAAAATGAATCAGAAGATTGAGGGAAGTTAGGAAGCATGAATCAGGGTTCCTTGGCCTTGTTGGGAAAAAAAAAAAGACAGATTTTTGAAACACTCTTGAGTGAGAATTGAGACCGTGCTCATACAGGCATAAGCAAGTCAGGAAAATAAGGCAAGCAAATTTTATGAAAGGTATGTTTTCCGGCTGGGCGCTGTGGCTCACGCCTGTAATCCTAGCACTTTGGGAGGCCGAGGCGGGCAGATAACTTGAGGTCAGGAGTTGGTGACCAGCCTGGCCAATGTGGTGAAACCCTGTCTCTACTAAAAATGCAAAAATTAGCCAGGCCTGGTGGAGGGCACCTGTAATCCCAGCTACTCAGGAGGCTGAGGCACGAGAATCACTTGAACCTGGGAGGCAGAGGTTGCAGTGAGCCGAGATTGTGCCACTGCACTCCAGCCTGGGCGACAGAGTGAGACACCATCTCAAAAATGTTTTCCTAAGCTTTCTAAACCTAGCTGTTTATATAGTTTATAAACGTAAATCCCTCTCTATTCCTCAGAAGTAAAATTCTAGTATTTGCAGATTTAGTGTTGTATAAAACTTTTTTGTAGTTGCCAGAATTCCAGTTTGCATATAAGCAAAGCTTGAGTCACTCCTATTAAGGATAATTAGAAAAAGAAGGAGCTGGATATAGAGAAGGGGAAAAGAGAGAAGCATGAAAACAGTAGAAATATTTTTTCAGTGCCACATTATAAAAACAAATAAATTAAAATGTAATATTTCTTCCCCCAAACATGAAGATTTGTAGCTCTAAAAACTCCTGAGCTGACTTTTGGTTCTGGTCATGATGAACTAAGAAGTATCAGACTTAACACTTCCAAAATAATAAGCACAAAACTGGACAAAATGCATGAAGCAGCTGTTTTCAG
Organism: Homo sapiens; assembly: GCF_000001405.40. Taxonomy (NCBI): domain Eukaryota; kingdom Metazoa; phylum Chordata; class Mammalia; order Primates; family Hominidae; genus Homo; species Homo sapiens. Next base: position 23,076,858 of record NC_000010.11, read on the forward strand.
TCATAGACAACAGAGAGCAAAGGGTTGTGATTTTTAGAAGAAAGGAAACAGTACACTTGCCATGACAGGCTTGGAAGGTACCCGGGGGCAGCTTCCACACTGTGCAAGAGGAAAGTGGAACCCAAACAGATAGCAGTGGTCTCACTGTGCTAAGGAAACAGCAATTTGGTTCAAGGCTGTTAAGGCAGCTAGAATTTGGGGGTTAGAATGCTATAGAGGAGACAGCTTCTCAGAAGAGGAGCTGCAGAAGTCCTGGATTCACAAAGCGTCTTTAAATCCTTAAATCTTTGGCTGAAGACAAAGTTGCGCACATGGAGGGTAAGACTCTGTGGGGCAGAGAACAGCTACTGAGGACCTCTGAGCTGAGCAGCGCAGAGGTTCCAGAGGTCACCTGGAGCTGGAAGATGTCAAAGTTCCAACCAGTCAGTGTGGAGAAAACTTGCTGAACATCTCAGGTATTCAGTTGAGAGCCTAGAAAGGCCACATCTAAAACACGGACTACCCAAGACCTGCCCTAACAAAGCCTAAAACAAGTCTTAGCAAAATCACACTAATCCATCAGTAAAGTAACTGGATGCCAGAAGTGAACCAACATACTTAAAAAAAAAACATCAAAATCCAGCACTGGCAGCATTCTCAAAGTCCAGCATACAATAAAAAATTACTAGCTGTGACAAAAAGCAGGAAGAAAGTGGACCACAATCAGGAAGAAAATAAATTAATAGAAGCCGACCGAAAGATGACACATGTTGGAATTCTTGGACAGGACTTTAAAACAGCTATTATAAATTTGTTCAAGGATTTAAAGGAAAAGATGAACTTAAGGAGTTAACAGATACAGAATCTCAACCAAGAAATGAGAAATATAAAAACAAGGAAGCAAATAGAAATTATAGACCTAAAAAATAAAATGTTTAAAATATAATATTTAATTGTATTGATTTAACAGTAGATTAGCACTGCACAAGAAAAGGTCAGTGAACTTGCAGACAGCATATCAAAACTGAAGCACAGAGAGAAAAAAATAACTTAAAAACATGGACAGAGCTTCAGTGCCTTGTGAGACAGCATCACATAATCTAATAAACACAAAGTCACAGAAGAGGAGGAGAGAGAGATTGAGACAGAAAAAAAAATCTAAAGAAATAATGGCTGAACAATTTTCAAATTCATGGAAAAATTTCAACCCACAAATTGAAGAATTTCACAAGCCTTAGTTAGAACATAGTGATATTCACATCTAGGCACCATAGTCAAAATGCTGGAAATCAAACATTAAAATCAGCTGGTGGGGCTGGGGGACAAATCACTTTACATGTAGGAGAATAAGATAATTGTTGACATCTCCTAATACAGTACAAGCCAGAAGTCAATGAAATAACATCTTTAAACTGCTGAAGAGGCAGGAGGGGTTTCTATGGGGAACTGTCAATCTAGAATTCTATAAATGGGAGAAACATCTTTCAAAAATGAAGGTGAAAAGACATTTTCCGAAAAACAAAACTGAGAGACTTTGTTGTCAGCAAGCCTGCACTACAATAAATGTTAAAGCATGTTCTTTAGGCTGAAGGGAAATAATACCAGTTGGAAACTCAAATCTGTACAAAGAAATAAAGAACACCGGAAATAGTAAATATATAGATAAATGTAGAAGAACCTTTTTCATTTTTAAAATGTTTTCACAGGTAAATTAAAGCAAAAATAGGACTGTGTCTGGTGGCTCACAGCTATAATCCCAGCACTTTGGGAGGCCTAGGCAGGTGGATTGCTTGAGTCCAGGAATTCGAGACCAGCCTGAGCAACATGGCAAAACCCTGTCTCTAAAAAAAAATTTAAAAATAAAAAATAAATAAAGCAAAAATAAAACAATGTGCTGTGGGGTTTATGGTGTATGTTGAAGTAAGATGTTTACAGCACAAAGACCAGAATGTGGTAAGTGGATGTGCAGTCACCCCTCAGTATCCTTGAGGAATTGGTTCCAGGACCTCCTACGGATACCAAAGTCTGCAGATGTTCAAGTCCCTTATTAAGAATGGCATAGTATTTGCATGCAACCTACTCACATCCTCCCATATACTTTAAATCATCTCTGGATTACTTCTAATACCTAATACAATGTAAATGCTATATAAATAGTTGTTATCTTATATTTTTATTTGTATTTTATATTGTTATAGTGTTATCTTTTATTGTTTTTTAAAATATTTTCTGTCCATGGTTGGTTGAATGCCCAGGTGCAGAACCTGTGGATATGGAAAGCCAGCTGCATATAGTTTAAGATTTTATATGAGAACTGGTATAATAGACTGCATGTAATAAGGATGTAATCGTAACCTCCAGAGCAACCATTAAAAACAAATACAAAGAGGCATGACTCAAAAATTCAACACAGGGAAAAACAGAGAACCAAAATGCCAAAAACTCAATTAATGCAAAAAATCAGGGAATGAGATTTTAGAGAAAACAAAAAACATTTGGGACAAATGGAAAACAAATAGCAAATAAGCCCCTGAGTCAAGTGTAATGATTCCTGGCGGGACTTAGCTTCTATGGGAAAAGCCCTTATAAATATTATTATAGTCACTAAATCACATAGCCATGGCAGTCCACAGGCTCAATAGTAATATCTATGATAATTTATACACATTAAACTTGTATGAATGGGTTATTAATAATTTCCATTTACTATCTTGTAATCAAGAGAAATTTTTTAGAACCTTCTTACCCAGCAGTTTCAACAAGAATTCTGCTTTGCTGCAGATAAAATACATTTTGAGACTAAGAGCTATTTCCACAATGATTGAAGTATTTCTGATTCTATGACTGGGAGTTGCTTGGGATAGTCTTGGGGATAGACTTTTATTTAAGCTGCCTGGTCCAGACATTCTGAGTATCTGATGCCCTAGCTTCCTGAAGGAGGCAGTGGGGGAGATGAGACTTGAGCACACAGACCTGCAGTGGGAGTGTTGCACAGTCCTCGGCATGAACCCTGAGGTTGCCCAGCTGCTGGACTGGAGAGAAAGACACTAAACCAGGCGCACATGTCCCCAGTGAATGCGGGAGAGTGACCCAAAGGTTGACAGATGGCAGGACTGAGAAACAGATCATGGGTGTTTGTAGACCTAAGTAACCTGAGCCTCAAAGCAGGAGTTTGTTTATGGCCGAAGTGGAATTCCAGAGGACTTGCTGGGAGGAAGGGTGAATCTAGGGTACCACAAAATCAGATTATGGGAGGGGACAGGTAAATGGAGGAGGCTTAATTCACTGTTTATTTCTTTCTGGTTTTCCTTTTGCATGTGCTCATGTTGTTTAGGAATTGTTAGTCTGCCTGGGCTGGGCTAAACGGAACGCAGTAAATTTGTTGTTGCTGTTGTTATTTACAACAGAGCAGGACACTGGACACTGACTGTTCCCAAAAGGAAAGGACGGAATTGAGACCCACGTGTGGACGCTTTCTCCAGTTTTGGAGATGTTCTTTCTAGAGCTCTTTCTTGCAAAACTCTTGGAGGGCTCCGGATTTCATATATGGGGGCAGATTCTTCCGTTACTGAGAATGGCTCAGATTTAATTCCATCACTGCTGCTGTAATGTGAACACGAGCAGCTTAACCTCCACGTGGTTCATTTTCCCCACCCATAAACTGTGGAATGGGATATTTACAATGTACCCAACTGATGGGGAGTCTCATAAAACAAAGTAATTACAAAGACTTTTATGTAGTGTGTGTGTGATAAAATAAAATTGACTGCATTTCTACAGCTTTTAAAATAATCCATAATGAAGTCAATGTGCCATTTTACAATGACTAATGAAATTTAATTTAAATACAAACTTTAGTAATTTATAAAATTGAAAAAAAAAAGCCAAGGATCCAGTTGAATGATGAACACTATTTTCTTGTTTTCTATTGACCTCTTGGTAATCATAAAAGCCAACTTATTACCTACATCAAAAATTTTGTAAGTCTATTAAGTTTCTAGAGGTGATTTTTACTCCATTATCTTGGTAGTATTTCTGAAAAGGCATTAAATACAAGGACTAGTTTCTCCATCTGCTCTGCAACTCTGATTTCCTTGTTTCTAGGGAAATTTACAAAGCTTCTCTTTGAAAAACAAAACAAAACTACTCCATAGCCATCAAATTAAAGAAAAACGTTTGCTCAAGTCCTAATTTTTTTCCTAAGGTAAAACTTCCTTTTCAATCCTGCAGTATAAATTGGACTTTTAGGACTTGCTGAAAGCAGTGTCGGGGGTCAGTTTCCACTGTAGAGTTGTCCTTATAACAAGCTCTGGAAGCATCTTGCTTCATGTTGCCTTGGACCAGATGCCAGTCAAACGAGCAAAAAAGCAAGCCCAGTTATGTAATTATTTTCCAAACCCAATGTCTTGATGCTTTGTTTTACTTTTAAATGTGGCCAATTTCAAACGCCTCTGGGCTCATGGGCAACATTTAAACAAATAACACTCACTGACGCAGAGCCCCAGGCAGCCTCTCTCTTACTCAGTCAGGTTTCAGCTGTCTGCATGGCAAAGGTCCTAAAAGAAAGATTTTGCACAAAGCTTCTGAGGTCAAGAAACCCAAGGCTATGTGGAATAATTTGCTCTTACTTCTTTTTCCATGGTTCTGATTTTTAAGTACGGGGGATTACCCATTGCCTGTAGCTCATTAATCACGGTAGCTTTTGATTATGAAAAGTGCTGTCCAAAAGATAGGACTCTGAGGACTTGGCAGGGAGGTTCTCTGCCCGTCCCTTGAACGTGCCAGAACACCCTGAACTCTGCCAACTATGATTACACTTGGCATTAATTGAAGATGCTGAGAGATATAAGCCTTCCTGAGTTTAGCCACCTGGAGCAGATTAAAATCTGGGTCCTGCCGGTGAGGAGGTCTGAGGGATTGGGAATACAAGGCTGTTTTAATCTTTTCCAAGTCAGGCTGTTTAGAAATATCCATACATCAAATGTTCATGGATCTCATACAATTTCCTTCTCAGGGGAGAATTCAATTACCAGTAACATGAAGTGGGATTAACTTGTTGTGGTGAGCCATCTGGAGACAGAAGATTCACCATCCCCTGTAAATATGTTCAGAGATTTGCCCCCATGATTTCAAAGAAGTTGCTGAAGGTGCTCAAAGGCACAATGATGTTTGCTCTGAAAGCCTTGTTCAGTGGACCCAGTGAAATTAAGATGCAACTAGAGGATAATCTAGACCTTCCTCCATGCTGAAATACTTCTCTGCCACAAGAGGGTGATATTTGGGTTTCAAGGACCAGACTATTTGTAAAGATACAACAAGAGCCGGTGGAAGCCGGGTGCGGTGGCTCACACTTGTAATCCCAGCATTTTGGGAGGCTGAGGTGGGAGGATCACTTGAGCCTAGGAGTTCAAGACCAGCGTGGGGAACATAGTGAGACCTTCTCTCTACAAACACATACAAAAATTAGCCAGGCATGGGGGTGCGTGTCTTTAATCCCAGCTACTCAGGAGGTTGAGGCAGGAGGATTGCTGGAATCTTGGAGTTGGCCACTATAGTTAGCCATGATTGCATCACTGCACTTCAACTGAGCAACAGAGTGAGACCCTGCCGCCGCCCACCTCGCCCCCCGACAACCCCTGCCAAAAAAAAAGAGCCAGTAGAACCGTCCTGGAACCATACTTCATATGTAAACAAAGGCTCATGAAAATGGAAGTGCATGGACTGGAGGACTAGCAGAGAAATTACTGAGTTAGAATTCAGCTTTCTAGATTTTTATTCTAGAATGCCAGATAGATAGGGGTGGTTCCCTTGAGGAAAAAAGGAACACATTTAGATTAGCCTCAGAAAGTAAAGGACCCAAAGGAGCACTAGAGGCAGCAAAAGTCTTCACATATGAATGGAAGAAAAGTAATTGGCAGAGTGTGGGGATAAAGACAAGATGCCTCAGACATGAAGAGCCCAGGAGATCAATGACCAGAGGCGGAGTTCCCTGGACCAAACCCAGATTCATCCTGAAATAATGCCAGTCTGCAGAGTAGGAAAGATGCCAGGCCTCTGGAGGGGAAACTCACCTCTGCTAAAAGGTAAGTGCTAGCCCACCAATTTGGCCAGAAAACCTCTGTGATATGGGAACAGAACCAGATAGATCAGAATAATAAAATACTATTTTTATATTGGTTTTACTAACTGTTCATCATATTTAAATTCATATTTAAATATTAAAATCACCAACAAACTATATACAAAGTATCTTCTTTAACTTGCAAATAAATTATGATACATCCAAACAATAGTGAAGCCATTAAAATTACACACACACACACACACACACACACACTGATTGAATTTTGAGCAATATACATAAGCTTTCGAGATGCATTTGGTAAGACTAGAATAAGCTTAATTTTTAAAAAGCAGGCAATGGAACTAAGAGAAAAGAAAATTATAAACTAAACTCAATTTTGAACATAAATGCAAAAATCCTAAAAAAGACATTGGGAAACCAAATTAAATGCATGTTTTAAAATAACAAATCACGTCATGACCAAGTATGGTCATGAAAATGACCTGAAAATTTCAATGATGACTTAGCATTAGTAGAAACTCTATTAATATAATACACTACATTAACACAGTAAAAGAGAAAAATTATATGATTATCTCACTGCAGCAGGAAAGTCAACAAATAAAATCCAACGCTCATTCATGACAAAAACTCTTAGTAAACTAGGAATAGAAAGGAACTTCTATATCCTAATAAAGATTAACTACCAAAAATCTCCAACAATCTATGCTCTGTATCGGGGAAATGTTAGAAGCATTTCCTTTAGAGTCAGGAACAAAACAAGGGCACCTGCTATCACTACTTCTATTCAACATTGAATGGGGGTCTCAGCCAGCACAATAAGAAATTAAAGGTATTGGACAGGAAAGGAAGAAAGATGATGTGATAATGAGATTGTTTTCATAGAAAATCTAAGAAATTCTTCAAGACACATTGTTGAATGCAAGAAGGGAGTTTGGCAAGATTACTCGGTAAAATACAGTCATATACCATATAATGACATTTCTTTCAACAATAGGCCACATATACCATGGTAGTTCATTAAGATTATCATACTGTATTTTTACTGTACCTTTTCTATGTTTATATATGCTTAGATACACAGATACTTGCCATTGTGTTAACAATTGTCTACAGTATTTAGTATAGTCACATGCTGTACAGGTTTGTAGCCTAGGAGCAGCAGGCTATACCATATAGCCTAGTTATGTAGTTGGTTGTACCATCTACGTTTGTGTAAGTACACTCTATGATGTTTACACAATGACAAAATCACCTAATGATGCATTTCTCAGGATGCCTCTCTCTTCGTTAAGCAATACATGACTGTATAAATATACTAAAATTACCCTCAAATACACAACAAGAAGAAATTAGAATGTTTAACACACACACAATAGCAACAAAGGTTACAAGGTTTCTATGAATAAATATAAGAAAAGATGTACAAGCCCTTTATGGACAATAGCATAAAACTATAGAAAAATATAAAAGAAAACCTAAGTTTTCTTTTAGTACTTCATTATTTTAACTTATTATTTTAATTTCAAATGTTATTTTAAAAAGCAGCAACTGTCTGCCTCTTACTCTATAAATTCAAAGCAATTCCAATCAACATTTCAATAGAATTTTTTTATGCTACTAGACTTCACATGGAAGGTGATTCTATATTTCACTTGTATGAATGGAGAGCCAAAAATAGCCAATACATTTTTGAAGAAGGAAAATTTATATTTGCCAAATACTAAGGCTTAATATGAAATGATAGTATTGATCCAGCTATCTCACTTCTGAGTATATATCCAAAGGAATTGAAATCAGCATGTTGAAGAGACATGTGCATTCCCATGTTCATTTCAGCATTAGTCACAATAGCCAAGATATTAAAGCAAGCTAAGTGTCCATCCACAGATAAATGGGTAAAGGAAATGTGGTATATCTACACAACAGAATACTATACAGCCTTTAAAAAGAAGGAAATTCTGTCATTTGCAACATGGATGAACCTGGAGGACAGTGTGCTAAGTGAAATAAGCCAGGCACAGAAAGACTATATGATCTCATTTATACGTGGAATCTAAAAACATTGATTTCATAGAAACAGAAAGTAGAATGGTGGTTATCAGAGCCAGGGAGGAGTGGGGAGCAGTGGGAGAAGGCAGGGAAAGAGCAGATGTTGGTCAAATGGTACAAAGTTTAATTGGACAAGAGGAATAAGTTTTGGGTATCTTAAGCCACAGCATGGCAGCCATAATTAATAACAATGTATTGTATATTTCAAAATTACTTAAAGAATAGGTTTTTAAACATTCTTACCACAAAAAAAGTGATAAGGGGTGAGGTGATAGATACATTAATTAGCTTGATTTAATCTTTCTATACTACATCATTTTGAATACCACAAATAGATGCAATTATTGATTATTAATTAATTTTAAAATTACAGTATTGAAACTGGTATTGGTACAGAGCTAGAAAACTGGTCAATGGAACAGAATATACTTTTTAATAAATGGCTTATTAAATGGACATTTAATAAATGACTCTGACAACTAGCTCTCTATGTGGAAAAAGACTAAATTAGATCCCTACATCACACTATACCCCAAATGCATTTTCAAGTGGACTAAAAACTGAAATGTGAAGCTTTAGAAGACAACCTAGGAGCATATCATTATTACATAAGATTCATTAGAATAAATAAAATAGATTTTAAAAATCCATAGCTGAAAATTTAAAAAAAATTGACTGAGAAAACAAGGTGGAAACGGATACCTACAGTAATGACAAGAATATGTACTGTTTGTAGAAAATTATATGCACACATATGGGAATAAACATGATAAAAGTGCATAAATAAACTATAAGCATAAAGCTAGACAAATTTAACTACTTAAAAAACAAAATATCTATAGAAAAAAATATCATGAGCAAAGTAAAACTCCAATCCACATAATGGAAGAAAATAATTGGAATCCATATATTCAATAAACAGTTGATGTGCATAATAATAAAGGATTCCAATAAGGCTGTAATAAAAAAGAAATACTCGGAAAGAAAGAGACAACATGTCCACAATTCAGAAGGAAAGCCGCAGTGGCCAGTAAATATCTGAAAAAATTCTAAATCCCATTAACAATCAGGGAACTGAAAATTAAAAATCAATGAGACCCCATTTTGTACCCACCACATAGGCAAAAACTAGTAAATCTCATAACATCAAATATTGGGGAAGATGTAGGGAAAACAGGAACCCACAGACACTGCAGGTACAACTACTTTGACGAATGATGGGGAGTCCTAGGAAAACTGAAGATGAGTGTATTCTTTGATCCATGAGTTCCATTTCTAGATGTCTACTCTAATGAAATCTTGCATGCACAAGGAGACTTGTATGAAGCTGTTCATTGTAGCATGGTTTGTAATAGCTAAAGAATGAAAGCATTTCAATTTTCTGAACTAGTCCATTTTCTCACTGCAGTAAAGAAATACCTGAGACTGGGCATTCTATAAAGAAAAGAAGTTTAATTGGCTCACAGTTCCACAGGCTGTACAGGAATCATGGCTAGGGAGGCCTCAGGAAACTTACAGTCGTGGCAGAAGGTGAGGGGGAAGCAGGCATGTCTTACCTGGCCAGAGCAGAAGGAAGAGAGAGAGGTGGGAGGGGCTACACACTTTCAAACAACCAGATCTCACGATAACTCACTCACTCTCATGAGAACAGCACTAAAAGGAAAATCCACCCCCAAGATCCAGTCCCACACTGGGGATTACAACTGGACATGAGATTTTGGCGGGGGACATAGACTCAAACCACATCATGTCTATAAGGAGGATAATGGATATCCTCCAGTTTATTGATACAATGGATTCTCTTCAACAGCTAAAATGAAAGAACTCAAACTCTCTCTCTCAATAAATCTTTTAAAAGCATAATACTGAATGATAAATTCAAGTTGCAAATGTATACAGACAGTATGATACCTCTCGTGAGGTTTTAAAATACACTGAATGATGGCTTAAACTCTTTTAACATACAGTCATCTGTTAAAAAAGTACAAAAACACACATGGAAATGGGGAGAAAGATAAGGAAAGGAGGAGAATGGGGAATGAGAATTTACATGTATTTCCATGTTTAGTCAACAGAGAGAGAGAGAGATTGGGCAATGTTGGAAGACAGGAGTCTGAGGCAAATATTTAAAACTTTTAACCTCTGCATGTTAGTACACTCTGCTTGTTATAGATATGTTACATTGTAGTCTTTGTTTTCTGGATATTTTAAGTATCTCATAATTATGTAATAATTTTTAAAAGATACTCCTGGCCAGGCGCCATGGCTCATGCCTGTAATCCCAACACTTTGGGAGGCTGAGGTAGGAGGATCATTTGAGCCCAGGAGTTCAAGACCAGCCTGGCCAACATAGTGAAATCCCATCTCTACAAAAAATACAAAAATTAGCTGGCAAGGTGGTGCGTACCTGTAGTCCCAGCTACTTGAGAGGCTGAGGTGGGAGGATCACTTGAACCCAGAAGGTCAAGACTGCAGTGAACCCTGATCTCTCCACTGCACTCCAGCCTAGGCAACAGAATGAGACCTTGTCTCAAAAAAAAAATAAAAAATAAAAAATAAAAAAAAGATACTCCTGAAAAATTAAGTGAAAAAATATAAATATAATTCAATTAGACCTATAGGTTCTAAAGATAAAAGACCCATTTCAAACTGACTTTTAAAAAGACAGTGGGAAATTTATTAAGATGATGAAAAATCAAGATGTAACCTTCAGGTGAGTTCTAGCAGCTCAAACAACATCACCAATGACTCAGATTCTCCACACCGCTCTATTCTGTTTTCCAAGTGATTGTTTTTGTCATTAGTATTACACTATGTTCCCTAGCCCAGTCACCAAAACGACAGACTCTTCCTCATGCTTCCAGATCTCAGCTCTCATTCTCGCACTGTCCTGACCAGGGAAAGAATGAACTTTGTCATTCTTTCCCCATGGGCTCGGCAGACAATTGATTTCTTGCTCCTTGGCGGTTCTGTTTGGCTTGTGTGTCCATCTCTGATCATATCCTTGAGGGTAATAGGATGGAATCAGTTAAGTGGCTTAAGTCAATCAGGGTCTAAGTCTAGATCAGTGCTTCTCAACAAATGGTGGGTGATTTTTCCCCTAAGGGAACATCTGGCAATGTTTGGAGACATTTTTAGTTGTCACACGGGAAGAGGATGCTACTGGCATTTAGGAGGTGGAGACCAGGAATGCTGCTAAATATCCTACAATGCACTGGACAATTGAAACCTATGCCCCCCGACCCACCCATACGCTCACCAAAGAATTATTTGGCCCAAAATGTCCATAGTGCTGAGGTTGTGAAATTCTGCTCTGGAGCCATCTTATCTAAATTTCATGACTGAGAATGGGAAGGGGAGTTGTTTCTCAAAGAAGAATCAGAGTATAGTTCAGAAGGAAGGGAAAGTAATTAAACTATCAGCCATCAATTACAGTATACTTAAAAAAGATTGAATAAATATATACACCAAATATTATCAGTAATGATTTGAGACAGTGTTCAATAATTTCTTTACATGCTTCTGTTTTCTAATTTATCTAAAATGAAATTTTGTTAAATGTAAAAAGTCACTTGAAGAGAAAAGTACAAAAGAAGTATCTTTTCACCAAACAATCCTAACCTCTTCCAAAATGGTATGCCTCAGTAGAGATTGGTTCCATGTGCATGCTTTTACCCACTTTTACTGTCAAGTATGAACTATTTTGTATTCTACTTTTTTCTCCTTGACATTATTTCATGCAGACCATTCCATAAATCCAGGTAGTCTTCATATTTGACATTTTAATGGCTATATAATGTTTCATTGTATTGCTATGTCAAGATTTACTTAGTCATTTCCTGGCTGTTAATGACTCTGGATTCATCTGCCATTATGAAAAGCATAACTGTAAACTTCTCTGCAAAACTGGAGCTTTCTTTACTATTGATTTTTTCCCTTGGGATTTGCTCCACAAAGCCAATTTGCCAAATTGTCATCTTTAGTACATGTTGTCAGATTTCTTTCCAGAAAAAGTATGACCCTATTTCTACAGACAGTGTATGAGTTCTTAAAGCTCTGGTAGCTTTAATTCCAAAAAAACACTATTATTAATAATTTAATATGCATGAGGCAATATATTAGGCCATTTTAATTTTTAATTCTTTAATTATTATGGAAGCCAAACATTTTCCCAAGTGTTTGTTCACTATTTGTATTTTTCCTTGTGCAAACCATCTGTTCATATTCTTTAACCATCTGTCCAGTCAGACCTGAAATTGGCCATATAGATAATATTAATTTCCCTAATATATATAATGTTAAATGTTTACTGTTATGTGTATTACAATACTCTCGTATTTTTATCATTTTAATTTTTCTAATTTGAGAGTAATCATTTTTTGTTCTTCATCTTGTGGTATGTATGTATGTACTTAAATTTCATTCACTTGAACCTGTCAACCTTATCATTTGTTCAGTGCTAACTCCTTTTATTGCTTTTATTGTCCAAAAATTATTTTTATTTCAAAATGGATGTATGCAGTATTGTTTTATTTCGTGTGTGTGTGTGTGTGTGTGTTTGTGTATGTGTGGTAGGGAAGTTTAAACTTTCCCTCTGAAGTGAGACTGCTGAAATAAACTGACAATAGAGTAGCAGAAGAAAAAGCATACAAATGTATTAAAGTGCACATGGTCACAAGACCCCCACAAATATGAGACTCAAAGAAAGGCCAAATTGTTGAAACTTATATATCTTCTTCATAGGGAAGAGGGCGATGGCGGAAACTTAGGCAATTTTGAGGGATTGTAAATAATTTTCAGGAAAATTGAATAGGCCCAAAGAGCAGACAGTAGTTTTTGAATTATTCTTTTCGGAAGAAGAATGGGACCCACAGTTATGGGAAGGTGAGGGGCAGAACTGTACTGTGAACAAAGGTTGTCCTATTATGCATTTAATTTTTATTTAAATAGTAAATATTTAAATAATCTTAAATAAATCTTAAATAATAAAGTAATCTCTCAGAGGTGCCATCAGAAGAACAGATAAAAAGTGTTTCAGGGCATAGTGATGACTTTTAGTCTTTCCTCTTCTCCAGTAGTTAATCTTTCCTGGTTATCTGATAAGATTCCTAGTAAAGAGATCTTAAGACAACTGCACTTCTTTTGGAAGACTCAGTGGGAGAAAGCCCTTCTCTTCACTTGTGGGGAAGAAATAAAAAGTTAGAAAGTCGTTGTTTCTGAGGCAGCTTCTAAAGCTTTCCAATTTCATTTAATTCAAAAATGCTCAGCATACCAGAGCACCATACTTGGGGGGTATTGTACTCTGAGCTCTGACATGATACACATATCCACATACTACTTTTAACTCAAAAAATAATTCTTTTGAAGTGAATTATTCATCTAAGCCTTAGACGCCAAGGTTACTTCCCCTGTATTGATAGTCACTTTCCCACAAAAAATATACTGAATAATTTTATATCCCCTTGTTTCTAATAGGTTAAATATGTATTAATTTCTGGAACCTCTTATCTCTCTGGACTATTTTTTGGTTATTATTTCAATCAGAACACTGTTTTCATATCTACTCTTCCTTGATAAGCACTTTTAACATGTGAGAGGCTACTTCTCCAATATTATCTTTAACATAAAAGTCTATTTTTATCCACATTTATTTCAGTTGTTATTTTTTCAATTCCTGTAAAGTAATCCATTGGGATTATAAGTGACATAGCTTAAATCTATAAGTTGAATGTATTTTAACCTTCGTAATTTCAGCTCTTTGGTCAGCAAGTGTATCTTTCCATTTTTCACCACCCGTCATATAATTACAGACTGAAGAGAGTTGAGATATAATTTGAGTTCTAGTTCTAGGCCACCCTCCCCTGTATTCGTGTCATTTTCCAGATAATCAAACCAAGGCCCAGAGACTGGTTTGTCCAAAACATCTGTATCTGCTTAGGAGAACACCTAGAAATTGAACCCAGAGCTTATCCCATGCTATTTTTTTCTATCGAACCATTTATTTAAGTCTTCATTCACTGCCTTTAGAGCTTTAAAACTATATTTTATATATATTAGATGTTCCAGTTGGTTAGTTTCTAGGAATTCTCTAGATTGAGGTAAAACAAAAATGAGTATCGACATTGAACTTTGGGCAGATGGAAGCAGATAAAGTATTTTCAGTGCAGATTAATTGTGTAAAGCTTATTCCAGTCCCTCATTCTTTCCCAAATGGTTTTTGGTAGGGAAAAGCAAATTGGCTTTTGCACTTATCTCCCATTTTTTGGTCATTCTATCCTATCTTTTAGGGATTTTATTATCAAATTTATAGTTTGCAGAGAAGTGTGTTGGATATACAAAGAGTCAAAGTTATAGAATTTTGCCTTTCCTGAAGATTCTCACAATCAAATTCAGGACATCAGATATACACTGTGTCAACTTCATGAAACAGAAAATCCCAGTAACAGTGATTTAAACAAAATATAGATTTATTGGTCTCTCATGTAATTGGAAATCTGAAGGCAGGCAATCCAAGACTAGCATATTGACTCCACACTGTCTTCAGAATCCTGGGCTCCTTCATGTCTTCTACTTCTTTAAAATCAAGATGTGGGTCTCATCTTCATGTATACCAGAAGATTGCCAGTGCTCCAGCCATCATGACTAATTTCCAAGCAGAAACAAAAGACAGAGCAAAAGTCCAGTGCTGAGCCAGCTCCTCTTTAACTAGTTTTCCTGGTAGCTCCCAGTGATGTCTGCTCCTATCATTGCCCATAACAGCATCATATGATTGCCACCAACTACAAGGGAGCTGACAGATGTAACATTTTAGCTAGGCATATTGCTACTCTTAATAAAATCAAAGATCTGTTTGTAAGTAGAGAGAGTGGATATCGGCCAGGCAAATGATAGTCTCTACCACTCAGTGTACAAAGTAAAAGGGAAAACATAAAGTAGAGTTTTGTTCAGGCTAAGACCATGTGTCCAAGAATGTGAGGTTAATGCATGGCCTTGATGGTTAAGTTGGATTCAGATAAATGGTGGTGAGAAGAGGGGACATTTTAAGACCAGTAAGGGCTTGATCACAGATGAGGTAAAGGTCCTCCTAGCAGGTGTAAAGGAGAATGGTGGTAGGGAGGGAGGGACTTCCTCTGTGCTTAGAATGTCTTTCTGGGAGTGTGAGGATATGTAGAAATGCAAGGATAGATTGGTTATCAGCTCTGTTTACCAATTACCGTTGTCCTCATTAAATCTTCAATAACAACTAACGTTTATTAAAACCAAGTATGTACCAAAGGGTTTGCTAGGTGTTTTAACGTATGTTGTATCTAATCCTTACAATAACCCCATTTTGGGGATAAGAAAACTGATCTGTCACAGGTTGAATACTTGATCAAGCTCATGCGTCTTTTAAATTTAAGATATTCTGACTTGAATGTGTTTTACACCAGACTCCATGATTTTTTTCCCACAATGTCACAATGTTAAGTTAATTTATTAACTTTGCTTGGGATTGGGGGTGAAGGTGGGTGAGTTAAACCGGTATTCCTTGATATTTTCTAAATTCTAAACTTTAGGGGAACTTTACAAACTCTTCAACTAACTAGCAGTGTGATCATAGACAAGGTACTTATCCTCTCTGGATTTGAATTTGTTTACTTATTACTCAGATACAAAACCAGACAGATACTATAAGAGAGGAAGCTTTCAGTCCAACATCCTTCATCAACACAGACACAAAAATTCTAAAAAAATGTAATCCATGATACATAGAACATAATCCAACAATACATGAAACAAATAATAAAACTGACAAAGCAGGCTTTATTGAAGAAATACTAAGTTGGTTTAACGTTTGAAAATCAAGTAACAAACTACAAAAAGAAAATAGGAAAAAGGTATGATTATATCAGTAGCTGCAGAAAAGCATTTGACAAAAATCCAACATCCCTTCCTGATAAAAACTCTCAGTAGACTACAAATAGAAATTTCCTTAATCTGATAGAAAATTTATGAAAAACTTATAGCTAATATCATACTTAATGGTAAAAGGCTGAATACTTTTCCTCTAAGATCAGGAACAAGACAAGGATGTTCACTCTCAACATTTCTATTCAACACTGCGCAGGCTCTAACCAGTGCAATAAGGCAAGAAAAAGAAATCAAAGACATCTGTATTAAAAAGAAAGAGTAAAACTCTTTCTACACAGATGACATGATTTTTCTATGTAGAAAATCTGATAAAATCCATAAAATGTTACTAGAACTAAGAAATGAGTTTAGAAAGATTACAGAATACAAGATCAATATACAAAATCTACATACTAGCAATCAGAAATTGAAATTGATAAAACAATACCACAGCATCAAAAATATGAAATGCTTTAGGATGAATCTATCAAAAGATGTGCAAAACCTATACAGTGAAAACTACAAAACACTACTAGTAGGTGTTAAGGAAGACCTAAATAAATAGATAGGCATATCTTTATTCATGGGTCAAAAGATTCAATATTGTTATGATATTAATTTCCCCCAAACTTATGGATAGAATCAATGCAATCCCAATCAAAACTTAAGTAAGATCATGTGTAGAAATTGACAGACTGAATCTAAAATTTATGTTGAAATACAAAAGACCTAAAATAGCCCAAACAACCTTAAAAAAGAACAGAGGTACAGTACCAATGCTAGCTGGTTGCAAGTCCAGTCATCAGGATATTGTAATATTGATGTAAAAATAGACAAATTAATTAATGGGACAAAATAGGAAGTCCAGAAATAGACACAACACATTGATAGGAAACTGATTTTTGACAGATTCAAAAACAGTTCAGTGGAGAAAGAGTAGTCTTTTAAAAATTGGTGCTAGGAGCCAGGCCTGGTGGCTCACGCCTGTAATCCCAGCACTTTGGGAGGCCGAGGCAGGCAGATTACCTGAGATCAGGAGTTCAAGACCAGACTGGCCAACATGGTGAAACCCCGTCTCTACTAAAAATACAAAAATTAGCCAGACGTGGTGGCACACGCCTGTAATCCCAGCTACTCAGGAGGCTGAGGCAGAAGAATTGCTTGAGCCTGGAAGATGGAAGTTGCAGTGAGCCAAGATCGTGCCACTGCACTCCAGCCTGGCCGACAGAGACTCTGTCTCAATCAATCAATCAATCAATCAATAAAAATGGTGCTGGAACAACTGGATATAGATATGCAAAAAACAAAACAGATAAACAAAACAAAACAAAAATTTTGGCCATATATAAAAATTCTAAATCGGTCAGAGACCTAAATGTAAAACCTAGAACTATAAAAATTTTAGAACAAAACATAGGAGAGAATCTTTGTGATCTTGGATTAGGCAAAGATTTCTTAAATATGATACCAAAAAAAGAACAATCCATTAACAAATTGATAAATTGGGCTTCATCAAAATTAAAAACTGCTCTTCCCAAGACAATATTAGGAGACAGAAAAGACAAACAAGAGACTGGGAAAAAAAATCTTTGTAAAGCATATGTTTGATAAAAGATTTGCATCCAAAATATATAAAGTGTTCTAAGCTCAATAATGAAACAACTCAACATTAAATGGGCAAAAGATCTGAACGGACACTTCACCAAGGAAAATACACTCGCTGCAAATACGCACATGAAAAGATGCTTAACATCATTAACGATTAGAGAATGCATAATAAAGCCACAATGAGCTACCACTACACAGAACCGGAACATCTACAGTTAAAATCTCTGGACTTTCAAGTGTTGGCAAGGATGAAGAACAACTGGAACTCGCATAGACTGCTAGTGGGAAGGTAAAGAAAAAAACCACTTGGGAAAACAGTATAGTAGTTTCTTAAATGGTTACACCTACCTTACGACCTGGGCATTCCACTTCCAGGTATTTACCCCAGAGAGGAAAAACCGTATATGTCTGTACAAAGATTTGCACAGGGATGTTCCTAGCAGCTGTAGTTCTAATCAGGAAAAATTGAAAGCAGGCTAAATCAAGTGCTGACTAAACACACGGTGGTATATCCATAAATGGAATACTGCTCAGGAAGCAATGAATGATTGTTCCATGCAAAAACACGCAGGCATGTCAAAGTAACTATGTTGAGTGAAAGAAGCCAGACAAAATCAAGTACATATGGGATGATTCCATTTATGGACGACTCTAGAAAATGCAAACTAAAACAGATCAGTGTTTGGGCTGCGGATGAGTGGAGTTGGGATAGGTGGAGGGGGGCAGGGCGAGGGAGGAGCAGGAGTGGGAGGAGCTGGGAGATGCAGAGATGGGTTGGGGAGGGTCTCATGGAAGGGAAGGGAGAGAGGAAGGGGGAGAGGAAGGGGGAGGAAAGGCAAGGGGAAAAGGAGAGGAAGAGGGAGGGGGAGAGAGAGGCAGAGTGGGAGGAAAGAGGGGCGGGGACCTGGGAGGGCCCAGGGCACATAGTGGGAGGAGCAGGTGGGAAGGAGGGAAGGAGGGAGGGGCAGGGGAGGGAGAAGAGGGGGAGGGAGACGAGGGGACTGGCGGTGTGGGCGGAGCGTGGGGAGGGAGGCCGACTAGCGCAGGCGGACGGGAGAGAATGGGGGAGGGGTGGGATGGGAGCAGGGGCAGAGACGGGCAGAGGGCAGAGGGCGGAGCGGCGCCGGAGCGGGCGTCATGGCGCGGCTCCTCTGGTTGCTCCGGGGCCTGACCCTCGGAACTGCGCCTCGGCGGGCGGTGCGGGGCCAAGCGGGCGGCGGCGGGCCCGGCACCGGGCCGGGACTGGGGGAGGCAGGTAGGACGCGGGTCCCGCAGGCCCCGCCGCCGCCTACGGCTTTCGGCTTCATTTCACCGGCTGCACCCGGGAGCCTAGGGCCGGTCCAGGCCGGGCGCTGCCCTCCTACTAAGCCCTCCTCGGCGCGCCCCTCCCCCCCCCCAGCCCGAGGATCTGGGACAGTGGATTGTAAACTTGGTGGCGGCAGGGTGGGGACTGACCCCTGTGAGAATCCGAGGAAATGAACAAATGATCCCCCTAAATGTGCGCATAATTTTTTTTTTCTTGGCTCGGGGAGTGGGGGCATAAGTGGGGCTCGGGGGCCTCTGACCCCTATCGGGGACTCCAGGCGAAGGCCCGGGGCCTGGGCTGTAGCAGCCCGGCCCGCGCGCCCCTGCGAAGGCCCCTAGTATTTTGCATTGCAGCCCTCTTCGTAGTTCCGCGGGCTTCCTTCCAGCATCTGAGAAGCAGGCAGTTCAGACTTGGGGTTCCTGTGAGTGTTTCCTGCCCTGCTGACTTCCCATAAATGTGTCTAAGAGCCAGGGAGACTGGGTTGATCATTTGTTCCTTCTTTAAGGTGACAGCCATTGTTAATGACTGAGACAGAGACCAGGGCGAGCCTGTGTGTGTGTGTCTCTCTCTCTCTCTGTGTGTGTGTGTGTGTGTGTTTCTGCTAAATACTTTTGGATCCTCTCTTGGATCTGGGTACCTGCACATTTCACCAAGCAGGAAGGAGTCACCTCGGGAGACCTGTGCCAGCTACCCCTGTATTTCAGTTCTATTTCAGGGTAACTTAGTGCCCCAGGGGATTGGCTTCCTGGGCGGTTGCCAGACTGACCCACTCTGAATCCAATTTTATATGTGTTCATTGAAGACATTCAGAGATACCCAACTGATGAAAATGTACCAACTCATTCTGAGCTCTTTTTAGCCCCTGAAGTTTTCGAAATGCAATATTGAAAGAATACGTAACTAAATAAAAGCGTTGGCGTTGTGGAATGTTAGCTCATCCAACTTGACTTCCAGCTATGGCCTTTCTAATCACTGGTGTCTCTAGTCAGTCTGATGACATTTGCTGTGAGCCTACTGTGTGCCAAGCATTGTATTGCTGAGAACCACAGGTGATAGAAACAGGTCACAGTTACCGACGAGCTCTCTATAACCCCTTGAAAAAGGATGGTGGTTTTAGCGGTAACTACTTCATGGCTGTAATTGCTGCTGTCAGAAGCAGCCTAATGAATTGCCCTGGGATCTGAAGTTCTCCAGCAACAATAAAATTTGGCCAGCCACCAGTAGGTAACAGGAGCTGTGTACCTTATCAGACACCCCTCCTGGGAATCTATTCGAAGGAAATAGTTCAAAAGAAGAACAAAGAGATATATGCAAAGATGCTTTAAGCACTAGTCTCTTACAAAATGGAAACTGGCTGTAACCCAAATCAGTTAAGAAATACTTACGTAAATCATGAAAATTCAATCCAACAAACTGTTAGGCAGCCATTAAAAATGATAAACGGAGTATTTCTGTGGTGAAGGGCTTGGGTATGAATAGATGCAGATTTTGAGTCTTGGCTCTCGGTTACTTCCTGGCTCTGTGTCTGAGCTCAGGCTGCTATTGCAAAACACCGTGGACTGGGTGGCTTCAACAACATTTTCTCACAGTTCTGGAGGCTGGGAAGTCCAAGATCAAGGTGGGAACAGATTTGGTTCCTGATGCAGACCTGCTTCCTGGCTTGCAGTTGACTGCCTTCTCACTCTGCCTTCAGGTGACTGTCTCAGGAAGGACCACTAATCCCTCAAGAGAGCCTCACCTTTATGATCTAATCTAAAACTAATAACCTCCCAAGCCCCACCTCCACATTCCATCTCATTGGGAGTTAGGGCTTTAGCATATGGGAGTGGGGAGAGGAGCAGGGAGAACATATAATATTCAGTTTGTAACAATGTCTTTGGACATGTTTCTTGAATTTGGAAAGTTTAAACTTCAGATTTTTTTTCCTTCTGTCAAATAAGGATAATGATAATGGTAGGGTTGTTGTAAAGAATAACTTTTTAATTAAATATTTTGTTACAATGCTTGACACTTAGGCACACAATAAATGTTAGTTATGATTACATAAATAAGTGGAAAGGACAAAAATGTAGCTACATTTAACTTACATCATGGGCTTCGGGAGTGTTGAGAGAGAGGGAGACATTGGGAGGGGGGAAATGAGAAGATATTGAAATGACAGTATTTTTTTCCAGTGCTGCAATTTCTCATATGCTTAGAGTGATTTTTTTTAATCCAGATTGACAAAGAGCAAACTGAAAAAGGAAAGTAAGAAATATTCTGGAGCAAAAAATCTGTTGCTTCAGGAAAATATTCTTTCTAGAGATGACTATGCTAGGAAACTGTCCTGGGCATAGGGTTAAAATAGTCCAGGCACTGGTGGGAGAGACTAGTTCTGCAGATCAGAATGGGCTGGGGATTCTTTTAATACCAGTTTCTAAAGAGTTCCATTAGATTCAACACATTATTTATCAAAATGGAGTGGGCTTATGTGTGACAATTGGCAGTATAGCAACTGTGGCCAGGAAGGTTAGCAAAACCCGAAGGAGGCACCCAGTAGGTGACCATAGGACCAAGAGTGGATTTCCTTAGGGATGAAAAAATCGAGGCCCACCCCGTAGAACTTCTGACCAACAAAATATATGGCCTGTGCAAATCACAGCACACAGAGAGAAGGGAACTCCAAGGAATTTGAGTTTATTAAGGCATAATTCAAAGTAAAGCTGTGTAGTTATCTCATGCAATAGCAGCAACCGATAAATGTTTTCATAGTGAAGATAGCAAGAGAATGTAGAGGGAATCTGGAAAATGTGTAGCCCCCAAAGGATGAGCACGTGGTGCAGAGGACAGAAAATACCTGCACACACACAGAAAAGGACACAGCCAGTGTTGAAACCTCTCTCTAGCCACGGTAGCCAGAAGACTTGACTCATTCCCAAGTGAGAGACCTTGTCGTGTATCTAATTTACACGTGCCTAAATTGCTGTTTGATAAAACTGCTCAGAATTTACTCATACTGTAATTTTTATTTAAACTTTGGTTGTTTTCTAAAGCCCCAGTGTGTTCATTTGCTAGGGATCCCATAACAAAATATCACAGGCTGGGCAGCTTAAACGATGGAATTCATTTTCATACGGTTCTGGAGGCTGGAAGTCCAAGGCCAAGACTTGTCCTGAGATTTGTCCTGAGACCTCTTTCCTTAACTTGGGGATAGCTGCCTTCTTGCTGTGTCCCCAGGCGGCCTTTTCTCTGCTGTCCCTTCCTCTTATGAGGACACCAGTCTTATTGGACCAGGGCCCCCTCTTAATGGCCTCATTTTGACATGATTGCCTCTTTAAAGGCCCTGTCTCTAAATGCAGTCACATTTTAAAGTACTGGGGATTAGGACTTCAACATATGAATTTGGAAGTTGGCGGGCAGGGAGTGTCACAATTCAGCTCATAACATCCAGGTCAAAGAAACCTCTTAAAGTGATACAGCCCACATATAACCTGACCTGGGTGTACCCAACTGAGCGTTCATCATTTTGCTATCAAAGCAAAGTCTGTCTGCCCTTGACTGAGCCTTCTAGGCTGGCAAATTCTGCAGCTAAATGTTGCATAATTGGTGCTTGAACAAGAACTAGTCTAAACATTATTGCCTACCCACTAAAGTTTTCGCACACATTAAAAATAGTGTAAAAGGTCCACATTGATAAGGATTAAAAGAACCATTAAAAATGTCCTTTCCATATTGTACTTAGATGAAGGCTTAATTCTTTTGGTTAGCAATTTAAATACTAGTTATATATTTTAAACTTAAAAAGAAAATATTATGGCGTGGCACTGTGTCACGCACCTGTAGTCTCAGCTACTTGGGAGGCTGAGGAAGGAAAATCGCTTGAGTCCAGGCATTCAAGGCTGTAGTGTACTTTGATCATGCGTATGAATAGCCATTGTGCTCCATTCTGGGCAACACAGTGAGACTCGGTCTCTTAAAAAAATTAGGGCAGAGGGAGAAGGTGGTGTCTGAAGAACAGATAGTCACTCTCTAATACGTGTAACAAAATATAGAGGTGTGGGAGAGGGAGCTGGGAACCCAGACCAACTCAAGCCTTAGGTTCAAAGCGAAAGAAGTACATGTTTTAAAGCTCAATTCATGAGAGTCCCACTGACTTTTAGCTCTTCTCTAATTCCCACTTTCCAGTGTCAGCTACTATAGTGTACTGCCTGTTGAGTCACACTAAGGACAGTGCTTCCAGGAGACAATAGGGTTTTTTTCTAAGCCCATTCCACTTCCTGCCTGAAAGGAGACAGGAAGATAAAGCCAGCTTCACAGACTGTAAATTCCAACCTTTGTACCTGAAGTTGGTCCTCTTACCTATCTACAGGAATAATGCAAGATCTTTGCCAAAGCTAAGAGGAGGGTGTTTTATCATGATGCGTTTAGTCCTTTCCTTGACAAATGTCAATGATAGCCAGAGATTAGGTCTCACAAATTCCCCCACGGGACCAGAGTTTAGATCTGGGAGGAGGAACCCAGGACATACACTCTTTCTAGCAAAGCCTGTTCTTGCTCTTTTTAGTGCCTCTGGCTAAAGCATTCTCTTTTTAAATCATTTGAGGTGGCCAAGAAGAGACAGGATCCTGAACAGAAGTGGCAAAAAAACAGACAGGAAGAGGCTTGTATTAGTTTGTTTTCACAGTGCTATAAAGAAATACCAGAGACTGGGTAATTTAGGAAGGAAAGAGGTTTAATTGGCTTACGGTTCCACAGGCTGTACAGGAAGCATGGCTGGGGAGGCCTCGGGAAACTTACAATCATGATGTAAGGTGAAGAGGAAGCAAGCACATAAGCAAGCACATCTTACATGGTCAGAGCAGGAGGAAGAGAGAGAGGGGGAGGTGAACTTTTAAACAACCAGATCTCTCGATAACTCACTATCACGAGAACAGCACCAAAGGGGAAATATGTCCCCATGATTTAATCACCTCCCACCAGGCCCCACCTCCAACACTGAGGATTACAATGTCACATGAGATTTGGGTAGGGACACAGAGCCAAACCATATCAGAGGCAGTCACTCGTTCCACTGTGACAAGATGGAAAAAGGGTAGATGTAGGTATTAGTAAGTGTGATGGTTTGGTAGCCAGAAGGTTTGTGGCTTTTGATTTTGCAAAAGTGAAATCTGTTGAGAGGAAGGGGAGACGTAGTAGATAGATACCATGGTTTGAGGAGAGTGGAAAAGGTTTTTTGTTTTGTTTTGTTTTGTTTTGTTTAATTTCAATAGCTTTTGGGCGAACAGGTGTTTTGTTACATGAATAAGTTCTTTCTTTAATGGTGATTTATCAGATTTTGGTGTACTCATCACCCGAGCAGTGTACATGGTACCCAATGTGTAGTCTTTTATTCCTCATCCCCCTCACACCCTTTCTTCTCTGAGTCCCCAAAGTCTATTGTATCATTCTTATGCCTTTGCATCCTCATAGCTCAGCTCCCACTTATGAATGAGAACATACGATGTTTGGTTTTTCATTCCTGACTTACTTCACTTAGAATAATAGTCTCCAATTCCATCCAAGTTGCTGTGAATGCCATTATTTTGTTCCTTTTTATGGCTGAGTAGTATTCCATAGTCTATATATATACCATCATTTCTTTATCCACTAGTTGATTGATGGGCATTTGTGTTGGCTCCATATTTTTGCAATTGCAAATTGTGCTACTATAAACGTGTGTGCAGGTATCTTTTTCATGTAATGACTTCTTTGCCTCTGGGTAGATACCCAGTAGTGGGATTGCTGGATTAAATGGTATTCTACTTTTAGTTCTTTAAAGAATCTCCACACTGTTTTCCATAGTGGTTGTACTAGTTTACATTCCTGAGAGTGGAAAAGGTTTAAAACACTCATTGCAGAGAAATGGGAAGAGAGCTGACTGGGGAAAGATGGTTCCATGGTTCACTGAAACCCCAGTGAGATGAGTAACTTTGAGTTTATAAGGACAACCCTCTCCCCAGGTGGGGGATTTTCTCCAGTAGTGCTTGATGGTACACGGGTAGCCATGGAGAAGATAGTTTTTTAAATAAGCTTTTTTATTTTGGAATAATTTTAGATTTATAGACAAGTTATAAAGACAGTACAGAGTTCTCAAGACCCCTCATCCGGATCCCCCTGGTAATCTTCTGACATCATCATAGTACATTTGTCAAAACTGTCTCTGTCTTTCATGACCTTTACAGTTTTGGGGAGGACTGGTCAGGTTCCTTGTAGAATGTCCCTCAGTCTGGGATTGTTTGATGTTTCTCCTCACAATTAAACTGGGATTATGGGCTATTAGGAAAAATCTCATAGAGATGCAGTTCCTTTCTAGATTCATGTGCTCTTCCCCATCTCTCTCCCCAACACTGAGACACACACGCGCAAACGTACACTCACACACTCACACTTACTTATTTATATTTCTCTTGCTAAACCATTTGAGAGTTGCAGACATCATGACACTTTACTGCTAAATATTTCGGCATGTTTCCTAAGACCAAAGATGTTTTCCTACAAAACTGCAAGACAGTTTTCCTCTCAGGAAATTGAGCACCCTTGTCTAATACACAGTTGATATTCAAATTTCCCACCATATACCAACAATGTCTTTTATAGCTCTTGTTTTTTTTTCTGGGATCTAGAATTTAATAAAGGGTCACACATTGGTTTTAGTTGTGGACAGTCCTTCTTTTGAATAATTTCCCTCAATTTTCACTTATGTGATTTTTTCTTCATGAGACACTGATTGAATGTTTTCAGCAGGAAAACTTTACTGGTGATGTTGTGTCCTTTCCAGAGCATCACATCAGGAAGACAGGATGTCACTTGTCCCACTGTTGGTGATGCTAACTTAGCCTACTTGGTTAAAGTAGTGGCATTTTCTTTTTTGTAATTAATAAACTTTGGGGTTGTATTTTGAGAAGATGTGACTATCTGTTCCCCAGTAGTCTTTCACCCAGGGGTTTTAGAATCCTCTGATGATTTTTACAAAATGGTGATTTTAAAAATTCTATACTTCCTTCTTCATTTATTACTTGACATTCTGCGTGATAACTCTGAAGGCCATTGAGCAATAGTAATTATCACATAAATACATTTTGTTTTGTTCCCAAAGTGTCGAATACCCCAAAAATCATGTGTTAACTGAGGTATATTCCATAGGAATTTCAGAGATCTATTTTCATAGCAAAAAGAAACCCCTGTAGTCTTATAAAGATTGTATTTAATAAAAGATACCTCCTAGGGGAGCCCTTGTGTAAAAATAATAACAGTAATAAAAAGAAAGAAGAAAACTTTTAATATATTAAATAGCCTAAAAACCTTTTAGCAAAATGTAAGCAATCAACTATATGTATCACTGGAAATGCAGTATTGTTCAGTATTATAAACTGGAGAGGAGATAAGTCTTTTCTTGCCGAAGGATAATTTAGGACTTTTTTTGTAACCTAAAATGAATTTCAACTGTAACTTCTGACGTGTTTGATATATAGGTGCTGGCATCACGGGCATTCAACGTTTCATCTTCAGTGCCATAGTCAGATTACTAACCCTTTGGGCCTCTGTTTCTCATCTGCAAACTGAAGAGTTGGACACATTATAAAATCCTTTCAGATTCTTAATGTTGGATGATTAAAAACATTTATTATAGGAGTTGGGCTTCCTACTCCCTTTGGCTAAAGAGAGTATTGCTCTAGTTACTTGGTTTACACTCACGTGAATAAATGTAGTAATATAGATGCCAAGGTGAGTAGGAAAGAAGAAAACAAAATATGGACAAAAACCATGAAGCATCATAATAGATTATGGTAGGTCTGTTTCTCTTTCAGGACTATATGCTATGGGAGTTTCTTCTTTTGTTCCATGCAAGAAGATTTTTAAAATAGAGACCTCCCTTGACAAAGAAAATCAGAGATATCCTTATAAACTAGCAAGGGAGAAGAGTTTAATAACCGACTAGCTCACAGTTCTTTTCTGCCCAATGCCTCAACTACTTCTGGCTAGATTCTGACAGCAACTGCTCCTCTAAAAGTCATCAGAGAAGAGAGGATCAGTTTCTACCCTTAGGTACCCGAAGGGAATGTATTCCGCATTCTTTCATATTTCAGCTGCCTCTTTCACTTCTGTGCCCCAGGAAGACTAGAAAACTGGCTCTCTACTTCTTGTTAATTTCTTATTAAATTAAATAGTCAATGAAGGCATTTTGTGCCTGAGCCTTCTGGTCCCCATGAAGAATAAACTCGTGGGAGAGAGAGGAAGGGACTGGATTATTCTGCTGGGTGACAGTACACTTAGGGAAAAAGGTCAAGGAAGAAAAGTCCATCAGGCATTTTTGTTTTAATTTTTAAAATTCCTGTTTAACAATACAGGGTCTCTTGCAACGTGTGAGCTGCCTCTTGCCAAGAGTGAGTGGCAAAAGAAACTAACCCCGGAGCAGTTCTACGTCACAAGAGAAAAGGGAACGGAACCGGTAAGCTAAGCTGGTTTACAGTTTTCTGATTGCATGTGTTGGCAGTGAGGGGCCAGTTGGAATAGGTCCAGCTATGAAACCCAGCTGCCCAGCAACACTCCACAGGCCTGGTCTTCCTCTTCCATTGTGCCCTTCTCGGGGTGTTGATATCCATCGAGTTGTAGAAACCTGAAACTTTTCTCTGGACACAGCATCTCTATTCTGACTCCTAAATAACCTTCCTGTCATTTCACTTCCATGCACCGCTGTCACCTCCCCGTGGGGCCAAGTCACCATCACCTTCTCTGTGCATGGCCATTCTTGCTCCAGCCAACCCATTCTCCACACTGCAGCCAAAGAGTTCTTTGGAAAACACAGATCTGACCATATCACTCCCCAGCTCAAAACCTTTGGTGGCTGCCCAGTGCTTTCAAGGAAAAAGAAAAGTATGAGATGGCTAATAAGGTCCTAACGGCCCCTGGCTCCCACCCCTATCCTCAAATCCAGCCATCTTCCCTCTTGACACGGTACTTTGGCCACACCACCCTTGAGCTCTCACATGCCCTGGGCTCCCTTCTCTTTTAAGGCCTTTGCACCCAGCTTTCCTTCTTCTCTCCCGTCATCCCTCCCCACACTCTCCACCCATTCATTCAGACCTACCTTGTAGCTCTCGGCCCAAATCTCACTTTCTCTGGCAAACCTTCTCCTAGCCCCCAGCTAGGGTTGCTTCTAGCAGAACTCTTCCTTCATAGCATTTGCCATCACTGCTGTAACCCCTGGCACCTAACGTGGTGGCTGGCCTAGTAGGCATCCGAAAAATCAACTTTTGTGAATGTTGAATGACTGCCGGGTAAGAGGTGGAAACATTATTTAAACTGCATTTGGCAATCTCAGCTTTCATTCATTTTCTGAGAGAACAACCCTCAGTGGTTCTTCATTATAACACCACTTTTTACAGTGCTACATTTATCTCTCTCTCTCTGTGTGTCTGTGTGTGTGTGTGTGTGTGTGTGTGTGTGTATACAAGTTTCTGGGGTACTTGAGAAAATTTGTTACACATATATAATGCATAGTAATCGAGTCAGGGTATTTAGGGTGTCTGTCACCCGAATACAATACATTTTTGTTAAGTGTCATCCTCCTACTCTGCCATCAAACACTGAGTGTATTCCTTTTCTCTTACTGTATGTTTGTGGACTTTAAGCCACTCCTCTTCATCCTCCCCCTACCCCCTGCTTTCCAGGGTAGGAAACCCCCTTTCCAGGCTCTGTTATCCATTTTTCCACTCTCTACCTCCATGTGTTCAAATTCTTTAGCTCTCACATATAAATGAGAACATAGTGCCGCGTTGCTTAACAAGTGGTCTGTCTTAGACCCAAATATAGCTACTGGAATGTAGCTTTTTTGAATTGAACTTTGTTATTAGATATTTTTACTAGTGAAGCAGATCCCACAGAGTGGACCCCAGCCCTGTGGCTTCAAACATAGTAGAGTATGAATGTTTTTTCCTTTGTCAGCACCTGCAAAACTCATGTCACTACCCACATGCACTGCCATTGTAATCATGGTCTCACCCTCAGTTTTTCCAATGCTAAAGTCATCAGAAGGGCCAGCACATTCCAATAAAGTCCCCTGAAATGCTGGTATTTTTGAAAACTTCCTGTAGGCGGGATTTTACTAAAGCCCTTGTTGGGAAAGAGACTACATTAGCCATTTGTGTAGACTGCACAAGGGAACCACATGATACTCTGTGAGCAGTTGTATGTATTCCCAGAGTATTCTAAGCCAACCCTAATTCTCAGGTACAGAGCCAGGCAGGGCTTGGTACATAGACAGACCCTAGAGATGAGCTGCCAGATGTTTAGGAAAATAAATCTGTGGGCTTCTCAAACAGATGGTGCAATATACTCTCTGCATTTGGCCATTTGACAAAATGAGCATCATTCATTATTTTAACTAATGTTATAAATCCCTTTCCATGGATCCATTTCCACGTTTAACTTTTTAGAGTATTGCAGAAATGTAAGCCTTCATTAGCTTTGTTCACCTAAGAGAAGAGAAATAAAACATCGAAGGCTTCTCTTTGGTGACTCTAAATTAAAATTCCCTCCCGCATGTTTTTTCTTGGGCAACGGTAATGTGCTAGCACTCTGCTAGACCAACGAATAAATTTACAGGATGGCTGAGCAATAACTGAAAGTCAAGTATCAATAGAAGGGAGGTTTTGTGCAGGTCATTCTCTGTCTACTCTCCAGATCCACTCTCCGCGGGCTCCCCTGCTCTGAGCTCTAGGAAGAGTGAGCAGCTCCCTTTCCCCCAGCTATTGATTCAGTTTAGCCAGTGGGAGACAACAGTGAGATCAAAAGGTGGGATGGAGAAATCGCTAGAGCCCAGCGTTCTCTCTGTGGGGCTGCAGGATGGCAGTGGCTGTGTTCCTGTACTGCAGGTGGCCCCTCTTGTAGGCAGCCCTCCCCTGCAGGTGCAGCCTCACCAGGTTCTGGCCACTCCCTCTTCCTTTGTCCCACAGGCCTAGTGGAGGCCATGGCTTCTCAGAGTCATTAGCCCAGGGATGCGTTGCCCTCACTTGTGGATTTCCATTGGCCCCGTCTGCACCTTTGTAAACAGTCCTGTGTGAGGTTATCTGCAGTCATCCCTCTTGAGTGTGTCATCTGTTTCCAGCAGGTGCGTTGTATTGACAAGATGGAATGGTGAACTGCCATTGGTCCAGCAGACCTTGCAATCCCAGGGGAATCTTGAACATCATTCTCTCTCTGACCCTGGCCCCTCCCTGTGCAGCCAGGCATTTCAATTCTCTCTTCTAAGTATTCTTGAATCTCTTCTCTTTCTTTTATTTCCACTGCTCTGCCTGAGCAGGAGCACACTCCAGGCCTGCATGTGTGATGGAGGTCGGATTGCCCTCTGCCTCTGGTGGCATCTTGCCCCATTCCAGCTCATTCTTTACCTGAATGTCAAGCGATCTTTCTAAAAACCAACTCCAATCAGGCGTACACCCAGTTCACAAGTTTCCAGTAGCTTCAAATTTCCAGTAGGACACAGTTTAAGCTGTTTGTCGTGATCTAACCAACCCCATCTGGCCTGGTCTCACCTGCCTTCCGGCATCATCTCTCTCCATCCTCCTCTTTGCCCTCTTCTTTCATGTGGGCCTTGACCAAGGTATTCTGCCTGCCAGAAATACTCTTCCATTTCCTCATTCAATTAACTCTTACTCTTCAAAAGTCAGCTTAGTGTTGGCATTTTTCTATAATAAACAACCATCAGTTGTGCAATTTAGAATAATAATAAAAGGTTAAGAAATAAAAAGACTTCCTCCCATCTCAGATAATATCTGATACAGTCAGCCTTTGTGGAAACTCCCCCCTTCGTAGTGAAGGGTACAGCGCTACCCGAACTCCATGCCATCTCTATCATAGCTGTCACCACATGGTATAAATTGTCAGCTCACGTGTGTCTTCCTCCCACTTAGGGAGCAAATTCTTTGAGTGCAGAAACTGTTTTGCTGCCCACCTCTGCAACACTAGCACCCAGCTCAGCCTGGGTTTATATTAGATTATCATGTCAATACTAGAAATGAGATAGAAGCTGAGTTTAACCCTAAATAAGTTACAGGACTTGTATAAAATTGGAGAGGGAGGGAAACATCAGGAAGCTAGGCAAGGAGAGAGTGGGTAGATGTCATTTCAGAAACTATGTTGGCTGAGTATTCCTTTTCATTGATTTTTTTTTTTTTTTTCTTGAGATGGGGTTTTGCTCTTGTTGCCCAGGCTAGAGTGCAATGGTGCAATCTTGACCCACTGCAACCTCTACCTCCTGGGTTCAAGCGATTCTGCCTCAGCCTCCCGAGTAGCTGGGATTACAGGTGCCTGCCACTACACCCGGCTAATATTTTGATTTTTAGTAGAGATGGGGTTTCACCATGTTGGCCAGGCTGGTCTTGAATTCCTGACCTCAGGTGATCCACCCGCCTTGGCCTCCCAAAGTGCTGGGATTACAGGCATGAGCCACCGCACCTGGCCTTCACTGATGTTTTAATTTTTATTTTGCTTACTGTGATAGCAGTTATCTATCACTTCCTCTGTCCAGCTGCCCCCCTGCAATAATGAAATTATGTTTTGAGTCTTTCCAGGCTGTCTGGATCCTATGAAAAGGCTTTTCT
Source organism: Homo sapiens (assembly GCF_000001405.40). Classification (NCBI taxonomy): domain Eukaryota; kingdom Metazoa; phylum Chordata; class Mammalia; order Primates; family Hominidae; genus Homo; species Homo sapiens. Next base: position 23,108,398 of record NC_000010.11, read on the forward strand.
AGATCAGCCTTAGGACTGGCAGTCCTGTTTTGCATGCATTCATCTTCAGCCCAGGTGGGAAGGATGGGAAACTTCCTCTTTTTTTTTTTTTTTTTTGAGATGGAGTCTGGCTCTGTCGCCCAGGCTGGAGTGCAGTGGCACAATCTCGGCTCACTGCAACCTCTGCCTCCCAGGTTCAAGCAATTCTTCTGCCTCAGCCTCCTGAATAGCTGGGATTACAGGCGTGCTCCACCATGCCTGGCATTTTTTTGCATTTTTAGTAGAGATGGGGTTTCATCATGTTGGCCAGGCTGGTCTTGAACTCCTGACTTCAGGTAATCCACCTGTCTCGGCCCCCCAAAGTGCTGGGATTACAGGCATGAGCCACCACACCTGGCCAACTTCCTCTTCTTCACAGCTGCTAACTAGTGCCAGTGTTGGAAGCAGGCATTTGAGGGGACCGGCCATAAAGGACCAGCTCACTACTGTTTGGATTTCTGCAGCTAAGTTTAGGGTTTTAAAGAAGGAAAACATCCAAGTGTACCCAGATGGTAGGCTCAGTAGGTTAATTTGAAATTGTCTTTTATACAGCTCACTGCAAATGTGCTGTTAATACTACCACAGGGAATTTGGATGTTTAAACTGTGAATTTTTTGAGTTGGGAAGCCTGGAGGGATCTGAAGATTTCCTGAGTCAGCTTTGTCACTTGGTGAGCTGTTCTGTGCTCTGGCTTTCCTCTGGCCCATAGGAGGGGACAGTGCCTGCCGCCAGGCCCTGTGATAGCGGATCTTCATGGTCAGCTTGTGCAAGGGTTGTTTTTTATTTAATTTTCTTTGACAGGGGAGATGACAAAAGAAATTGGGCAAAAATGGTCTTTAAAAAAAAGTCATCAGCCGGGTGCAGTGGCTCATGCCTGTAGTCCCAGCATTTTGAGAGGCCAAGACATGCAGATCACTTGAGGTCAGGAGTTCGAGACCAGCCTGGCTAACACGGTGAAACCCCGTAAAAGTACAAAAATTAGCCAGGCGTGGTGGCGTGCACCTGTAGTCCCAGCTATTCGGGAGGCTGAGACAGGAGAATCACTTGAACCTGGGAGGCAGAGGTTGCAGTGAGCTGAGATCGTGTCATTGCACTCCAGCCTGGGTGACAGTGAGACTTCATCTCAAAAAAAAAAAAAAAATCAAGTTTGAGAAATAACATTTTAAAAAATATTGACTTGGCTAATTCATTGACTTGTCTCCTTGTTCTCCTCTCAGAATACCTCTGAAAACTTGCAAACCCTGTAACCCACAATGAACGCAGTAATTTCATCTAAGTAGTAACCTGGGCACTGAGGGGGTGGGGAATCTAGCTCATTATTTAACATTTATTAAGTATGCTGTGTCCTAAACATTATGTGAAGCATATTAAAGGCAAAATGCCTGATCTCACTGAACTATGCTTTTTATGTATTTATATTCTGTCTTTAATTGGAGATTTCAAAGTATGTTAGACAGTGGACTAGATTCCTGTTGTATTAACTCTTTTAAAAGGGAGACCGAAATCTCACACAGTCACAGAGGACAAGACTCTGTTTTCTTGCTTTTTCACCGACTTTGATGCTCTTGGATGAAAAGTCCTGTATGAATACAAAGATTATCAAAGTCATAATTTGAATATTGGGTGCAATAAAGCCCAGGCTGTAAATACATCTGCAGGCTGCTTCATTGGGTACATTATAATTTTCTCTCTGGCGTTATTTGCACTTCGTCAAATTAGTACAGAAATTCCTTGATTTGGGGACTTACCCAGGATTTAAATCTGCTGTTTCAACTCCTGCCAGTAGTATGAGAAATCTGAACATGACATATCTAATTTACTTTCAGCCTTTCAGTGGGATCTACCTGAATAACAAGGAAGCAGGAATGTATCATTGCGTGTGCTGCGACAGTCCACTCTTCAGGTAAGATAAAGAATTGAGAGCCACGGAAGGAGACCAAACCTCCAGGTTCTTACTGCTTTGTTTCATTTGAGATCTTGGATAAATAAATACCCATAATACCCATTTTGTTTTTTAAATTGCTCTTCTCATTTTGCATTGTTGCTGTAAGGAGAGCTATTCATATAAGATACTTGCCTGTCTTGACTTTTTTTTCTAGCATTTAGAGCCATTAACAAGACTTCTTAGCTTATATTCTTCCTTTCTCTATCCTCAAGAAATAGCAAGGAAATAAAACTCAGTGGGCCCCTTATGATAAAGCTATTAGAGTTTTTTTTTTTTTAGAGGGAAAGTATTTAAAGAAATCTAAACCGTGATTATATTTGCTGGGCCATGTGATTAAAACTCTCTCCCAGGGAAAATGGGTTTATAATTTAATTTAGGAAATGTAGAATTTTATGAGGATAGATTCCCCACAATGCTTGACAGTAGCGAATACCATACCCTCTTCTATATAGCTAAAAGTAAACTTATTTGTCCCTTGATTTCAAAGCCTCTTTTAAGTCAATCAGGATCTGAAATCTCTCAACAAAGGCTTTTTTGTTTAGACATGCAGGAAACAGTCTTAAAAAAAAGTAGATTCGATGGAGAAGAAAGGAAAACATCTTTGAAGTCCTATTTTTCAGAACTTCAAAGATGTTTTCCTTTCTTTTGCATCAACCCTAAATTGGTTTAGAATAAAATATAAATCAAGCCAGCTCTGTGCATTGCCCATTAGGCAGTGCTTCCTTCTGTCCTCTGGGCTTTGAGCAGTCTGGGCCTTCCTGCCCGGCTGGCTGCTAATGTGGGCTGCCTTAGGAAGCCGGACCCGCCTGCAAGGATGAGGAGCGATTAGCATCGATTTTCCTCCGTGCTCACAGATGGGCAGGCCTTTGCCCGGATGCATTCACGTTGGCATGGGGGAAACTAGAAGGAGGTTAATTTTTGCACAGTAAAATGTGGGACTCAGGTTTCTGAGACAATAGTTATTTCTTGACCTTTGGTTGTGTTAAAGAGGAGAGGTAGGATTTTGAGATGGCCCATGAGCTTTCAGCCATAGAACCATGCTGCCAGCGTGTCAAGGGCTCCCTTGTTACCGCAGGCACCAGGCAGTGCTCTGTCTCCCTCTTTGCACTGTGAATACAGAAGATAAATCATCCTCGCAAGAGCATTCTCTTAAATCACAGTCTTCACTCTTCCCCTTCCTTGATGTTCCGGTTTCTGCATCTGAAAAAGGGGGGGACTTCTTCCCTTCCTTTCACCTTGCAGGCTTAGTTGTGGTGTCAGAATACTGGAGCCAGGAGGGTCCTGAGTCCAGAGCAGAAAGCTCTGTCCAGTAGAACTTCCTGTGGTGATGGAGATGTCTGTATCTGGCCATGTGGTAGCTGCTCATCACATAAGCTTGTTAAGCACTCAAGGTGTGGCTAGCATGGCTGAGAAGCTGACTTTTTCAATTTAATTTTAATTAATTTAAACTTAAATTTAATTTTAATTAATTTAAACTTAAATTTAATTTTAATTAATTTAAACTTAAATTTAATTTTAATTAATTTAAACTTAAATTTAATTTTAATTAATTTAAACTTTAATTTTAATTAATTTAAACTTAAATGTAATTTTAATTAATTTAAACTTAAAAGGCCACATGTGGCCAGAGGCTACTATATTAGCACAATGCTAGTTCAAATTAAGGAAGTTAAGTGACCAACTCCAGGTCCTGGAGGTTGTGAAGCAGCCAAGACTAATAGGAAAACCAGCCGATTCTCCAAAAGCCCATTGACCAAGTGGCCAGTTTATGAGACTGCCAATTCACTAACTTTATTTGTTTTTGTGTAACCATTTAGTTTGAGCTGAAAAGTTTCCATTTTGCATTCTTAAAGACTTCTGAGTTTGTTTCTCTTCCCCTTTCCTGTTGCTGCTACTGCAGCTGAAGGAAATAATATATTCCTGAAGATTATTTATGTTCCAGAATATACTATTCTTAAAGATGCACTCATTTATGGGAGAGGCAGTAGAATGGTTAAGATTGCCAAGGTGTATATCCTGGCTCCATTGCTGTGTGACCTTGAGCAAATTTCTTAACCTTTCTGTGTCTGATTTCCTCACCTGTAAAATGAAGATAATAGTACCTAATTCATAAGGTTGTTGGGAGGATAATCTGAGTCATGAATTAATACATGGAAAAGCATAGAGCAATGCCTGACATGACTGACTCAGGCCAGGCACTTGATGCAAGTTAGTAATGATGTTTTTGTTGTTTTGTTTTGTTTTTTGAGATGGAGTCTCGCTCTGTCGCCCAGGCTGGAGTGCAGTGGCGCGATCTCGGCTCACTGCAACCTCTGCCTTCCAGGTTGAAGCGATTCTCCTGCCTCCTGAGTAGCTGGGATTACAGGCGTGTGCCACCATGCCTGGCTAATTTTTTGTATTATTAGTAGAGACGGGGTTTCACCATGTTAGCCAGGATGGTCTTGATCTCCTGACCTCAGGTGATCCACCCGCTTTGGCCTCCCAAAGTGCTGGGATTACAGGCGTGAGCCAGCGCACCCGGGCGTAATGATGTGTTCTTAAGCAATAGATCCCTCTTAGGGCTGTATACATGAATGCGCTTTTGATCCTGAGGAATTCTGGAGGATATATTCTAATTAATGAGAACATACAAATGCAGACTATATTCCTGAGACTTCTTCCTGTTCAAGAGGAGTTTTAGAAATATATTCTGGTTTTGCCTCTCATTTTCCTTCTCTTTCTGTCTCTGGTCTCCAGTCTCTATAGTAGGAAGCAGAGGTACAGAAAAAATAATTCCTTCAAATGCTTGTGTGGAGTGAAAGTGAAGGGAAAGTTGGTCAACCAAAACTAAGTAGTTCTTTTAACAAGTAAATGCAGGGCTCACTCCTTTGAGCTCCCTGCTCCAGCTTGGCTGCTTCCTGCCTGGGACTTCCCTTCATGCTGAGCTGGCCTCCTGGGATCTGCTCAGCCCCACTAATACTAATTGAAATTCCACTTATTTTTGGATCCCAGATTTCTCCTGAAACCTTCTCTGATAGCACACACCATGGGTTTTTTTTTAATCTGCTTCAAATTCCTATTAATTTATCAGTATCACACAATTTAGGACCTAATTATTCTCCTATTGGATCAAGTATTTTATTTAGTTAAGGAGATAAACTTGATTAGCTTTCGAGTCCCTTGGCCATCTTATGCTTCTTGGACAAGGCTCATGGAAGTTGTTATGGGATGAATTGTGTCTCCCAAAAAGACATGTTGAAGTCTTAATCCCTGTAAGCTGGGAATGTGACCTTATTTGGAAATAGGGTGGCTGCAGGTATAATTAGTTTAGATAAGATCATATTGGAGTAGGGTCAGCCCTAATTCCAAAATCACTGCTGTCCTTATAAGAAGAAGAGAAGCCCAGACAGAGAGGAGACAGCCATGTGAAAACGGAAGCAGAGATTGGTGATCCGCAGCTACAAACCGAAGACTGCCTACCTTAGAAGGTAGGAAGAGGCAAGGAGGGATTCCCTAGATGCTTCAGAGCCCTGTGGACACCTTGACTTTGGACTTCTATCTTCAAGATTGTGAGAGAGTACCACCCATTTTGTGGTACTTTGTTACAGCCACCTTGGAAACTAATACTTAGATGCTCCATAAGTACGTATTGATTGGTTGATTAATAATATCCATCCTGCTGCTTAGACATCATAGCAATGTTGGGACTATCAGAAGCTGTGGTTACGGGCTGAACGTGGTGACTCATGCCTGTAATCCCAGCACTTTGGGAGGCCAAGGCGGGTGGATCACTGCAGGTCAGGAGTTCGAGACCAGCCTGACCAGTATAGCAAAATCCTGTCTCTACTAAAAATACAAAAACTAGTTGGGCGTGGTAGCACATGCCTGTAATCCCAGCTACTAAGGAGGCTGAGGTAGGAGAATTGCTTGAACCCAGGAGGTAGAGGTTTCATTGAGCTGAGATTGAGCCACTGCACTCCAGCCTGAGTGACAGAGTGAGACTCCATCTCAAAAAAAAAAAAAAAAAAAGCTGTGATTATGAAATCACTGTGAAAATGTGAGGGAAGTGGCTGCAACTTCTTGAGCACTTACATGCCAGACACTGGGCTCTAGTACTTTGCAAACAATCCTCACCCTCCAATAAGGAGCTATTAAGACCCTCACTTAACAGATGTGAAAACTGAGGCTTAAAGAATTTAACTAACTTGTTCCAGGTCACTTGTCTAGTAAGTGATAGTGCAGGGATTTGGGCTCCACTGCACTCTTCTTGAGAGTGGGAAGCACCCCAGCAATGAAGGAGCCCTCTGGGCACGCGGCAGGTGCCATGCCCAGGCTCTTCATGTGCATCGTTTCGTCAGACCTCTCGGCAGCTCCCCGTAGTGTTATTATCATTCTCATTTCACGTGAGGAAACTGAGAGCTAGGAAGATGAAATAACTTGTCCAGGGTTCTGCAGCTTACAGGTAGCCAGCCAAAATATGAACCCACAGTTTTGGACTCCAGAGCCCACATTCTTCACTAGCTGAGCTTCCATTAAGCCACACGGGCAGCTCCGTTGACATAGGTGCCATCGCCTTTTGGTGCCTGCTTTCCTTATTACAGGTGTAAGTTTCCCAGAAGACATAACCAGCCTCTGAGAGTGATCCCAGCCAGTGTAACTCATGAGTTCCCTTTCCAGAGCCTTGTTCCCAGCCTCATCCACCAGACTTAGCGTCATTCTCCTCATCATCCTATAATTGTTGGAATGAGTTTGGTGCACAGTTTTGGAGAGCTTCTGCCTCTCCAAATCAGACACCTTTAATCAAAGGTGTCTGGGTCAAGAACACTTTCCAGAATGTGTTGTCACACTCCTAGGGACTCCAGACTCTCTTTCCTTAACTCGGAATGAAGTGACATTGCCCATCACTGCCACTTCCTCTCCTCCTTCTCCCTTTCTTCTTCTACATGAGCCTATTTGGAATGTGTTTATTAAAATCTATTGTGGGATCACATATTTCATGATCACAAATCTTCTTAAAATAAGAGGAAACAGAGCCTGATACTAGTTCACCTTTTACGTAATATCCTGATGTCGTATGTACCATGAGTAACTAAGTAATATTGTTAAAAACCTTCTGTATGCCCCATTCCCTCAAAGGAATAGAAATTCTTCTAAGAGGTTAGGGTTGTCAGTTATCACCAAGTGCCTGTGCTGTTGGTTTGGGACCTGTAGAACTTCCAGAAATCAAGGAAAACCAAAGCAAATAAAACGAAACAAAGTAAAAATCCCTTAGAGTATATGATTCAGAATGGTTTTAGTTCTTCAAGGGCAAACCTTACAATCTGCTAATCACTTAAATATGTATATTGGAATTTCTGATTGGCTTTAATATTTTGGTTCCCAGTCTTAACTTATATATGTTAGGCCTCTCATATTACTTGGTAAAAATCTCCCGATTCTGCTAATTGCATCAATAAAGGTTTATTGTTTCCCATAAAATGCTTTAATGAGTTTTTATTAGCCTTAGTTTCATTTATTTAAAAAATTTTATTGTATTCATAATTCTCAATCAAAATACCTTTAATGATCACTAGTTGATATATAATGTTGAGGATGGAAAGACTGGGATTAAAAGATACTTAATGATGTTTTTCCCTGAGCAGAGTGGCCAGATGAATGTTTTTGAACCCCTGGAGGAGGGTTGCAAAGAATCCGACCTGAATATGCAGACATTTCTAGTTGGACCCACAACTGCTCACATTCCATAGATTTCTGGTATTAATAATAAAAAAATATTAAAAAATAGCTACCAACTCAAGTGCCATGTGTCAGGTACTATGCTAAGCACACACACAGAAAGTGAGGTGATAATGCCATTGCTATTGTTAGCTTAAAACAATCATACAATCTATAAATTTAGAAAAGGAGACTTTATTTCTTCTAAAGGGTTACAGCCTTCAAGGTGGCCATCCTACAGGCTGGGAAGCGAGCTCCCAGCCAAGAGCAGATGCAGGCACTTGGAAGGGGGAGCAGCTGGGGTAGGAGCTTTATGCTGAGAGGGTTGGCTAAATATACCTATTTAACAGATCACAGAAGGGGCTATGAAAATTTGTGAAGATGGTCCTGACATACACATATTGAACAAACATGCATGTAACATATGACCTATGTTTATTTGGGGGTAGAAACTTAACATTTAAATGTATTATAATTAGATCCTATACATCAAAAGGTCTTTCAGGATATGAAGGCCCACAAGTGCACAGCCTCTGTAAACCATCCAGAACCACTTCATGGTCTTTTAATCAGGAGAAAGTTACTAAAATCAGTCTCTTGTGCAATCAAAGCTGTAGTTACGGCTGGTGGAACAGAGGGTCTCAGCTAGTCAGTGTCTGATGGTAGATGAGCTGCAATTGCTTCAACACTGCTTATCTCAAGGCCAGTGATTGTTTAGCTGCTAGAGAAGAAGAAAACCCCTGTGGCAGTTAGAGTTGATTCTTTAAGTGTAGGGGTGCATGACTTCACCCTCGCCTGGCATGGCCTTAGGTCCTGTTTATAATTTGGTATATTATTGCCACAAAGAGGCTGTTCTGCCAGTCTTATGATCTCTATTTAAACATTAATGCTGGTCATTTGTTGTGTCTAAACCACAAAAGGGAGAGGGTATAATGAGGTGTGTCTGACCTCCTGTCCCATCATGACCGGAAACTCGATTTAAAGGTTTTTCTGGAGTCCTCTTGGCCAAGAAGGGCTCTATTCAGTCAGTGGGTGGCTTAGAACTTTATTTTTAGTTTATACTTATCTATAGACTAGGATGCTGAGGCTTCAAAAAATTAAATGACTTGCCAAGGTGATACAGATGTAACAGACAGATCCCAGATTCACACACAAATCTTTCAGAAGTCAAAGCCCTTCCTCTAATGGCTATACCTGTGGTTCTTAAAGCCTGGTCTGAGGACCCCAGAGATTCCTGGGGGGGACCTTTCTAGGGGCTTTTCCAACCACACTTGAGACCACTTGAGGCCACATCCTCTTATACTCCAATCAAAACAACATAGCAACAGACTGAATTCAGAGGCACATATGAAGATTCAGTTGTCTTTTTTTTAAGCCGGATGTTAAAGAGCCTTGCAAAATTGTAAAACAGTGCAACTCTTCTCATGAAATGTTTGTTTCATTTTGAAAAGTATAATTATTTGCCTTAAATATATGTTATGTTAACATATAATAAATTTATTTCAGGTTGAGCATCTCTACTCTGAAAATTCGAAATCTGAAATGCACCCAAATCTGAAACTTTTTTATTTTTTGAGACAGAGTCTCGCTCTGTTGACTGATCTCCACTCACTGCAACCACTGCTTCCTGGGGTCAAGTTATTCTCCTGCCTCAGCCTCCCAAGTAGCTAGGACTACAGGCATGCACCACCATGCCCAGCTAGTTTTTCTATTTTTAGTAGAGAGGGGGTTTCACCATGTTGGCCAGGCTGGTCTCGAACTCCTGAGCTCAAGTGATCCACCCGCTTCCACCTCCTAAAAAGCTGGGATTATAGGCGTGGGCCACCACGCCAGCAAAATTCGAAACTTTTTGAGAACCAACATGCTAGTCAAAGGAAATGCTCACTGGAGTATTGCAGATTAAGGATGCTTAGCCATCAAGTAAAATGCAAAATTCAAAAAGATCTGAAATCCGAAACACTTCTGGTCCTAAGCATTTCAGATAAGGGGCACTCAACCTATATTAAAAAAAAATTAATGCACACATATTTTTAAATTCTCATTTATAATGTATAATTTGTTAAATGTTGACATACGTAACTCACAGACAAAAGCTCTCAGCAATCCCTATTAATTTTGGGGACACAGAGGGGACATGAGGGGTGCCGAGACCAAAATGTTTGAGAATTGCTGCATTACACAATTGTTTCTGTGGGAGTTTGTGCTGCCAGCTAGGCTTCCTTCTGTGTTCATAGTCTAGGGATTTGATTCTTTGCTACTTTTTCTTCTTAGATTAGTTTTTTGTTTTTTTTTTTTTTTTTTTGGCTGGGTCTAACATTCAGTTCTTCTCTTTCTTCCTTAGATAGAGAGAGCCATTTCCTTGCCACAGCAATTTTTGAAGTCTATTTTCCCAGTGCCATTTAAGGGAGCTTATCCATGAGAGCACTTAGAGGGTGGGTCTTTGGTGAGTGGATTTGCCTGCTGTCCTTCTCCTTGTGCCAGCATCATGAGTCCCTGGGAGACTTCTGGAGGGTTAGGTTTCACTGCAGTGATTGATGCCAGGTACCCAGGCGTATTAATTAATACTAATCATCACCATCACAGCAAGCATTCAGGGAACTTACCATGTGCCCAGCACCGTGCTAAGCTTTATGTCACACTTCAGTTTCCCCTCAAATCCTCAAAACAGCCCTGTAGGGTAGATATTATTCCCATTTGCTAGGTGAGCAAACTGAGGCTTCAAGAGCTGTGGTTTCACACAGCTAAGAAGTGGCCAGAGGCAGCTTTTGAATCCCTGGTCAGGCGTCTGTGTTGAGATAACCTGAAATTCCTGTTGCCAAGCATGACTTTCTCATCAGACCTTACACTTCTGCGCTGCTCTAAGATGATGATGACTTCCTCCGAGCATTAGTATTTCGTTTTGATTTCTCCCCTTTTGACATTTTCAACACATGGGTTTGATCTGTGTTACCTAATATGCAACACAGTTCACAAAACACCATGTGTTTTTAGATCCTTGTTGGATATCCAGAAAGAAGTCTTTAGCATCAAAGGATCAAGAAGTCCTTCCACTTCGAGAGGCAATGGCTTCGATAGTGAAGGTGCAGTGAGGACGATTCCGGGGGGACTGACTGTCGAATAACTGGGCATGGGATCTGGCAGAGGAGAGTGGGAACAGATCCTGCTGCCTGGAACAACACATCGGGGCACCTCTTGGCATGTTAATGACAGTGTCATTAGCAGCTGTAGTATCGTTTATGTCTTCCACAGTTCTGAGAAAAAGTACTGCTCTGGCACTGGGTGGCCTTCGTTTTCCGAGGCTCATGGTACGTCTGGCTCTGATGAAAGCCACACAGGGATCCTGAGACGTCTGGATACCTCGTTAGGATCAGCTCGCACAGAGGTTGTCTGCAAGCAGGTGAGGTTTCTCATTTTGTTTTACTTTCCCTGATGCTGCCCCCAATGCCACAAAGAGCTCTCTTGTTCTTGGCAAATCTGGTGTCCTTTTATAGGGGTACTTTCTTTTGTCTTCAGAACACATGGGGTTTCTTTTTTGTTTTGCTTTGTTTTGTTTTGTTTTGTTTTGTTTTGAGACAGTCTCGCTCTGTTTTGCAGGCTGGAGTGCAGTGGCATGATCTCAGCTCACTGCAGCCTCCACCTCCTGAGTTCAAGTGCCTCAGCCTCCCGAGTAGTTGGGATTACAGGTGCCTGCCACCACACCCAGTGAATTTTTGTATTTTTAGTAGAGATGAGGTTTCGCCATGTTGGCCAGGCTGGTCTCAAACTCCTGACCGCAAGTGATCCACCTGCCTCGGCCTCCCAAAGTGCTGGGATTACAGGCGTGGGCCACCACACCCAGCCCAGAACACATGGGGTTTCTACACATGCCAATAACGATCACTCTCTCCCTTCAATCTGGGCACTGCAAAAAAGAGAAAAGTCTTCTCCAGCCTCTCTCTAATGTGGCCTTTCCTGGTTCTAACCTTCCACAGAGATGAGAACAGAGGTAGGATCTTCACCTTCTTTTGAGCAGGGATAAGGAGCAGGAAGTCCTTATCCTGTCAGAGTGACTGGCATCTCATCTTTGACTTACCCAGTGTGACTGGCACCTCCATCTCTCCACCCTCCTTTTGCACCCTGCAGCGTGTCACTGGCCTGCAGAGCAATGCTGCGGGTGACGTCAGCACCTCTGCCTTCTGTGAGCCCCGTAGGAGAGAGTGGCTTAAATCCAGATCACAAATTCATTTTGATATCCTTAGCTGCTCACATTTTCTGACTCATGGGTTTTGTAAAACATTAGAGGCAAGCTGATTAAGATAGCGTGGTTTTGCCTTAAGTAATAAATAATAATAATACACTGGGTACTACAATATTATTCAGTACTTACCCAGGAATTATGTTAATGCTTTACATGTAATATATCAATTAATTGTCCCCACAGCTCTCTTATGTAGGTATGATAATTATCCCCATTTTTAGATGAGTAACTGTAAAGGCCCAAATTTAATAACTTGCTCACATCCTATTGATAAAGTAAAACTATTTACCATGACTGTGTTCTGCTTTCTTTCATTTCTTAATTGAATTCGGATGCAATAGACTTTTTCTCCTAACACAGATGTCAGACTCCGGAGTGGAGTGATTTTGGGGGGGTTCGTCTGTCTGGTTTTACATAAAGAGCTTTGTTTGCATTTGGAGATGACAGAGGCTTCTGTCCTTTGCAGTGTGAAGCTCATCTAGGTCACGTGTTTCCTGATGGACCTGGGCCCAATGGTCAGAGGTTTTGCATCAACAGTGTGGCTTTGAAGTTCAAACCAAGGAAACACTGACCATCTTCAAGAGTCCCGTTCCCTTGCCACCCCTTCACGTGCACCCTCAATTTCCACAATTCACTTGAATGACTTGTTTTATTTGCAATAAAACTGGGCTGAATTTGCTGCTGTCTCCAGCGAGTCATTGCTTCTCTTAATTTATTTACCTGGAATCAACTTAATCCTGTGTGTTAGGCTGTTCTTGTGTTGCTATAAAGAAGTACCTGATCAGGATCTGGGAGAATTTGAAAAAAAAAGAAAAACTAGAAAAATAAACAAAATTAAAAAGAAAAAAAAATACCTGAGACTGAGTAACTTATAAAGAAAAGAGGTTTAATTGACTCACAGTTCTGCAGGGTGTACAGAAAGCATGGTGCCAGCATTTGCTCGGATTCTGGGGAGACCTGAGGGAGCTTTTACTCATGGCAGAAGGTGAAGGGGGAGCCGGCGTCTCACATGGCAAAGCAGGAGCAAGAGAGAGTGGTAGGGAGGTGCCACATACTTTTAAACAGCCAGATCTCTCAAGAACTCACTCACTGTCACCAGGACAGCACCAAGCCATGAGGGATCCACCCTCATGACCCAGTTACCTCCCGGCAGGGCCCACCTCCGGCACTAGGAATTATACTTCAACATAAGATTTGGAGAGGGAAAACATCCAAACCATATCACCCAACTCCCACTTGGAGTAGAACTTCACAAAACGACAGAGGGACAGCTGTTTCCATCAAACACTTCCACAGCTTCACCTGAGACGAGGGCATGACTCTGGGAACATCAGGAGGCTGATGGACTATTAAGCCAAACAATTCCTACAAAAATTCCCTGCACCTTCCACTGCGTTTCAGTCCTTGACAGACATAAGTAAGGGATCAAGTGAGAAGAGGAAGGAAAATACAGGATCCAAGGAATCAACAATGCTAGCACTGAAGAGCAGGATTACGGAGGAGCTGTGCTCTGGGAGCATATATGGTGATCAATCAGATGCATGACTTTTTTTTCAAAATTTTAAATGTCTTGAGCATGCTACTTCCAACCATTCTACCCACAAATAAACTGCAATAGGACTTGGTTAGATTTCAATGATTATGAATAAATGTTCACCTTCATACCTTCTGGTTACAAAGCTAAACTTTAAAATGTCCAAATAAAATATTCACTAAAATTTATGTTTGCTTTTTGGCTAAGTCAATGAACATGCTCTTTTATAAAAAAAACTCTAGCCAGGCGTGGTGGCTCACACCTGCAATCCCAGCACTTTGGGAGGCCAAGGCAGGCGGATCACCTGAGGTCAGGAGTTTGAGACCAGCCTGACAAACATGGAGAAACTCCATCTCTACTAAAAATACCAAGTTAGCCGGGCATGGTGGCACATGCCTGTAATCCCAGCTACTTGGGAGGCTGAGGCAGGAGAATTGCTTGAACCCAGGAGGTGGAGGTTGCAGTGAGCCAAGATCACACCATTGCACTCCAGCCTGGGCAACAAGAGCAAAACTCCATCTCAAAAAAAAAAAAAAAAACAAAAACAAAAACCAAAAAACAAAAAACCTCTAAATTAAAAATGACAAATAAGAATTGGCTCACATGGTAGCAGGCATTTGGTTATACCAAGACTAATAGCAACTCAAGTATTTCACAAATCAAGAGTCTTGAATAATTTGTTACTGAAAGTATATAAATCATTCTCTTTGTGACTTTATGGGCAAAAAGGAAACTTGTTTATACTTTTTTTCTCTTTATGAACTTGTTATATATTATTTTACATTTCTTTTAGTAGCAACCATGGAAATTACAACATGCTTCCTTACTTGTTACCATCATATGTAAATTATTACTTATTTTGAGTTCTCCAGGAATGTTAGCCTTAGAACACTTTATTAACATCCTCTCACATTTTGTTTTACTATTCTCATGTATTTCATTTCACACACACTTTAAAGCCCCCAAACCATTATAATAATATACTAAAATATGTACGAATATATACTAATAATTAGTATATAATGAATCAGTATAAAATATATAATATACACTAATATGTATACTAATAAATATACACTAATATATAACATACTAATATATAATAATATATGTTTTTAGTATATGTGGTTGATACTCATTTATATTTACCTACATATTTGCCTCTTTTGTTGCTCTTTTATTTCTTCCTGCAATTCTGTGTTTCCCTGTGTGATTATTTTTCTTCTGCCTGAAGAACTTCTTTTTGTTTTTCTTTTTTTGTTTTTTTTTGTGAGATGGAGTCTCACTCTGTCGTCCAGGCTGGAGTGCAGTGGTGCGATCTCGGCTCACTGCAACTTCTGCCACCCCCGAGTTCAAAAGATTCTCCTGCCTCAGCCTCCTGAGAAGCTGGGATTACAGGCGCCTGCCACCGCATTCGGCTAATTTTTGTATTTTTAGTAGAGACGGGGTTTCACCATCTTGGCCAGGCTGGTCTTGAACTCCTGAGCCTGTGATCCACCCGCCTTGAACTCCCAAAGTGCTGGGATTACAGGCGTGAGTCACCGTGCCTGGCCGAACTTCTTTTATTTTTCCCATTAGTTCATATTTCCTAGTGATGATTTTTTTTCAGTTTTTGTTGGTGAGGAAACGTATTTATTCTCCTTTCATTCTGAGGAATATTTTCCCTGAGTATAGAGTTCTAATTTGGGGAATTAGAATTTTTTCCTCTACAGATAGCCAATTATCCCAGCACTGTTTACTGAAGACTTCCTTGAATTTCCTTGACATTTTTCAAAAAAATTAATTTCCATATTAGCATGGGTCTATTTCTGGACTCTCTATTCTGTTCCATTGATATATCTATTCCTATGGCATTTATACCACACTGTATTGATTATTATAGGTTTATAGCAAGTCTTGACATTATTATAGGTTTATAGCAAGTCTTGAAAATCTTATGGCATTTATACCACACTGTATTGAAATTATAGGTTTATAGCAAGTCTTGGCTAGTTGTTTTATGCTAAAACAATTTTGAAAAAAGAACACAATTGGAAAAACATAACCAAAACATGTGCATTTCCATATAAATTTTAGAATTTGCTTGGAAATTTCTACAAAAAGTCTTGCTGGAATTTTGATTGGTATTGCATTGATATATCAATCTGGGGAGAACTGGCATCTTAAAAATATTGAGTGTCCCAGTCCACCAGCCTGGTATGTTTCTCTGTTTATTTAAGTATGCTTTAGTTTTTCTTTAAATATTTTGTTGTTTTTACTATGTGGGTCTTGCACATATTTTGTTAAATTAATGCCAAAATATTTTAATTTTCTTAATACTGTCATAAATTGAATTGTTATTTACATTTTTATTTTCTATTCTTTCACTATATATAGAAATACAATTAATTTTTGTGTTTTGAACATGTATCCTGCAACTTTACTAAATTGACTTATATTAATCCTTGTAACTTTTTTCTGGATTTCTTAGAGCTTTGTACATACAAAATCATGTCTGCAAATAGGACAGTTTTACTTCTTCTTTCCAATTTGCCTTTTTCTTTTTCTTGCCTTATTCACTATCTGGGTCTTACAATACAAATTTAAATGCAAATAGTGAGAGTGGATATGCCTGCTTTGCTTTGTTTGTGATTTTAGGTAGAAAACATTAAATCTTCACCATTGAGTTTGATGTTAGCTGTAGATTTTTTTTATAACCTTAATTGGATGAGGAAGACTTCTATTCCTAGTTGTTGAGAGATTTAGTGATGAAAGAGTGTTGATTTTTATCAAATGTTTTTTCTGCATCCATTTAAATAATTATATGGTTCTTTTTCTGTTTTCTATTCATAGAGTAGATTATATTGATTGATTTTCTGATGTTAAGCCAACCTTGCATTCTGAGATAAACCCCACTTGGATATGATAGATAGTATTCTTTTTACATGTTATTGGTTCTTATTTGCTATATTTTGTTAGGAACTTTTTGTTTCTATGCTCATGAGTAATATTGCTCTGCAGTTCTATTATCTTGTGATGTATTTGATTTTCTAATAAAGGTAATGTTAGCCCCATAAAACGATCTGGGAAATGCTCCCTCCTCTTTTATATTTTGAAAACGTTGGTGTAAGATTGGCGTCATTTCTTCCTTAAATAACTGGTGGAATTCCCCAGTGAAGTGATCTAGATCTGGAGTTTTCTATGTGGGAAAGTTTTTATTATTAATTTAAATAGGGCTGCCAAATTTTCTTGAGGCAGTTTTGGTAAATTTGCTTTTTAAGCCGGGCAAGGTGGCTCACGCCTGTAATCCCATCACTTTGGGAGGCCGAGGCAGGCGGATCACGAGGTCAGGAGATCGAGACCATCCTGGCTAACACAGTGAAAACCCGTCTCTACTAAAAATACAAAAAAATTAGCCGGGCGTGGTGGCGGGTGCCTGTAATCCTAGCTACTCGGGAGGCTGAGGCAGGAGAATGGCATGAACCCGGGTGGCGGAGCTTGTGGTGAGCCGAGATCGCACCACTACACTCCAGCCTGAGCGACAAGAGCAAGACTCCGTCTCAAAAAAAAAAAAAAAAAAAAAAAAATTTGCTTTTTAAGTAGTATTTTATCTAGATCGTCAAGCTTATCAGCATGGAATTGTTCACAGTATGCCCTTCTTATTCTTTTCATGTCTGAAGGACGTGTAGAAAAACCCCTTCTTTCATTCCTAATGGGGATTTGTCTCCTCTGTTTTCTTCACTAGTCTGGCTACAGCTGGTCGGTTTTATTGAATTTATTTCAAAAACGTGGCTTTTGGTTTTATTGATTTTTCTCTACTTCTTTTTTTTTTTTTTTTTTTTTGAGATGGAGACTCACTCTGTCGCCCAGGCTGGAGTGCAGTGGCACGATCTCGGCTCACTGCAAGCTACGCCTCCCGGGTTCACGCCATTTATCTTTTCTATTTTATTGATTTTTACCCTTTATCCTTTCCTTCCTTTTGTTTACTTTGAGCATAACTTGGACTTATTTTTATAATTTCTTAAGGTGGAAGCTTAGATCACTGAGCTTTATTTTTAGACTTTGCTTCTTTTCCCATGTAGGCATTAAAGCTACATATTTCCCTATATGTTCTGTTTTACCCTACATCCCACAAATTTTGATATGCTTTCATTATCATAGGTATATGATATATTATCAACATATTTTCTAATATTACTTGTGACTCTTCTTTGATCTAGTGATTATTCAGAAGTATGTTGAAGTCCAGATATTTGAAATTTTCCTGGTTATCTCATTATTATTGAATTCCAGTTTAATCCTTTGTGGACAGAGAACATAGCCTGCGTGATTTTAAACTATTCAAATTTATTGAGTTGTGTTTTGTGGCCCAAAATATGGCCTATCTTGACAAACACACCAGGTGCACTTGAAAATAATGTGTATTCTGCCATTTTTGGTGAAGTGTTCTATAAATATCAAGTCAAGTTGGTTGATAATATTGTTCAAAACTTCTATGTCTTTACTCATTTTCTGGTCTAATTGTTCTAGTAGCTGCTAGGTAGAGATGTTAATATTTGCAGTGATGTTTGTGGAACTATCTCTTCTGCACTTTCATTCTGTCAGTTACTTGCTTCATGTATTTTTGCTTCATATATTGGATGCATACAAATTTCGACTGTTGTGTTGTCCTTGACAATAAGACTTTTATCATTATGGAGTAATGAAATTATATGATAATACATTTCTTATTGTGATATAATTGACAGAACATAAAATTTCATATAATATAAAATTCTCCACTTAAAAATATGCAGTGTACATTTTGGCTTAAGTATATTTTGTCTGATATCAGTCTAGCCAGTCTAGCCTTTTGATGTCTACTGTTTGCATGGTGTATTTTTCCACCCATTTTCTTTCAACATATTTGTCAATATATTTGCTGGTTCTTCTCTAATAAACATATAGTTGGGTCTTGTTTTTTTTTTGGTCCATTTTGACAATCTCTGCCTTTTAATTGCATTGTTTAGTTCATCAACACTTGCTGCAACCATTCACATGCTTGCATTTGGGATCTGTCTTATTTTTTATTTTTGTCTCTTCTGTTGTTTTGCCTTTGTTCCTTCTTTTGTGATTTTTCTTTTTGAATTCTTTGAATATTTTTCAGAATTCCTTTTTAATTTTCCTGTTTTCATTTAGCTAGACTTCTTAATTTTTTTTAGTGGTTGTGGAAGGAATACACACACCACACACACACACACACACACACACACAACTTTTCACTGGGTGCTTATAATGATTACTTCACTACTTCACATAAAATATAGAAATCTTGCAATCCTATCAGTCCATGTTCCTTTCTATTTTATGGTTTTTATATGTAGTCATCTATAACATTACAAACCCCAAAAGACCATGTTATAATTTTTTAAATGTGGTTTATTAAAATAATTAAGAGGTAAAAGGCAAAAAGAAAAAAAACTTGTGTTTAGCCAGGTACTTGCCATTACTCATGCTTTTTATTATTTTCAGAGAATCCAAGTTTCTATATGGTTTTTCTCCAGACTGAATGACTTTCTTTAGTATTTCCTACAGTGCAGGTTTGCTGGTAACTAATTCTGTAACTTTTCTTTTAAATGAAAATGTCTGTTTGTTCGTTTTTTTTGAGACAGGGTCTTACTCTGTCACCCAGGCTGGAGTGCGCTGGTGTGATCACAGCTCACTGCAGCCTCAATCTCCCAAACTCAAGTGATCCTCTCCCACTTCAGCCTCGCAAGTAGCTGGGACTACAGGTATGCACCACCACACGTGGCTACATTTTCTATTTTTTGTAGATATGAGATCTTTCTATGTTGCCCCGGTTGGTCTCAAACTCCTGGGTTCAGGCGATCCATCTGCCTTGGCCTCCCAAAGTCCTAGGATTACAGGCATGAGCCACCATGCCTGGCCTATTCTTGAATGTTATTTTCATTGGTTATAGAATCTTGGGTTGACAGGTTTTTTGCTCCACTCTCTTCTGCCTTCCATGATTTTTGAAGAAAAGTTGGATGTTACTAGGATTGTTGCTCCCCGGTACAATCTGTCATTTTCCTCTTGCTGCTTACAAGTTTTGCGTGCTATCTCTGGCTTTTGTCTTTTGTTGTTGTGCTGCTATAACAAAATAACGAAGACTGAGGAACTTATAAAGAACAAAAATGTATTTTCTCACTGTTCTGGAGGCTGGGAAGTCCATGATTGAGGCACTGGCAGTTTTGGCGTCTGGTGAAGGCTTGTCTGTTCCATGGTACATAGTTCAGGAGTCAGTCAGAAACGTGGACACACAAAATGTGGGGATCCCCTCTCTTGCCTTTCCCTTGTAAACTTTTCCCCTCTCTTTTCAATGTTCACAATTTCTTGGCTTCACTTTTCTGGCTTCTCAGACCACAAATGCTGCAGGTTTTTTCCATGTTTGCACCCCCACTTCCACTGTGTGCACCACATGGAATTCACTTAGCCTCAGGCTAAAGTCTGGACAGATGAGAACCAATTTGTTCAGCTCCCCATCATCCTTTCTTCATGCCAGCTCACACTTTTCACTAGAGACTGTCTGCTTCTGTTCACTCAGTACTTCAGAGTTGCTTTTGTATTGAGTCCAGGTTTTGCAGTTGTTTTCTGAGGAGCATAGTCCTCTGGAAGGGTGTTAGTCATTGCTCCTACAAGTGGAACCTAAAAAGCATCATGGCCCCTCTTTCCTAGTGCAGGTGCACAGAGGCACATGAACCTCCTCCAGATTCATCCCACAAGAGAGCCATTGAGTTCATGGGACTCACCCGGTGGTCATTTTGCTGGTCCCTGAGGACATTATTGGGATGGACAGACTTCCTAGATGGGGAGATCTCACATGGTTTACCTGACTGTGGAGTAAGGACAACCGTGATAAGAAGGATGAAGTGGAAACCCCTAAAACTATGCCACCTCAGCCAAGAGAGTAAACCAGATGTATGACATCCCACTAGGAATGGCAGAAATTAAATTTGGAAAAAGTTAATTAGGATAAAAAAATGAAATAGTGAAGCCAAGGGGGCACCACTGCTTTTCTTGTCCTGGGTCACAGAGTTATGCTTGGCTTTAAAACTAAGTTTAAAATTTGACCCAGTAGGCACTTAAAAAGCTGCAGACCTAAGCTGGGAATGGTGGCTCACATCTGTAATCCCAGCTACTCATGAGGCTGCAAAGCAGGAGGATCACTTGAGCCTGGGAGTTCAAGTCCAGCCTGGGCAATATAGCAAGACTCTTAAAAAATAAAAAATTAAACAACATAAAATTTAAAAGTGCCTACCTCAGCCTATAGGCTAACTGATGGTTCTGTAAGATGTTCTTCCTATAATTCACAGGCATGTTAGAACCCACCATCAGTCTGTGGGATTTTAAGAAGCCTGTCTAAGAATATCTCAAGATGGGTCTCCAGGGTCATCATGGCTGGATTCTGCCTCTGCATGGGCCTTAAGAGCATGATCCATTCCCCATGATGCAAGAAGGATTTGAACACCTGACATGGCCAGTGACTCAGAGATTCTCAAGTCTATTAACCCACTGATACCACAAGGTGTCCCATGAGACACCAAGGGGGCTTTGGGACTCCAGGAAAAGGTCTTTTTCTCAAGACACCCAGTAGTGAGGAATTCTATAAGAATGGGTAGTCCACACAGGCTTGCTTTGTATGTATGTCTTATTTCCTCCCCTCACAGTCTCTAGCCTTTTCTCCAATTAAAACTCACTGTCTGAGGCCCCTTTGAGTCTAGTTCCGAAGGAGGACAGGAGGCCAGCCTCCACAGCAGAGCCAGTGCAAGGCTTGGTCTGTGCAGCCTTCTGCTTCTTGGTCTCTGCTCATTTTATCCTAAATGGAAGCATCCCGCGTGGCTGCCTCCCCAACACTATCATGGTAGATTTGTGTCTGTAAAGTTATCTAAGATGTGGTTCTGGGGTCTCTGAACACAGTCTGACTCTTCATTCCCTTCCCTCAGAGTTAGGAACAAAAGAATAATGCATGCGGCATTTAGATGCTGATTACGGGGTATGGGAGTTGGTAAGAGATGAGGGTGGAGGGAATATTCCTAGCAATTGGTGTATTTGGCTGATTGGTAACTGTTTATAGACTTGTTTCTTTCTAGCATGTACCCCTTGAAATCATTTTCTTTGTAAATGTTAAAAGCCATATGAAAAAAACCCACCACCTTGATTACTCTTCTTTGTACTTCAATCAGCAGCATGTCAGCCTCTGAATAAACTGTAATTCCTTCACTATGCCTGTCAAGGGAAGCATTTAGGCCACATTTAAAAATATATCTTGGTAAAGGTCTCAAGAACAATTAGCAATTAAAATACTCTATTTTCTACCTTTTACTATATAAACACGGCTGCTTGATTGATTTCACAGTCTTAGGTATTGCGCTGCTGGGGAGTCCCGTCTTCCCTAATTTCACAGCTCTTAGACTCATTGGAGGCATCTGAAGTGTTATGAAGCAGCTTTTGATGGTCATTAGTACATCTTTTTTTATTTGAGACAGGGTCTTACTCTGTGCCCAGGCTGGCATGCAGTGATGTGATCTCTGGTCACTGCAGCCTTGACCTCCTGGGCTCAGGTGATCCTCCCACCTCAGCCTCCTGAGTAATTGAAACGACAGGCACAAGCTTCCAAGCCCAACTACTTTTTTTTTGTATTTTTGTAGAGACAGGTTTTCACCATGTTGCCCAGGCTGGTCTCAAACTCCTGGGTTCAAGCAATCTGCCTACCTTGGCTTCCCAAAGCTCTGGGATTACAGGCATGAACCTTCCATGAATTTTTAATTTGATTTTTGTTTCCAAGTAAATCTCTAAAAGAATACTCATTAAAAATGAATCTTTCAAATCCTTAGTATTTGTATTGCTAACATTTACACTCCAGGATGATTTTCTATTAAAATGTATTGTCAAGTAATTTTGTCCACTTTCTCCATTATTTCGCCTGTTAAACTTATTTAACAAAATCACCATGAAATACCATCTCACACCAGTCAGAATGGATATCACTGAAAAGCCAAAAAATAACAGGTGCTGATGAGGTTGTGGAAAAAAGAAACACTTATACACTGTTGGTGGGAGTGTAAATTAGTTCAGTTATTGCGGAGAGCAGCATGGCGATTCCTCAAACAACTCAAAACAGAACTACCAGCGGACCCAGCATTCCCATTACTGGGGACATACCCAAAGGCATACAATCGTTCTATCATAAAGACACATGCACACGTATGTTCACTGCACACTATTCACACTAGCCAAGACATGGAATCAACCTAAATGCCCATCAATTGTAGACTGGATAAAGAAAATGGTACATGTACACCATGGAATACTACGCAGACATCAAAAGGAATGAGATCATGTACTTGGCAGGAAATGGATACAGTTGGAGGCCACCTCCCGACCTTAACAAACTAATGCAGGAACAGAAAACCAAATATCACATGTTCTCACTTATAAGTGGGAGCTAAATAATGAGAATACATGGACACATAGAGAGGAACAACAGACACTGGGGCCTGTTGGAGGGCAGAGGGTGGAAGGAGGGAGAGGATCAGGAAAAATAACTAATGGGCACTAGGCTTAATAGCTGGGTGACAAAATAATCTGTACAACAAACTGCCATGACTCAAGTTTACCTATAAAACAAACCTCCATGTGTACCTCAGAACTTAAAATAAAAGTTAAAAAAATAAAACACTGGTTTAAGGTCATTTTCTTTGTCTGTTTTTTTTTTTTTGTTTTGTTTTTTTCCTTTTTAGAGACAAGGTCTCTCTATGCTGTCCAGGCTGAGCTCGAACTCCTGGGGCTCAAGTGATCCTCTCGCCTCAGCCTGCTGAGTATCCCAAGTAGCTGGGACTACAGACTTGCGACTTTTAAGTCATTTTCAATCATGTCCTACAGTCAGCTGATTGTAAATGCATGCCCGTGTGCTAGCGAGACCACTGGCAGTGCCAGTGCAGCAGGACATTCAGTGCTCAGGGGATGCTGTGAGTGCAGCTAAGATGCCAGTGTGATGTATCATGTTCCTGTGTCTGCTTGCTTCATGGATACCCATGTTTTGTTTGATAGAGTGGAAGACGGTCTCAGATCTCCTTCTAGCCCCTTAGATGGGATTTGAACCACCCAAGGAAGGAACTATTTATGAAATTCTTTATAAGATACTGGATAAGGATCAGAAACAGGAAACAGGCTGACTGAGCTTCCAGTTTTTGGAGACTTCCCAAAATAACTAGGAGACATAAGGATGGCTATGTTTCTTTTCAGGCATGTCTACTGTAGTTTGGGCATTAAAAGTTAGCCCACAGAGGTGGCTTACCCCCATAATCCCAGCACTTTGGGAGACTAAGGTGGGAGGATCACTTTAGCTCAGGAGTTCTCACCTGGACAACATAGTGAGACCCCCATCTGTACAAAGAAATAAAAAATTAGCCAGGAGTGGTGGTTTGTGCCTGTTGTCCTGGCTACTCGGGAGGCTGAAGTGGGAGAATCACTTGAGTCCAGGAGTCAAGACTGCAGTAAGCCATAATCACAACACTGCACTCCAGTGTGGGCAACAGAGCAAGACCCTGTGATTAAAAAAAAAAAAAAAATAGTAATGGGTTGTCGCCACAGGCTAATCAAGCCTGGATGTAGCTTGTATACCTATGATGATTGTCATGCTAAATTAAAGAGAAAATTATCAAAATAAAACAATTTATACCTCTTTATTCTAATTTCAGTGGTAAAAAGAAAATTACATTTAGCAAATTAAAACTTCATAGAGATATTATTTCTTACCTATGAGATTGCCAAAAGTTCAAAAGTTTGCTAACATACTCCATTGGTCAGATTATAGAGAAATAGATGCTCTTATACATTGCTAATCAGAATACACAATGGCATAGCCCCTATCCAAGGCAATTTGGCAATACCTACCAAAAATATACATTTACACTTGGACCCAGCCATTTTATTTCTAGGAATCAATCCCAAAGATATACTGGCAAAAATAAGCAAAATAGAAGTGCAAGGATATTCATCACAGCACTGTTTATAAGAGCAAAAGATGGAAATAATCCAAATATCCATCAGTAGGGTACTGGTTAAATAAACTATAGTACAGCCACATAATGGGGTACTATCAAATTATGAAAAGAAATGAAGCCTACCTTGATAGTCTTCTAATAAAAAGGAGATTTCTCCAAATAAACTTTCTTTTGTAGATTTGCCTTTGAAACTATGGAAACATTTCACAGAATTTTAAAACAAAGTTAAATTTCAAAAAGCAATCCCCAAACAACCAAAAGCAAAATGAGACAGTGAACCCAATTCTACATCATGTTAGTGGCATGACCACACGGAGAGTAGGAATTTTAAGTAATTTAAAAACATGGTAATTCCACTCTATATCCATAATTGGCTGTTACCTCGGACAAAAAGAACTGTAAAAGAAGAAAAAATTGAACTGTTTTCACTACCTTTTACTTTTGGTAAATAAGTAATTATGTTAGTATCATTGGGAACTGGGACTTGGAGTATGGGTTTTTCCATAAGAAAGAAGAAACTGATGGAAGATTTCAAAAAGTTAATTTAAAAACCTTACAATTTTCCATTTGAGTTGGAAATACTAGTATGTAATAATATAAAACACATTTTATGTTTTATCTTTAAAAATTATTTCCCAATTCTGTCCATGAAAAGACCTTAAATCAAGGAGCAAGCCAGGGACAGTGAGCAGTTTGTTATCTCTAAATATTTCCCCATGAAAGGAACCAGGGCTCCTTGAAGAAATGGGTTTCTCCAGATCTGGGATGGGAAATGTATAAGATGAGCCTGGGTCATCTAGGCTTCTTACCAGAAAGCAAGGTAGCTATCAAACACTTACCTAAGGCCAGTTGGGGTGGCTCATGCCTGTGATTCCAGTGCTTTAAGGGTTACAGGCTGAGGAGGGCAGATTGCTTGAGGTCAGAAGTGTGAAACCAGCCTGGGCAACAGAGAAAGACCCCATGTCTACAAAATTAAAAAAAAAAAAAAAAGAATAGTGGGCATGGCAGCTCATGCCTGTAGTTCCAGCTATGTAAGAGGATTGCACGAGCCCAGGAGTTCAAGGCTGCAGTGAGCTATTGTACCATTGCACTCCAGCCTGGGCAAGAGTGAGACCCTGTCTCAAACAAAACAACCACTTAACTAGAATCGTGTCAAAAGAACTCAGGATCCAACTTGCAAGGGCTCACAGTGACTAAAAATGGGAAAAGTTGAGGATCAATAAGAATAGTATCGACAATATAGTGAATCACTTTAAATATGTTTAAGTCCATTAGTTCATAATAGAAAGAAAACCTTTATTGGCTCACTTTTGAGGCTATTAGATAACCAAATGATTATTTTGAAAATTGGGGCTGGGTGCAGTGACTCATACTTGTAAACCCAGCACTTTGGGAGTATGAGACAGGAGGATCATTTGAGGCCAGGAGTTTGAGATGAGCCTGGGCAATGTAGTGAGACCCCATTGCTAAAAAACTAAAAATAAATAAAAAAAATAGCTGGGTGTGGTGAGGCTCACCTGCTGTACCAGCTATTTGGGAGGCTGAAGCAAGGGGGATAGCTTGAGCCTGGGAGGTTGAGGCTGCAGTAAGCCATGATCACACCACTGCCTTTCAGCCTGGGCAACAGAGCAAGACCTTGCCTTGAAAAAGAAGAAAGAAAGGAAAGAAAGAAAGAAAGAGAGAAAGAGAGAGAGAGAAAGAAAGAAAGAAAGAAAGAAAGAAAGAAAGAAAGAAAGAAAGAAAGAAAGAAAAAGAAAGAAAGGAAGGAAGGGAAAAATTATGGTAAATAAAGGGAAAAATGGAAGCAATTTCTCTTTATACAAGTAATCCACTTAATAAATGGTTTGATCTATCATTCTATATTACCATGTCACAATCCCTACTGAAATAATGGGTCTAGGCAATGATCATCACAAAAAGAGGGGCAAGTAGTTTTACCAAAATATTCCAGCATGAATCTAATCAAGTTCTAGCTAGAGCTGCTGGTCTATCAGAACAAACACAGGGGACAGAGGAACATGTTAAATAATACAACAGGGCTGCAGTTAGGAAAATCCAGACTGATTTCCTCCATAAGTAATTTGTAAGGAGGAGAGAGAAACAACCCAAAGATTTTTAAAAGTCTTAGGAAACAGCAACCAATGGCGATGT